>NC_000023.11:96212542-96837542 GCF_000001405.40 Homo sapiens | reverse complement strand
TTTGATCAAACAAAAGGTTTCACTATCTCATCTTGTAGTTATTTCCTTGACTATGCTCTCTACTACTACTAGTACTACACACACACACACACACACACACACACACACAGAGAGAGAGAGAGAGAGAGAGAGAGAGAGGGAGGGAGGAAGGGAGGGAGGGAAGGAGGCAGACAGAGAGACAGAGAAAGAGAGAGAGAAAGCCACTTATCAGCGAGTTTATATCTTATTAGATGTAAACTCATTCATCCATGAAGCTCTTTATAAGGTTCCTTTGGGAACTGGTCATTACCTAATATGACTTATATTTCAGATTTTTATCCATATTTCACAAAATAAAACACCCTTACCTAATAATTAAATGATTTTTAAAAACTAATATCTAAAACACCAGTGTATATCTTTCCAGTGACACCACTTTACTTTGAAGCATGCAAGGAAAGGGATATTTTACACGTGAATTTTACTTCACCACTATTTTGGCTAGAATGTCTCTATTCCTTGTATTAAATATATACCTGCCGGGCGCGGTGGCTCACGCCTGTAATCCCAGCACTTTGGGAGGCTGAGGCGGGCGGATCACGAGGTCAGGAGATCGAGACCATCCTGGCTAACACGGTGAAACCCCGTCTCTACTAAAAATACAAAAAATTAGCCGGGCGTGGTAGCGGGCGCCTGTAGTCCCAGCTACTCGGGAGGCTGAGGCAGGAGAATGGCGTGAACCCGGGAGGCGGAGCTTGCAGTGAGCCGAGATCGCGCCACTGCACTCCAGCCTGGGCGACAGAGCGAGACTCCGTCTCAAAAAAAAAAAAAAAAAAAAAAAAAAAATATATATATATATATATATATATATATATATACCTGTACTGCTTTAAAATGAAATTAGTCAAGTCCCTAAGATTGGAAACTGAGAAAAATAGAGCCATCATGCAAAATACTATTTTGCAGCTTTTCTTTTTTCTATTCTGTAATGAGTATAATGAATCGGGCTAGGTCAGCCTGATTACTTAGCCTATCAGAGGAAGGAAGAATAGTTAGTCATTAATTATATTCATTAAATTATGCAAAATTCAAGACTGTTTTGCTAATAAAATAGAGTATAACTAGCTATATAATTATATGGAAATCAATATGCCTTTGAGTACAGTCATTTATCAAGAGAAAATTCATTCTATAACCAAACAGCATTTTATGAGTACCTTAAACTCTAGATAACAAAAGTTCTCTAAATCATTAGATTATATAATCCTATAAGGCAAAGACTTGGCCATAAATTCTTGCCTAGCCTTCAAGGCCCTTACCACCTCTGTGGTTAAGAGACTTAGGAGAAACGGTGGGAGGGGGATGAGGGGTAAATGACTAAAAATCACCACTAAAGAACTTACACATGTAACCAAACACCACCTGTTCTCCAAAAACCTATGTAAATTATGAAAAAAAAAAAATTCCATGCTTGGCTAGGCACAGTGACAGAGGCCAGAGGCAGGCAGATCACTTGAGCCCAGGAGTTTGAGAACAGCCTGGGCAACATGGGGAAACCCTGTCTCTACTAAAAATACAAAAAATTAGCCAGCTGTGGTGGCGTGCATCTATAGTTTCAGCTACTCGGGTGGCTGAGATGGGAGAATCACCTGAGTCCGGGAAGTTGAGGCTGCAGTGAGCCATGATCACATCACTGCACTCCAGTCTGGGCAACTGGAGTGAGACTCTGCCTCAAAAAACGTAAAAGAAAAAGATTAAAACTAGACTGGTGGTCAAGTGTGATACTTGGACATCACCCTCCCATGTACAACACAGAGAACTCATTTTTTGTAGTTAAACAGATAACTGCATTTGTACATAAATAGCATTCTTTGTGATAAAAGCAAATCTCTACTCAATTTTTAAAATCCTTTAAACATAAAATCTAAAACAAAATCTTATAAGAATATATTTCCAAGGCAATAAATGTTTACAATGTATAAAATATAGAAAGCTCCTCCTTCCGATTTGGCATTAGGCCTGACAGGGTAGGGAAAGGTGAAAGCTGATTACAAAATGCCCCTGACTCCTCTTTTGGAAAGGTCTTTAAAATCCCAAACAAGGATTTTCCATCCAACCCAAGAATATTTAGGTGCTTTTAATGCCCTCCTGGGGTCAGCCCAGGTAGCCATGGAAGAGGGGAGAGATCTCTTTTTCCTCTATTTGGAAGGAGGCACTGTGAGAATTAAATTAGTTCATGAACTAAAGGCACTTCAAAACAGTGTTCAGCAGGTAATAAGTATTCGATTAATGTGAAGCACCATTGTTATTGTTGTTGGTTTTGTTGTTATTCCCTTATTTGCTGAGGACATGCCCTGTGTTTGGATTGAGCCAGTTTCCTCACTGCCACTTTTTAAAATTCCGTTCTTGTTGGTCTTCTCCCAGGAAGATCCTTTAAAGTCCAATTTGACTATCCAATTAACCTCTCTCGGCAGGTCAAACAGTAAAATTTTAACTGAAATAAAGATATGTTACACTTTCTTTCTGTATTCTCCACACTTAATTGTAGTGTTGAGTAAATAACAAAAACTCAATAAATAACTGATCAACTAGTAGGCTTGTTTTTGTTTCTTTCCAGCATGCTTTATGACAGAGTATGCAATGAAAGTTGAGCACTCATGGCTCAACACTTTAAATTTTAGTTTCCATTAAGAATCATTGTTTTGCAAATACAATCAAAAGGTAAAGGCAATGTTTATAACTCCTTCCTTACAAAATACTCCTGAGCACATTTGCCAACATGTATTTATTTACATTGTTTGGCCCCGCTAACATTTTTTTTCTCATAAATCCCTTCCTTACAAGTTATCCTGTAAAATCTGACACTATATATGATATAGATTTACCAAATATGTCCTTTTCTCCTAATGTATCATACTATTAAAATTTAAACAAGGACTTCCATCTGTATTAAATATATAAAGAATCTGCAAGTTTGTATATTAGTTCCTATTTTTCACCATATTGTGTTAGTATCTAATTACCATATCTGGAATTTTCTTAAACTCACTGATTATACATGAGTAACTATTGAAGTGAAAAGCTTATAATTACTAGAAACTCAGGAAAGGGAGAATATGACACCTATTTCCAAATACTTCAAAATGTATCTCAAATTGTTTGGCAGGAATGCTACCTCACTAGCTGCTGCAGATTACCACCCGAGTCCAGTGTGGGTATCCCTGTTAGAAATGCTTGGGACCAGAACTGCTTCAGATGTCAGATTTTTTTGGATTCTGGAATATTTGCTTTATACCCACCAGTTGAGCATCACTAACCCAAAATTCCCAAATCAGAAATATTCTAATGAGTATTTCATTTTAGGTTTGGAGTATTGCAGATTTCAGATGTTTGGATTAGGCATAGTCAACCTTTATATGGTGAGTAGCATAGTCTAAATGCAGCTTATTTCAATAAATAATACTTATGTAGAAACATTCCTTGACATACTAGGTGTCTAGGAATGTTGAACAAATCCTGTTGTCTTAAATATGATCATGCAAGAATGTGAGATACAAAATATAGTGTTCTCATGGTGTATGTATATATGTTAATAAACCCCTGGCCGGGCGTGGTGGTGGCTCACACCTGTAATCCCAGCACTTTGGGAGAGCGAGGTGGGCAGATCACTTGAGATTAAGAGTTCGAGACTAGTGGACAACATGGTGAAGTCCTGTCTCTACTAAAAATACAAAATTTAGCCAGACATGGTGGTGTACACCTGTAGTCCCAGCTACTCGGGAGGCTGAGGCAAGAGAATCACTTGAACCCAGGAGGCAGAGGTTACCGTGAGCCGAGATTGAGCCACTGCACTCCAGCCTGGGTGATAGAGTGAGACTCAGTCCCAAAAAATAAAATAAAATAAAATAAACCCCTGAGAAAAGTCATGAGACTGAGTAAGTAAAAAGGCCTGTGAATCTATCTGATTTTTCTAGACTTGTCTTTATATAATGACGTAATGATTTTTTTAAATACCTGAATTTAATCCTTTAAAAATTCTGACCAGACTTAAAATAGGACTGTTTGCATTCCTATGTAAAATGTAAGCATTATGCAACTCATTTTAACAGAAGGCTGAGGAAAGGAATAAAAATACATATTTAAAATACACTAAATCATAATTTCCTACCTTAACTATAGTTTTAAATACACACTAATTAAAAATAAATATTTAATATCAATATTTAAAATATATTACAAAGAGCAATTAGGGATAATAGAAAATTTTGCTTCAAATTCTCTCACAGCATTTTCTGTATACAAATATCTTATACTACTTTGGAGATGATTCAATAAATGTTTAATTCCAAAATCCTTTCAATTTACCATTCCACATACTTTAGAGCTAAATCTGTGCCTCCATACAGAACTTCCATATTTGTGCCTCCCCTGTAAAAAGTAGGCATTTCCAAGGAATTTTAAAAAAAGTAAAAACAAGGGAGCTAATTAGGTGTACATATATCTAATTATGTTGTATGTATGTATGTGTGTGTTGGTGTCACACACACACTGGTGTCACTACAAATAACAAAAATCTAAAACAGAAGTGATTTTTATCTAAAATCAATACTTCTTCCATTGTTCGCAAATCATACACAAATATTCATATATATCTAAAAATAATTTGGCAAGCAGAGTTGGATAAAACATTATCTTATCATTTTCCCTTAAAATAATTTTATATCTTACTTTTAAAGTACTTTGAAAACTAAGAATTTCCAAGTTGGGAAAAGCCCTGGAATCATTGCCAACAGCAACTTTTATGAAATCATGGAAAAATGGAGACTTTCAGGGAACTTTCCCAGTCTTCTGCAATAGTTCAGAATCTTCAAATTTATCACTGATATCTATTCAGAAATATATTATCCTTAATATGTTTCTTCTATCCAAATACAAAATGATATAAAAATATTTTTGTGGTCTGCCCCTACTGTCTGGCACTTAACTACCCAGGAAACTTTGTTACTAGAAAGCTTGTAAATTTCTACCACACAATCCTCTCTACTAGATAGTTTATAAAGAACTTTAGTATTGCCACTGGTCTTTTAGGAGCCCCTCTCTGTACTTCTCTACCCAGAAAATAACCTATCTATTTCTGCCCCTTTTCTCTCATTGTGAATCAGTTTCCTTCTCTCAATATAAGCCATCCCATGTTTACTGAGTTGTAATAGTATTTGCAATAGCACTTTGTCAAAGTATATGTGAGAGGCAGTTGGGAGACAATTTTTTTTTTAGTTATGGAAGTAATATATGTCCACATTGAAAAATATATCAAATAGTACAAAAGGTTTAATGTAAAAAGTAAATATCCCATTTCCCAGAGCAGACCACTATTAGTTTTGCAGATTGTTCCATACATTTTTATAATATAAATCCAAGTACACACACATCTTTGAAAAATAGGCTCTCTTTATACCTACTCTTTTGTACCTTTTTTCTCAATTATTACATTCTCATTAATAATTGCTGTTCATCAACATTTCTGGTTCTCCTCCTTAGAAGGTCACAGTAGGATCGTACTTTCCTACTCCTTGAAGTTAGGTGTGGCTATGTGACTTATTTTGGCCAATGCAATGTGATAAGTGGAGGGTAGTGCTTCTAGATGGAAGCATCTAAAATGCCACTCTGAATATTCTACTTCCTTTCGCCATATGGTGGAGCCCAGGACACTAGTGAGGACAACATGAGACAGAGACCCTCACTGACACATAATAGATATGTAACATGAGCAAGAAATGAGTCTCTGTTGTTTAAAGACCCAGATTTTGAGGTTACCTTCACAGTCTATTTTCACTCACACTACATTTTGAAGAAAATTCATATCAGAACATACAGATCTACCTCATTCACTGAGATGGTTTCATAATATTCTTTTAAATGAATAAATGATAATTTAATTCAATTGATCTACAAGTATTTTATGAGTGTCTACCATGTCCTCAATAGTGCTGTGTTTTAAATGTTAAGTTCATTTTATTATCACAAATTTGTGAGGTAGGTTCTATTCTTAATCACAGTTGCACAGATTTTTTTTAAAAAGTGAAAGCACTAGAGATTAAGTTAGAATTGTCCCCAAGTGCCAACAGACTGTAAATGGCAGAGCCAAAATTTGAACCCAGCTATGGCTACAGAGTCAATGCTTTTAATTACCAAGTTATTCTGCCTTTCCATATTCTAGAGAAACAGATAATACGTAAACATAGAAGACAATATTAAATAGTAATAGCTACTATGATGACAATAAAACAGAGTACTATGATGGGAAATGGGAGCTACTTTGTAGTGGGAAGTTAGGAAAGGCTTCCTTGAGGAAATGATACTTAAGCTGAGACCTGAATGACAAGAAAAAAAAAGTCACGTAAAAAACCTAGGGAAAAGGCATCCCAAGAGGAAAGAATAGCTAGTACAAATGTCTTAAGGTGGAAAAGACTGGGTATGTCCCATAAAGAGATAGAAAGCTACTGTGGTTGGAGCACACTAAGCCAGGGGAAGAGTAACAGCAGATTTTACCAGTCTTTCACTGAGGGGCAATATTTCATCTGATATTCTTTTACATGTACCTTCACATATTTGTATAGGATTACGTGTAGGATACGTGCCAAGAACTGGAACTGCTGGGCCCAATTTTGGTAGATATCACGAAATGCCCCTCCAAAAAGATGACAAAAGAAAAAAACTGTGTCAATAGAAGGAAGAGCTTTCTTTCCATATTCTCTCTTATACCATTATCGAACATTTTAAAACTTTGTTAATTTGTTACTTTTTTTTTCAAATGTTATGTCATTGCTGATTTCATCTCCAATTATTTAATTCTGTTTGAAGTTAAATCCTTTTTCATGCATTTTATTGCTTATTTGTATTTCTGTAGCTATGAACTACCTTTTCAGGGGCTCTGCCACTTTTTTAATAGGGGTTTTCATTTGCTCATTTTTTTTTTTTTTTTTTTTTTTTTTTGAGACTGAGTCTCGCTCTGTCGCCCAGGCTAGAGTGCAGTGGCGTGATCTCGGCTCACTGCAAGCTCCGCCTCCTGGGTTCACGTCATTCTCCTGCCTCAGCCTCCCAAGTAGCTGGGACTACAGGCACCCGCCACCATGCCCGGCTAATTTTTTGTATTTTTAGTAGAGACGGGGTTTCACCATGTTAGCCAGGATGGTCTCGATCTCCTGACCTCGTGATCCACCCGCCTCGGCCTCCCAAAGTGCTGGGATTACAGGCGTGAGCCACCACGCCTGGCCCACTCATATTTATTTTGTAAAAAATCTTTGTATATTAAGATAATGAGCCCTTTGCCATATGTGTTGCAAATATATTTTTTAGCCTGTAATGTAATATTTAACTTTATGATCCTTTTATCAAATTAAATTTTGGATTGAATAACTGATCTTTACTGAATTCAAATGCCTCATCTATCATACAGTAAATTCCTGCATATATTATGGTCTACTATTTGACTCTGTTATAAACAAGAATAAACTATTTTAATCCTATAACTTTAACCTTTTTTTATATATATATTTGGTAGAACTAGTTCCCCTTCAGTGCACTTCCGTTCCAGTTTTTTCCTGGCTATTCCCAGATGTTTACTTCCAGATAAAAATACACATCATGTTGTCAATTTCTTAAAAAAAAAAAAGAAAAAGAAAAATTCTGTTGAAATTATATTGGTATGTCATTGACTCTCTCTTATTACTATACTAAATAGGACTTTTTATTCCATTATCAATCATTTAGGCCTGGCATGGTAGCTCCCGCCTATAATCCCAGCAATTTGAGAGGCCAAGGCAGGCGGATGGCCTGAGGTCAGGAGTTCGAGACCAGCCTGGCCAACATGGTGAAACCATGTCTTTACCAAAAATACAAAAAATTAGCCGGGCATCTTGGCAGGCGCCTGCAATCCCACTTATTCAGGAGGCTGAGACAGGAGATTCACTTGAACCCAGGAGGTGAAGGTTGCAGTGAGCCAAGATAGTGCCATTGTAATCTAGCCTGGGCGACAGAGCGAGACTCCATCTCAAAAACAAACAAACAAAAAAACCACACACACACAATCATTTGCCTTGTTTTATATATATATATATATATACATATATATATGTAAATGCTATTGATTTTTACATACTTTATCAGATAGTCACATAATGTGAAAAAATTACATATATCTTTCTAAATCTTTTTATTTCCTTCTCTCTCTTATTTAATTGCATTGGCAGATACACACTCCCCCTTCCTCTCTAAAAAATGGGGAAAAAAGCCTAAAAAATACTAGTGATTGTGAACATCCTAGTCTGGCTCTTCACATGGGAATTCTTCAAGTGTTTTAGCATTAAACAGAACAGTGCCATTTGGCTTGCAATATATAGTTTTATCAGACTAATACAATAGGGAGTGGGAGCTACTTCATGCAGGAAGTTAGGAAAGGTTTCTTTGACAAAGTGATACTTAAGCTGAGACCTGAATAACAAGAAAGAGCCAGTTAAGGAAATAAGTACTTGTCCTATTGTATTAATTTTATAATCGGAAAGCATGCTAAATTTTATCAAGGACTTTTTGACAATACATATTGAGATAATATGGGTTTTTTTTTCTTCTGTCAGTGGCATTTTAAAAGTATAAGTGGAATAATTTCATTTATCTATCCATTTATATTCCAAACAAAAATCTAAACATCATTTAGATACAATTTTCCCTGGCAACAATGTGCTGCCTTTCCATCAAATGATGCATATTTGTATAAATGTATATGGCTTGCTTACTTATTCACAGAAATCACATCGATTTGCCTGGTATTGAAAGGGGAGTAGAAAATTCTACAATGTAAAAATGAAATAAAAATTTTATAACATCCAACTTTCTAAACTCTTTTGTGAGACACTAGTATCCATGGATGATGATAAATGCTCTGAAATCACCTAAGATTTGGAAACAGTGAGTTCAATAAAGGTAATTAATTTTTCTACCATAGGACATTTCAGATAATTTAATATGTTAATGTGCATTGTGATTCTTCAAAGGGAGGGGACAGGTGTAGAGCATGCAAAATTTCCCAAAGTTATTTGGCCAAGACATCTTCCACATGCATATGTGACAAATAACATCACACTAGGCACTGGCATTGAAACACAGAAATTGTTGTCCAGCCAGTCTGTTTGCTCTCATTGCTGCTGATAACTAAGACTTCGGCCAAATCAAGAAGCCTCTCTCCAATAGGAGAGAATGAGCTGATCCATTAAGAGAAGAGGAGATGAGAAAATGACAAAATTCTAGTAATACAGGCCCATTCTCATCCCTGTCCCAGGCTTCACTGCTGTCCTTACTGGGTCCATATACACTGACCTCCGTGAGAAGAGCAGCAGCTCTCAAAATGTGGTCAAAGGATTCCAGGGTATTCCTGGGACCCTGTCAGAGGTGTATGTAAATTCAAAACTATTGTTGTAACAAGACTAAAAGTTACTTGAGGCTGGGCGCGGTGGCTCACGCCTGTAATCCCGGCACTTTAGGAGGCCGAGGTGGGTGGATCACCTGAGGTCAGGAGTTTGATACCAGCCTGGTCAACATAGTGAAACCTCGTGTCTATTAAAAACACAAAAAATTAGCCGGGCGAGGTAGTGGGCACCTGTAGTCCCAGCTGCAAGCCGAGATGGCGCCACTGCACACCAGCCTGGGCAGCAGAGTGAAACTCGGTCCAAAACAAAAAAAAGTTATTTGTCTGTTTCACTCCTGTGTTCTCACAAGTGTACAGTGGTGTTTTCCAGAGGCTTCATGACCTGGAATGGCATCATCACTCTGACGGCAAATGGACTGTTCTTATGTTTTACAATTTTCTCAGATTTAAATCAAATCAGAAAATAACAATAGATATGAACCACACAAAAAAGTTCCTCAGGGTCCTCAAAAATTTTAAGAGTGTAAATGGCCCCTAAGACCAAAAAGTTTGAAAGGCATTATAACTTATTGGTCTAAGTAAGGTTTGTCCCTGTAACACAATTGGTTTTGCTATCCTTTGAAAAGTAGCCTTCCAGATCTTTTGGGGTGCTAATGCTATTTTTAATCTAACATGCTCTCTTCACCTGGACTATGGTTTAATAGCTATATAATAGACATAATAATTTTTTCTTTGCAATAAACTCCTTAACTCTGCCAATTTGCTACTCAGAGAATCATTTTCCAGCCCTTGGTTTGCTTTTTCTCTTTAAATCTTTAGCTAATATCTTCCCCGTGTTTTGCAATAAGACATTCAGATCATTTCAAAGTGTTAGATAGATAACAGATAATATCAGAAGTATGCTTTAAACCTATGATCTAATCTAGGCTCAACTATTGATATGGAGTAACTGCTACTAAGTTTTCTAAGAATGTTTTGTTTTAATAGATCATTTCCTGCTTTATACCAATATTTAATCAAGAAAATGTGTTCAAGTACAAGAATGTGTTTCAAAAAATATTTTAAACTTAATACATATTTGTCACTTCATTAAAAATAATTGTGTTTCAAATGTTTAATAATTTCAACCAAATAATTTAAACATTAAATTTCACATAGTACATTTAAGTAATCTATAACTAGCAATATAGCTCTAGAACTAGATATATAACCTTGGGTAAGACCCTGCCCTTTCCCTCTTTAAAAAAAGAGTGTTGAGCCAGGTGCAATGGCATAAGCCTATAGTCCTAGCTACTTGGGAGGCTGAGATGGGAGGACCACTTGGGCCTAGGGGTTTAAGTCCAGCCTAGGCAACATAGCAAGATACCATCTCTAAAAAATAAAAATAAAATAAATTTTAAAAAATTTTAAGAGGGTTTTGGACTAAATGATCGATTCCAGCTCTAGCCTTCTCTGACTTTACAAATCAGGTGTGGTGTGTTCCTCACCATTTAGAAACATCAGCCTAGAGCTCCTCCCCAAGGCAAAGTGTACACATATTCAACTTACATGGTGGTATACAGTTTGACTCTCACAGATAACGTAAAAGGGTGGTAATTCACATATTGGTAACTGATAGTAAAGTGCATTTTTCTCTGATGTCCTAATTGTAATTATTATTTGCTTTATATAATTAAGGGTTTTTTAATGGCTTTAACCATTAAAACCACATTTCTTTTTTTTTTTAAAGACAGAGCCTTGTTCTGTCGCCCAGGCTAGAATGCAGTGGCGTGATCTCAGATCACTACCACCTCTGCCTCCTGGGTTCAAGCGATTCTCCTGCCTCAGCCTCCCAAGTAGCTGGGATTACACGTATGCACCACCACGCCTGGCTAATTTTTGTATTTTTAGTAGAAATGGGGTTTCACCATTTTGGCCAGGCTGGTCTCGAATTCCTGTCCTCGAGTGATCCACCCACCTCGGCCTCCCAAACTGCTGGGATTACAGGCGTGAGCCACCACACCCGGCCAAAATAACCATATTTTAAGCTCATTTTGTGTTAGGGGGACTTGGATTACAAAAATGCAGTGAAAGTATGAGCCAAATAGTGATATAAGAAAAAGGAATTCATGAAGAAATACTCTTTCTAGGAGTGTTTTATTTGAACACTGGACAAAATTAAAAGAATTATATTTTTTAAAAGTGGTAGAGAGGAGACTAAGCTTTATAAAAGTAATTCTGAAGGCATTCTGGAGGATGAGTTCAGAGATAGGATGTAGAGAAGATGAAGGTGAAGATTCAGGAAACTACTCAGGAACTGATAGATAAGGAGGAGTGGTTGACCCTGGAGAATAGAGTGAAGGAATGAGGGACAGGTTACCCAGATTTGTTTAACTGAGTGAATGATGATGTTAACAGTAATAAGGACTACATAGAAGGCAGATGAGGAGTGACTAGAGTAGGTAATAACGAAAACTTACAAAGTCCATATTAGATATAATAAGTGTAAAATGCCAGTGGAACATTCAAGTATAACTTAAAATAATCATTATTAAGGGATAGAGAATACAGAATGTTCTCATGTAACAAGGAAAAAAAGATTATTACAGCTATCTAGATTTTTGATAAACTGACTTACACAGCAAGAAATAGCTCTTGTTTCCAGTTTTGTGATTTAGCATAATTTCCTACACATATAAACAGGGCCAATAAAAAAACCTACTTAAAAATCTCCATGAAGATATACATAGTATCAACTTATAACTAACCATATTCTTTAGCAAAATAGTAAAAAAAAAAAAAAAAAAAAGAAAACACATGTAGTAATCAAACAATTTACATCAATATTTCAAGTTTTTCAAATTGAAATTTTTATCTGATTAAGGAAGTATTAGAAAAACATTAATACGGCCAGGCATGGTGGCTCATGCCTGTAATCACAGCACTTTGGGAGGCCGAGGCCAGTGGATCACTTGAGGTCAGCAGTTCAAGATCAGCCTGGCTAACACAGCAAAACCCCATATGTACTAAAAAAAAAAAAAAATACAAAAATTAGCCAGGCGTGGTGGCATGCGCCTGTAATCCCAGCTACTCGGGAGGCTGAGGCAGGAGAATCACTTGAACCTGGGAGTCGGAGGTTGCAAAGAGCTGAGATCACGCCAATGCACTCCAGCCTCAGGGACAGAGTGAGACTCTGTCTCAAAAAAGAAAAAAAAAAAAAGAAAGAAAAACATTAATACTGGTGAAGGAGGGAAAAGCTTATTTTAGTTACATATAAACAACCACTTACCAAGGGATTAAATGTCTCACCTTAAGAGATATAGCTAAGCAGAGCAATTGTCTTTGTTAGTGTATGCATTTGCTAATTTGCAGGATAGGTTTGTGATAGGTGATGTATGCTCACTTTAAACCCTTACATAAATAATTAGGGGATAAAATCATATGGTTCATAGACCTGATTGTTTACATATGCAAATCAAATGACATTTTCTTAAATAGCTCCTGAGATTGGTCTTTTGAGAAAATCAAAAACACTTTGAGGGGAAGCATCCCAATGAACATCTGTAGATAAATTGAACTAGCATATTTGTCCCTTACAACTATACATGATGTTATCATCTCTTTCTGAATATATTATCTAAAGCTGACATTGTAAAGCATTTATTTGTTTTTTTTTTTTAAGAGCTTAGTGTCATGAGCTTGGACAGTGGGACTCCTACTTGTAATACGAAGAGCAGACGGGAAGATGTAACCAACTACCAGACTTGTTTTTGTTTTACTCTTCACATCTGTACCAAAGCATTTCATTTCCAGTAAGTTGATAATTTAAGGACATACAATTTCCCCCATGTGTGCTCTTCAACTCTGAATGTCTGGTGCTCAGTTAAATTTCATCTGTTTGCAATTGTTTCCCTTACAAGGCGTTATTTTTAGCTTCCCAGCCCATTAAAAGAGCACAAAACCTGGCTACAAATCTATTTCTAAATGTTAACTCCCATTAAATTAATTATCACTATAGAATCTACAAATAAAAGACCCCTACAGATGTGGTGAAAATAAATTACTAATATGATGTCCTGTCTAAAGTTTAAGACCAGATGTGACTAGAATGATCAGAGTGTGGAGGGAAAGGTGAAGATATTTATATATCTATTTTCTTTCTTTATACATCTTTCTTTATATATATATTTCTTTATTTATATATATACCTTTATATTTCTTTATATATGTTTTCCTTTAATCAAATCAAGAGTATATAACATACTTGTCCTTTTGAATATCTAAAAGAAATGCTAACTAAAAGAATTGCTGTGGCTTACTTTGCCCCTTCCACCAAGAAAAAACAGAAAATATATTTCCATCTTTTATAAACATAATGGAATACAAATAGTTCCTGTTGCTAAACTCAAAGTTGGTAAACAAGGCAAAAATAGGGCTTATTAATTCTATCATTAATTGCAACACTGAGAGAATAAAGATAATATAATTGAACCCTTTCTCCTTTATCATTTTTTCCTTTTGCCTCATTTCACAACTAATACAAGTTCATTGTTAAAAATTTGGAAAACAGAGTTAATGCAAGAGAAGAAAATTTAAAAATCACCATAATTTCTCACATAGAGAGACGTACTGTTAATATATTTTATCACTTGGTCTAATCATTTTTCCCATGTGCAATATATTCTTAAAGAAAATTGGGGTCATACTATTGGCTGTACATATCTTTTACATTCTGCTTTATCATTTACTATATCATAAACATCTCCCATATAATTATATAGATTATTTAAATTATCATACAATTATTTTAAAATTCCTTTATTATTGGGCATTTATGCTCTAATTTTTCACAACTAGAAATAATTCTGAAGTGAATACTACAGATATATTTTTTATACATCTGCTTCATTAGGACAATTTTCTAGAAATGGAATTGCTAGGCATGAATATAAATATTTTCATTGCTTATGTTTCATTCTGCTAAACTGCCCTCCAGAAAGGTTGTACTATTCTACAAACCAACCATCATGAAATGAGAGTGCATGCTTCTCTGCACCCTCACATATCAGATCATTATTTTAGATCCTTTTTGTCTATTAAACTGCAGTATTCTTTTAATAGTCATTTCTTCTATTGCTAATTAGGCTGAATATATGCACAGCCATCCACATTCATACAAGCCCACTCATACATACCATATACACCATGCACATCATATATGTAACTTATATTTTATGAATACTATGTTCAATACCTTTGTTCATATTTCTATTAGGATACACATGTTTCATGTTGCTATATAAGAATACTCATAAAGTTATTAATCCATTATCAAAATTGTCTAAAATTGTTATAAAATCGGCATTTGCCCTTTAATAGTATATACTATGTTCTTGATTTATAAAAGTTCTTCATTTGTGTACAGTCAAAAATATATTCTTTTATCTTCTACTTTTGTTTTTATTTTCACAAAGCTGCTCTTATTTCAAGTAAATATTACCTATATTCAGGCCTAGTTTGTGTATGGTTTTATATTTATAACTCATTGTTCTGAAGCTTATTCTGGTAAATGGTATGATATAGGGAATCAATTTATCTTTTCCCCCCACTTTGTCTACTGCTCTAGTAACATTTTACTGATTTGAAATGTCTCTAATTTTTAAAATTCACCTATCTCTCCAGTTAAAAATTTTACAACGTATGCTTAAAGGCATCCAAACCTTTGAATTAATGCAATCACTTTCATTCAAACAATTCCAGGGCACAATGTATTCAAGTTTCTTTTAATTTCATGCACAATCCAACAGCAAGCCAGTGGGTACTAGGAAGGGAAGGAAGAAAGGAATACAGTATTCAGGGAACTAAATCCACTATTCCTGTGTTTTACTGTATCATGCCATAATAATTATTTTCATATTTTTATTGAGAGAAATTGATAATACAGAGAAGTAGAGTTTAATGTAAATTTGATGGTTTCTTGTGGCCAGAAGGTCTATAAGATTCTCATCTTTCATAGGACTTAACTGTACTTTATATTCTATATGTAATCTAAGAAAAAATAGTGCAGAAACTTTCAAAAAGTCAAGACAAAAAAAAAAATCCACAACCTGGCAGGTATGTCTTTAATGTTTTAGAAGCAGCCACAACAATGTATTCAGCAGGCAAATCTGAAGCAGACATATGGAATTTTGCCTGTTGTGAGCCTTGTATGTGGGAGCCTTATGCTACTATGTCTTGTGTATAAAAATGGATTATAGAGCTGTAGAAAAAGAGTTCAATGCATCTTTAAAGTGTTTCCAAAGTGAAAATAACTTTTAAAAGAGCTAAAAGTCAGATCCAGTACCAGTATAAGTGACAGAAAACTATCAGTTACATTCACTCTCTTACTTTCAAAGGCCATAAAAGTTATATAATAGAACCAAATAAATACTGCAGTCTTAAAATTATGGGAAGGTGACTGATATGAGATTTAAGACTGAAAAGCTGCATTTCAACCATAAAGTAACTTAAAAGAACAAAAAAAATTCATTATCAAAATTATAAATATTAGTATATTCTTTAGAGATTTCACTTTATTTCCAACTTTTTAAATAACCTCAAAAATGTTAAATGGTTGATTCAATCAATCACCAGTGAGACATGGGTGTGATCATCACTGACTGCATATCCATCTAGCAAACTAGAAAGTTCTGGACTCCTGCTTCCCAACCCCTTGGCTGAAGCTCTTTCACAGCTCTTTCCTTCTGTGTGCACATGTGCAAGGAAGTCAGAGACTGAAATCCAAAGTACAGCAAAAAGTCAATGGGTTCTGCTGCTTCACCAGGAGAAAAAAAAGAGTGAAGGAGAATATAAAACAAATAATGAAATGAAATGAAAGAATGGAACATTAGATTGCCTGTGTTTAAGTGAAGCCTAAACTATTGTGATTGACTTTTGGCTTATGAGCAGCTGGAAAGTACTCAGGACTGGCTACTCAGAAAGCATTTTACTTTAAAGACAAATAGTAGTTTTAGTTCAGTTAACATAAGTAAACAGCTCTACTTGATCTGGCCTCCCCCTCACTCTGTGATCGATTCTCCTATCACTTGGCGCTCATACTACTTCCTACCCAAACTGGCTTTCTTATTGTTTTGCCACCAGACCAAGTTCTTTCCAATATTAAAGGCTTTTAGTTTAACTGTTCCCTCAGCCTAGAAAGGTCTTCCTCCTGATCTTCATGTGGCTGGTTTCTTCATATCATTCAGGTTTCAGGTTACAAATCACTACATCAGGAAAGCCTTTTCTAAGTATCGCTATAAAGGGGTTAGTCTATCACTATCACATCTTTCCATTTTAATTCTTTTTATAGCACTTTCTCTCCACAGCACTCACTGTCTTGCTTCCTTAGTCAATTACTTGCTCTCATGGTTTCTACTCTTTACTGCAAGCTCCAAGGCAGGGAGTTTTGTTGTTTTGTTCATTGATCTATCTTCAGCATTCAGAACACTGTCATATACTAAGTGTTCAATAAGTTTAGCAAATATATATTTAACTGCTTTGCATTTTTGTTTTGAAAACCAATCAACTATAAATATTCCTGATTACTTCTAAGAACAGAGTAGGTCTCAGAGACTATGTCTTATTTTGACCATAAATCTGCTCTCCAAATATTTTAGGATCAACAAACTGTATTTCTTTTTTTCTTTTCTCTTTTTGAGACAGAGTCTCGCTCTGTCACCCAGGCTGGAGTACAGTGGCACAGTCTTGGCTCACTACAACCTCTGCCTCCCTAGCTCAAGCAATCCCCCCACCTCGGTCCCCCAAGTAGCTGGGACTACAGGCGTGCACCGCCATGCCCAAATAATTTCTGTATTTTCAGTAGAGATGGGATTTCGCCACATTGGCCAGGCTGGTCTCGAACTCCTGGCCTCAAATGATCCGCCTGCCTCGGCCTCCCAAACTGCTGAGATTACAGGTGTGAGCCATTGCACTCAGCCTAGGATCAACAAACTATATTTCTTATCAGCCTTTTCTCACTCATATTCTTGAATTCTTGAATACAATGAAAGTTGGACAAGAGTTCTTCCTCCTGCCTCCCAGTTCGATTTGGCCTATTTATCTCTCTTACTGCCACAGCAAATAAGGCCATGGAAATGAAATAACTTTCGGTGTACGTGGAGAGGAGATGCCAATAAGAGACAATCTTTTCTTTTAATGATCTCAAAAATTAAGAGTTTAATGAATTGGAATTTGAGCTTAATCTCAGTAAAATGTCAGTTCCTTGAGGGAGGGAATTTTTTTTGTCTTCTTGTCTTCTTGCTACATCTTCAGCACCCAGAAAAGTGCTCAGTGCATAGCAGGCATTCAACAAATATTTACTGAATGAATGAATAAATGAAAGAGTAAATGAATGAATATACAATAAGTTCCAAATACTGAATTAGAAACAAAGCTGCTTAGTCTCGTCTACTTCTAAAGCCTTATGGAGAAACACAGACTACAAATAGATTTTCTATTCCTACTTCTCAGGAATTCTGTATCATGTACTATTGATTATAAGATACCTGAGCAAGAAACAGCTTACAGACAATACAGAAAACTTAACCATTGATACTAGAAACACTTGTAATGGAAAAATGGCTCAACTATCAAATGCCCTGCAAAAATGGACAGCCAAGAATGTTGACCACTTATGATGAATTGTGAAAAAAGACTGTAATTCACTAATGTTCAGTTATACCTGATTTGCTCTTATGGAATTTGAAGTATTTTGCAAAACTATGAAAACAAATATCGAGAGAAAACAGGAATAGAAAAAAATATAAATCAGAATAGAATGAGATTAAAAAGAATGTTAGGACAAAGATTTAACTGTTTTCTGGTGCCCAAATAAAAGGAAATAAAAATATAATCAGTTACTTTTCAAAGAAGCAAAGGATTTTCTAACTTTTAGAACCAAATAAAAGGGCTCATAGGAGTTTTCATACAAAAAACACAATAACAGTGCACACTGTCCTCTACAACAAGGGTCCCCAACCCTTGGGCAACAGACCACTACTGTGGCTTGTTAGGAACCATACCTCACAGCAGGAGGTGAGCAGCGGGCCAATGAGCATTACTCTCTGAGCTCCACCTCCTGTCAGACCAGCATTAGATTCTCATAGGAGCATAAATCCTATTGTGAACTGCACATGCAAAGTATCTAGGTTGTGCACTCCTTATGAGAATCTAACTAATGCCTGATGATCTGAGGTGGAACAATTACATCCTGTAACGATCCCCACATCCCCGCACCCCGCCCGTCCCGTGGTAAAATTGTCTTCCACAAAATCGGCCACTGGTGCCAAAAAGTTGGGGGACCATTGCTATACAACATTGTTATATTGAAAGCAGCAACAGATTTTTTTTAAGACTAGTTTTGTAACATTATTCAGTTAATGTAAAATCACAAAAACAAATAACAAATCAGTAAATTCTTTGGGGGTAGGGATGTTAGGTGACAAAACGGATCCCAATATGTGTCTTTCTTATGGATATGTCCAATAAAAATAGTCGCTAGCCACTTGCAGCTACTGAGCACTTCAAATGTGGCTAATGTGACTGATGATCTGAATAATTTTAATCAATTTTAATTAAATTTAAGTAGCCATATGTGACCTGGGGTTACTTTATACTTAAATATACCATTCAGCACTAACCTAACTGTAGGCAGTAGAAAAGCAGTGCCTTGCCTCAGAAGACAAGTGGATACTTAGTGGATACTATTCCCCCAACCCCAAAAGAGGTTCCTGGGTAACCCCAAAAGAGGTTGCTGGGTAATGGTTTTGCCATTAATGGCAAAAACCACAATTACTTTTGCATCATCCTAGAGATTTAAGAAATGCTGGGTTTAAAGAAAGTTAAACTGACCAGGCACCGCGGCTCACACCTGTAATCCCAACACTTTGGGAGGCCGAGGTGGGCTGATCACAAGGTCAGGAGATCGTGACCATCCCGGCCAACACGGTGAAACCCCGTCTCTACTAAAAATACAAAAAATTTAGCCGGGCGTTTTGGCGGGCACCTGCCGTCCCAGCTACTCGGGAGGCTGAGGCAGGAGAATGGCGTGAACCGAGGCGGAGCTTGCAGTGAGCCGAGATCGCGCCACTGCACTCCAGCCTGGGCGACAGAGCGAGACTCCGTCTCAAAAAAAGCAAAAAAAAAAAAAAGAAAGAAAGTTAAACCAAAGACTTCTTAGAAGTTTCAACAGCTAACACACTTCACTAATTTTCAGAGGGGAATACAGTATATAGTTTTCCTTTGTTACAAAAATGCTAAATGCCTGTGTGCCCCCAAATCCTTATGATGAAATCCTAACCCCCAATGTGATTGGGGGGAACTTTGAGAGGTAATGAGGTCACAAGGGTGGAGAGACCTCATGAATAGAATTAGCGCCCCTATTAGGGACCCCAGAGAGTTCTCTCGCCCTCCTTCTACCATGTGAAAATATAAAGAGAAGTCAGCAGTCTGCAACCCAGACCACCAGAACCCGACCACCTTGGCACTCTGATCTCAGACTTCCAGCCTCCAGAACCGTGAGAAATAAATTTCTTTTGTTAAATATGCCACCCAGTCTATGGTGGGTGACATATTAACATAACTTTGTTATAGCAGCCCGAAAGAAAATAGCCTCCAATATATAAAAAGTTAATATGACATTGTTTGCATTTAAATATGGCATATTTATCTGATGATTTGGAAACTCACAATAATTAAGCCATCTTTTTCCTTCTTTTTTTGATCCTGGAAGTGTGCCTATTTTTCAATTTTTAATTTCTGTGGGTACATAGTAGGTGTATATATTTATGAGCTACATGAGATATGGTGATACGGGCGTGCAGTGCATAATAATCACATCATGGTAAATGGGTTAGCTATCCCCTCAAGCATTTATCTTTTGTGTTACAAACAATCCAATTATACACGTTTAGTTAGTTTAGTTATTTTAAAATGTACAATTAAATTATTTTTTACTATAGCCACCCTATTGTGCTAGCAAATACTAGGTCTTATTCATTCTATTTTTTTGTACACATTAACCATCCCCACTTCCCCATCACTACGCTTCCCAGCCACTGATAATCATCATTCTATTCTCCATATCCTTGAGTCCAAATGCTTTGATTTTTTAGCTCCCACAAATAAGTGAGAACATGGGAAGTTTGTCTATCTGTGCCTGGCTTATTTCACTTAACATAATGTCCTCCAGTTCTTGCCATGTTGTTGCAAATGACAGGATTTCATTCTTTTTATGGCTGAATAGTACTCCATTGTGTATATGTACCACATTTTCTTTATGCATTCATCTGTTCATGAACACTTATGTTGCTTCCAAATCTTCACTATTGTAAATAGTGCTTCAACAAACATAGGAGTGCACATATCCCTTCAATATACTGATTTCCTTTCTTTTGGGTATATACCCAGCAGTGGGACTGCTGGATCATATGGTAGCTCAATTTTAAATTTTTGGAGGAACATCCAAACTGCTTTCCATAGTGGTTGTATTGATTTACATTCCCACCAACAGTGCATGAGGGTTCCCTTTTCTCCATATCATCACCAGCATTTGTTATTGCCTGTCTTTTAGACAAAAGCCATTTTAACTTGGGTGAGATGATACCTCATTGTAATTTTAATATGTATTTCTCTGATGATCAATGATGTTGAGCATCTTTTCATATGCATCTCTCTCCTTCTTCAATTAATTTTCTATTACTTCATATACTGATGCAAAAGACAGACAAATAAGGGAATGACAACAGCAAGATGGTGACCCTTTTATCCTTATACCCACTTCTAGGTATTGATCCAAAAGAATTTATGTCAGTATCTCCAAATGATATCTGCACTCCCATGTTCATTGCAGCATTATTCATTGTAGCCAAGAGGAGAAAACAAGCTAAATGTCCATAGATGGATGAGTGGATAAAGAAAACATACATACATACATACGGTGGAATATTATTGAGTCATAAAAAATAAGGAAGCTCTATCATATGCTAAAGCATGAGTGAACATAGCTAACTTTATGGTAATTAAAATAAGCTAGTCACTTAAGGACAAATACTGCATGAGTCCATTTATACCTCAAGTAGTCAAACTCATCAAAAAAAACTCAAAGTGGTTGTCGACAGGTGATGGGGTGAGAGAGAAATACAAGAGTTGTTGTTCAGGCCAGGCGCGGTGGCTCACGCCTGTAATCCTAGCACTACTGGAGGCCAAGGTGGGCGCATTGCCTGAGCTCAGGAGTTCCAAGACCAGCCTGGGCAACGTGGTGAAACCCTGTCTCCACTAAAATACAACAAAAAAAAATAGCCGGATGTGGCAGCGTGCACCTGTAGTCCCAGCTACTTGGGAGGCTGAGGCAGGAGAATTGCTTGAACGTGGGAGGAGGAGGAAGCAGTGAACCCAGATAGTGCCACTGCACTCCAGCCTGGCGACAGAGAGACTCTGTCTCAAAAAAAAGAAAAAAACAGAGAGCTCTCCAAGATGGCCGAATAGGAACAGCTCCGGTCTGCAGCTCCCAGCATGATCGACACAGAGGACAGTGATTTCTGCATTTCTAACTGAGGTACCTGGTTCATCTCATTGGGACTGCTTGGGCAGTGGGTGCAGCCCACGGAGGGCGAGACGAAGCAGGGCGGGACATCGCCTCACCTGGGAAGTGCAAGGGGTAGGGGGATTTCCAATTCCTAGCCAAGGGAAGCTGTGACAGACTATACCTAAAAAAACGGGACACTCTGGCCCAAATACTGTGCTTTCCCAATGGTCTTAGCAAACAGCACACGAGAAGATTATATCCCGCGCCTGGCTCGGTGGGTCCCACGTCCATGGAGCCTTGCTCACTGCTAGCACAGATCGACCTGCGAGGCAGCAGCCTGGCAGGGGGAGAGGCATCCACCATTGCTGAGGCTTGAGTAGGTAAACAGAGCGGCTGGGGAAGCTCAAACTGGGCAGAGCCCACTGCAGCTCGGCAAGGCCCACTGCCTCTGTAGACCCCCACCTCGGGGGGCAGGGCATAGCTGAACAAAAGGCAGCAGAAACTTCTACAGACTTAAACATCCCTGTCTGACAGCTCTGAAGAGAGCAGTGGTTCTCCCAGCACGGAGGTTTGAACTCTGAGAACAGACAGACTGCCTCCTCAAGTGGGTCCCTGACCCCCGTGTAGCCTAACTGGGAGACAGCTCCGAGTAGGGGCCAACTGACACCTAATACAGGCGGGTGACCCTCCAGGACAAAGCTTCCAGACGAAGGATCAGGCAGCAATATTGGCTGTTCTGCAGTCTCCGCTGGTGATACCCAGGCAAACAGGGTGTGCAGTGGACCTCCAGCAAACACCAACAGACCTGCATCTGAGGGACCTGACTGTTAGAAGGAAAACTAACAAAAAGAAAGGAATAGCATCAACATCAACAAAAAGGATATCCACACCAAAACCCCATCTGGAGGTCACCCATTTCAAAGACCAAAGGTAGATAAAACCACAAAGATGAGAAGAAATCAGAGCAGAAAAGCTGCAAATTCTAAAAACCAGAGCGCTTCTTCTCCTGCAAGGAATTGCAGCTCCTAGACAGCAACGGAACAAAACTGGATGGAGAATGACTTTGACGAGCTGACAGAAGTAGGCTTCAGAAGGTCGGTAATAACCAACTTCTCCGAGCTAAAGGAAGATGTTTGAACCCATTGCAAGGAAGCTAAAAACCTAGAAAAAAGATTAGACAAATGGCTGACTAGAATAAACAGTGTAGAGAAGACCTTAAATGACCTGATGGAGCTGAAAACCATGGCACAAGAACTACGTGACGCGTGCACAAGCTTCAACACATGATTCGATCAAGGGGAAGAAAGGGTATCAGTGATTGAAGATCAAATCAATGAAATAAAGCGAGAGGAGAAGTTTAGAGAAAAAAGAGTAAAAAGAAATGAACAAAGCCTCCAAGAAATATGGGAATATGTGAAAAGACCAAATCTACGTTTGTTTGGGGTACCTGAAAGTGACAGGGAGAATGGAACCAAGTTGGAAAACACTCTGAAGGATATTATCCAGGAGAACTTCCCCAAACTAGCAAGTCAGGCCAACATTCAAATTCAGGAAACACAGAGAACACCACAAAGATACTCCTTGAGAAGAGCAACCCCAAGACACATAATTGTCAGATTCACCAAGGTTGAAATGAAGGAAAAAAGGCTAAGGGCAGCCAGAGAGAAAGGTTGGGTTACCCACAAAGGGAAGCCCATCAGACTGACAGTGGATCTTTCAGCAGAAATCCTACAAGACAGAAGAGAGAGGGGGCCAATATTCAAAAGTCTTAAAGAAAAGAATTTTCAACCCAGAATTTCATATCCAGCCGAACTAAGCTTCATAAGTGAAGGACAAATAAAATCCTTTACAGACAAGCAAATGCTGAGGGATTTTGTCACCACCAGGCCTGCCTTACAAGAGCTCCTGAAGGAAGCACTAAGCATGGAAAGGAACAACCAGTACCAGCCACTGCAAAAACATGCCAAATTGTAAAGACCATCGATGGTAGGAAGAAACTGCATCAACTAATGGGCAAAATAACCACCTAACATCTTAATGACAGGATCAAATTCACACATAACAATAATAACCTTAAATGTAAATGGGCTAAATGCTCCAATTAAAAGACACAGACTGGCAAATTGGATAAAGAGTCAAGACCCATCAGTGTGCTGTATTCAGGAAACCCATCTCACGTGCAGAGACACACATAGGCTTAAAATAAAGGGACAGAGGAAGATCTACCAAGCAAATGGAAAGCAAAAAAAAAAAGAGGAGTTGCAATCCTAGTCTCTGATAAAACAGACTTTAAACCAACAAAGATCAAAAGAGACAAAGAAGGCCATTATATAATGGTAAAGGGATCAATTCAACAAGAAGAGCTAACTATCCTAAATATATATGCGCCCAATACAGGAGCACCCACATTCATAAAGCTAGTCCTCAGAGACTTACAAAGAGACTTAGACTCCCACACAATAATAATGGGATATTTTAACACCCCCCTGTCAACATTAGACAGATCAATGAGACAGCAGGTTAACAAGGATATCCAGCACTTAAACTCAGCTCTGCACCAAGCAGACCTAATAGACATCTACAGAACTCTCCACCCCAAATCAACAGAATACACATTCTTCTCAGCACCACATCACACTTATTCCAAAATTGACCACATAGTTGGAAGTAAAGCACTCCTCAGCAAATGTAAAAGAACAGAAATCACAACAAACTGTCTCTCCGACCACAGTGCAATCAAATTAGGACACAGGATTAAGAAACTCACTCAAAACCACACAACTACATGGAAACTGAACAACCTGCTCCTGAATGACTACTGGGTACATAACAAAATGAAGGCAGAGAAAAAGATGTTCTTTGAAACCAATAAGAACAAAGACACAGTGTACCAGAATCTCTATGACACATTTAATGCAGTGTGTAGAGGGAAATTTATAGCACTAAATGCCCACAAGAGAAAGCAGGAAAGATCTAAAATTGACACCCTAATATCACAATTAAAAGAACTAGAGAAGCGAGAGTAAACAAATTCAAAAGCTAGCAGAGGGCAAGAAATAACTAAGATCAGAACACAACTGAAGGAGATAAAGACACAAAATACCCTTCAAAAAAATCAGTGAATCCAAGAGATGGTTTTTGAAAAGATCAACAAAACTGATAGACCACTAGCAAGACTAATAAAGAAGAAAAGAGAGAAGAATTGAATAGATGCAATAAAAAATGATAAAGGGGATATCAGCACCAATCCCACAGAAATACAAACTATAATCAGAGAATACTATAAACACCTCTATGCAAATAAACTAGAAAATCTAAAACAAATGGATAAATTCCTCAACACATACACCCTCCCAAGACTAAACCAGGAAGAAGTTGAATCCCTGAATAGACCAATAACAGGCTCTGAAATTGAGGCAATAATTAATAGCTTACCAACCAAAAAAAGTCCAGGATCAGATGGATTCACAGCCGAATTCTACCAGAGGTACAAGGAGGAGCTGGTACCATTCCTTCTGAAACTATTCCAATCAATAGAAACAGAGGGAATCCTCCCTAACTCATTTTATGACGCCAGCATCATCCTGATACCAAAGCCTGGCAGAGACACAACAAAAAAAGAGAATTTTAGACCAATATCCCTGATGAACATCGATGCAAAAATCCTCAATAAAATACTGGCAAACCGAATCCAGCTGCACATCAAAAAGCTTATCCACCATGATCAAGTGGGCTTCATCCTGGGATGCAAGGCTGGTTCAACATACGAAAATCAATAAACGTAATCCAGCATATAAACAGAACCAAAGACAAAAACCACATGGTTATCTCAATACATGCAGAAAAGACCTTTGACAAAATTCAACAGCCCTTCATCCTAAAACCTCTCAATAAACTAGATATTGACAGAATGTATCTCAAAATCATAAGAGCTATTTATGAGAAACCCACAGCCAATATCATACTGAATGGGCAAAAACTGGAAGCATTCCCTTTGAAAACTGGCACAAGACAGGGATGCCCTCTCTCACCACTCCTATTCAACATAGTGTTGGAAGTTCTGGCCAGGACAACAATTAGGCAGGAGAAAGAAATAAAGGGTATTCAATAAGGAAAAGAGGAAATCAAATTGTCCCTGTTTGCAGATGACATGATTGTATATTTAGAAAACCCCACTGTCTCAGCCTAAAATCTCCTTAAGCTGATAAGCAACTTCAGCAAAGTCTCAGGATACAAAATCAATGTACAAAAATCACAAGCATTTCTATATACCAAAAACAGACAAACAGAGAGCCAAATCATGAGTGAACTCCCATTCACAATTGCTTCAAAGAGAATAAAATACCTAGGAATCCAACTTACAAGGGATGTGAAGGACCTCTTCAAGGAGAACTCCAACCACCGCTCAATGAAATAAAAGAGGACACAAAGAAATGGAAGAACATTCCATGCTCATGGATAGGAAGAATCAATATCATGAAAATGGCCATACTGCCCAAGGTAATTTATAGATTCAAAGCCATCTCCATCAAGCTACCAATGACTTTTTTCACAGAATTGGAAATACTACTTTAAAGTTCATATGGAACCAAAAAAGAGCCCACATTGTCAAGACAATCCTAAGCCAAAAGAACAAAGCTGGAGGCATCACACTACCTGACTTCAAACTATACTACAAGGCTACAGTAACCAAAACAGCATGGTACTGGTACCAAAACAGAGAAACAGACCAGTGGAACAGAACAGAAGCCTCAGAAATAACACCACACATCTGCAACCATCTGATCTTTGACAAACCTGACAAAAACAAGAAATGGGGAAAGGATTCCCTATTTAATAAATGGTGCTGGGAAAACTGGCTAGCCATATGTAGAAAGCTGAAACTGGATTCCCCCCTTACACCTTATACAAAAATTAATTCAAGATGGATTAAAGACTTAAACGTTAGACCTAAAACCATAAAAACCCTAGAAGAAAACCTAGGCAATACCATTCAGGACATAGGCATGGGCAAGGACCTCATGACTAAAACACCAAAAGCAATGGCAACAAAAGCCAAAATTGACAAATGGGATCTAATTAAACTAAAGAGCTTCTGCACAGCAAAAGAAACTCCCATCAGAGTGAACAGGCAACCTACAGGATGGGAGAAAATTTTTGTAATCTACCCATCTGACAAAGGGTTAATATCCAGAATCTACAAAGAACTCAAACAAATTTACAAGAAAAAAACAAACAACCCCATCAAAAAGTGGGTGAAAGATATGAACAGACACTTCTCAAAAGAAGACATTTATGCAGCCAACAGACACATGAAAAAATGCTCATCATCACTGGTCATCAGAGAAATGCAAATCAAAACCACAATGAGATACCATCTCACACCAGTTAGAACGGCAATCATTAAAAAGTCAGGAAACAACAGATGCTAGAGAGGATGTGGAGAAATAGGAACACTTTTACACTGTTGATGGGAGTGTAAACTAGTTCAACCGTTGTGGAAGACAGTGTGGCAATTCCTTAAGGATCTAGAACTAGAAATACCATTTGACCCAGCCATCCCATTACTGGGTATATACCCAAAGGATTATAAATCATGCTACTATAAAGACACATGCACATGTATGTTTATTGTGGCACTATTCACAATAGCAAAGACTTGGAACCAACCCAAATGTCCATCTGTGATAGATTGGATTAAGAAAATGTGGCACATATACACCATGGAATACTATGCAGCCATAAAAAATGATGAGTTCATCTTCTTTGCAGGGACATGGATGAAGCTGGAAACCATCATTCTGAGCAAACAATCACAAGGACAGAAAACCAAACACTGCATGTTCTCACTGATAGGTGGGAATTGAACAATGAGAACACTTGGACACAGGGTGGGGCACATCACACACTGGGGCCTGTCATGGGGTGGGGAGCAGGGGGAGCTATAGCATTAGGAGAAATACCTAATGTAAATGATGAGTTAATGGGTGCAGCAAACCAACATGGCACATGTATACCTGTGTAACAAACCTGCACGTTGTGCACATGTACCCTAGAACTTAAAGTATGATTAAAAAAAAAAAGAAAGAAAGAAAGAAAAAAAAAGAGTTGTGGTGCAATGGGCATAAAGTTTCAGTCATGCAAGATGTAAATGTTCTGGAGATTTGTTATACAACATTATATCTGTCGTTAACAATATTGTACTATTCACTTAAAAAATTCTTAAGAGGGTAGATCTCAGGTTATGTTTTTTTTTTTTTAACCACATTTTTTTTTTAAAGACCGCCATACAATATGAAGCTGGGATCTGCAAACATATTGATTTATTTGTACTTTGAAATAGGGAGATTACTTTTTTGGAATAAGAGGAATTCTCTTCCAGCTACTACTGGACTAGGAAGAAGTTTCCAGAAAAGTTGCAATGGAGAGAAGACGGAGAGGAAAAGTGGGTGGAGAGAGAGATATCTTGTTTATATTAAATACTTAATAGAGCACTATGCAAAGTTGTCATGCAATATCAAGGAAACAATATTTGTGGCTGGGTGTTTAAAAAGTTTAATAATTTACTATTTTATTGTATATGTCAATCAGTGAAATATGCATAAGCAATTAATAACATCTTTACCAAGCATGTCTTAAAACACCTTTAAAATACATAAATACATGGTACTATTCAAGGCAGTATAAAAAGCATTTCCGAGTGGAGAAAAAGGATACAAATACAATCTCTGGCATCACGTAATTTAAAACAACCATCAATAGAAGAAAATTTAAGAGAAATGGTAAAAATAGTAAAAGAACTTACAGGTAGTATCCTTAAAAAGTCATAAAATCCAACTCTAAACTAATTTTACAGTCCAACACCAATGATTGTTTTTAGATTTCTGTTAAAGACTTTTTTTCTCAATGTGGTATTTCTATCTAAGTTCCTGACAGAGTACTAGTTGAAAAACAACTACACTATTGCTTACTGTGCAGGCCTCTGGTTGAATAAATGGCTTAATAAAAATGTTTAGAATAGAAAAGCATTCATGTTGAAAATGTGAAATGTCTTCCTTAATGGACAATTGAGCATTACCATGTTTATGTGATGTGCATACATTTTTTAACATAAAATTTTAAGCAAGATTTAAACCAGCTTTGCAGATATATTCAAAATATGAGGTGGGATAGAGAAAGAATGCACAAAAATTTTACTTCTGCTTAGTAAAAAACATTTTGTCACTATAACTTTAATATAATGATTAATTTTTAGAGTGATATATAATGGGTACTGGTGCATTTGAAGCATTTTGTACATTTTCTCATTATATCCTTTATTTATTCCACATTTATGCTTCATTTCAGTTCATAATTAATGGTAAGTAGGGTTTTGTCTATTTAGTGAGTATTTGTTAAATCAGCACTATTATGGAGCTCAGAGAGAGTGGGAAGGATGGCAACTGAATTAAAGTACCTAGGAACTGCAGTGGTAGAGTGGTAAGTAATAACAAAGGGTCATGAAACCAAACAATACATACATTTTACACTGATTCTTTGAGATATAATTACTTTTAATTCATATAAAAGATCAACCTCAAACAGGGCTCAAATCTTTTTTTAAGGATCACAAGGAGACTTTTTTTTTTTTTTTTTTTTTTTTTTTTTTTTTTTTTTTGCTATTTCTACAATACCAAATCTCACTTGTGGTAGATGGAGTTCCATCCTCCCCAATAGCCTCATAGACCAGGTGTCCTCTGAGTGTCCTTCCTGCAGTGATCTACTCTTATCAGTAGGAAAGCCCATAATTGTAAAGGCTTTAGCTCCACACCAAGTTTATTGAATTCCTGGCACACTTTTTCCTTTGCCTAGTGTCTCTGACCTCTGTTTAGGACTTTTTTCTTAGCTCAGACCCTCTTCTTCAGTCCCAGATTCTGTTTCCCAGTTTCCTAGTGTTAAAATTAATTAATCAGGAGGCCATAAGACTGAGGGGACCCAGCATCCTGGGATCCTATGTAAGCAAACTGAAACCCAACTCAGTGTAACAATCACATTTTAGGAAAACGAAAATTAAGTGTAATCAATTCGAAACTAATCTCTAACTGGGGACTTTTCATTTGAATGATCCAAATAAGGCTACCGCTCCACGTTAGCCAATCAAACTATTTTCTTTGCCTTGCTTCTGTATTCATCTGACAAAAGTCTTCACCTCATGTTTCTTGGGTGGAACTCCTGAGCCACTTATCATCTGGGATTGCTGGATTCAAGAGTTTATTTGCTAAAATAAACTCTTTAACATTTTCATGTACCTCAGTTTATCTGTGAATAATAGACTATTAGTGATTCCTCTTTAACACTGAAACGTGTGTATCAGACCTATGATAGTTAACTATGTTCCTTTCCTTACTTAAATTTGTCCACTAGCCTAGTCAGATTATTAACCTGGATTCTCCTTCAACAATAAGTCCAGAACATCTATGCCTATCCTTCTTTGTTGCAAGGGTAAAAATGTATATAATTGGCTAAGCAAATAAAGAATGAGCTAATGTTAAAGTGGCATGTCCAGTTTAACAGAAACCAGGGCCAGGCGCGGTGGCTCACGCCTGTAATCCCTACACTTCAGGAGGCTGAGGCGGGTGGATCCCCAGGTCAGGAGATCGAGACCACCCTGGCTAACATGGTGAAACCCCGTCTCTACTAAGAAAATACAAAAAATTAGATGGGCGTGGTGTCGGGCGCCTGTAGTCCCAGCTACTCGGGAGGCCGAGGCAGGAGAATGGCGTGAACCCGGGAGGCGGAGCTTGCAGTGAGCTGAGCTCACGCCACTGCACTCCAGCCTGGATGACCGAGCGAGACTCCGTCTCAAAAAAAAAAAAAATGCAGAAACCAGAAGCCAGAAAGCAAAAGTACATTGGATCATATATAGACAGGACAAATGAAATATAATTTCTTTGTTTCTTTTTTTTTTTTTTTTTTGAGATGGAGTTTCACTACTGTTGCCCAGGCTGGAGTGCAATGGCACAATCTCAGCTCACTGCAACCTCCGCCTCCCAGGTTTCAGTGATTCTCCTGCCTCAGCCTCCCAAGTAGCTGAGATTACAGGCATGCGCCACCACTCCCAGCTAATTTTGTATTTTTAGTAGAGACAGGGTTTCTCCATGTTAGTCAGGCTGGTCTCAAACTCCCGACCTCAGGTTATCTGCCCACCTCAGCCTCCCAAAGTGCTGGGATTACAGGCATGAGCCACCACACCCGACTATGAAATATAATTTCTAATCTTTACATTTTCAAATTACAAGCCCTCAATGTTCTAATTTCAGCATCAGTGGTGAAATGCCATACTAGAAAACTGAGGATTTATCTGTAAAATTACATATAAGTAAAAGGAAAATTCCCAAAACAGATTATAGGATTCTGGATACTGAGGTAGAAATTTGTGACACGACTATTAGGTTTCTGCATAGAATAATCACCAAACATCCTGTAAAACTACACCTGTGTTTATACCAGTGATAGCAGCAACATAACAAACTAAGAGCTCGCTATTCAAATTTCTCTTGCCAAGCTTTCTGGTTTTCCCAATTATAGTGATGGTGAATAATGGGGAAAGTCAGCAACAAGGGCAGCTTCTACATAATTGGAAAAGGTAATTTCCTATACTATGTGATTTATGGGCTACCCTAAGGTCTTATCTGCCTTCCCCTTTATCTAACCAGAAATAATCAGCATTATTCCACTCAATAGATAATAACATCAGAAGAAACGTTTCCAAAGAGTCACTGTTACACAGCTATACATTACCTAGGATTTTCCATTGAACCTTCTCATATTCTCTCTTATTTGATTTTTAGATTAGAAAATCTGCACTTAAAAAGAATCAGGCTCAGGGGCTAAAGTGGTGGGATATTTTCAATCTAAGTCAATTTCATAAGGTATAGAAACATTACAGTGAAATACTCCACCCCGTGGCAGCATGGTAGGTACCCCAGTGAGAGCTCTGACAGTCAAACAAAAGTTTGACGTAGCACTTCCCCAGAGTGGACTAAGTTCTCTTTAGCATGGTCCCCCTATATTACCAAAGGAATAAAATGTTAATATATCAAGTTTTTATTTAGTTTTGACCACCTAAATAATGCAGGCACTGAATCCTTTCAGGAGTAAAGTGAGAAACAAGTAAAAAAAAACCTACTAAATATAACCATACCAGATATCTTCTTGGCTCACTACCTTGCCTTGTTCCCATCTTTGCTCAAGTATCACATTCTCCACAAGGCCCACCCTGATCATCCTACTTAAAATTGCAACACCCACCCCATGGTACTCCTTACTCTGCTCTATTTCTTTTCGGGATAGCACTTACACCTATGATTATATATGTATGTGTATATATATGTGTGTGTATGTGTGTGTGTGTATAAATATATATGTGTATGTATATGGATGTATGCATGAATACATACATTTTTTTAATCTGTCCTACTAGAATGTACTGATAATCTGCTAGAATAATGCCTGGAACATCTAGGCATTCCCATTATTTTGCCTATATTAAACCCTAATAAGTTGCCAGGGTTATCACCAGGGAACTCACCTCAGTATTACCCTACTTTTTGTTTGCATGTTAGAGAATATTAAAGAATTTCAGTGGCTCTCCTCATTCCTTATGAGATTAAGGGCTTCCACATTTAAAAATGACACCCTGATAAATTATATGCTTTTCTCAAAAGTTTGAAAATAACTCCATTTAGATTCAGAGGACATTAGTGCCTCACTGGAAAGACAGGCTTTTTGTTACTACCCAGAGCAATTACTTTTTCAAGATGATAGTTATCATTTATTTATGCTGAATAAATTATTTTTAAATTTTAGCATATATTTATTATTTTATTTTTGGAACACTAAAAGAACTGAACTATTATCATTGTTCAATTAGAATGATCTAGCTCTACTTTTGCACTATTTTCCAAAATTAACTTGCCTAACTATCCCAAATTATCACTGTAAAATGATTGGTGTTTGGTGAATGAATATTAAAATTAATAATATTTCATATTACTTGGACTACAGCACATTTCTTTCCTAATAAGCGTTATATAAAATGTGTCATTCCTTCCCTTATCTTTCATTTAACCAACAATAGAAATTATTCTATCTTTTGCTACTTATCAATGCTTAATAAAACACTTCTTTCTACTATCTTTATTTGCTAAATGGAGAATGGGGAATGTTGGGACTTTAGGGTGGTAGAGAGGATGGCAGAGGCAGAGAGAGAAAATGAATATCAACATTTTGAGTTTTACTTTGGATATTTAAATTTGAGAAAATGAGATAAAAGGTGATACCTTCTAGGTATCTGAAAATATAAGGCCATTAGGCAGGTGAGAAGTCTGGATTGAAGATGTAAATTTAGGAGCATCCAAATAAGGCTGATAATATGAACTCAAGATGCCAGGCAAATTTTAATAGGAGAAGAACAAACAGCCTTGAACAAAAACTCAGGAAACAGACAAAATTATTCCGGTCAGGGAGATGAGATACTAGGACACAGACAACAGAGAAGCAGGGTACAGATAAGTAGAAAGCACAGGAAATTTTTTTTTCGGTCACCTAGGCTGGAGTGCAGTGGCGCAATCTCGGTTCACTGCAACCTCCGCCTGCAGGGTTCAAGCGATTCTCCTGCCTCAGCCTCCTGAGTAGCTGGGATTACAGGCGCGTGCCACCGTGCCCGGCTAATTTTTTGTATTTTTAGTAGAGACGGGGTTTCACCATGTTGGTCAGGCTAGTCTCGGACTCCTGACCTTGTGATCTGCCCGCCTCAGCCTCCCAAAGTGCTGGGATTACAGGCGTGAGCCACCGCACCCAGCCAGCACAGGAATTTTATGAAAGAATGGGTAGTAGGTGGTATCAAATGCCAAAACAAGTTTGAAGATTACATTTGAAAAAAGGACTTTGGATTTGAGTTCTAAGAAAAAGATCGTAGATAATTTTGGAAAGTGCTATTAATAGAGTATGTGTGCAGAAATTGTTATCTAGGGCTTAGGTATTCTTTCTTTGTTCTGCATAGCTACACTAATGTTACTACTAGGCAACTGTTGAGAATGAAAATCAGTTCAGTATATAAATTACATAATATACGCTGTGGAGATTCTTTATCATTTTAAGATTAAAGGCTAGTTAAGATTTAACATATTGGTTAAATTAGGGGCTAACATATCAGATTTTCTGTATGAATTTTTCTGAGCAGGCAAACATAAATTGATATATAGGGTCTCTCATTCTTTAATTTTAAAAATAAAATTATCATTTATTATGTATAATCTAAGTTAGTAAAGAAAACATCTTTTAATAAGATTGACAATATCAAGTGATGATGAGTATAACTACTGGTAGGGGTGTAAATTAATCTACCATTATGATGGTTAATATTGAGTGTCAGCTTGATTGGATTGAAGGATGCAAAGTACTGTTCCTGGGTGTGTCTGTGAGGGTGCTGCCAAAGGAGATTAACATTTGAGTCAGTGGACTGGGAGAGGCAGACCCACCCTCAATCTGGGTGGGCACCATCTAATCAGCTGCCAGTGTGGCTAGGATAGAAGCAGGCAGAGGAAGGTGGAATGAGTAGACTGGCGGAGTCGTCCGGCCATCATCTGTCTCCTGTGCTGGATGCTCCCTGCCCTGGAATGTAAGACTCCAAGCTCTTCAGCTTTTGGACTCTTGCACTTACACTAGTGATTTGCCAGCAGCCCCCAGGCCTTCAGCCATAGACTGAAGGCCGCACTGTCAGCTTCCAGACTTTAAAGGTTTTGGGACTCCGACTGGCTTCCTTGCCCCTCAGCTTGCAGATGGCCTATTGCGGGACTTCACCTTGTGATCATGTGGGTCAATACTCCTTAATAAACTCCCCTTCATGTATACACCTATCCTATTAGTTCTGTCCCTCTGGAGAACGCTGACTAATACAACCACCTTGGAAAACCATTTGGCAATACTACTTAAGTTTACCCTATATATATACCCTATCATGAGGCAATTCCATATACCAAACAGAAATGCATGCATATTTATACAAAACCACATTCCAAGGGCATTCATACCAAAAACACAAATGTCTGCTAATATTTGAATGGCTCAGCTAATTGTGATATATTCATACAATGAAATACTACAGTATACTAGAGTATTCTATTTATTTATTGCATGTATGGCAAACTACAGTCCATAGGCCAAATCTAGCCTGAAGCCTATTTTTACAAATAAAGTTTTAATAGAGCAAAATCACATTCATTTGCATATCATCTATTGATGTTTTTGTTTTACGAAAGCTGTGTCAGGGACCATATGACCCACAAAGCCTAAAATATTTACGGCTTATTAGAATAAGGTGCCCAACCCCAGCTACAGAAGAACAAAATTTAAAACTATAGTTATACTCAGGCCTGTGAATGATTCTCACAAACATGGGATTGGGTGAAAGAAGCCAGATAGGTAGAAGTAGATACTCTGTGATTTATTTTATGTAAAACTCAAAAAATAGGCAGAAATAAACTGTACTGTTCCAAGTCAAATTACTGGAAGTCTTTAGGGAGGACAAGGACAGTAGGAATTGGGAAGAGACAGTATTGTTCTATTTCTTGAACTGGGTATTGGTTATATGTGTGCATTCACTTTGAGATAACTCACTGAGCTGTAATATTATGGTTTGTGTACTTTTCTGTGTATGTATCCCTTCAATAAATGTATTTTAAAAAATATTTAGAAGGATTATATACCAAATTATTAATAGTAGTACCTCTACCATGTAGGGTGGGGAGATTTTATTTCTAATGCATATACTTCAGTATTTTTTAGCTTTTTAAACAAGATTATTATTTTAGAAATATAAAAACAAATATATAAAATGGTATATATTATCAAGTATAGAAATCTTCATCATGAGATGGTTCTGTATTTTTATTGACATGACATAAATTCTGGGCACTGAAGTGGTAACAGGAGGTCAGAAACTAAATGCTTATATCACTCAACATCTCTAAGTTTTGTGAGACAGTAATACAAAATCCATTTTATACCTGTTAGTCTTTATGTTTTATCTAAAAGTTTCATAATCTTATGAAACCCTCTCTCACATTTTTAAAATACAATCTTAATTATCTTTGTCAGATTAGAGCTGTTAATACATCCCCTATCTTTAGTAATACCGTGTATTAACATGATGGTCTTAACCGTCCCCTTAAGCTAATTCCCCTCCTTCTCAAAGAGATAAAAGACTTCAGGAATTGAAAGTGACATTTAAAAAATGGTGCTGGCATCTACCAATTGTTGCTTAAAGTAAAGATTTAAGAAAGAAATATTTCTGCATGATTTAATGATTGCTTGCTGTAGCAAAGTTCTTTTGTCTGGTCTCTAATACAACTCCCTAGAGTGTCTTGTTCAATATGCAACAAAACAATGATGCAGAGGTTTTGACAAAGAGCCCATCTCCCTATTGAGGTAGCATTACAGGATAATAGCTGCCTAAGCTATATAATTCAATGAGATATATTTTAGTATTAAAATATCTGTTAATCAGCTTTTAAAGCTGTGATGTTCAAAACTCAGAACAATATGTAAAACATTCCTTTACCAAAGGGAATGACTAATCTTCTGTATGGCTTTGATAAGTTACAAGAAATAGGTTTATCTCAGAAGACTGGTTATGATTAATATGCAGTTCGTAAAGCTCCTTAGCTCTGTATGGTCTCTCTCTAACTGAATCTAATAAAGATAGGTCACGCATTTTTCATATTCCTTTTTCACCCATGACAGATCTCTAATAGGATTTATATGCATTTGATATTAATTGTATCGGGGATTGCACCAACTGCAATAATCCTTCATTTCTTTGCCTTTTTAAAGCTATACATAAATTACAAAGTTTCCATTTTTGTTTGACTGCAGCTCTCACTGACGATCAACCATGTTAATGATAGAGAGGTAGAGAAAGATTAAGAACCACCTCACCTAGTTCAGTGAAATGCCAAATGATAGGAAAGGCTATAAACCCAGCTTTGAGAGCTGTTTTAGCTATCCTCTCCCTTGTGTCAGAAGAGCTCAAGTATATAACATCAGTGAAAACCTTGCACTCTGAATTGGAGAGGAAAGGACATGCTTTTAATAACCATCTCACAGAGGGGTGCTGGCAGTAACCCATCGTTCTGATGAAGTATGCTTTTCTAACCATCTACAGAGACAACACAGGAAATGTAAAAATGAGATAGTGCTACCTAGAATGAAAAACTGAGTGTCCTGGGGACTCAATCTAAAATAGTCCTTAATTTTAGCTCTGAACTCAAAAGAGGCTTCACTTACATCTGGGGAAAAAAAAATGTATCTTGTGAGACTATTCGACTATAATTGCAGTTAAGAGAAGTGGACAATTATATTTTCACATTCTATATTCTCCAGTATGACATAAATAGTGAAAAATTTCATTCTGCAAAAGAGCATAGCAAGGGATTTGAGAAACTAATAAAATGTTGCTTTATACACTATCAAAACACATGGCTATTAGTGAATAAAATCAAATGGAAAAAAGTAGGTCACAATTGTAATGGTTTTCTTTTACTTGAAACAGACTACCTACGAATTCAGCATGTAAATGTCTCTCACACATATAAGAATTATTTTGTAGAAACAACAAGGATCACTACATTACTGATTAAACTTATAGGATTAACCCATGGTAATTTATATATTTTATATATAATCTTATATATAATAATATATGTAAAATTTTCTAGAATTAAGAAAGGTTTATTTCATTTTATTTTATTTTTGAGATGGAGTCTCACTCTGTCACCCAGGCTGGAGTGCAATGGCGCAATCTCAGCTCACTGCAACCTCTGCCTCCTGGGTTCAAGTGATTCTCCTGCCTTGGCCTCCCGAGTAGCTGGGTCTACAGGCACGCGCCACGATGCCCGGCTAATTTTTGTATTTTTAATAGAGACGGGGTTTCACCATGCTAGCCAGGCTGGTCTCGAACTTCTAAGCTCGTGATCCGCCTGCCTCAGCCTCCCAAAGTGCTGGGATTATAGGCGTGAGCCACTGCGCCCGGCCAAGAAAGGTTACTTTTAAAATGCAGTGCCCAAGATAAAAATGAATACAAATTCAAGGGCCTATTAACTAAAGAAAGACAACCGAACACACCTCATCCATCTATAAAAGCTACATTTAGAGATTTCTGCTTCTGGCCATAAAGAAGTAACTGGTACTAGACTAGACCTCCATCTGTAAACAACTAGAAAATCAGACAAAATATATGAAACAACTGTTTTTAGACATTGGGCAACAGGCTGCAAAGGGCTGTGATCCCTGAGAGAAAGGAAACAAATTAAGTGAGCCCTATAGCCACCCAGCCTTTGTGTGTGGAAGTACACATTACAGTGCAGGGAGGGGACAAACCATGCAGAGTACTGCAGGCTTACAGAACTGAAAAAAGAGAGATGGGAGATCAGGAAGGCAGTGGCAGCTTGGATTTATAGGGCACATTACCAGAGAAGAGGAATCCCCACAGAAAAAAAAAAAAACAGTTCCAGATATCTGCAGTGGAGTCTAGTTGAGTCTGGCTGAATATCAATCCGTACAAGTTTAGAGGAGACTCCACGAGAATGGGCACAGAACAACTATCAGAAGAACTACCAGAGAAGAATAAATACCCACTGAAGATCACACAGGACCGAGAGACATTTGAGTTCTGATCAGTCAGAGGGGAGAGACTTCATTGAGCATTTGGAAATCAGAAAAAGGACACATGTTAGAAGTAGGACTAAACCATATCCAGAGTAAATGCTACTTTAGATTCATGCAAAGTTTAAAAACAAGTCTTAATATGATCAAGTTGATTTGCATGTAAGTTAACTACCTGCTAGAACAAAGCCTAATACTCTTTTAAGACAACCAAATTCCAACATTCAACAATGTCGCATTCTAATAACTAGCATCCTATCAAAAAATTACTAGGTAATTGAAGAAGCAGAAAAAGATTGCTTACTGGAAATAAATCTAGACATGACAGAGATGATGGGAATAGCAGGTAAGCACTTTAAAACAGATATTAGTATTATATACAAGATATAAAGCAAAACATTAACATAAATAAGAGAAATGAAACTACAAAAAAAAAGAAATCAAATGAGACTCGAGAACTGAAAAAAATACCATATCTGAAATGAAATTTTCACTGTATGGCTTACCAGCAGATTAGACACTTCAATAGAAAAGATGAGTGAAATTAAGATAATGGTAAAAAGAACTACCAATCTGAAGCACAGAGAGGGAAAAAAAGGCTAAAAAAACTATCAGAGCCTCAGTGACATATGGACAATATAAAGTGATCTACTACAGAAAAAATTTCCAAAATGTTGAAGGGATAGATCAAAACAAATAGTTGAAGAAATAATGGCCCATAATTTTCCAGATTTGATGAAAACTACTAACCAACGAATTTAAGAACGGAAAGAATCCCAAACGAGATACAGTCGGCTCCCTATATCTGCAGGTTTCACAGCCACAGATTCAACCAACTACAGATCAAAACCCGCAGATATGGAGAGCCAAATGTACCACACCATTTTATGTAAGAGACTTGAGTATCTGCAGAATTTGGTATTTGCAGGGGGTCCTGCACCAATACCCCACAGATGCAGATACAGAGAGCTGACTATAAACATTTGTAAAAATTAAAAACACCTCAAAAGTACATCATAATCACTTTGTCAAAACCTAATGATAAAACAATATTAATAGCAGTCAGAAAGACAGACATGTTACAAAGAGGGGAACAGAGTTTAAAATGATTGGTGACTTCTTATCAAAAACAATGCAACTCCACATTTACCTATGTAACAATCCTGCACATCCTGTACATCTACCCTTTAACTTAAAAATTGAAGAAAAAGAAAAAAGACTGTTGTAAATTTTTTTAAAGTGTGTGGCACCTCCCCCTCCGTCTCTTGCTCCTGCTCCTTCCATGTAAGAAGTACCTGCTTCTCCTTTGCCTTCTGCCATGATTGAAAGTTTCCTGGGACCCCCACAGAAGCAGAAGTATCTATGCTTCTTATACATTCTGCAGAGCCAATTAAACCTCTTTTTATTTTTTTCTTTTGAGACAGAGTCTTGCTCTGTTGCCCAGGCTGGAATGCAGTGGCATGATCTCTGCTCACTGCAACCTCTGGCTCCCGAGTTCAAGCGATTCTCCTGCCTCAGCCTCCCTAGTAGCTGGGATTACAGGCATGTGCTACCATGCCTTGCTAATTTTTGTATTTTTAGTAGAGACGGGGTTTCACCATATTAGTCAGGCTACTCTCGAATTCCTGACCCCCGGTGATCCACCTGCCTCGGCCTCCCAAAGTGCTGGGATTACAGGCGTGAGCCACTGCACCTGGCCCAAATGTCTTTTCTAAATGAAAAAAAAAATGGAACTCAGAAGACAATGGATGAAATCTTTAAATTTCTGAAAGAAAACAAACCAAAAAAAAAGAGAAATCTGTCATCTTAGAAATCTGCAACCTGTGAAAATGTCTTTCCAAAATGAAGGTGAAATAAATACATTTATAGACAAACATAATCTGAAAATATACAGTGCAAAATCCAATGCAAGAAAACCTGCACTATAAGAAATACTTAAAGAAAATTCTTCAGGCTAAAGAAAATTAATATCAGATAGAAACTGAGATCTACATAAAGGAATGAAGAGTGCCAGAAATGTGTGTGAAATAGAGTGTGAGAATATATAAGAGATTGTTTACAGTCTATTTTTCCCCAAAACAAATTATTTAAAGAAAAAATTAATATGATGTATGGTCAGACCTATAACATATATACAAGTAAAATGTCTGAGAAGAATAAAAAAGATGGGGGTGCAAACATAAGGATGCTATTGCAAGGTGCTTATAGAAAAAGTATACAATACTATATAAAGCTAGACTGTCATAAGTTAAGATGCATAATATAAATTCTATAGTAACCACTGAAAACTAAACAAAGAGCCATATCTAATATGCCAATACATGAGATCAAGTGGAATAGTTAAAATGACACACAATCCAAATGTGGCAAAAAAAGAGTTAAAGGAACAAAGGACAGATAGGATAGAAAACAAATAAGAGGCCAGCGTGGTGGCTCACGCCTGTAATCCCAGCACTTTGGGAGGCCCAGGCAGGTGGATCACCTGAGGTCAGGAGTTTGAGACCATTCCAGCCAACATGGTGCAACCCCGTCTCTACTAAAAATACAAAAATTAGCCAGGTGCAGTGGCATGCACCTGTAATCCCAGCTACTCGGGAGGCTGAGGCAGGGGAATCACTTGAACCCGGGAGACAGAGGATACAGTGAGCTGAGATCACGCCACTGCACTCCAGCCTGAGTGATACAGTGAGACTCCGTCTCAAAACAAAACAAAACAAAACAAAACTAAAAATAAAAAAATAAAAAACAAAAAAAGGAAATTAGAAATAAATACAGTCATATTAATAATTATACAGTTATCCCTAGGTATCCATGGGGGCTTTGTTCCAGGACCCCTCTTGGATACCAAAATCCACACATGCTCAAGTCCCTCATGGTCAGCCCTCCATATCCACAGGTTCTGCATCCACTATTTCTCCGTTGGTTGTGTCTCCAGATGTGAAAACTGCAGACACAAAGGGCCCACTGCATGAAATGTAAATGCATTAACCATATCAATTAAAAGGCAGACATTTTCACAAAGCATTAAAAAATTACCCAAATATATGCTGTCTACCTGACTCACTTTAATATAAAGATAAAAATGGGTTAAATGTAAAAGGATACAAAATGATATATCACACAAATCATAATAATAAAAAAGCTAGAGTAGGTAAATAATTACACAACAGAGTCAGGACAACGAATATGACCAAAGATAAAGAAGTACAATCTATGATTATGTAATGATCATTTAATAAAGAAGACATAATCTTCAATGTGTATATAATAATGGTGTTTCAAAAATCAAGAAGCAAATGTACTGATAGAACTAAAAATAGATAAATCCATAATTATAATTGGGGATTTCGCTGTGCCTCTTCAATAATTGGTAGAATAAGTAGACAGAAAATAGTTTTTAAAAAAATAGGAGACTTGAACATCACTACCAACTGACTTGATCTAAATGATGTTTATGAAATGCTTTAACCAAATATAGACTATACCTTTTTTTTCAAGCATAACTGGAACATTAACCTGGAACATTAACCAGAATAGACTATATGCCAGGCCATAAAACTAGTCTCAAGAAATATATAAGTAATGAAATAAAGCTACTATCACTTTTCCCTCAAATTTTTTTATTACTGAAGTTGCAGTGAGATAACCTGTGACCTACAAGGAACTAGAAGACCAGAACAAATGACAGGGAGGTCATAGTTAGTTTTGGTACAGACCACTGCTTTAAATATTTGCTGAAATAGTGGGTTGAATGGTGGCCACCAAAAAAAATGTCCATATTCAAACTCATGGAACCTGTGAATGTGACTTTTCTTGGAAAAAGGATCTTTGCAAATATAATTAAGGATCTCAAAATGAGATCAATCCTAGATTATCTGAATGGGCTCTAAATCCAATGACAAATAAACTTATAAAAGACATACAGAGAAGAGTTACACTAGGAAAAGCAGAAGATGACACGAATTTGGAAGAAAAGATTGGAGTTATGCAGCCAGAAGCCAAGGAATCTCTGGATCCATCCAAAGCTGAAAGAGGTAAGGAAGAATTCTTTCTTAGAGCCATCACAGGGAGGGAAGCTGATACCTTAATTTCAGATTTCTGGGTTCCAGGACTATGAGACAATGAATTTCTAAGCTTTTAAGCAACCGAGTTTATGTTAGTTTGTTATGGCAGCCCCAGAAAACTAATACAATCAATCACATAGGTGAGACATTCTCTAGAGTCTGTATATTAAATGAGATTTGTTATATCACAGGATAGAGTTATCTTTAACTTCAGTTAATGATGCCAATTTGCTCTCCAACATGATTTTACCTATTTACAGTCTCATGAGCAGAAAATGAGAGCTGGTATTATCAGACTTTTTTTTTTTTTTTGGCAATTTAATGAGTGTAAAATGGCTTTGTGTTATTTTAATGTTCCTAGCGGAGTTGAAATGGTCTGGGCAACTTGGACTACCTGATTTGTAAGATGCCTGCCAATTCAAAATATCTATTTCCATGATTTTTAATTCTTCAATTTAGCATACCTTTCTTGAATGCCTACTTTGTTTCAGGCATTGTACTCGGCACTAAGAATACTACTATGGTCTGAATGTTTATGTCTCCCCAAAATTTATTTTGAAACCTAATCCCAATGTAATAGTATTAAGAGTTAGGGCCGTTGGGGAGGCAACTATTTCATGAGGATGGAACCTTCATGAATGGAATTAGTGCCACATAATGAGACCCAAAGGAACTTGTTTGCCCCTTTTGTCAGGTAAGAAGGTTGTAAGATGGTGCCATCTATGAAGCATAGAGTAAGTCCTCACCATACATCAAATCTGTTAGTATCCTGATCTTGGACTTCCTGGCCTCCAGAACTTTGAGCAATAAATTTCTGTTGTGTATAAGCTAATCCACGTATGGTATTTTGTTATAGCAGCCTGAACAGATTAAGCCAGATACATAAATGAACAACACATTGTCTGTCTTTCTACCTTACTAGCTGTCTCACCTCAATAGTTTTTCTCTAATCTGAACGCCCATGGCACTTATTTACTGTGCACCACACTACTGTTTGATATATGGTCTTTTTATGAAAACACCAATTATGGACTATGTTTATGTCCCCCGCAAAATAAATGTTGAAGTCCAACCTGCAATGTGATTGTATTAGGAGGTGGGATCTTTGGGAAGTAATTAGGTTTAGATGACATCATGAGGGTGGAAACCCCAGATAGGATTAGCACCCTTATAAGAGGAAGAAACACCAAAGCTTCCTCTTCCTAATATGTGAGGATACAGTGAGAAGGGAACAGTCTGAAAGCCAGGAAAAGGGCCCTCACCAAAAAAGGAATATGCTAGCACATAGACCTTGGACTTCCCAGCCTCCAGATCGAAGGCCCCTACTTAATAAGTTTCATTTCTGTTGTTTAAAAAGTGGAAGGGGGCCGGGCACGGTCACTTGTGCCTGTAATCCCAGCACTGTGGGAGGCTGAGGTGGGCAGATCACCTGTGATCAGGAGCTGGAGACGACGCTGGCCAGCATGGCGAAACCCAGTCTCTACTAAAAATACAAAAATTAGCCAGGTGTGGTGGCGCATGCCCGTAATCCCAGCTACTCAGCTACTCAGGAGGCTGAGGCAGGAGAATCGCTTGAACCCGGGAGACAGAGGATACAGTGAGCCGAGGTCACGCCACTGCACTCTAGCCTGGGCGACAGAGTGAGACCCTGTCTCAAAAAATAAAAAATTAAAAAACTTATTGCTCTTGAAATTATTACTCTATATAGTAAAATGATATAGCAAAATCAGTCCTCATAACAGATAGTGTCCATGTAACAGCAGCATTATAAAGGGATTCTACTGCCATCCCATTATGTTTATTCCTTGACAAGTATACTTTTTTCAGAGCATCCAAATGCATTACTAGTAATTTAACTAACACCTCCTTGGAGCCTATTTTAAAGTAACTTTAATTTCAAAATATAATGACATTGGAATAAAATACATTACCAGGCCTACACAAACTTATTTTAAAATATCTAAAATTTAAATAAATTAACATCAAAATGAACAAACCAACTCTAAGTCTCCAAAGTTACATTAAATTTACATACTATTGAAATTATGCTTTTATAGCAACTGAAGTGTTAAACTAACTGCAGCATACACAATATCATATTTATCACAGGATTCAAATTAATAAGAATATTCAATCTAATCTGATAGAAAAAGTATCCTCAAACCTCTATGTGTTATACAAGCAGTCCCAATTTATAAGTGGTTTGTATTCTAAAGTCTATTTGTAAATCAGTTGGCAAAAAATAAAAAATAAAACCCTCTGGGACATATTTCACAAGAAAAGTAAGTTTAAATAAAATGCTTAAGCAGTAAAGCTATCCTGAAAAATACTCCCATAATAATAAAAGTACTAAGCTCTGAATCCCCTTGCAACTGCTGGCAGGGAAGGATGGAGGCAAGAGGAAACCCTGAAAATGGAGTTGTTTGTCAGGAGCAGAGGACCACCATTCCAGCTTTGGTAGCACTAGGACACTAAAAACAACAAAGGAGAGCTCCAGCATTATGGTGGCCATGCATTCTTGTTCAGGAGGTTACATAAACCGTCTATAAAAGGAGCAATCAAGGACTGCTTGTAAGAAAGTATCAAAACAATCCAGGAAGTATAACTGTACAAAACCATATAGAGATCTGTAAATATCATAAAACAACATTCTGTTTCACAATTTGGAACATAAAAGTAAGGAATGATAGGTCTATATTTCATTTATTATAGGTAAATTCCCCTACTAGAAACTCTCAGAAGAATAAAGAGCCACTTAGCATTTCTTGTATATTCTTACGTCTACAATCTTCCCTGTTTCCCTGTAGAGACTGGGGCAAACCTACTAAATACCATATCATGAAACTCAAAGAGCACATTTGGGTAGGAAGCAGCACAGTATAGCAATTAAGACATCAGGGTTGAGCATCAGGCACAACTAACCCTGGGTAAGTTAGTTAACTTCTCTGAATTTCAGCCGCCTCCTAAACTGGAGATAAAAATGATCTCCCCAAAGGATTACGGTGAGAATTAAATGAGGTCATCCAAAAAAAAACATTTATCACATTGCCTGGCAAGCACAGTAAGTGGTCAGTAAACGTTATTGGAGGCTTGCCTACCGAACATGCTAGGACAGAAATAGACCATTATGTAATAAAACCAGCATCATCCCTCTTCTACTTAATCAAGTACAACTACCAGCTAGCCAAAGAACTGCACTGCAGAAATCTGAAAAATAGGGGTTTTTTCCTCCCCATGGGATGGCACCAAGGTTCAAGCATCTTTAATCCTTTTTTTTAAGGAGTCTCAAAAAAAAAAAAAAAAGGAGTCTCACTGTCACCCAAGCTGGGGGACAGTGGCATGATCATAGCTCCCTGCAGCCTCCAATTCCTGGGTTCAAGCAATCCTCATGCCTCAGCCTCCCAAGTGGCTGAAGTATCTTTTATCTTATTTCAATGATTAATTGCCTTCCCTTTCTCCACAAAGTGTTAAGACTTCTTTGCCTCAGCAAAAACATGAAACATTTTTTAAAACAATATATTTGGTGACCAATTATTTTCTTTGGAAATTAATCTCAGAAATATTAATGTGGGGAAATGGTGAGCATGAAAAACATGCTCCAAACTTTACTAAATATTTCTGGAAACTCCCTCTTTCATTTGGTGTAGTTCTCTGTTGTTGTACCCATAACATTGTTGATTATACTAAGTGCTAAATAAGTTATAGATACCTATTTTTTTCCATGAGTTTTCATAAAGAGAGCAAAATACAATGAGTCCTTTATCAGGCATAATCAGTGATCCATGAATGTGTGCTGTGTACGTCAAAGATATCTCTTTAAGTATAACAACTAAAAGGGGGGAGAAAGCTAACCATTCCCGATGAAAACTTTTTGAAAATATTACACACAGACAGCACTGATGAGGAGTACATTGAATCTCCTCTTGATAATACCTCATCAAGATCAATTTCTATTCTGCGCAATCATACAGCACTGCCCTCCAAAACCACTGAAGAGCCTGGGCCTGTTTTCCTCTCTGTGAAACAACTGAAGACTACTATATTTTTATAGTTCCTCCTTCTCCTGTTAGCTGTCACATCTCACTGTCAATAGCCCTTTCATTTTTTTTAAATTTTCAAAACGTACAATTAACTGGGTGAGAACCTGAGTTGACACCCACAATTCTCTAAGATACATAGGATTTTTTTTCCCTCTTTATTTGCAAAAATGAAGACAATACTGCAATTATTTGCAAAGTGAAGACAATACTGTTTCTGATAAGGGGGCCTCTGTTGAATATAAAACAGCCATAATTGTTCTTCCAAAAGCAACAAGGTAATGACCAATTGATAGAAACCTTTACAATCAGAAAATGTGTTATTACAGAAAAACACATGAAGCAGTAATCAAAGATGATTTTCTAACAATCACCATGGAGATGCTATCAGGGATTCATCTAAACAGCTCAGCAATTAAATTTTGAAGCCAGGCATGGTGGCTCATGCCTGTAATTCCAGCACTTTGGGAGGCCGAGGCAGGCGGATCACCTGAGGTTGGGAGTTTGAGACCAGCCTGACCAACATAGAGAAACCCTGTCTCTACTAAAAATACAAAAAATTAGCTGGGCGTGGTGGCACATGCCTGTAATCCCAGCTACTCAGGAGGCTGAGGCAGGAGAATCACTAGAACCCAGGAGGCGGAGGTTGCAGTGAGCCGGGATCGCACCATTGCACTCCAGCCTGGGCAACAAGAGCGAAACTCTGTCTCAAAAAAAAAAAAACAAAAAACAAAAAAGAAATTAAATTTTGAACATTTTAGGACATGTGATACTATAATAATATACCCAGATTTTCTGGAATTCTCACTTTTTTCTTTGCTTTACTGCTTTCTTAGGTCCTGCACTATGAATACCCCAGCCCACCAACCAAAATAAAGAAAATTGCACGATCTGAATAAAAGCCAACATAATATTATATGGAACTCAAACAACTACCTGAAACCAGGAATCAACAGAGAATATGCCTAGATACTGTATTTGCAAGGAGACGTGGAGTTTAAGCCCTGTACTTTCAGCAAGCTTTCAAGCTCTAGTTGGGGGAGTGGGGATCAGGTATGTTTGGTACATTCATAAAGTTCAAAAAAGGAATTCAGCAATGATGCAAGTCGACGAACAGGCACTTAAAACAACCAAGACATTAGAAGCACCTCTAACAAAGAAAAGAAACCTTAATCTCCCTAACAAATTGAGCCTAAGACTAAGTACTGAAAGAAATGCCATACAGTTTCCTTCTCCCGCCTAAAGCAGTATTCATACAAAGCCATGCTATGCAGAAAAGTGGACATAGCAAGCCTACTACTGCTATTTATAGAAAGGCTTGCATGCAAAGTTGGCCCTTGGCTGGTATCTGGGAACCTGGATTTTGGGGAGTGTCCCCACTGCTCCTTAGCTGATAAGGATGGTTTACTATGCCTGTTTGTACAAACAATGCAGTCTATATTGAATATCTGCTTTACTTTGGGGAGTCTGAAATCTTGGTACATGCTAAACAGAGTGTGTCTACATAACCGGCCCCCAATAAAAACCTTGGGCACTGACTCTCTAATGGGCTTCCTTGGGCAGGTGCATCACACATATATTGCTGCATTTTCACTGCTGAAGGAAAAGAGTGTTCTATGTGACCCCTCGTGGGAGGGACACAGCATAAGGCAGCCCACCAGTAGATTCCTCCAAACTCCGCCTGTATCTTTTCCCCTATGATCTGGCTGTGCATCTCTACTATGTCACTGTAATAAATCTTCGCCATTAGTGAAATGATATTCTGAGTCCTGTGAGTCCTTCTAACAAATCCCCCAAAGTGGGAATGCTCTTAAAAACCTTCAACACACACGCCTACTATACCTGTGGCACTGTGTTGAGTGTGAAAGAGAGAAGAATTTAAAAATGACAAATACTTGGGTGCTCCCCTCAAATTGCTTGTCATCTAATGGGAGAGTTGGGAGGGTGTGCTGGCAACAACATACACTGATCATACATTCAAGATTTTAATGAGCCTCTATTGTATTCTTGGCAATGCTAGGTAACAGACATAATGGGAATATAAAAATTAAACGCATCCTTTGTATAAAGGGGCTTACAGTACTAATAGAACATGCACACAGTAACAAATTATCCTCTTGGATATGACAGTCCCTGAAATAACAGAAACAAAAAGATGTTAACTATTCCACATGGACATTTCGATTTTCTCTGACTTATAATTTTACTTACACAATTTGCATGCTTCCCTAATAATAATAGGGGTGTTAATTTTCCTCAAAACATTTTGGAGGGTGGGGACGGGTTGGGAGGTGGTTGGCCCTAGGTCTTGCCAAACCCTTTAAATGTTTCTTGTAGGAGCCGTCCTAGATTTTTACTGGCTAACAACTAAGTATCAAACCCTATGTAAGATTTGTCTGGCATAGAAATAGAAACCAAGCTCTAACCTTCAAATATCCCACAGTGTCCTAAAAGAGACAAAGAAGTAAATAAATTATTATCATTCCAGGTTACAGGTGTGAGAAGTTTGCACTAGGTGATATGACAAGGCAAATGAGGAACATGTAACTCATGATCTCTGCCGTTACACATCATTTATGTTAGAAAACAAATGTGTGAGAAGGAGCTAAGAATTATAACACCTTAGTGGCAGAGTCTTAAAATTAGCTATAAGATTATTACTACTACCTATACTTTAATGTAGTTATACATTTCCCTTTAAGTTCTAAAATTAGAAAAACATTTTATCAAGATATACTTTTCCTGATGAAAAACTAGTGTAAAATATCCTTTAAAACTAATTTCTAGGGCCGGGCATGGTGGCTTATGTCTGTAATCCCAACATTTTGGGAGGCCAAGGTGGGCAGATCACCTGAGGTCAGGAGTTCGAGACCAGCCTGGCCAACATGGAGAAACCCGTCTCTACTAAAAATAAAAAATAAAAAAAAAAAAGAAAAAAATTAGCTGGGCGTAGTGGCAGGTGCCTATAATCCCAGCTACTCAGGAGACTGAGGCATGAGAATCGTTTGAACCCGGGAGGCGGAGGTTGCAGTAAGCCAAGATCATGCCACTGTACTCCAGTCTGAGGGACAGAGTGAGACTCTGTCTCAAAAAAAAAAAAAAAAAAAAAAGAGAAAAGAGTAATGTCTACCATCCTAATCAACAATGGGATTGGTGAATAAATTACATTAGGCTCTGTGTAGGTCCTCAGAAATATGTCATTTCACATTCCTCCCATTAGAAAAAGTTCTCAACATTGAAAGATATGTTTAGTTCTATTTGGCATTATATTGAAAAGAAGCCTAATTTTTTAACCAATTTCCTTTAAATCAACTAAAAACAATGTTTATAGAGGGAAAATAAAGCTTGAAATTACTTTTAATCACTTCATTAAATTTAAACCTCTTTACCTTAAAAAAATCACCCATGATTTTTTTCTTTACTCAGAATATTACAATCTTCTCCTATCTTTGAAGACTTCAAAAATATATTAGTTCAAAATCCATTTATTGGTTCCCACTGAGATTTAAATTACCTGAAACTAATAGCCTCACTGCAAGAGTTCTATTCCATGCCTTGTAAGTTGAATTCACCAGCATGACATCTATGTTTTATATACGTGAATTCCACAGGTTTACTGTAAATTCATGGCATCGACAACACTGGTTGCCTAAAAGATTGGTACTGCTACTGAAACAAATACACAAAATTAGACAGGAAGTAGCCATAATTTTTCCTGCTTGCCTATTTTATTGTGGTAATCACGGAAAAAATGGAGACTGTCTAGAGCACAAAAACTAAGATAGCAGCTGAAAGCAGTATAAACTATAAGAAAAAGAAATATTTGCATATAAATCAAAGCAAGCAATAAGGTTTACATCACGGTACATAATATAAAGTTATTTTATTACAGAAGCTACTGCTTGCATACTAGCTTCGATTATTACATTTTCTAAAATTTGGCATAGGCAATATTAAAAGAAAATTTACTAGCAATTACCTATATAGTATTGACAAGGGTTCTCCCTTACCTTTTGAATTCTTCCTAATACTAGAAGGATTCTAGTATGCAAAACAAAACATTAAATTATTGCTGGAGTAAAGTAAAAGGATTAGTGTCATCAGCAGTGAAAGTAAAGCCCAGTGAGAGGTGTTTCAGTTTGGGGTTCTCTCATTTATCTTCTCTAGGTATTTGTTTCCTCTGTTACATAGCTATGTAAATAACACAGCTATAACCATTGTGAGTGCTCATTAAATTGGAATCAATAGTTTACATTTTTCTTTACACAAACAGAAGCTGATCTAAATACATCTGTTATCTCCGCTGTAGTAACAATTACATTTAGAATAACTAAATTATATTTGTTATCAGTTTTTATACTGTTGCAAAATGTGTTTACAATCCCAGCTCTTCACAACAGACATGGCTACTTCCAAGTTCTAATTACCTGAAGCCCCTTTCTCCACAGTACCTTCATGACTCCCTGGTAATCAGATGAGCACTTACAGTAGGATAGTAACATCTTCACAGGTTATCAAGGGGGCATTTAGCTCATTTCAGCTGCCAAATTCTTGACTACTACTGCACTAAATAACTTTAATACTACATAATAGTGTAAAGTTTCACTGATGGCAACAGGGGACTCTCAGTACCTTTCTGTGGAAAAGGGCCTGTGGGTATAATCACATTTTGGATTACCTCCCTTGGTTTCTCCAACTCTACCTTCAAACATACACAGGTGTCCTTAACCTTGTGAAAGTTTCTACTTGACCCTACTCATCTACTTGTTCCCTGTAGTCCTCAAGGACATTCTCCTCTGCTCTTCCATTTGCTCCAGGGAGCTCAAAATTTTCTAAGGTTTGGGTTGTGGCTCCTATATAAGGACTGCTACAGTTTGAATGTTAGTCCCCTCCAAAGCTCATGTTGAAATTTGGTTGCCATTGTGGCGGTATTAGGAGGTAGGAACTTTGGGAGGTGATACGGCTCTGGGTGCTATGTCCCACTGGGTAGGCTAATCCCATTATATAAGGGCAAATTCGGGGCCGGGAGTGGTGGCTTATGCCTGTAATCCCAGCACTTTGGGAGGCCAAGGCGGGTGGATCACCTGAGGTCAGGAGTTCGAGACCAGCCTGGGCAACATGATGAAACCCCATCTCTACTAAAAATACAAAAAAAAAACTAGCAGGGCATGGTGGCAGGCACCTGTAATGCCAGCTACTCAGGAGGCTGAGGCAGGAGAATCGCTTGAACCCAGGAGGCGAGCGCAGATTGCAGTGAGCCAAGATCGTGCCTGGGCAACAAGAGCGAAACTCTGTCTCCAAAAAAAAAAAAAAAAAAAAAAGGCAAGTTTGGCCACCTTTTGTCTCTTTACCCTTCCACCTTTCACCATGTTGAGGACATGGCATTGTCCGTGGCACCCTCCAGAGGATGCAGCAAGAGAGCCCTCACGAAATTCCATCACCTTCATCTTGGACTTCCTAGCCTCCAGAACTGTGAGAAAATACATTTCTGTTCTTTATACATTACCCAGCCTCAGGTATTCTGTGATAGAACCACAAACAAAAACAAGGACTCACAAAATAACAACTCTTACTCTTCCCTTTCACCTAGTATCTATTCAGTCTCTCCAATAGCTTAGCAGATATTTCTGCTTATATTTGATTACTTTTACAAACCAAATCCATTTTTTCTGTCCAAAACCAAAATCCATTTAACTCCCCTCCTAACAACAACAATAGCAATGGCTGACATTTAATCCTCACAACATACCTTGGAAATAAATACTATTTTTGTCATCTCATTTTATAAATGAGAAAAGCAAGATTAGACAGCCTGCCACGATTCAGACCTGGGCAGACAGACTCCAGAGATTGCCTTCTTAACCACTGCTGCTCATCTTTTCTGAGATGATCTGACTATGATTCAGCCAGCCTTACAGAAATTGCTATTCTCCAACTGTAGTCAAGGTCCAGCCAACATTTCCAAGGTTTCCACTCTGCATTGATGATTTACTACACAATAATTCAGTATCTAGACAGTTAACACAGAATCCACTGAAGTCCAGCTTTATCATCCAGGCCCTGATGCCCCTCACTGTTCTTCAAACTTTTGGACCATATTCCATCATGTCTTCTTCTTTCTAATTAAGCAAGTCCTATACATAGTGCAGGGATAGTAGGAAAGAGACAGATGTTTGTTTTACTATATAATCACCTTCATTTTTTTTCAAACTGCACACTTTTTTAAAGCCCTGATAGTCACACCAATGAGTTTTACTTCACTCATTTAATTGTGTATGCTTATATTTACACTACTGTTTTTACATGGGTTTGAGAAATGTTATAGTGGACAGAGGAACCTTTTCCTAAAGTACTGAAGCTAAAGGGACTATGTTATATTTCAATCAACATTACCAATTCCATATATCTATAACTACAAGAAATCAAAGGCCAGAATGTTTCTTGATTCAAACAAGTAGACAATGAACACATAAGGGTGGTCATAATATGGATCTTAGTATTTTAATAAAAATAAATGGTTAATTCATACAGATGATACACATACTAATCCTGTTACTGTATTATTTTTAGCAAGATGAGATAATTTTATGCCTGTAATTATGTAATCTGTCTTTGTCATTATTTACAAAGAAAATGCATGCATCTATGTGGAATATTAAATCCCAAACAGCTGGAAAGCAGATTGATAAAGCAAAATACCTCCTTACCTAAAGATCGGAAAAGAATGAGGCATTTTAGGAAAATAAAATATTCTGGGGAGATCAGAGTATCCATTCCAATGCATCTATTTTTAAGATTTTAGGTTAAAATATGTCTCTGTCTGTCTACAATGTACTATTATACCTCCCAGTGATCTGAACATGTTACAATCTGCTATAGATATGCCTGGGATATTCAGATGCAGATGGATGGTAACTAGGGCCAAATGACCGAACAGTGTGTGTTACAGGTTCTACATTCACACAATATCCTTAGCAGTTATTTTAAGATACCAGCAGATTTTTCTATACAGTCAGAAAACCCACAGAATAGAGGAGTGATTCCCAAAGGAGGAAGGGAGAGAACTTTTTCAAGTTACAAGTATCTGTCCTCAGAATCAAGACTGGGAGGAGGGTGAGTAGGCTTCTCAAACTGGTGACATCACTCATCTGCATGTTGAAAACTCACAGAGGCAATGCCTTGTGACCTTGCCCTTTGGGCCTGGTTACTCCTTGACCTGCTGAAATAAAGAGCTCTTCTACATATGTCTTCATTACATTTATCTCCATCCAACTAGCTTGGTCACTACTCCTAAAGTCCATCAGAAAATTGTTACCACCATCTCTAGTTTGCATCTGCCAGTGATGGCTTTAATATCTACAAGCCATCGATGTTACCACTATGAACGATCATGTTCACTCTCTTCCTTCTTGGTCTCTTAGTTTTTTCCTTTGTATCTTCTGTCCAAGAAGCCCTAGGCTTCTGAAGTCAGTTACCAGCCAGAACATGCCTTTTTCTCTTGTCGTTAAACCAATGACTTAACAATTAAAAATGTAATTCCAGAGTCTTCTTTAACTCTGGCTGGCCCTCATGTTCTCCCTTTTTTCTTCCCCTCCCTCTCCACATTTTAGTCACAAATCAGATATTCAGGGCTTTTCTAACCACCACAGTAGATCCCCACACCGTCCTTTATTTGTAAAGTGGTATCTGTTCTGGTTGTTTTACGAGTATCACAAGAGTTATCCTTGGCCTGCTAAGATTTCACTGATCGTACGCATTGAATGATTAATACTGAATAATCCCTTGTGGAGAAACAAAATACTTTAAGAGACGTTAACAGAATTGCAATTTTATCAAAGCAAATGCTCCATTTATAAAGGTATATTGAAAACTAGAAAATGTGGCTTCCCCCATCCCCTTACAAAACAAATACATTTATCAATGGTCTACTCTAACACTAACCCAAGTAGACTATATACCCCAGGGGTCTTTTTCTCCCTGCCCCCACCCCAGTACCTAGAAAAGTAGCCGGCACGTTCTGTAAGCACTCACTAAATATTTTAAATAAATAAATAAGAAATATTGGCCAGGAGTAGCAGCTCATGTCTGTAACCTCAGTACTTTGGGAGGCGGAGGAGGGCAGATCGCTTGAGCCCAGGAGTTGGAGACCAGCCTGGGCAACATGGCGAAACCCCATCTCTACAAAACACACAAAACAAGGCCGGGCGCGGTGGCTCACGCCTGTAATCCCAGCACTTTGGGAGGCCGAGGCGGGCGGATCACGAGGTCAGGAGATCAAGACCATCCTGGTTATAACACGGTGAAACCCCGTCTCTACTAAAAAAATACAAAAAATTAGCCGGGTGTGGTGGTGAGCACCTGTAGTCCCAGCTACTCGGGAGGCTGAGGCAGGAGAATGGCGTGAACCCCGGAGGCGGAGCTTGCAGTGAGCCGAGATCGCGCCACTGCACCCCATCTAGCCTGGGTGACAGAGCGAGACTCCGTCTCAAAACAAACAAACAAACAAACAAACAAACAAAAATACAAAACAATTGGCCGGGTGTGGTGGCATGCACCTGTAGTCCCAGCTACTCAGGAGGCTGAGATGAGAGGGCAGCTTGAGCCCAGGAGGTGGAGGTTGCAGTGACCAAGACTGTGCCATTGCACTCCAGCCTGAGTGACATAGTGAGACATTGTCTCTACAATAAAATAAAATAAAATAAAATATTTAGAATAAACAGTGAGGTTTATATAGTATTAAATACTAGTATAAAAGTCACAAAAGATTCACACCTTTGAAATGAGGGGAACTTGTGTACTTTTAAAGTCACTATATGATTTCTACACTTCTTTCAACAGTATTAATTTTATTTCTTGAAATTTAAGTCTATTTTATAAATATATGTGTTTTAACACATTTTAGTGTTAATTCAATCTCTCTATTACCACATAACAGTTATCTGGTGTACTATTTTGCTTAAGTTATTCTCCTTGCATAAGAGAGCTATAAATACAACCTTAAAGAATTAATTTAATATTAGTTGTTCCATACATAAGGAAATTATCTCATGTTTTACCTTCATCCATAAAATACTTATATATATATATAAACTTTTTCTTTTTATTTATGTAATATAATGTTTGTAGAAAAATAGTATGAATGTCGATCCAAGGAATAATTTTGGCAATTAGAAAATGTGACCGAAAAATTATTTTAGACCTAAGAGACAGTAATTAATGCTTATATAATGAAATTTCAGAAATGCTTTATCCTAATTACTCAAAGTAGACTAATTAGAAGGGCAGAAATCAAGATATGGATATAAAATGGATAGTGAATGTGGTGGAGGTAATAAGGATAACCCTCTATTAAAAGGGAAATGTCTGTGTTGGAAGGGTAATATTCCACGAGTATGGAGGAAACATGAAAGGCTGCAAAACTTGTGGTTAAACTTTACCATGATCTTATTGACAATACAAACTCTAACATCAGCTCAGAAATAGAGTATTGCCATGATATTGTTGCCTTCCTAAAGGCTGCTTGACCACTTGTCCACGATTTATAGTTTAGTCCCACAGATTTACAGCTTAGTATACCTGCTGCTTCTCATGACCCTTCAATTCAGACCACTAAAATTATTCTTGTTTTTACATAAGAGCAGTAAGAATTCCCAATTTTCACCATTTATCTTATTTTTATAAAGATCAGAGGCCCGGCACGGTGGCTCACTCCTGTAATCCCAGCACTTTGGGAGGCCAGAGGCAGGCAGATCGCCTGAGGTCGGCAGTTTGAGACCAGCTTGACCAACATGGCAAAACCCCGTCTCTACTAAAAATACAAAAATTAGTCGGGTGTGGTGGTGGGCGCCTATAATCCTAGCTACTCAGGACACTGAGGTAGGAGAATTGCTTGATCCCAGGAGGCGGAGGTTGCAGTGAGTGAGATCGAGCCACTGCACTCCAGCCTGGGGGTGCAAAGCGAGACTTCATCGAAAAAAAAAAAGATCAGGGAGAGCTAGTTTTAAAATCCTGACTCGACAGGGCATGGTGGCTCACGCCTGTAATCCCAGCACTTTGGGAGGCTGAGGCGGGCGGATCACGAGGTCAGGAGATCGAGACTATCCTGGCTAACATGGTGAAACCCCGTCTCTACTAAAAATACAAAAAAATTAGCCAGGCATGGTGGCACACACTTATAGTCCCAGTTACTTGGGAGGCTGAGGCAGGAGAATCGCTTGAACCCAGAAGGCAGAGGTTGCAGTGAGCTTAGATCGTGCCACTGCACTCCAGCCTGGGCAACAGAGCAAGACTCCATCTCAAAATTAAAAATAAAAAACAAAAAATAAAAAAATAAAACCCTGATTCAATGTCCCATGATAGCAAATACAAATGCATTTAAAAGTGTCACGCACACACACACACATTTTAAATAATGGGTATACTAAATTTACATATTGAAATGGACATTTTCTGTAAGATCAGTAGTTTTAAAGCTTTTTTCCCCAAGACTAAACATTTTTTCAAGCATATTAAAGTAGTGTTCCATTAGTGGGGATTGATTTATAAGTTAATCGAAAAGAACAATGAGACTATTTGAATAAACATTAACATCTAACACCAGGCATTTTATAGAAGAGCTACAGTCCTATTAAACAAAACATCCAGATGATTTACACATTTTGTTTTAGTTGTATCATACAAAGAAAATCCAGATTTTCACAAATAAGTATCTACAAATCTTAACAGTTAAAATAGCATCTCTTGCAGTCTTAGAATACCTTGCCATTAAAGATGCAAAGATAAACTACATTCTGGGGTGTACACAAAAATGAATTCATCTGGTCTTACAAGTTACTAATTTTGAGGTCTTTGAACATGGGTGCTATTTTTGTAAATTTTTAAAATAAATAGAGTTCTAAAACAGAATCGGAAAAAAACGTAGAACTTACAAAGCACCGCTACAAAAGCCTAAGGTGAACAGCTTTTTACAAGGAAGATAGGCTGAAAAGCATTGCTCTGGATTATTGAACACTATGGCAACATACATTTCTATATGTAAACACCATAATTTTTTTGTTTTTAGAAAACACATTTGTAGGTATTTATAGATTCATGCTTGATAACAGTTAAGGATAAGCCATCATGACTTTTTAAACAATGGAAGCCTGAAAATGAAGATGGCTAAAGGCATTCTAATTCAAATAGCAATCTGAAGTAAGACTTGTATCTGATAAGATAGAAAAGTAGATTTTAATGTTTAAGATATTCAGAAGGATTATGCAGCAATGAATATAAGTAAGGCCTAAATATAACAAATGCAGTGAATAAATGTATCACATCAGACATTTCATTACTTCAAATTCCACTGCACCTGTCTAATGTTTTCTTCTAGGGGGAAAAGTAGAACTGCTTCTAGATGAGACTTAATGAGTTAGTATGGGTATAGTTACCTCATAAAGTAAAAACCAACAGATGTTAATTGTTTGATTTCTTTATTTTATGTGTTATTTTCAGTAAACAATTGAATGGATTTTATAGAGTTTCTATCAATAAGGTAGGGTAGTTAATTGAATTTAAATAAAGAATCTGTGAGTCCATGCTGATATTTCTTTTAAAAAGTCAAAGAAGGTTAAAGAGGTAAGGGAAAGTTCTACTTTACAGAAGAATACCAGATGATAAATACAGAAGTAACAATGAATTAGAAAAATCACTATTTTGTAGCAATCCTAGTTATAATTCATTCAGGCAAGAATCTCATCAACAGATTTTAAAACCATGTGAAATGTTTCAGAGAAATAGGTTATTTACATGATCTCAAAGTATTATCCTACATATCACTTATTAATTACAAAGACAAATAGGGAAGATACTTCTCCAACCAAATGATCACATGTAACATCATCAATAATGGAGCAAACTGATATCCCTGTGCCTCCTGATGTGATGTACTGAGGAAGAACATCACCTGTGTAGCATCCTTGCCCACAATGTTTACCCTGAATCTAATCATGGGGAAACAATGAAACCAATCCACTGAGAAACATTTTGCAAAATAAGTGTCTTGGTCTCTTGAAAATGTTAATGAAATGAAATTTTTTTTTAAGTCTAGGACTTGTTCTACAGAAGATTAGGAAGATATGACAAATAAATGTAATGTGCAATCCTTGATTAGATTCTAGAAAACAAGAAGTTATAAAGGGCATTATTGGGATAGTTGGAGAAATTTGAATACGGGCTCTATATTAGGCAACAACATTATAATAGTGATGAATTTCCTGATTTAGTAATTAAACTATGTTTATATAGGAGAAAGTCCCTGTTCGTAAGAGAGACATGCTTAAGTATTTAGGAGTAAAGTGTTACAAATAGGCAACTAAGGCTCAGAAAAGGCAAAAAAAGAAAAAAAATTTTAAAAGAGAATGATAAAGCAAATATAACATAATGTTAACAATTTTAAAATATGGGTGAAAGGTCTATGGCTATTCATTGTAATATTCTTACAATGATTCTGTAGGCTTGACATTTCTAAAATAAGAAATTAGAGCAAATAAAATTTGGCAGTGAGTTACATATTCAAAAATAAAAGGACAAAATGGAAAATGATGAGTTCACGTCCTTTGTAGGGACATGGATAAAGCTGGAAACCATCATTCTCAGCAAACTATCGCAAGGACAAAAAACCAGACACCACATGTTCTCACTCATAGGTGGGAATTGAACAATGAGAACACATGGACACAGGAAGGGGAACATCACACACTGGGGACTGTTGTGAGGTGGGGGGAGGGGGGAGGGATAGCATTAGGAGATATACCTAATGCTAAATGACAAGTTAATGGGTGCAGCACACCAACATGGCACATGTATACATATGTAACAAACCTGCACACTGTGCACATGTACCCTAAAACTTAAAGTATAATAATAATAAAATTTAAAAAAGGACAAAATGGGTAACTACTGAAGAATTGATCAATTTCTTTAATAAAGGTATTACTGCCAAAATATCAATCTTGTTTTAACTCATTTCAAATAGTTAATTTGTTATATATAAAAAGCTTAGAAAAAATTCTGGGTGATTTTAATCAACTTCCTAAAATGTGATAACTCAGAAATAAAATTAAAATTATGCATTTGTGTACTCACACACAATCTGATGTGACATTTTATAACTGGACTACATTAAAAACAAAAGCATGAAATTGTTTTAGCAGCCATTTCAGCCCAGTCATCTGTTTAATACAAGTAAATTTTCCAAATGAAGATCTTGCTTCATTTGCAATGGTAATTCAATAGAACCCCCCCATCCCAAAATAATGAAAATAGAGGTTTACAAGATTTCCTGAAACTTGTTGATATGTTTCTAGTACTACATATCCACTCTACACCTCTAGATTTTTTCCAAATTATTCCCATCTCAAAAATAAGAAAAATGTATCATTATAATTACTAATCTGAGAAAACTGAGATTCTGTTGTTTTACATCTTGATAGCAAATTGTGTATAATTTTAATCCGATAAAGGGATAAATCATAAACATTTTTCATTAGGTTTTTAAAGCTATCCAGCAAAACACATAAAAATGGCCTATGACTACTGACATACTCAAACATGACTAAAGATAAAATTATGCCACAACTATTCAAGGCATAAAATGCTTCTAGATACTGAATTTCCAGTAACCAGACTATAATTAAATGAAGTGAGGGTGCCAGGATTTATTAAAATACTACTTTGCTATTAGAAGCTATCATCTACCAAAATTATCTGTATCAGTGTACCTTATAATAAAATAGGAATTCATTTCTGAAAGGGAAGTATAGCTACAAAAAGTGGTAGAAAGAATTCTAAAAGTTTAACTACACAGCTGACAAACGATTAAATATAAACATACCAAATTACTAACAATAGTTTATGTAAAGTTTATAGGCAATTGTTTTGATTCCTTCTCCTTAACTGCATTCTCACATTTTCTAAAATGTATTGAACTCTTCTTATAATGAGAATAGCAAACTTGAAAAATGATTTGCTTTAAATTGCATAGTTGGTTTACATCATATCTTTTAAGGAAATATGGGCTTTTGTATTGAAATATTTAGTAAACTTAGGAGGAAAAAAAGTCAAATTCTTTACTACCACAAATCTCAAAGTACTACTTTACCATTTCTGAGTTCATGTGATCTTAGTTTAGAAACAGTCATTAAACCCCAAATTTATATACTATATATAATAATATTTAATTTAATAATATTTATACAGTATATATAATATACCTGGAGAAAAGAGTTCAAATGAAATAAGAAAAGCAGCCAGGCATGGTGACTCACACCTGTAATCCCAGCACGTTGGGAGGCCAAGGCAGGCGGATCACTTGAGGTCAGGAGTTCGAGACCAGCCTGGCCGATATGGTGAAACCCCGTCTCTACTAAAAATACAAAAATTAGCCAGGTGTGGTGGCGCACACCTGTAGTCCCAGCTACTCAGGAGGCTGACACAAGAGAATCACTTGAACCCAGGAGGCAGAGGGTGCAGTGAGCAGGGATTGCGCCACTGCACTCCAGCCTGGGTGACAGAGTGAGACTCTGTCTCAAAAACACAGAAAGAAAAGAAAAGAAAAGAAGAAAAGGATACCATGGTTATGCAGCTTAAAATGCAAATATTTTCATATTTAGATGGAAGATTAGGGATAATCTTCACAGTTGCTTGTGGCTTTTCATAAAAAGGGTAACTTTACATGTAGTCTGTAGCCTAGGGGCTACCTTAGAAGACGTCAGCTTTTACAAAGTTTATAACTATAACTGGCTTCTAAACTAACACTGAGTAATAAAGGAACAAATGCATTGATGTATGTGTCACTAAAAGGTGGCAGTAGTTGTGATCAACACATTCTTCAAAAATATATATATTAGGAATTACCATGAGAATCACTTCCTTAACTGATTACTATAATGATTTAAATGTGTACTGTGTTTTACAGTTTACAAAGTATTCAGTAACTCTATTAGGATGACAGAGTAAGTACAGATAAAGAGACTTAGGCTCCAGAAAGGTTGAGTGTGTTTTACCCCCAATCACTTAGCCATTAAGAGAGAGAGCCATGACCTAAACCCCCAGGTCTTCAAAGCCCAAATATTATGATTTTCACTGTGTTTTAACGTACGCTCTAAGCATCCATTTCATGTGGTGGTTTTCCTACGGGTATGATTAACTTCGCACACCAAGCTATAAGCGAAAACAACTGGAGAAAAACTCCAGGTGAACACTCAAGATGTTTCTAGTTGGTATGATGAAGAGCTATCTTTGGAGTTTCCTAGATAATGCGAAGAGAACGGGGAGAAAAAACTCTCAATTTTAGTCACATCTGTATAACAAAAAAATAACAATCACCATCAATAGAAGAGGCACCACCAAAACTGAGGAAGTATACACACACACACACACACACACACACACACACACACACAAGCACACGTTGAGTAAAATAAGAATGAACATTTAGATTGGGTGTATTATCAAGTAGCATTTCCACTTCTGAGGCCCCAAACTGTAGACACTCTAAAAGCAATTAAAAAGAAGGCAGTATTATATGGAAAAATTAAAGGAAGTGGGAGAAGCAGCAGCTGAGGGACCACTTAAACCTATGAGTACTCTAAGAGAGATTGCATGGGTGATGATGAACAACGGTCCTCAGCAGAAATAGAAAACTTACCAAGAGGCAAGGGACCTAAATTACAATAGAAGAAATTTAGTTTTATTCTTGAAAGAAAAAAAAAGATTTTAAGATGCTAGACTGCATTTCCAATGGAAGAGGACTTCTGTTTTGAGAAGCATTATAAAATAACTAGCAGCTTTCTGATTTTAGTTTATACACAGTTCAGTGTCAGAGGAATTGTGAATATGTAGAGATTGAACAAAACGATGTTTAATTATTTTATTGCTGTTATAGCCTAGTGTATTTAAAAATGTCTAAAGTGTATTAAGACATGGTCCTTGCCCTCTGAGAGCACATAAGCATTTTAATTACACAGTATTATTTAAACAAAACTAATGTTTAATTGAAATTAATTATAAAAGGCAAGCGTGCATAAGAAAGGTGAACACACAGATAGAAAAAAAACTCGAAGAGGCACAATGGTTAATCTATTTCAGACACAGGAAAAATGGCTTAGAATTATAGGCCATTGCTAAAAATGGGATTCTTTCTAATATTTATGTATCTTTTTCCTCACATTTAAATTGCTGAGTATATGGTTTATCTGCATTGATGTTACCTGTTCGTGAACATCTGCTATGAAAGCCACAAAGACCATATCGGCAGAGTCATTTTTGGCCCATTGAGCAACACGTGCACAGAGGTCTTTAATTCTCTGTAATGTAGCAGCTTTTCCATGGGCAAGGTTCTCTCTGTGTTGTAGGTATGACTGTAGGTATTCTCCAGTTGGCAGAAAATAAGAATTGCCTACTAGCACATGGTGAAAGACTAAATATTAACAGTGTTAGAGAGGATGAACACCTGTGGTGTCAATTATTATCCACAACTGCCTGAAATCCACCAAATCTTACTTAGTTATTGGTTAAGAGGCCAAGCTCTGAAGTCAGCCTGACTGGATTCAAATCCCAGCTCTCCCACTTACTTACTATGTAACCCCAAACAATGTACCTACTTTTCTAAGCCACACTTTCCTAATCTATAAAATGGGGGTGATAATTCTTATGAGGATTAAATTAGGTTTTACATGAAGCTTGCCTAGCACGGTTCTTGGCACTTAGTGTTCTCTAAAAGTTCACTATTATTCAGTGTTAAATACAACAAAATGACTGTTACATACTGTATTAGTTTGCTAGGGCTGCCATAATAAAATACCACAGACTGGAACACAAACAACAGAAATTTGTTGTTTTGTTTATTTTTGTAAATTTGTTGTCCCTTTATTTTTTTGTTTTGTTTTGTGTTTTGTTTGTTTGTTTTTTGAGACAGAGTCTTACTCTGTTGCCCAGGTTGGAGTGCAGAGGCGCGATCTCAGCTCACTGCAACCTCTGCCTTGGTTCCAGTGATTCTCGTGCCCCAGCCTGCTGAGTAGCTGGAACTATAGGCATGTGCCACCACACCCAGCTAATTTTGATATTATTAGTAGAGATGGGGTTTTGCCACGCTGCCCAGGCTGGTCTCAAACTCCTGACCTCAAGTGATCCGCCTGCCTCGGCCTCCCAAAGTGTTGGTGATTACAGGCATGAGCCACATCACCCGGCCCCTCTCCCCATTCTTGACATTAAAAGTCCAAGACCAAAGTGTCAGTAAGTTTGGTTTCTTCTGAGGCCTCCCTCCTTGGCTTACAGATGGTCATCTTTTCTCTCTGTCTTCAAATGGCCTTTCCTCTGTGTCTGCACACAACCCTGGCACCTCTCTGTGTGTCCAAATGTCCTCTTACCAGGACACCAGTCAGACTGGATTAGGGCTCACACTAAAGGCATCTTTTTTTTTTTAACTTAACACTTTAAAAGCCCTATCTCTAAACACAGTCACATTCTGATATGTTAGGGTTTCAACATACAAATTTGGGGAGGGCGGGAGGGGGGGGGAAACAATTCAGCCGGTAACACATAGCTTTTCTCATTCCAAGCAAAACCACTCCACACAATAAGAAAATCTGAAATAATTTTGGGGAAGAGCCTCAGTTCTCTAGTAATACTTCTCTGCTTTCTAACACAGAGGCAACCTATTTAAGCTCATTTAACTTTGGGAGGATAGACAGAAAGATGGATAAATAGATATAGAGAGACATATATAAACACATAGAATACATGTTATATCTTGGATACAGACACCAATCACACTTCGTAGAACAGCTCTTTGAGTGGATAAGCACTCTGCCAAAAAAGCATCATAATCATCAATAAAAATAAATGATTTACCAGAAATATACAAAGCAGTTATGTTCTCCAAGCACAAGAGTTACATTGCACAAGCAGTTATTTTCTCCTTAGATCACAAATTCATTAAAGAAAAGAACCATGACAGGTTACTAAAAATTTACAAACAGATCAGCATAAAAAATGAACCCAAATGCTTTTAATATCTTTGATGCTGTTAAAGTTCATTTTTTTCTATATTGTTTTAATAGGTAATTATGGCTGCAACTATAAAAGCACATGCAATTAATGTAATAATCATGGTATCCGAATTATGGTGACCACAGTACAAAAAATTACTCTAAATGTCACTGGTCACATCACCATTATTTAGCAATGCAGACCCAGAAAGCATTTCATACAAGCATATAAACTAGATATTAATACAAGTTATGAATATCATGTATCATTTTTAAATGTTATGAATATCAGTGGACCACTGACAGGAAATACCTTGGTCAGTACAAACTACTCAAAAGACTGTCCATATAGCTTTCAGCCAAAAAAATCTCCATGGGATAAGGCCAGACTCTAACTAGCCTCCAAGAATTTGGAGATGGAGGCAATGTCTTCTGAAAAACTGATGCACGAACCTACAGAAATACATATAACACGTAGCTTAAGTGAGGAAATACATGAAGGGCTTTAAACACTCTGAAACACTTCATAAATCTAAGGCGGCCTTTTTCTTTTTAAGATTATCTTATTCTACTTATTCAAAGGAACTAATGTTTGTTCAACCAAACAGTCCTTTCCGAACAGATAAACAGACAGAAGAAACTTGATTAACTAAAATGAAAAATGGAATCAAATATATGAGAAAAGGGCCCAAAATTTTATATACAGTAGCTAAGCTAACTTTTTTTTTTTGAGACAGGGTCTCAACTGTGTCACCCAGGCTTGAGGGCAGTGGCGCCATCTCGGCTCACTGCAGCCTTGACTTCCAGGCTCAAGAGATTCTCCTACCTCAACCTCCCTAGGAGATTGGACTACAGGAGTGTGCCACCACACCCAGCTAATTGTTTTATTTTTTTGTAGAGACAGGGTCTTGCCATGTTGCCCAGGCTGATCTTGAACTCCTGGGCTCAAGTGATCCTCCCATCTCACCCTCCTAAAGTGCTGGGATTACAGGCATGAGCCAACTACATCTAGCCTAAGGTAACTTCTAAACATTGATTGTAATCTGATTGTTTCCTCTTTTTCCCCTGCCGACAAGGCTATCTGGATAGAGGAAGCATTGCCTCATAAAAAAAATCCCTCTGTTATGCCACTTTAAGTTTTATAATGGCAACAGCAAATTTTATACAGAGCTTTTAAAGGATATATATTGTAGAGACTATATTACTTAACAACAAAAACACACAAAAAAAGACATCATATAATTACCTCATTCTACATAGATGATCAAAATTTTTTCCATTGTTAGTAAAATAAACCAATCCAGTACAAAAAATAATGGCTATACTAGTCTTAAATGTCTTATATCAAGCATCAGATTTTAAATTGATTCTTTTACCTGATTATACACACAGAAAAATATCCTCAATAGAAATATCCAACATGATCACAATCAAAATGCACAGCTAATGAATTTGTGATGCAAAATCATACATGAAATATACATCTTTTCATTTCTAATATCAGGATAGATTATAAAACATAATGACCCCTATTCATAAATATTAATATAATCAATTTTCAAAATACATGTCTAAACATAATACTAACATTCATGCTGTCTTTTAGACATTTCCAAATGCCCAAGGTAAGATGACTTGTTAATATTTCATAATCTATATTTCAGCATTCATTGAACAATGAATTTAATCTGGCATGATGAAATAATGCAATTTATGACAATGCACGGGAAGGGAAGGAACTGATACGATAGTGTTCCAAAAATGAAGGGAAATTCAAATAACAAAACCTTTCAAAACATATACAGATACCCCTATCCAAAATAAGTATAATGTACAAGTTAGCTTGCAGTGTTAAAACATTAGGAAATGGGAAAGTAGCTACTCGTTGCATATAATGAATGTGAAATTAGAAAAGACTGAAATTGGTACTTTAATAGTGTTTGTGCTATTTTTAAAAGATCACTTATAATATACCATCATTAAATAGTTTCAGGTCTTATTTTCATCTGATCACCAAATGAGTTTTTCTATTTTATATATGCTAGTTTAAAATAATGGCATTATTTTTATTCTGACTGAATTTAGATTTTTAACAAAATTATCACCACCATAAAACTAAATATTTTACAGTAGCAACTATCCTACAATTTCTAAACCCATTTAAAAAAATCAAATTGGAATACAAGAACACAATGTTTTATCATCACGAAGCAGCTACTTCAACCTCCAATAATCAATGTTTTGTCTCCCCCTTCTGGACTACACAATTATAAAAAGGAGAAAAAAGGAAAAATAAGATTTAATCTTTTTTCACAGAACATATTCAAATAATTGGCCTGACACAAGTGTAATATTACGTGAGGTAATTATCAAATACTATTCTATAAATAAACTAATAAAACTTCAATTTATTAATGTAGTAGCAGCTTAACAGCCTACAAAGCATGCTGCCACACTTGGTGGTATTTTAGGTATATTACTATCAGGCAGCTTATAGTAAGTAATACATAGATAACACTAAATTTATTATTTTAAGCCTGATCATATGTTTATCCTTTTTTTTTTTTTTTGAGACACAGTCTCGCTCTGTCACCCAGGCTGGGGTGCAGTGGCACCATCTCGGCTCACTGCAACCTCTGCCTCCCGGGTTCAAGCAATTCTCCTGCCTCAGCCTCCCTAGTAGCTGGGATTACAGGGGCCTGCCACCAGGCCCAGCTAATTTTTGTAGTTTTAGTAGAAATGGTGTTTTACCATGTTGGCCAGGCTGGTCTTGAACTCCTGACCTCAAGTGATCCACCCACCTCAGCCTCCCAAAGTGCTGGGGTTACAAGCGTGAGCCACGGCGCCCAGCCATGTTTATACTTTTAACAGAAACTTACTCTCAGTATTACCTTCATTGTCAGCCTGGAAGAGGGCCGGCTGGCGGGTGGGAGTTCATTTGGCTCTATTTTGAGAAAACTCTTGCAACAGTCATTCAGTTAGTGCTCATGATTCCCATGCTCCATTAGGGCAAAGAAGCATGCATTTGTATCTGACCTTCACTATTATGGGCTTGTTTTTTTGACTGAGATTATTAGGAACATTGCAAAAGGTACAAATATGACCTCTTAATTTTATGTCAGATTGTTTATCTGGTAAATGATACTACAAGCCACCAAAATGATTCACTCTTCTCTGTCTTGGTCCACTGAATCATCTACAAGTATACTTGGCCTTCAATACCTAGTAAAGATATTCAGGCTTCAGCTTTTAAGCAGGTAAATGTTATTAGAATGATCAGCAACATAGTCTCAGCAGCAATATACAGAGAGTACATTTAAAATGGTAAAAGCAGTAGTTTGAAACAGAGAACCAAATTATAAAATTATACTGCTAATGCTGTAAGAGCTAAATAAATGTTCTTGCATGGTGATACCTTTACTCCTGCTATTGTGATTCTAGTAATTTCTCCCTGATTAACATATCTAACTGAACTCAATCTTCTTTTACTCCAAACTCGGTCTCGTCCCTGACTACTCTATGAATGCTCAAGTCATTTTGGTCACCCATGCTTGAAATTTCAGTCATTATTGATTCATACATCTCTTCTGCCCTTTTAAAATCATTTGCTGAGGCTGGGATATTTTACTTCCACAGTCTCTGTCTCTCATCTATATCCTCCATTTAGTTCCTACTAACCACACTCCAGTTCAGCACCCTTATTACTTAAACTACAGCAACAACCCCCAACTTGATCTCCTTGCCCTTATGTCTAACCTCTCCAATTTCCACTGCTACCTTTCTCTTCCCCAAATACACCTTGGATTTTGTCGTTCCACGGCTCAAACCCTTCCAGGGCTCCTGGCTGGCTATTAAAGTGACAATTCTTCAAAATATCTCTCCTAAAATGACCTGAACTTACCTTTCCAAATTAACAACCCACTAACTATGCTTAACATATGTTTTTAGTCACCCTAACTCTTGGGATTAAACACCCCCATACTTTCCCTTGTTCACCCCACTCCATGCACAGTGACCTCTGCTATTCCTTCAGATACTCCAAGCACACTCCTGCCTCAAGGCCTTCGCACTTGATGTTCTCTCTTCCCTAGATATTTGCATGGCTCTTCCCATTTTCATTCAGGTCTCCTTTCAAATGTCATTTGCCCAAAGAGCTCGCCTATCTAAAATACCACACCCTGATCACTCTCTGCTTTCTCTAATAGCGCTTACCTGTCATTATATTTTATATGTGTCATATTGTCTGTTTCCCCATCTTGAATGTAAGTTCCATGAAGACATTATCTGTATGGTTCATCATTCCAGCACCTGGAATAATGCCTGGCACTAATAAGTACCCAGTAACTTTGTGTTCAAGAAAGGAATGAAACTGAGTCTAGAGAGGTTTACAAGCTCACAGGGAATGAATGAGTAGTGAATCAGGATTCAAACTCAGACTCTTCTGATGACGAGACAAATGCTTTCCCAAAAAGCCGTTGCTGCTGCCAACTTATTAAATTACCTCTTATTTAAAATTATAAGGTCTGGTCATTACAATGTTTGCTATTTTCCAACTATCATATGTAATCATATCAATTCTTACTTTTTGTCACAGAAGAATGCTTATTTTTCTACCTGTGGATAAATTATTCCTGGCTTGTAGTGAAATAAAATCAATCATTTTAGCTGTTTTCTAAATCTGTTTCATGCATTGTTACTAAATAATAAAAACAATTTATTTTGCTTCACAAAATTCTGCAACAGTTATTTAGAACGAGAAGCCATTGAAAAAAGTAATTCAGTTTTATCTCTTCCCTACTCCAAATTCTGTTTGCTATTTCTAGAGATCTACCAGAAAGATATTTTATCATTTCCCATCACAGACAGTATCTATACCAAATCCTCAACTATTTTATTAAATCTTTAAAATAATCTTGTCAATATTAACTTGAGATCATATATGATTTTACTTTTTTCCTCAAAGCCCAGCAATAATCCACACCACATAACAAATAGCTTCCAATAAACAGGCAAAACATTCTCCTTCCAGCATCCAGCTGAATCCTTCCCACCATTCTTGACCCAGAATAAATCCCATTTTTCCCTTTAAATCTTCAAATAGCAAACATCTTGAACACTGAACAACAACAAAAAAGGCAGCTCAGTCTTATCTCATTTTACCATGTAGTCTTTATGTTTTATGTCTTTCATATCAAGCATTTTGTAGAATTCAAGACATTTAACAAAAATGTAATTCAGACCTACTATTTGCAAGATTCTTTACATGTTAAATATATTAAACATAAACAATATACTTCAAAAATATCACAAATTTAGTATTATTCTCTTCATTTTATCAATGAAAAGACTGAGATTCAGAGAAGTAAATTATCCAAGGTCACACAGCTAGTATGTGACCTTGGATAGCAGAGACAGAATCTGAAACCAGGTCCATTTGCCTCTAAACCCATGATTGCTACTAAAATTTGCCTTCCTTCATAGAGTCTGTATCGTGGATATACAAAGACTCATAGTATGTGAGACAGTATTATTTAAGGATATAAATTACTACAGGCATAAAGTAAAATAGGAGTATTCTGAAAGCCCTTAAGGAATATATAAAGAAATAGGAACTATAAGATAAAGTTAAGAGTGACTCCCTAAGAGTTAAAAATAAAGTGCTATAGGAGTTCAGATATATTACTGTAGGTGGAAATGGGAGAGCGGATCAAGATCAAGACAGGCTTCATGGAAGAGCTGTGGAGGATGGCTAGAATGTTGACAAAGGAAAGAAAACATTCTATACAAAAAAGATCCCTTGAGCAAAGTCAGAAGCAATACTGCCTGAGGCTAAGGGGGTGGTTTTGTTCAGGTAACAGGCAGTTTCCTGGCTTGACTTTTAAAGTACAATTTATATAGGATAGTGAAAAGTAAAGACTGATGGTAGCTCAAGATCAGGAGGGCCTCAAATGCCTCCATTTCTGCTTCTAATCAACATTGGTTAGACAAACGCAAAACAGGCCCATGCCGACCTCCTAGTTCATTACATATTCCATCTGTTGGATTTCAGTCTAGCTTTCGTATCACTCATTTTTGGACCAATGTACGTAATCTCTGGGCAAATGCAATACTTAAAGTGATTATTCTAGAATTTCTTTTTGAAACACCTCTATAAATTTCCTACCTGCCCTTTTTATCAATGAATAAACCTCTCCATCTGTTGAAGATTGAGACCATGATGCAAAAGCCCTTTTGTACCTGGTTTTCACCAGTGATCTTACATATTGTTTTCTTATTCCCTTTAGTTGCAGAAAAAAAAACAAACAAAAAAATTTCTTCCTTAAGACAACCATCCCACCTAAACTCTAGAACAAACCCCTAATCATTTCCTCTAGAAGCTAATTCCTATAGTTTCTTCCCTTTATAGCAGGATTTGCAAACTCAAATGTGAGGAGGTCACAGATAAGACAATGGGTATGAAATAGTTTACATTGTGGATCAAAACACGTACCTCATTATACTGTTTTTCAAAACACTCTGGGAAATATATATATATGTGTATATATATATATATACACTACATATAGCCTGCTGGCCTGCCATTTTACCATATTGCATCTTCAGGTCCTATCTTTATTCTGTTTACCTGTCTGTCTTCCCCGTTAGACCTAGTTTCTTGAACACAGAAGCTGTGTACATTGTGGAAAAAGAACATATAAATGACTTATTATAATAAAATATGTTAAATATAACAATAGAGCTATAAACATGGTGCTATGGGAAGGAAGGAGTTACCTAGGACAGCTTCTTCTAAGACTGACAGGAAGCTTAATCTTGATGGATATTTAGGAGCTTGGCGGACACACTAAAGAAGAAAACGGCATTCCAGCTCAAAAAAATAGAACATGCTTGATTTAAAGGTATTAAAGAATAAGGCATGAAGGAATTGCCAAGTGTTCCTATGCAGATAGAAGACAGGTACCAGTAAGAACGAAGCTGGAGATGAAACTAGAGAAGCAGGCAGGGATGAGATCACAAAGGACAACAGGGAGCCATTTGAATGTTTTGAGGAGGGAAATATAGTAGTCTCTCTTTATCCACAGGAGGTACGCCCCAAGACACCCAGTGGATGCCTAAAACTGTGGATAGTTTTGAAACTCTAAATATAGTATGCTTTTTCCTATGCATATAAACCTATAACACTTAATTTATAAATTAGGCACAGTAAGAAATTAACAATAGCTAATAAAATAGAAAAATTATAACAATATACTATAATAGAATTATGTGGACCGGACGTGGTGGCTCACGCCTGTAATCTCAGCACTTTAAGAGGCCAGGGCAGGCGGATCGCTTGAGCTCAGGACTTTGAGACCAGCCTGGGCAACATGGCAAAACCCCATCTCTACAAAAAAATACAAAAATTAGCTGGGCATGGTGGTGCACACCTGTAGTCCCAGCTATTCTGGAGGCTAAGGTGGGAGGATGGCTTGAGCCCGGGAGATCAAGGATGCAGTGAGCCAAGATCATGCCACTGCACTCCAGCCTGGGCAACAGAGTGAGACCCTTTCTCAAAAAAAAAAAAAAAAAAAAAACATGTGAATATGGTCTCTCTCTCTCAAAATGTATTATTGTGCTGCACCTCAGGTAACTGAAACAGAAAATGAAACCACAGATAAGAGGGTACTGCTGGAGCAAGATAACTGGTAACAGTGTAGAATATGCATGGGTGGGTGAGAGACTGAAGACAAGGAGACTGCTTGGTAGGCTACAGCAATCACAGGGGTGTTAAATGATGACAGTCTGAACTAAGGAAGTAACAGTGTGGGTAATTAGGGGAGAGAGTTGGTACCAAGACTAGAAATACAGGCTGCTTCCAGCCCTTATTAAAATAAGCTAAAAATCTCTTATCTCCCCAAACTCGTTATTTAACCCCACCTAGCCTCAAAGTGAGGACTTTAATACAAGTCCTCACTGAATCACTCAAAAATCTCCTAGGTAGCTTCCCGAATAAGTCTATCAGAATCCAGTACTTCTTAAAGTGTGAAGTATACTTCTCAGACTACCTTAGCAGAATCTCTGGAGGTGCTAGATAAAAATGCAAATTTCTTGGCCATATCCCAGGCCACCTGAATCACAATCTTCCTGGAGCAGGACAAAATTTGCATTTTCATGTACTTTCCAGTTTGAGAACCATTAGCCTAATCCAGCCTATCCACCTATCGAATTTATTTTTCTTAAACACTGCTTCCATCATGTTACCTCCTTGCTCAAACTAATTTATAATTTGCCGCCTGGACTTCAAGACCATCCTTCAACTTGATTTTTTACTCTTTCCAATATACATTCTTTGTTTCAACAAAGTCAACCTCATCTCTCACTTCCTTCTTCTCTGCCTCCACACACATGGTTTGGTTCTCTTCAGGCCTTTGCATTTAATATTACTTCCAGAATCTGAGAGCTTCTCCACAGTCTCTCCTCCCTAGCCAAACACCAGCCATCATAACTAATTATTCCCTGAAAGCCCAATTTAAGTGCAGAAATTTACACAGATTTTTCTCTAATTACTCCAACCTTACTTCTCTCTCCTACTTATGAATTCCTATTACATTTATAGTCAGCATGCATAATTTAAGGTTTGATTATTTCAACACATATCAACTAGGTCCTATCTCATTCTTATTTTCCAGTCATCAGTGCACCTAGAATAATTCTTGGCATATAATAAGCACTAAATAAATATTCGATTTTTAAAATTATCCTGAAAGGATGATGGCTTTTCCCCCTAGATGTCTCGTGAATTTAAAAAAAAAAAAAAGAAGAGTAAGATAATGAAAAGAAGGAATCAATTTTTAAAAGCAAAATGAACAAATAAATCCACTATTCTAGATACCTCAGTACTCGGTGATGTTAAAGATAATGTTTCCTACCACCCTGTTCTCTAGGGAGTGCTTAGTCATGAAGATAAGGTAATTACAAACAGCTCTCAATCACAGTACGGGCCACTTTGGGCGTGTTATATAATAGTGTATCATGTAATTATAGCACTGAAATATAGTGCCTTGAATATAAAACCTTTAAATGACAGCCATGGAAAGAACCTTAAAAGATAATTTCAGCTAATCATTTCAATTTATCCATTTAATAATTGAGCCCCAGAGAAATTACATGACTTGCCCAAAGTAGCAAAAGCTGATTAGTAGCATACAACAAAGACAAGCACCCAGGCCTCCCGACTGCATGGAAAGGGTTGTTTTCATTACTCTATGTGCTCAATCATACTGAAATCAAAGTGACATATTTTAATAAGAATTCCTGTTAGCATAAACCAACATTTTAGGATTCTCCTCCTGATAAATTGAGGTAAAACATACAATTTCATCAGAATCATAAAGACTGACACAGGCATAATTCCAAAAACAAAAAAAAAGGTGAAAACTTCTAAGATAAAATATACAAGCATATTCTAGTTCTAAAACATCTCCCAAAAACCACAGAAAAAATACTTGTCCAGGCTAAATTCTAATCACCTGATCATAATATTCATCTCATTGCTTTGGTAAAATATATACCAAAAGAACCAAACATATAAAATACTACAAGCAAAAATCACAATTTACAAAACCACAAATTCATATCTAAGGGTAAAACACATCTTTTGTACTCACCGTAACTTTACTTCCAACTATCTGCATGCAGTGGTCAACGAAGAGTGGTTATGGTGTAAAAAAAAAACAAACAGCAACAATATTAGTAGTCAGAAGCTTTTCACAGAGGTTAAGTGTTTAGTAAATTAGTAAATAGCTAACCCTATTTATATTTTTGATACTTTAGATATACAGGCTAAAATAGATACATCAATATTAATTTCTACTATGTTTCAAAAATGTGTAAAGTCTACAGAATAAGGATTCTCAAATAAGTGATAATTACTATTTGAGGATTTTTTTAATGTACTATAATGGGCTTCTCATATAGTATAATCTAAATATCAAGTTATGCAATGTTAAGTGTAATCAGGCATCAGATTTTTTTACCAGCTCATAGTCCCTGAAAAAATTATCAATAGAAATTTTGTTTTTTCCAATATTGCCTTTTCTTTTCTTTCCTTCTTATGGCAGGTATACTATCAAGGTTGAAATAGTACACCTTCTTATGGCAGGTATACTATTAAGGTATTTTAGTATATAAATGTTACATTTAAAGTCATGCATTAAGTTCAGAAGTAAACTTTAGGTTGAAAACAAATATTTTTTATTGTTATAAATTTAAGGTGTACGATACTGTTTTATATTATACTTGAAAATTATAAAAAAGATAGATTACTTATTATTCTAGTTTTCTAGGTAATCCTAGCATTTCTATTATAAGATCAGAATTTTCTACATAATGTGAAGACAAAGAAGCATTTTACATCTAAACATGCACATGTTCAGAAGGAGGAAATAGTTCAAAAATTGCAGCTCCAACTGAGCTTTCCTAATGGATAAGTGATAAAAGAATTTCTGAGAGGCAGAATTGTGTTTAAGAAAGCAGGAAGTAAACTCATAGTCCTAAACATAATTTTATCCAAAAATCCAAATATAAATCAAATCACTGTTATCAGATTCCCACACTTGAATATCAAGCAGTGTCCAAAAAACAGCTAAGCCACAATACAAAACCATTAATCCGATAGCAGTTATTATCAAAATGTGTTCTATTTTTCAGCTAGTGCTTTAAAAATAAAAATCAAATTTAACTGAAACCCCAGTAAGAATCCTATGTTGAAAAGGATATCATAAAATACAAAAAGATAATGACAGTTTCCAAGTAAATTATTTCAGAAGAATCCATGAATCTCAGAATACAGAAGCAGCTTTCTTAAATATTCATTCAGTAGACTATTTACAAGCAGTGATTATTTAGTTGAATAAAAGCCTCTTTGGTGCCATTAACAGTCTTCTGAATTAAAAGATATGCTATTGACCTCAATTATTTCCTCCCACCGAAAAGACAGAGGTCGTATTTGTCCCTTGTTTATTTAGCACAGACATGAGACTAACAAAAGAATGTGAGCCTGCGTTAACAATTAAAGCAGGTCTATACTCAGTGAAACAACCAGAATATGGCCCATTTAATGATTCATTTGCATTGCAAAATAACTGCATTTAGCTAAAGCACAAACGGCAATAGATAAGATTTAGTACCCAACAGAAGCTAAGAGAAAATATTTTGGCCATGTCTGGGTTCAACTGTTTGATCATATCCAGATCATACCTGGAAAAGAGCTGAAAGAGTATCTGATAATGACAAAAGCAAAACCATAATACATGTATACACATACACATATAGATATACTGCAACTTTTAACTACTCATTATACAGGTCAGTCTAACAAATCTGCAGATGTAGCTAGCACCACTATTTTAAATTATTTCCTACTGAGATTAAAAAAAAAAAAACCAATGCTGCCTCTCAATGGTTCACATGTCTTAAAAAATATAACTTTACATATTTTAAAATTTCAAAGATTATGATTTAAATTCAAAATAAACCAATCCCTTAACATTCTAGGAATGACACTGGCATTTGACAAACTAACGTTGGGACTTCGGTGAATAACTTTTCCTCATAAATGTCTATATGTGCTGTTAAGTGCCCGTGAGATCCCCTCTAAATTACCAACATATTGTTTCAGGATTACCAATCGGTAGGACAACTTTTGCAATATTAACAAAGCTTGGTTTTCCATTTTCTGAAAACATATGCTGGTGTTTTGAAAATATAGACTCTTCCAGGTTATTTGTGGTCAAATTATCTACATATTCCTATTACCCTACGTCAGATCCATAACTACGCTTCCTACAATGAACAATGGAGGATAAAATGCAGAAAGAAGGTTCTTCTCCATCCCTCTATTTAAAGTTCATTCATCATGGACAGAGTTATTCAAACTTTTTCCTTTAACATTCACACAATTTAACATTCTCTATTATGGGACTTCGAGAAGAAAAAACTAAGCAATAGTTTTTATTATTATCTTATGGTTTCCTTTATAGTCTCCTTTTCCATGCTAATTTTAGCAAAGTTAATTATACGACAAAAGACTCTTGTTTGCTTTAGAAACGAGTTTTGACCACATATTGGTGTATAGCTTCATTTTACTTTTATGTCCTTACTCAAGAACCCAGGAGCATGATAGACATTTCTATCTAAAATCTGGTTTTAGATCCCATACAAAATGATTAATGCAGGTGTTAAACGGGGAAAATGTATGATTTACGTTTAAATTTCACTACAATTCTCACATGTTTTACATGTGACTATAAAACATTTCTCCACCAGGGACTCTAGCTCTTAACTTTGCTACCTCAAGATGAAAGCTGTGACTAACTAGAAAGCATTTTCATAAAGTAGTGGTAACTATCATGTCTACTCTAAATGCAAACTTTAGTGCTGTGATAATGAAAAGGTAAAAAGGTTAGATTATTGTTTGTCACTGAAGGCCAACCCTCTCACCTTCAAAAGGAAATTACATAACTAATTTTTGTGGTTTTAATGATAGAAAACATAGTACTAATTAACGTCTTTCCAAGATGAGAAAGCTTCAAAAATGCTTGTCAACAGGCTTTCTTCCATCATAGTATCTGGCCCACGAAAAATATTAGCAAAAATATGTATAATCCTGGAAATCTTATCAGAGTGCTGTGCATATTTCAGGTGCTCATATGTACACTGAATGAAACAAATAAGGGCCCTTAAGTAGTTCTGATTTTGAGGCTAATGCCTTAAACATAGAATTTTCATGTCTTTTGAGGAACATTGAATTTCCATCTTTTGAATAATGCAGTTCAAGTGAGCTCATCTAATATTTATCCAATTTTTTGCATTTTAATCTGAAAAATCAGTATATAACTTGAAGTGTGCATTTCTTTGGTCACTTGAAGAGGAAATAATATGAGAATAAATGAAAACAAGTTCTGCACAGAAATCATGTAATACTCAAAAGGTCAAGGAATAAGAGTTTCATATAATCATTATATTCAGTCCCACTTACACAAACAACAACAAATGAGCCAGAGACTCTAACAAAATCTTATCATTAAAACCACCACATGATTATTCATATGTTATTATCTGTACTTTGCACTCAGATTCAGTCATATAGATTTACTAGTGTATCAGCCTTTAGGTCTTTGAAAAATAACATTGAATGTACATCCTGCATTTCCTAAAGCATTTTATGGTGAACAATAACTTGAGTGCAAAAATGAGAAGAGATTCATCAGAATTTCAAAGTAAAACCCTATGCATCACCTAATTCTATTGAAAACGACGCTCATGGCAAATTTCACTTATCACTTGAAACATATTTCTGCCCTTGGATACCAGAAGCAAATTTAAAAACATGCTGTTGCTCTGCTATGGCGGAGCTGCAATGTGTTATGTTTAAATAGCTCAGCATTCAGATTTAGCTTGTTTCAAGTACAATATAGAATCAATACAATCGTAGAATTCATGGCAAAATGCATTAGTAATTGCCACTGGAATTGCTGTACTGAAATAGCATTAATAGGATAGCCAAATAACTTTAGAATATATTTTTTCAATGAAGACTTGTTTTCTGCAATGGTCAACTTATGAAATTTAAAACACATGACCTAAATAGTGTATGTGTGTGTACATGCATATGTATACACACAAAATATCACTGTGTGTGTATACATATATATACACACATATACACACATACAGTGATTTTATGAACTCTAGGTATTAAAAGCTTTTTCTTTACAGAAATGTAAAAGATGCATTTTGCTATTTCAAAAATACAATTTTTTCTTACCAAAAAAAAAAAAATCAAAGCTTAAGACTATATTTGGAAGTGCATTAGGAAGAGAACAGAGCAAAATACTCCACTAAAACACACAGTTTCCTAATAACAACAAGTCCTTTCAATGAACTTTACTTTCAAGTCTTGGGACTCACAAACAGATTTGATTAAAGCTCCTATTAGGTGACATCCTTTACATTAAATGAAGCTATACAATAGCAATTATGAGGCAGCTTAGTTTGCATCATATAAAATTATGAAAAAAGCTAACTGCGAATTAAAAAATATGGCTAAAAGTTTCATGCAAGTAGACACCAGACATGTAGCTTTAATGTAAACTTAAGCTGTGACTATACTAAGTTGTACCTTCTTCAAAATCCGAAATTTTCATCTAACAAACCACATTTTGGTGGAATATCTGCAAAATGCAGTCGATTTTTAGTATGTACACAAAAGCTCAGGACTGGACTGGATTACCTCAGAGCTTTGTATCCTTTGTCTTGCTTGTAATAATGGAAACGTCCCATTTCTAATGATGAATAGTTTAAAAATATATACTTAATACTAAATGTATAACATATATAAATTGTCTTCTGAACAGTCTATATGAGTACAATGAGGTAATCTGAAGAGCTGAGGTTTGTTTATTTTTAAGCAAAATGATGCTAAGCTCATTGCTCATTCTGTTGGAGCTAGAAAAATCTCCCTACTTACAGATTTGGCAGTGGCAGAAATATACTGGACAACCATCTCACGTTTGGTGGTAAAGTCTTTGTTTCGTAAAGGAGCTTTTTTCTCTTCGTTAAGGTTCATGTCCTCCTGTAAGAGATAACATTTACTGTGGGCATTGATAAATTTCCACTTAAGAGCTTCAAAAGTGATTAGTAAACATTAATAATTTCTATGTCTTAAAATACTAATTCATGTGGTGACTAATGTCAAAAATCCTTTTTTGGGATACTTCGCTATTATTTTTCACTCTAGATACCACAGTTTTGTGTAAATTCTACCATGTATTCACGGTTCACATCTCTACCTAGCCAACTACTGAGCAGAAAGAAAAAAATATTTTTAAAACTATTCCACAGAATAAATTGGCAGTTTATAACATAGATATACATGGTATCTATGCTAACAAAGCTCTTTATTTATCTTGATAGCAAATACACACACAAAATGCTGTTTGGCATATGCTCCCTTAGGATCATTATTACCTGGGAAAGCAAATACAATTTGCAAATTGTCAGGGTCTATATATCTATAATATGTCACTGAAGAAAGTTCACAAGAAGTTGTTGGATTTGGAAAAGAAAAAAAAGCAGAAACAGCGGTATTGCGGTAATAAATGTCACTCATTAGAAGGAAAAGTATTCAGTTACAAGAACACATTGTTTTGAGGTTCAATAAACTTTAATTCAGTTGGAAATCTACCTTTATTTTGTGATATATACACTTATAACACTTTGATTAGACAAATTGTTTTTCTTCATTTTGAAATTCATGGTAATCCTTGTGACATATGAAGACACCCTTGACAGGGTCACAAAACCAAGTTGGAAATGGCTGTGCCTCAAAATGCAACACCAAATGAAAAGTCAATCTACAGAATAGGTGAAAATGGTTACAAATCATATGTCTGATATAGATGTGTACCCAGATATACAAAGAACTTTTACAACTCAATAATAAAAAGACAAGAGTCCAGTAACAAATGAGCAAAACACTTGAATAGGCATTTTTCTAAAGAAGATATACAGGCCAGGCACGGTGGCTCACACCTGTAATCCCAGCACTTTGGGAGGCCAAGGCGGGTGGATCACGAGGTCAGGAGATCGAGACCATCCTGGCTAACACGGTGAAACCCCATCTCTACTAAAAATACAAAAAATTAGCCAGGCGTGGTGGCGGGTGCCTGTAGTCCCAGCTTCTCAGGAAGCTGAGGCAGGAGAATGGCGCAAACCCAGGAGGCAGAGCTTGCAGTGAGCTGAGATCACACCACTGCACTCCAGCCTGGGTGACAGAGCAAGACTCCATCTCAAAAAAAAAAAAAAAAAAAAAAAAGATATATAAATGGCCAATAAGCACAGGAAAAGATATTCAACATCATTAATCTGTGGGGAAATGCAAATCAAAACCACAGTGAGATACTACTTCACTTCTACTAGGATAACTAGAAAAAAAGAGGAAAATAATAAATGTTGGCAACGAATTGAAAAAATTGGAACCCTCACACATTGCTGGTGGGAAAGAGAAATGATACAACCACTTTGGAAAACAGTCTGGCAGTTCCTCCAAAAGTTAAACAGATTTATCTACCATATGACCCAGCTTACATACCTAAGCAAAATGAAAACATATGTCCATACAAAAACTTGCACACGAATGTTCATAGCAGCATTATTGATAATAGCCAAGGAGTAGAAACAATCCAAACATCCATCAATTGACGAATGGATAAACAAAATGTGGCATATCATACAATGAAATATTATTCAGCTCTAAAAAGGAATGAAGTACTGATACATGCTATAACCTGGATGAATCTTGAAATCACATTATGCTAAGTGAAAGAAGCATTATAAAAGACCATATATTCTATGATTCTATTCATATTAAATGTCCCAAATAGGCAAATTTATAGGGACAAAAAATAAATTAGAGGTTGCCAGGGCCAGGGGAGAAGAGGAGGGAGTTTGGATTCTGACTGATTATGGGTATGGTGTTTCTTTATGGGGTGATACAACTGTTCTCAAAGTTGTTGTGCTAGTTTCACACTCTTTGAATATACAAAAAAAAAATTATGAATTTGGCCACGCACAGTGGCTCACGCCAAAGTCCTAGCACTTTGGGAGGCCCAAGAAGGAGGATCACTTGGGCCCAGGAGTTTGAGACCAGCCTGGGCAACATAGCAAGACCTCGCTTCTATAAAAACTTTTAAAAAATTACCTGGACATGGTGGTGTGCACCAGCAGTCCCAGCTACTTGGGAGACTGAGGCAGGAGGGTCGCTTGAGACCAGGAGGTAGAGGTTGCAGTGAGCTGTGTTCCTGTCACTGCACTCCAGCCTGGAAATCTGAGCAAGACCCTGTCTCCAAAAAAAAAAAAGGAAGAAAGAAAGAAAAAGCAAAAAAAAGAGCACATTGTAAAAGGGTGAATTTTATGGTATGTGAATCATATCTAAATTTTTTAAGAAAACAAATCAGTATTTTTATCCCTTTACTCTTACAGAAATTCTGAGCATTCTATTTTTTTTTTTGATAAAGTAAATAAACTAATTGGCGAAGAACAGTATCAATGTTATTTTATTTTATTTTACTTTTTGAGATGGAGTTTCCCTCTGTCGCCCAGGCTGGAGTGCAGTGGCGCGATCTCGGCTCACTGCAAGCTCCACCTCCCAAGTTCAAGTGATTCTCCTCCCTCAGCCTCCCGAGTAGCTGGGACTACAGGCGCCCGCCACCATGCCCGGCTAATTTTTTGTATTTTTAGTAGAGACAGGGTTTCACTGCATTAGCCAGGATGATCTCGATCTCCTGATCTCATGATCCACCCACCTCGACCTCCCAAAGTGCTGGGATTACAGGCGTGAGCCACCACGCCTGGCATCAAAGTTATTTTAAAGATGCATATGTGAGAATGTGGAAGACAATCCTCAAAAGTAGACAAATTGCATCTATCTATTGAATAATAACTTTGTTGACAGCAAAAATCTATATTTGCAACCACTGCAGCAACTCCTATGATGATTCATTCATAGTCAATACCTATAAATTTTGTGTATATATACATGACCTTTCTTCCTAATTATCTGGATCACTGTCCCTATCCCCACTTTTCTATCTAATGTTATTTCTCATTTGGATATTTTACTTGTTAATGACTTACTAGAAGGCAGAAGACATCTTTTTCATCTCTCTCTCATAGGCTCTGGCATTGTTGAATCACAGTAGAATCACAGAAACTAGGTTGGATAGCACTCATAATGTGGTCCACAGATGCTCATCTATGTTCTGTATCTATTTCCTTTTTTTTTTTTTTTTTTTTTTTTTTTTTGAGGTGGAGACTTGCTCTGTTGCCCAGGCTGGAGTGCAGTGGCCTGATCTTGGCTCACTGCAACCTCCGCTTCCCAAGTTCAAGCGATTCTCCTGCCTCAGCCTCCCAAGTAGCTGGGATTACAGGCACGCACCACCACACCCAGCTAATTTTTTTGTATTTTTAGAGACAGAGCTTTGCCAGGTTGGCTGGGGTGGTCTCAAACTCCTGGCCTCAAGTGATCCACCCGCCTCGGCCTCCCAAAGTGCTGGGATTACAAGCGTGAGCCACCACACCCAGCATATGTATCTATTTCAACTGACAGTGTACTCCCTACGTCCTCAGACAGCCCCACTCATCTTAGGGTAGTTTAATTTTTGCCAAATTTTTCCTTCAATGATTGGACATGAAATATGTACAACAAAATAATGTGTGTTAAGGTGGGTGGCATGACCTTTTTTCTTCTCTTTTAAAATTCTGAATCACTTATTTACTGAACACATACTACACACCAGAAACTATGCTAGGCTGTCTAATCTGGTAGACTGTTTTTATACTCAAATTACATATTATTTATAAAGCACTTAGAACAATGCCTGATACTTAGTAAATGCTATATATGTTTGTTGAATAAATAATTTATGGTCCAGTAGTAACAAATAATTCTAACTGAGGCATGTATCAGATTCTTTGGAAACACAGGGCAGATGGAAAGGTCAGAGAAGTCTTCACCAGGTTGTGGGTCTCAAAGGATGAAAAAAATCTGACTGGAAGGAAGGAGACCGGTCAGGAAACTCTAGCGGTCATGTGTCATTTTTTGCTGCTCAACATCACTTGAACATACCCTCTACAATTTAATACATCCTCACATTGTCAGTCCCACCTGACAAAGGTAGAATCCATAAAAACTACATTTGTCAGTCTCCCTTTTAACTAGAGTGCAGGCATGTGGCTTAGTCTCCACCAATAAAATGCATGCATAGGAGGTGTAGATTTAGAAGTGAACTATGTGAGGAAGCAGGCCACGAATAGGCCATTCATTTTGCTGATGTAGGTGGCAACAGAGGTGATGTTGTTACAGAACTGATGGCATTAACTGTGTCTTTTTCATTAAGACATTTTGATCAAATAGTTCTGGGATAAGAGCTCCTTAATTGGAACTGTATTTCAGTTGTGTGGTTCTGGAAGTTAGTCCTATAATGTTATCTAGAGCCTGTTTCTGCAACTCTGTTAATTCAAGACTACGTAATATCCTCTAAAATTATATTCTATTTAAACCTGCCAGAGTGGATTTTTCTTATGTTCAATAATTTGGGCTGAAGTAATTTAAGTGACTAGAGATAAGAGTCGAACTAAGAAGAAAACTCAGATTGGACAGAAGGAAATTAATTCAAGAGCCACATAAATGTTATTTGAAGACCACATTCCTTCTTTCAGGCTAAAGTACTCAACTTATCTTCATGTAACATGGGTTGGTGTCCACATCTCTCTCTCTCTCAAATACTCTGTGGTTTAACAAATGCAAGGTAGGAAAGAATGTCCACCTCCCTCACCTTGAAATACTTACACCTCTGTTAATTCACCCTCTTGATTTTATTATCTTACTGGCCAAGTACATCATTCTGCTGACTCATATTGTTTTTGTTTTCATCAAAATCCCTATGTTCTGCTCACATATGCTGGGCTATGTCTCTATTGCCTAAAAAAATTCTGGTTAAATTTCAGTCTCCTGTAAATGTGGTTATCATCAATCCGCAACCTCCAAGTAGAATCAACTCTGGAACAGTGACAAGATTAAGTGTCTGTATTTGTATACTTCACAGCCTGGCCTAAGAGTGTGGTGGCGTCACCTTTGGCAGTCTCTAGGTAGAGAGTTTCTCTGCTTCCAGTGACATTTCTACATTACCGTGTACCCATTCAGTTTTTAATGGCACACACTGCTGATATCACGCCATCACAGAATTATTTTGTAGGGAGGCAGGCAGGACAATAAGAGCAATGTAAGATTATACACCTCAGAGGAATGTTGTCAAGACTGGGTGTGATCATGCATGACAAGCCTGGTGTATATTAACTAGCTTTCAAAGAATGCTAGCTATTAGCGTTATCACCTCCCAACCTCAGCCTTTTAACCGCTTTTCATCTTACCCCTTATGTTTTAATAATGTTAGGTTGTTTGTAGTTTTGCTACATAAACTGTGTTGTTACACACTCATTATTTTGCTCATGATGCGCTGTTCTCCCTGCCTGAAATGTGGTCATCTTTACCATCCTCTCCATCTGTTAATGCCCATCCTTGCCCCCTCCAAATTCACATCTGGCTATTATACTTCAAGACTGTGCTCAACCACTAATTTTTCAGGAAGACTTCTCCTAAAGCACCTGATTTGAAAATAATTACCCTTATCCTAGTCTTCCATATTAATTCCTTATGTGTCACTTACATTGAAATTATGTGATAAATCTATCTCTTCTAAACTCGAAGCTGAAAATAGGAACTTACTTATCTTTGTACTCCTAGCAAAGAGCATAATTCCTGGAATGCAGTAAACATTTAATAAATATTTGTTGAACCAATGTGATATTTAAGACCTTTTCTTTAAATATATTAACTTGCTTTAGAATCAGCAACAGTTTTTTATACTTATAAATTTGCTGCATAGGTTGATTGGAAATGAGTATCATTCATGTGAAAAGACCATAATGACTCATTTTATTCTATAGAAATAAGATACATTCTACTAATTAGGCAGCTAACACTTCCAAATCATTAACTCCAGATCCATAATACAATAATAAAGCTAAATAGAGCAATATTCATAATTCAATATTAACTCTAAACAGCGTAATTGAATATGAAACTATTTCTAAACATACTGATTTCTTATGGTATTCAAAACAAAAGCAAGCTTTTAGCATGTTTAACATTTGATATATCTATAATACATGAGAAAAAATGTAGTATTTTGTGATTTTAAAAAACACTGAAGTCGGCCGGGCGCGGTGGCTCACGCCTGTAATACCAGCACTTTGGGAGGCCGAGGCGGGCGGATCACGAGGTCAGGAGATCGAGACCATCCCGGCTAAAACGGTGAAACCCTGTCTCTACTAAAAATACAAAAAATTAGCCGGGCGTAGTGGCGGGCGCCTGTAGTCCCAGCTACTTGGGAGGCTGAGGCAGGAGAATGGCGTGAACCCGGGAGGCGGAGCTTGCAGTGAGCCGAGATCCCGCCACTGCACTCCAGCCTGGGCGACAGAGCGAGACTTCGTCTCAAAAAAAAAAAAAAAAAAACAAAACACTGAAGTCTAGTTGACCATTTATAATGTTATTTTTATTATTTTTTCTTTATTATTATTATTATTTTTTTTGAGACAGAGTCTCGCTCTTCCACCCAGGCTGGAGTGCAGTGTCGAGATCTAGGCTCACTGCAAGCTCCGCCTCCCGGGTTCACGCCATTCTCCTGCCTCAGCCTCCCGAGTAGCTGAGACTACAGGCGCCCACCACCACGCTCGGCTAATTTTTTGTATTTTTAGTAGAGACTGGGTTTCACCGTGTTAGCCAGGATGGTCTCGATCTCCTGACCTCGTGATCCGCCTGCCTCGGCCTCCCAAAGTGCTGGAATTACAGACTTGAGCCACCGCGCCCAGCCTATAATGTTTTTAAAGCCACATTTGTAAATACTAAACCATTTTTTTATGCTTCTCATATGCCATGATACAATTTCCTATTATAGACAAATTCCTTCACTTCAGCAAACATTATATTCTTAAAGCTATTACTGAGAAGCCATAAGAATAGGATCAAATGAGAAGGTCAAAAGTTGAACCAGCTGCCTATTCATTCATTTGTATTCTCATTCATTCATTCTTCAATTCTCAGTCATTCGTCATTTTTCTCCGCAATAATTAGAATGTTATACTCAAATCCAGTACCTTAGTGATACTTTGTAAACTTAATGATATGTGTTTAGAAGCTTCTCATGAATTTTCTTTAATAACAACTGACAAAAGGTACCATGGCATTAGAGAAACACTTGGTAAAAGCAGCTGAAACAATCCATGCAAAACAACATGGCAGGAAGCTGAAGTACATTTCTTTGTCAGCAAATACTGACGTATCAGAAGACACGTATAGATCATTACTGAAAATTTGCTAAAGCAAGTATTTAAGCAATTAGTGTAGGAGGTTTACTATACAGTTGGATAAAAATATAACCTTTTTAAAAACACCTCACCTTATAGTATTTGCTAGATTGTTTCCATAATGACATATATAAACTACTTTTCTTTGTGTCACCGTTAGAACAATTTAACAGAGAAAACACATAACCAAAATAAATGATTTATTTAATAAAAAGAGGTTTTGTGGAAAAACTATGAGGGAAGGATTCCTGAGTCAGGTAAACCTACACGTAAAATTCAAGGCCATTGCAAGAAGTTGAAACTGAAGTATACAGAATACTACAGAGTCAAGAAGATTGTTCTTCTTTAAATAAAAGCAAGATATTTCAAATACAATAAAATATTTACAATATTTTGAAATGAAATAGGAAGTTAACATGAAAACCAGAGATATTTCTGGTTATTTCAAGATAAAGTATTTTAAAACTGTCGAAATTAGCCAGGCACAGTGTCATGCCTGTAATCCCAGCACTTTGGGAGGCCAAGGCGGGCGGATCACCTGAGGTCAGGAGTTCGAGACCAGCCTGGCCGACATGGCAAAACCCCATCTCTACTAAAAATACAAACATTAGCCAGGCGTAGGAGGCTGAGGCAAGAGAATCGCTTGAACCCAGGAGGCAAAGGGTGCAGTGAGCAGAGATCGCGCAGCTGCACTCCAGCCTGGGTGACAGAGTGAGTTTCCATCTCAAAAAAAAAAAAAAAAAAAAAAAACTTGAAATATAGCATGAGTTAGGCATTTTTCATTTACAAAAAGTGAAGAAATTCCTTGACGTTTTAACAATTAGTAAGAAAGTAACTCCTTTTCAAACCTACTTTACTGGAAAAGCCACACAGACAGACCCAGCTTCCAAGTCAGTCCCAACAGACTCAACTTCCAAGTCAGTCCCCTTCACCCTTGCTTGAATTACTTCCTCTTTCTTCCTGGTGTTAGATGTACTGTCTGGAACAGGCATGAGTACACAAACATGAGGATGAGGGTCTACACATTAATAATGTAGAAGAAAAAATGGAAAGAGCCCATCTTCCCAATGGCACTTGTTGAAGACCCATTTATTAAAGTCCAATTTAAACCCATTTATTTAGAAATATAAAAATGCAACACCCCAGATTAGTTGCAAGAATAACTGGCTGTCATCAAGTAAGACAGGAATTTACTAGTCATGGTTCAGCAGGAAATCTTTGCTTGATTCATGGATTGGTCTGATAAAAGTTAATACTACAATTTAGTAAGTTGCTAATGGTGCATTTGTTCGATTTGGACCTACAAATCTTTGTCAGATTTATGTTTCAATTATGAGAGAAATTAAACCAAATATCAAAATAAAATGAACTTGGAGCTAAACTTTCTAATTACCGCCTATTTTTAAGCAAGACATAAAAAAATGACATAGTGACACTGTTCTCACTAAAAAGTTATTAATCATGACAGCAAAGACTTCTGTATGATTAAGAAATAAACTAATTTTAAATCATTTTAAAATCTTGTTCATGTTTTTCTCATTTTTACTGTGTATATTTTGTAATGTACATATTAATATTAGTACATACATGCATGTATATAATGTTTAAAATATATTAGGGCTACTTACTCAAACATATATATATATATATATATATTTTTTTTTTTTTTTTTTCTGATGGGGTAGGAAATAAAAGGTTTAGAGACTCTTGGACTAGTCCAGAGGTTGGCAAACTTTTTCTGTAAATTGCCAGACAGTAAATATTTTAGGTTTTGCAAACTATATAATCTTTGTCTCAACTACTCAACTCTACTGTAGCACAAAGGAGCTATAGACAATACATAAACAAATGGGCGTGGATACATTCAGCAAAACTTTATTTGTGGACACTGAAATTCATATAACTTTCATGTGCCCTGAAACAGTCTTTTTTTGGGTAACAATTTAAAAATATAAAACCATTCTTAGTCAGCAGGATATACAAAATAAAAACCTTGTGGCAGGGATAGTACCTTTGACATCTTTATGTCTGCTGTACCTAACAAAGTATCTGGCATTCAGTAGAGAGTTGTCAAATAAACTTCACCATGACACAGATATTTGTCTTTTCCTTTTCTTTTATAACTCCACCTTATGTTCCAGTATATCACCCTTGCCAGAACATAAGCTCCTTGATGGCAGGGATTTTCTTTAAGTTGTTCACTGCTCTCTTCTCAGACCTTAAAACAGTATTGGGCATATGGAAGGCATGGGACTTTGATGAACTAAACTGTTCAAATTTTGAGAACATTTATGCCAAAAAATAAAGACGGATAATTCAGAAGTAACACTGGGTTTCACAGTGTATTTAGGTGGTGTTCTCTGCTTCCATCCTGAGCCCCTACACAGGGCTAAGTTCCCACAGTAGCCTATTCACAGCTATCCTAGTGCTATGGAAATAATTTATGTACTTTTCTCCCTGAGTAAACACTGAGCTCTCTGAGGGTAAGGGAGGTGTTGCATTCATCTTTACACTTCCAACATGTAGCATCCTACCTGGCACATTGCACATATGAATAAATAGTTGCTTAAATACACTCATGCAAATAAATACTAGTAGAATCCTTCAAAACAGAAGAAATATTTTTGAAAGCATTTCTCTGTACAAATCAAGAACAGAGCCAAGTTTTTAAAAAATCATGCTCGGCAATAAAATTAAAAATTGACCCAGATTTAGTTACCTTTTAGATCTGTTTACTGGGTAAGTTTTGCTCCTCTTTTATAAGCTCGTCATAGGAGTTTTATAAGAAAATAAAACATGTTGTCTAGAAATGCTTCTGGCATTATCTCCGTCTAATGATATGGAGTAAGGATATTGAAAATGTAAATATAACCTATGGATATTATGCTGTCTAGACAATTTCTGAGATTCTAATCATTTCTGACAACTATTTCCATGGCTTATTATAGATTTTAAGACCTAGTTTACCAATAATTTATTTTGTGCTACCTTAAACTATTAATTAAAATTACTTATTCTGAGGGCATGAAAAGATTCATCCAAGCTAACTAACTTCTAAAAGACTAGGGTTGGGTGAGAAAGAAACCTATAATAGCAGTCAGTGGAGAACAAGGATGCTTGGGTTAATGTATAACACCTGGTGTTCAAGCACAACTATTCTCTCTAAATTAATGAAAGAGAAAAGTGAGAGAACAAAAATTAAAAGGTTTGGGATTACTTATGAGAGTTCTAGCAGATGGAATAATTTAGTATTTATTGCATATAACTATTATCATTAAATTATGACAAAAATGCAAAGTATATTAATATAAATTGCTGAATAGAAAAGAGTGTAAAACATCAAATTTGCATGTATAATCATATATTAAACATTACCTTTAACAAATTAGGTTGAAATGAAATATGGCTAGAGGTTAATCATAAATCATTACTAGCCTCATCTTTTGCATAAGACAAACTATTTAATTACCTATATCAGAACACAGTCCTTATTGACGTATCTATATGTTGCCAATGCAACCTGAACCTCCACTTGGGAGTTCCTTGTGCTGCTAATAGAAATCAAATTCCAACATGAACTCCCAAGAAATTTCTATGGGTTTACTTTTTTAATCTTAAAATGAAAATCTCCCCTCTCCCAACACCCCTCTCCCCAAAAAGAACTCTAATTGCATAATTCAGTCTAGATGAAAACACTAATAAGCATTTAACAGTCCCTAAGCAGTATACTCAATGTACAAAAACCAGATCAGTTATTCTCAGCAAGCTCAAAGGTTATGACAACTTAAAATATTGAAGAGTTACTCAATTACAGCATTATTAATTTCCTTACATTTAAAGTGGAATTGAGGAGATATTTCATCCAATCCTAATTAGAGGCAATATAAAATGCTTCTGATCAATATGAGAAGAGTTACGAATATGAACCGCTTTAGTTCAGTCATCTTTAAAAGTCACTAAATATAGGCTGGGTACAGTGTAACCCCCAGCACTTTGGGAGGCCAAGTCAGTAGGAATGCTTGAGCCCAGGAGTTCAAGATCAGCCTGGGCAAAATAGCAAGACCCACACTCTACAAAACAATTAGGCAGGCATGGTGGCACGTGCATACAGTCTCAGCTACTCAGGATGCTGAGGTGGGAGGATTGTGTGATCCCAGAAGGTCAAGGCCACAGTGAGCCATGATCACACCACTGCACTACAGCCTAATGGACACAGCAAGACTCCATCTCGAAAAAACAAACAAACAAAAAAAACAAAAGAAAAAAAAAGTTACCAATAATAATAACATGGAAGGAGTATTGTTTTCATCCTACTACCTTTACCCACTTGTGGAAGATTTGAAAACATGACTCTGGGTATGGGAGGGAGACAAGAATCTTAAAGAGCAAGTGTGATTTACCCCATGCAGGTAATTTTATCAATCTTATAAAAGCAGTGGTTTTAATTCTTGAAAACTTTAGTAAAAGAACCACTTCTCAATTTTCAGTTAGTAGTTGGTAACCATACTCTAAATACAAAATTCACTTTTACAAACTATGAAAGACACTCTCTTAATAAAGAGCTTATATTCTATAAAATAAACAATCATCAAGAAATTTCAAAGCCAGGTGCCGTGGCTCATACCTATAATCCCAGCACTTTGGAGGCCAAGGCAGGAGGATGTCTTGAGCCTAGGAGTTGGAGACCAGCTTGGGCAACATGGCAAAACCTCATCTCCACAAAAAATAAACAAAAAAATCACGTTTATTTGGCACATGCCTGTAGTCCCAGATACTTGGGAGGCTCAAGTGGGAGGAGGGCTTGAGCCGAGGAGTTTGAGGCTGCTGTGACCCATGATACAACCTGGACAACAGAGCAAGGTCCTGTCTCTAAACAAAAAAATAAATAAATATTTATTTCAAATTTGGAACTTTAAACTTGCCAGCAATAGCCATTGATACCATTACTTAGAAAGTCCCTTTAAAATTGCATCATTGAATAAGCACAATATGAAAAGTGATGCACCAATGCACAGAATAGATGCCAGAGTCAATGAGACATTAGTAGTCTACTAATACACTAGTAAAACCAGACTACTCAGATCTTTCAGTTAACTGGACTCATTTCACAATTTTTCTTAGCTATGAAGAATCAAGTGATTTGTGAAATGATCTATTAGTAATTAAGTAAAAACAGCTACCTTCTTTTAGAAAAAACATATCCTGCAGTAATTTTAGATTTAGCTCAATTATCTACATCTACAAGCCTATCCAATGAGAACTGCTGTTGATAGATGTGATCCTCAGGTATAACAAGAGTTTCAATTTTCAGAGTAAGAAAGGATTATATTTGAATATTATCTTTTGTTAAGTTTTTAACCAAAAGTTTCACCAATACATCATTACCCAGAAATTCTAAATAGTAAATTGTAAGGTAATTTATTTCTTGTCAAGTGTCTCATATATTATTACTGTGCATAATCTCATGCTATGTGCTGCAATTATTTAAAACGTTTTGGCTGGGCACGGTGGCTCATGCCTGTAATCCCAGCACTTTGGGAGGCTGAGGCTGGCAGATCACCTGAGGTCAGGAGTTCAAGATCAGCCTTACCAACATGGAGAAAACCCGTCTCTAATAAAAATCCAAAATTAGCCAGGCATGGTGGCGCGTGCCTGTAATCCCACCTACTCGGGAGGCTGAGACAGGAGAATCGCTTCAACCCAGGAGGTGGAGGTTGCAATGAACCAAGATCGCGCCATTGCACTCCAGCCTGGGCAACAAGAGCAAAACTCCATCTCAAAAAAAAAAAAAAAAGTTTTACACCTCAAAGTATGTTATCCTAAAATACATATATAGTATTGAAACCAAATGGTCTAAACCTTTGTAGTTCTCTAAAGTCAGAAAAGCCAATCAAGAGAAACAGCACAATAAAGCTACCATCAAAAGACCCAGAAGAAGGAAGATTGTCATAAGAGCCATCAAATACGACAAGAACACCTTTTACGTTATTTGTACAAGGAAAGACACCCACAAGGAGTGAAATAAAAAAAGATAAATTTCATATCTGGAAGTCTACTTCCGTGTTTTAGAAACAGAATGACTTAAGTGCTTTCTCCCAATCAACTGTGATAATGACATTTTTAACAGTTTTCCATTGCTAGATTTTTGGACTCATTCTTCTCAATTGATGCTCCATAAAAAGCAATTACAGACAATGTTCCATTATCAGTAGGAAATAATCCATCCCAGGCTGGCTTTACCTACCACTCTAATGTACCTCTGATTTGCCTTCTACTTCTCCTCACTATGTGTGCAAGGAAAATGTACTAATTTTATATTTAGTTTAAATGAAGCATTATTAAAGGCAGATGTTACAAAAAGTCAATGTTTTAGATTTTTATGTACCTAAATTTAAGTTTCGGCTCAGCTACTTACTAGCTTAGTCAAGTTAATGAACCAATTTTCTTGCCTCTCTCTAAGCTTCACTTTCCTCATCTGAAAATGGGGTATAACAATCTTACTTACTTTGTGGCACTGTCATAAGGATCAATTGAAATAATACACTTAAATGTTTTAGTTTCATGCCTTAGGCATAAGTATACAGTAGATGAAAACTATAGTTATTCATAAAATAATTTGTTCACTGTAAGGTTATTACCGTCAAACTAATATAGAAAATACGCAATATTCAGGGTATAAGTAGACTTCTCTCAAAGTAGAGAGATAATCTTTAAAGTTTTCAGTTTAACTTTTGGTTGTTACTTTTAATCAAACCATATTTCTCTGATATCCTATTATATTATACTGTTATTTAAAAATAATATATGTCCATTTATAAATAAGTTTTTTTAATTGACAGATAAAATTGTATGCATTTAGCATGTACAGCACAATGTTTTGAAGTATATACTCACTGTGGGATGACTAAATCTAGCTAATTAATATGTGCATTACCTCACATGGTTGTGATTTTTGTGGTGAGAACACTTTACATCTACTCTTAGCATTTTTCAAAAATACAATAGTCACCATGTTGTATAATAGATCTCTTGAAGTTATTCCTCTATCTAACTGAAATTTTGTATCCTTTGACCACTATCTCCTCAACCTACCCCTCTCCCCACTGCCCAATTACCCTAGCCCCTGGTAACCACCATTCTACTCTCGACTTCTATGAAATCAACATTTTTAGATTTCACATAGGAATGAGATCATGTGCTATTTGTCTTTCTATGCCTAGCCTATTTCACTTAACATAATGCAAATTAAGACACCAATGAGATATGACTTCACATCTTTTAGAATGGCTATTACTGAAGACAAAAGATAACAACTGTTGACCAGGATGTGGAGAAAAGGGGACTTGTATACACTGTTGGTAAAAATGTAAATTAGTACAGCTACTATGATAAATAGTATGAAGGTTCCTTTAAAAATTAAAAACAGAACTACCATATGATCCAGCAATTCCACTACTAGATATAAACAGGATTTTAATATCTGCATATACAAGTCTATAATGATTATGTGGGTCACATAACATAAAAGAGATCCATCAAATAAAATTATAACACAATATGATAGTACCTGAAAAACATATTTTCTTAATATCCTATTTCAAAATTCCCATGGAAGAAAAAATTCCCATTTGAGAAAATGTGGCACAAAGTTGTACAGTTCTTTAAATCACATTTATGAATCCAACAAGCAAATCCTTTTTTAAAAAAAATCATAAAGAGGAAATAGTAATTTTCTGATGAAACATTATGATATTCAAACCACAAAATAGAAATGTACGAAGTTTAAAAACACTGTAAATGTTGTACATAAATTTAAAAATTAAAAACTAACAGGAATCGGCTGGGCACAGTGGCTCATGCCTGTAATCCCAACGCTTTGGGAGGCCAAGGCAGGCGGATCACCAGAGGTCAGGAGTTCGAGACCAGCTTGGCCACGGTGAAACCCCGTCTCTACTAAAAATACAAAAATAAGTCAGGCATGGTGGCATGCACCTGTAATCCCAGCTACTTGGGAAGCTGAGGCACGAGAATCGTTTGAACCTGGGAGGCAGAGGTTGCAGTGAGCCAAGATCACGCCACTGCACTCCAGCCTGGATGACAGAGTGAGACTCCATCTCAAAAAAAAAAAAAAGAAAGAAAAACTAACAGGAATCATTGTTCCTTAGAGCTACAATAAAATAAAAGGCATGAGTGCAACTGAAGCTGTGAGCTAGCGGAAAGAGAATAGTAGAGGAAGATATCAAAAAGGTAAGGTGTGGTGGGTGTCAAAACATATAGGATCTTATAAGCTACTGCAAGTACATCGGCTTTTATTCACTGAGTGACATGAGAACCATGGTGGAGATTTGAGGAGCCAAGTGACATGATGTTCATATTTTAAATGAATAATCTTTCTGTGCTAAGAATAGAGGGTCATGAGTGAAAGCAGGAAGATCAATTAGGGGTTGTGGTAATCCTAATAATCCTACCATTATTATAGTGGTCCAGCTGAGACTTCAACTAGTGTGGTATCAGTGGAGGTGGGTAAGAAATGGTCAGCTGTTGAAAGTGCCTTACTTTGAAGGAAAAGCTAATGAGATTTTCTAATGGTTTGACTGTAGAATGTGAGAAAAGGGTAGTGAAGGACAAATCCAAAGTTTTTGGCCTAGGTGGACGGATGGAGATACCGTCAACTGAGAAAGGGAAGACTTTTGTAGGAGCAGGTCTGGAGGGGAATATTAGCAGTTCAGTTTTGGTTGTGTTATTTTGAGAGATCTATTGTGCATCCAAGGAAAGATGTTGGTTATGAAGTTTAATATATGAGTCTGGAGTTCAAATGTGAGGACTAAGTTGAATGTAAATTTGATTTAGAGGTTCAGGACATAAAGAGGAATGAGCAAAGAAGACTGAAAAGGAGTGGCCTGAGAGGTAGGAGGAAAACAAGATGAATGTTGAGGAGACAAAAAAATAAAAAGTGTTTCAAATTGGAGAGAATAATCAACTGCACAGAATGCTACTGATAGGTCAATTAAGATGAGAGACTGGGCATGGTGGCTCATGCCTGTAATCCCAGCACTTTGGGAGGCCAAGGCAGGCAGATCACATGAGCTCAGGAGTCCAAGACCAGCCTGGACAATGTAGCAAGACCTGGTCTCTACCAAAAAATACAAAATGATTAGCTGGGTATGGTGGTGCACTGCATGCCTGTGGTCCCAGTTACTTGGGAGGTTAAGGTGGGAGGATCACCTGAGCCCAGGAGATTGAGGCTGCAGTAAGCCATAATTATGCCACTGCACTCCAGCCTGGGTGAAAGAGTGAGATCCTGTCTCAAAAAAAAAAAAAAAAAAATTAAGATGAGAACTGAGAATTGACCATGGGATTTGGCAGCATGAAGATATCTGGTGACATTGATAAGAGCAGTTTTGATAGAATGGTGGGATGGAAACCTGGTTGGAGTGAGTTTAGAAGAGAAAGTGAGAGGATTAAAACTGGAAGCAGTGCATATGAATAAAATTATATTGTGAGGTGCTTTGCTTCCAAGGAGAGTAAATAAATGGAGTGATAGCTAGCAACAGAGAAAGGGTCAAAAGAAGGCTTTTGAAAAATGGGACCGCATGTTTACATGCTGCTCAGAATGGTAGGAGAGAGAAGAAAAAATTATTGAAGCAATATCTGTGAGTAGCTGAAAGGAATGAAAATTTATACACAAGCAGAAGAATGCGGACATGAAAATTTCATCTATGGTGATAGGTAGCAAGACAGATACATGAATGCAGATACTAAAAGGTAAATGTGGTGGGGGGAGCCTGTGGAAGTTCTCTTCTGAATGCTTCAATTTACTCGTAAATTAAGCAGCAAGGTCATCAGCAGAGAATAAAGATGGGGAAGAGCTCTGAGGTTGGAGCAGAAAAGCAAAGGTGTGAAAGGCATCTAGGGGCATAGTTGAGGGAACGGAGTAGGGACATATAAACTGATTCTCTGAAAACATAAAGGCCCACCTGGGGCTTCAGAAAAGAACTCTGTGTCCAAATCATAGGGCAATACTGGATTGGAATAGGCAAAACCTGGAGGATGGGAGGAAGACCAGTTGGGAGGCTATTTTAATAGCCATGAGAAACAACTAGAGAGGGTTATCATCTAAAGTAGGGCAAGAACAGCTGGAGGACATCTGAGGACACAAATGTAACAGTTATTACAAAAGCAAAACCAATGGGATTTGGCAAGAAATTAGAAGTGAATGAGATAATCAATGAAGGGAAGATAGCCCTGTAATGCTCAGTGTAGAAAAACTGAATACAGCAATGCCACTGATGAACTCGGAGAACTATTTCAATACTGCAAAAGGTAGTAACCAAATTGTCAGCAGCTTAAAGCAATGAGTATAATTTTTATTTAAAGAGAAGAAAGATTTAAAAAGATAAAAAGTGTTAATAGTATCAAGGAATGTTTCTGTGTTTGTTGCTGTCATCATTGTTTTCAGTGATTAAGGACACCAGGGTGATAAACTGAGGGGTATCTAGGTAATCAGAAAATACTAGCAATTAAAGACACAACAGAGCTTATTTGATAAAGGAAAGAAACACTACAAACATTCTGAATGACCCCAAAGTCCAGGTTTTTAACCACTACACAATACATGCTCTATAAAATTAAGGGTCTTGGAAAGGTAGTGTAAATTGTTTAGCTTCTAAGGAAAATTTTAGAGTTAAAGCTCTTAGAGGTGGAATTATTCTAAAGGATGACACAGTCCAAGGTACAGTCATACCTATAATTAGCTAAATATATAAATGCAAAAGTCAGAGTTTAGCAAACAAGGAACTAAGAGCAAAAAATGTATTGAAGGCTATTAGCGTAATAGTTGAAATCACCAAAATGAGTAGCAAGGGTAAAGGACAAAAGCATAGCCAGGTGCTATCATCAAGGAAGGTCAGCAATAACAGACTTCAAAAGAGAAAAGGTTGTTGAAAGATGGTTTAAAGAAGATAGCACGAAAGGAGCAGCAGGAAAAAGGGTGCACCACAGAAGCAGGAAGAAGAGTGAAAAAGGGTAAAAGTGTCAGGACTCGTTTCAGGGGAATACCCAAAATGCCAGTTGTGGCTAGATGGAAGGAATAGTCAAGGAAAATTTTAAAGGGAAATTTTGTTTGGATTCATTCAACAGCTACCAACAAATATTTATTCAAGGCCTACTAACTCTTCTAGGTGCAGGAGAGAAATAAACATGAGGGTAGCAGGAGAGGTGATGACAAGATGTTCCACAGTGGGCACAGTAGGGTCTAGATTTCACTGATCCTTAACCTTTTATTTTGGTGTAAGGCGACCTTTGAAACTCCTGTGGACAACTACAGGTAAATAGACAACCACAAAAAATGTACAGTAACATGTGGGATATAATTTTGAATGAATGAATCACAAATCAAGATCTCTAGTTCTTCTCTGGTCAAATTAACAATGTAATACGGTTTAATTCCTCATCTCTCCCCTCTCCTGCCATAAACTTCTGAATACTCAAAATATGGTATTCATTATCTAATATAGGCAGTGATTTAGGCCACAAGCTATAAAACACAGGAAACATGCTAGAAAATGTAGGTTGTGTGAATGTTGCTAATAGAACAAACTTGGATGAATTAATTTCTCTGTCCCTTCTATTGTTACTCTCTACCCTCCCAAGTCTATTTCATATACCCAACAAGAGACCTTGTGATGTTTTCAGCAGAGGACCTAGGCCTCTTTTGCTTTGTAGAAACAGACACACAAATCAGTTAACTGAAAAACTGACTCGATGTCCTAGAGACTACTAAATAGTAGAAAACAAAGATAAATAAAACTGCCTCTACTTTTAGGAGCTCACAGTGGAAGAGATAGACAGGTAAGGACATTTTTGCCAAGAAAAAAGAAAAAAAAAGGATACTTTTGCAAATAGTTTTGTTATATCAAGTTTCTGGTCTCTTCTTTATGTGATATAAACACTGTCCATACAAACACACCTCCTTAAAACTCAGTGCTATTCTGGGCACACACATTTTAAAATTACATCAAAATTAGGGGTATAACTTACCATCATTTTTTCAAAGAGATCCAATACTTCCTTTTCTGACAAATTCAAAGATCGTTCATCATATAATGGCTGAGCTGCAGGAAACTCACTCATCGCGACTTGAGAATCAATAGGATGTTGAATAAGAGGTTTTTCTTTTTTGACAGTAGATTTTCTAAAACTTGTAATTCGGTCACGCTGCAAACAAAAATAAATAAATAAAAAGCCCTGAGAAAAAGATCAAGAACTACTAACATGAAGAATTGAAACATCAAAACGGCACTTAGTATAATACATATCATTATTGTCTTCTGACAAAATACTATTTTAAGCAGCAAGCTCCAGTTAGAGATTGTACTATTTTGAAACCTTGAAGTACTCTTCAGCCTCAGAACTCTGGGGGTGAAAAGTATTCTTCAAAAGTAAAACTTAGTCCCTTGTCATTTCTGTTTTGCACAGTAAATAAGTGAAAAAAAAAGTCTCGGATCAAAGTCCTGTTGGTTGTTTCTGGGAGAGTGTGTCTTTGGTGGCAACTTTAGAACTATGAAAAAAGAGAAAGAAACTGAAAAAGAGCTACTGATTTCCAATTCTAAGAGAAAATTATGGTAATGTTTTTCTCCTTCAAAGTTGCAAAAATTGTGACAAGTATAAATGAATAATGTGTCAGTGTAGCAGTAGAATGGTTAAGAGCGTGGACTCAAGACAGATTACTTGGGTTTCAGTCCAAGCTCTGCCATTTACTAGCTGAGTAACCTTGTGAAAGTTTACTTGGTCTCTCTCTGTTTCCTCATCTCTGAAATAGGGATAATGATATTACTTACACCATAGGGTTACTGTGAAATTTAAATAAGTTAATATGTTTATTGCACTTAGCTGCTATTTATTATTGTTGTTACTATTATTATTTTCCCCCAGCATTTTCTTCCCTAAAATGTTGGGCCAATGAGGAAGCAAAACAAAGATAAAAACATCGGCTTTTCCATTTACTGGAAATGTAACAAACAGAAATTTCTTATTCCTACAAATATCATTAAGAAAAACTTGCTATTTTACGGATATTGACTTCGAACCACTGATTCCATGTAAAATCTCTAATAATTAGCTTGCTATTTCACATAAAGTGAGTTAATGACTTCAGTTGCATGTAAATAGGATATTCTATTTTAAACCACAAAACATGGGACATCAAAAGTTAGTAATGTGCATAAAACTGAATGCAACTCAGTTTTATTATGGTTTCTGTTAGGAAGCACATGCATACCATCAAGCTCACATTAAACAAGCAGATATGTTAAATATCAGGAGAATATATCTTCACCGCCATGTAACCAGAATCCTTATATAATTACTTCAACAATACAAAGAGCATCACAGAAGTTATTACCATAGCTTATGTAAAATTATGTGAACTCCTCATTAATGAGCATAACTTTTATTTTAAATTCAAAGAACACTTTTTTAAAACCAAAAAGTATACTTTGAAAGAAATATGAGCAGTTTTAAGCAGCTTATTTAGGATTACAAAAGCAATTTGAGTACACAGTTGCTGACAAAGACATTATATAAATCATAGTATTTTAGAGCTGAGAAGAAACTTGAAAAATAATCTAAACCAATCCCCTCATTTCACAGAGAAGGTGATTTTCCTAAATCCAACAGCCCCTGGTTCCTATCCCAGTCTTCACATTAACTTAAGATTCATTTCTTCTAATCATCTTGAACTATATTTTCACATTTTCTTTTAACTTTTTGAGGGAAATTAAGTTGGTTTAGTTATATAGTATATCTTCAAACAACTCAAGAAAAAAGTTAAGTAATCCAAAATAAGCTGAGGATATATCCAATAGTCAAATTTCACTAAAAATATGGTGGACATGAAAGCATTTAAATATGCAACTGACCATTAAATCAACATATCTCTTCTCCTTTCCCTTCATATCACTTAATATTTACTTTTCCAGTACTAGCCTTTTTACTGAGTAGCATTAATAACATATATATTTGATATTCCACTGTGTCTTTCAGTTTATCTAGAAAATTAGCTTTTGATTTCAGCTATACCTTGGTAAGAAAATGTAGTTGGCTGGGTGCGGTGGCTCACGCCTGTAATCCCAGCACTTTGGGAAACTGAGGTGGGTGGATCACCAGGAAAAGTTTGAGACCAGTCTGGCTAAGACGGTGAAACCCCATCTCTACTAAAAATACAAAATTTGGCCAGGCGTGGTGGTGGGCACCTGTAATCCCAGCTACTTGGGAGGGTGAGGCAGGGGAATTGCTTGAACCAGGGAAGTGGAGGTTGCAGTGAGGCGAGGTTGCAGTGAGCCGAGATCGCGCCACTGCACTCCAGCCTGGGTGACAGGGCGAGACTCTGTCTCAAAAAGAAAATGTAGTTAAGCCACATACCTTCATCTCCTTTGAGCACTATCACTACTTTAAATTATTTGTAAATAGGTAATTTCACATAGGAAAAAAAAAACTGACAAGGCTTAAAATACCATTTTTTATAGTTTAGCTATAAAAGGGTATATTTACATTTTGAGCCCATAACTTTTAAAAAGATATACTATGACAAATTCAGCTTTAAAATACTGGTTTTTAAATTTAGTAGCACACATCTGACTAACAGTGAACTTAATTTCCTTTCTAATGGAAATTAATTTCCTCCAATATTAATGTTTAATACATTCACAATTTATTTGGCCATCAAAAAAGGAAGCATCTGTGTTTTCCAGAGTCTAGATTCACAAGATTTTAAAAAACATTTGGTTAAGGTAAATATTAGGATGATATGAAAATTCTGTTGGGATCTCATATAATTGTTTGTGTTAATATTCGAAAAGGAAGTCACTGAATTGACAATTATTCCATTCTACTATACTTTGTAAATATCCAGACATTTTGTATCTTACATATATCAATGCTTTTATGTCCACCCATTTTAATTAAAAGGCAACATGCATAAGTAATGTAATAACATGCTAAGACCACCTTACCACATCATCTGCCAAAGTTTTTATTTGAATGTTCTATTAAAACCAAAAAGAAACAAACAAAAAAAACCCATCAGATAAGAGAAACTCATAGATCAAACAATAAAATAATTTAATAATTTTCATTTTTATTAACTGTAAACAGTCAAAAAGAATCAGAAAGTTCAAACATATAAACAATACATTCTTTAAAGAAAAAAATCTTTTTAATGATTAAAAATGAAGGTTTGGCAAAGGTGTATATATTTGTTTTTAAATACGGCTCCCAATGTCCCAAATCAGATCTAAATCAGACGTCACTACCACAGTGCTGAAATGTGAGAAAAGATACAACAAAATCATAAGCCCTGGCATGCTATATATAAGTTTGGAAATGAATCCTCAAGCTAAGATACCTAAATTTAAAAAACAACACCACGTACAATAGGAAAAATGTCACATTTAACAAGAATGAAATATAATGAAACAGCTTGGCCTAAGAACTGTGTTATTCCTGATGGATATTTAAAGGACACTTTTATAAATATGCTAAATAAAATTGAACTTATTTTTAAAAACTATCCTTATAAATAAATTAGAAATATTTTTAAAATATTCTAAATAAAATTGAACTTATTTGAACATAAAATTGAACATATATGAGCAACATTATTTGAAGAATTTAAGTACAGCAATACTAAAGCAATACCTAATAATGTAGTTATGTTCCATGATTCACGGGATAGTTCAAGACCTTACAATAATGTATGATAAGCATGAAATATAGTTTTTATTATAAATATGTTGAAGTGCCAATTAGGGGTGTGATTAGGAAAGAACCAGATTTTTTTTAATTGTCTGTTAGAAATTGAATTAAATGTTCTGCCAGATCCTATACATTTATTTCTTACAACAGAAGCTGAATAATGTATATCAACTTGGTCATGCACACTAAAAAAAAAATAGGGTCTTCTCACAGTGGGGAGGATTCCATTATGAGTTTTAAGTGAATGAAAATTGCTTGGATCTCAGAAAATTGTCTTCAAATACCACCAATCCAATGCTGTTAAAGACCATCCTCCCCAGATCAGCTGGGGCAAATATACTATTCTATGTATAACTCTTTTCTTTTCTACTTTTAATCCACTGATTCCCTCAGGGATCTAAACTTCTAATCTCTATACCATGTCTTCATCACATCCTGCTGACACAAACCCCAATCAATCTTTACTGCCTAGGAAAAAAGTGGGAATTATTTATATCAGAACTGAAACCACTTTAAGAAGGATGAATTCACCCTGCAACTCTCTCTACCAGGTATTTTCTCCTTAATTTTTCTAGTGGGTTATAGAAAACTGTTTTAAACACAATGGCCAATTTCATGATTTCCTGCAATACCAAATCAGAGAGAAAATGACAAAGTATCAAAAGTGCCTGAACTAATTCTGCTACCATCCCTATGTGCGCTTGTCCACATGTGTTTTTGAGACAGATTATACAGTTCTTCATGCAACTACTGCTTTCCTTCTCTTCCCATCTTTTGGGGTTATAAACTCCAGGCTGGAAACCCATCTATATCTCCAAAGCAAGAATGTAAATGAAGGGAAAATACTTTTTGCTTTAGTCAAATTATCTAAATTAAGGTACACATATGTTTAAAATGTTTCAAATCTGTATCTCAATTGAATACATGTTGACAGTTTAATCATGGGAGACAGACACAAGAAAAAAAGCATTGCTAGCAATATTTTCACTTGGTCCTATGGGACGAGACTGAAGTCTTCCCTTCCCCTCAGTACTCTTCTTTGGAATTAACATACTTTTTATCTATAGTAAACCACAGAGTATAGAGGTAGAAACTATTCAAGTTAGATGGAATTCAAGATAATCTAGTCAAAGCCTCTCATTTTACAAACAAGAGGGTAACATTTGTTAGTGGCTCCACCTGCATTCCACTTGTCTAGGTTTAAGATTTCCAAATCTTGTTCTCCTTCCTCTCCTTCATTTCCAATAGCCAAGCAGCTATCCAGTCCCATGATAATCATTCTGCCATTTGCAAAGATGTGGTTCAAGCCACCATCAGCTCTTAACTAAATTTCTGTAGTGACTTCCTAATCTATCTCCTTGCTTCCACCTTTGCTCTCCTACAGTTAATTTTGAACACAGCTGACAAAGTGATACTGTGAAAACTGAAGTCACGTCATGTCACTCCTTGGCTCAACACTTTCCAAGGGCTATTTTCCCTCCTAGTGCAAGTCAAAGTTATTACAATGACCTACAAGGCCCTACTGATCTATACACTCTCCATATCCCTCTGACCTCATCTCCTACTACTCTCCCTTCATTCCCCCAGCTCCAGTCACACTGACCACTTCACGGCTCCCCAATGAGGCAATAAGCCACATGCACTGGCTCTTCTCTCTGCCTGGAATGCTCTTTCTCCATGGCCCATATGGCTTACTCCCTCTTCCTGCTTTCAAGGTTTTGCTCAGTGAGGCCTACCCTGGCCATCCTATTTCAAATGGAAACATCTGCCTCCCTCCACATATTCCTGGCACTCCTGAACAAGATTTAGCACGTTCTAACATAGTCTATAATTTACTTAATTATCATTATCTTGGTCTGTTTTTCCAACAAAAAATATAAGCTCCACAAGGACAGGGATTTTTGCCCATCTGGTTTAGGGATGTAACCCTAACGCCTAAAGCAGTGTTTGGCACATTGAGGCTCAATAAAGAGTATGAATGACTATCATACTCCCTCCTGTTCATAAATATTCAATGCCTCCTGATGACCTATAGAATAAAGATGAATATCCTTAATATGGAATTCAAAGCCCTGTATGATTCAGCCCTGGGCTATCTTCTACTTCTTCTCTTATGATCCCTATTCTACAGAAAACAAAAATTAAAATCCTCTTCCCAATGCATACTCCCATGATGTCCTCTTTGTGCCCCTACTGTTCCCTTTGATTTGGAATGTCCATTCTGCTATATACATTTCTAATTCTAGAGCTGCCCTTGAATTGAAAGTTTAGTTGTTGATAAACCAAATGTGGACCCCTGGTCAAAAATAATACTGGAGAAGGACTGTGCTTTGTTTTATTCTTAAAGAATTTTCTTTTTTCCTGACAGGCATCTACAAGAATGATAGAGTACCCGAAGGCACATAGGAAATTATACTTATGTAAAAAATTATCCTAATTACGTGTGATAGAGAAACATAAAGAAAAACACCCCACTCCTGATTTCTTGATTTGTAAATTTCATTCAACTAGAGTGGATATCCTGTATAACCACATACATTTAATACGAATATTTTCTCAGATTTCCCTCATGTAAAAATCTGCTTTCATAAATATAATACTATTTAAAGCTCTTCGTTATAACTGTTCAGAAAAAAGAACAAATATGGTCTATCGAAAAGGAAAATCTTTAAGCAGATATGAAGGGCTGAATTTCAGAAGGGGTAATTTTTAGCCACTGTACATTAAACATGCATTGAAATCATTGTATAAGTTACAATTAAATGATCTGCAAACAAAACGAAATCATTTCTGCTACACAATTATCTTTCTATATTAGTCAAAAAAGAAAGGTATAAAAGGACTTGAGAATAACAACAGAAACACCAAAAAAATTTTTTTCATTTATAATGATGGTCTTCTGGGACAAGCTCTCAAAATTCATTTATGTGGATGGGTGCATCTGTCTCACACCACATGCAAGTAAACATGGATTTCATTCCTGTGTACAAACTACAGAGCTACTATGGAGTTAAAAAAAGTCAGAAACAAAAATGACCCCCCCAAAAATCTTTATTAGAGTCATACCCCTGAATTAAAAGCACTGATTAAAGTCATTTTTGTAAGTTTTTATTATGCAAATCTAATGATCATGCTCATTACAATGAGGGCATATTGTACCAATAAATATAGTGACCATATATTTTCATTAAAATCAACTCTGGAAAAGCAATAAGACTGTGCATTAGTCAAGCAATCAGAGTTTATTAAACTTCATTTATGATCAGCTATATTAAATATAACTTAGCACAGTATTATATGAATATTGTGTAACTATAAAAGTATCACTCCAGAGTCTCAACCCCTTAAGACTAAGAGAAATGACTGACTTACTTATAAACTCTAATGCTGAAGTTGTGATTGCAATGCAAGAGTCATTATTGTAAGAAAATTAAGTTTTAATTTTCTCAATCAGGCAGAAATTAACAAAAAGAGCAAGATGTAAAGATTCAACTCTCTTATAGCTAATGTTACATGGTAATACAATGTTTTATAAACATCGTGCAATTACTCTACTACCACAGAAATTGGACAACTAAGTTGCATATAATTCAAAAGTCTCACCACCAACTCAAAAACGTATTCGCACTATTTGACTATTTTCTTCTCTCTTAAAGAAAATGAATTAAGTTGGCCATTACAATAGAGATGAAGGGTCAACTCTTTACCTTCCTTAAGTTTCTTGCGTTCCAAGAATGGCAGGTACAATAGGACACAAAAAACAACCTTCACTTCAGCTGAACAAATATTTAAGCATCTACTATGCATCTGTTTGTCAGGCCTCTGGACCCAAGCTAAGCCATAGCATCCCCTGTGACCTGCACCTATACACCCCGATGGCCCGAAGTAACTGAAGAATCACAAAAGAAGTGAAAATGGCCTGTTCCTGCCTTAACTGATGACATTCCACCACAAAAGAAGTGAAAATGGCTGGTCCTTGCCTTAACTGATGACATTACCTTGTGAAATTCCTTCTCCTGGCTCATCCTGGCTCAAAAAGTTCCCCCACTGAGCACCTTGTGACTCCCACTCCTGCCCGCCAGAGAACCCCCTTTGACTGTAGTTTTCCTTTACCTACCCAAATCCTATAAAACGGCCCCACCCCTACCTCCCTTCACTGACTCTCTTTTCGGACTCAGCCCGCCTGCGCCCAGGTGAAATAAACAGCCTTGTTGCTCACACAAAGCCTGTTTGGTGGTCTCTTCACATGGACACGAGTGACATAAGTGAAACTGTTCAGTACTGGGCACTGGGAATACAGTGGTAAACAAGGTAAGCATGCTGTCTTCCTTTAAGGAGGTTACACTCTAGTTGAAGATCAGAAGAATGAAAGAACAATCACAATATAAAGCTTCTGAGAGTTCTGATATGGTAATACTCTATTATAATCTCCATATATTTTCCAAGTCAGAATGGACCTTGAGAAAGGTAATCAACATCAACCAATGATTCAGGGTTTGATTTCTCTGGACGACATCCCTGCCCAATCCCTATTCAGATAAGCAGCAGTCACAGAGGGAAGTAGTTACTATTCAAAGGCCTGCCTTCCAACTTTTCAGACCCTATACTCACTCCTGAACTTTAAAAACCAGTAAGGCCAATCCAAACAACTCAAGGCCAATCACCTGGTAACCAAGCTGAACATTCTGTTCAGGCATTCAAATGCTTTATTATAAAGATTTTCTGTTAGTTGAGTACCTCTCAGTTGTGTTTAATTTCACCAAGAAAGCAATGTCTAATTTTATTTTTAGAACTAAGCTCAAAGTACAGGCTTGAGTCTAAGATGACCTTTTAGAAAACAAATTTTTCCTTTTGCAATCACTGAACTATTTACTGCGTGTACTTAAAATTACTCCCAATCATTCTTTCATCTCCTTTCTAAAAGTAAGAGTCATTTTCAGCCACCTACACTTCATCTTAGGCACTGTAGTCCTCTATCACCATTAGCACTTAAGAATAGATGCTAGATCAAGTGGTGGTGTGTGAGGCACTGGGGATTTAGAGAGATATGGCCCTGCCCTCAAAGCTCAAAAGCCTAGTAGTTGAGAAGATGAAGTTACAGATATGAAGTTCCAGTTCTCCACCTTACTTTGCCATTGTTAACATCTTGAACTGTCCATTTCATCATTTTAGTAGAGCAATACTTTTGTATTTTTGTGACCATAAGCACACCATCTCAGAAGTACAGTCAATTCAAAAGCCTCAAATTTTAACCCACCAGAGTTCTTTGCTATTACAAATCAAAATTCATTCCACCATTTTTATGACAAGAAAAAAATCCTTTTGAGATTCTCTTCTCAAGATGCTCTTTCAATTTATAAAGAACAAAATATTTATCTATAAGAGAACAAATATGACATCACAGTATAGGGTTTCAGTTTTCTTCACAAAGCAGAAGTCTATGTTACTTCACTGGATAATTTTGATAAATCTGTCATAACAAGTTATGCTCAATCTTAAATGAATTGTCTTGCCATAAAGCTCAATCTTGAACTGCCAGGAGGGGTGACTATAGCAGTCTGTGTGTGACAAACCTGATCAGCTTCAGGACTAAGGGTAAATGGTTCAGGAAATATGTCTGCCACTTAGGTCTTTAAGAATGTTCACACTAATGAATTGGAGGAAGTCACTTAGTGCCTGAATTAAGCAGAAACAATTGCAGGAATAATCCAGCTTTTAGAGTAGTAGCATCCTCTACAGGTATAGAAAGAATGTTTGTTTGCTTTATACTGTGAAAGGAAAATATCTTGGGCCTCTTCAAGCTGGGAACCGCCTCTTATTCTATTCAAAGTCATCCCTCTGCTCACAGAGACAAATGCATATTCTGATTGCCTCTTTTGAAAAGACTTACCAGAAACTCAAAAGAATGTAACCATCTGACTCTCACCTACCTGTGACCTGGAAGCCCCCAGTAGGGAGGCCTTACTTTGAGTTGTCTCCACATTTCTGGATGGAACTAATGTACTTCTTACATATTGATTGATGTCTCATGTCTCCCTAACATGTATAAAAGCAAGCTGTGCACTGACCACCTTGGGCACATGTCATCAGGACTTCCTGAGGCTGTGTCACAAGCGCATTGTCAACCTTGGCAAAATAAACTTTCTAAACTGAGACCTGTCTCAAATTTATGGGGTTCACAATATTAAAGCATTTCAAATGGGAAAAAAAAGTTGTGTAGACATGAAAGTTCTTCTTTCTTAGACTATGAATAAAAAGCAATAGAAATGAAAAAGCTAGATTTAGACAAATACAAAAATTTCAAAACCAACACAGTACTTTGTACATAACAGATACTCTTAGATCAATGATTTAGCCAAGTAGTGCTTTATATTTAATAAATAGATTTTTACCTTCTCTGTCAAAAAAGGACAAATTTCTCAACCAAACCTTAATCAAGCACCCATTTTATACCCAACACTTTATGGCACATAGAAGTTTAAGGATTCTTCCCTTAAGGCATTTACAGTCTAACCAGGGAGTAAAAACTAACCATATAGGCTGGGCTTGGTGGCTCACACCTGTACTACCAGCACTTTGGGAGGCCAAGGCGGGTGGGTCACCTCAGGTCAGGAATTCGAGACCAGCCTGACCAACATGGTGAAACCCCCGTCTCTACTAAAAATACAAAAATTAGCTGGGTGTAGTGGTGGGCACCTGTAATCCCAGCTACTTGGGAGACTGAGGCAGGAGAATTGCTTGAACCTGGAAGGCAGAGGTTGCAGTGAACCGAGATCATGCCATTACATTCCAGCCTGGGCGAGAGAGTGGGACTCCGTCAAACCAAAAAAAAAAAACTAACCATATAAAAACAAAAATAACTAAATGCGAAACTATGAGTTTCTCAGGTATGTCGCTTCTCCCAAGGCACTATCCTCCTGTCTTATCTTGACAGCATTAACTGTTATCTGAAATGATATTGTTCACTTATTTGTGTTCTACTTTTTTTTTTCTTTTTTTTTTTTTGAGACGGAGTCTCCCTCTGTCACCCAGGCTGGAGTGCAGTGGCACGATCTCGGCTCACTGCAACCTCCACCTCCCGGATTCAAGCAATTCCCTGCCTCAGCCTCCCGAGTAGCTTGGATACAGGTGCCCGCCATCATGCCCGGCTAATTTTTGTATTTTTAGTAGAGATCAGGTTTCATCATCTTGGCCAGGCTGGTCTCGAACTTCTGACCTCGTGATCCATCCACCTCAGCCTCCCAAAGTGCTGGGATTACAGGTTGTCTTCTACTTTCTAGAAAACAAGTTCCCTAACAGTAGAGACCTTAACTGTCTTATTCACTTTCAGATCTCTGACACTTAGAACAGTAGCTGGCACATAATATCTGCTCAAATACTGTTAAATAAATTCATTTAAGCACAATAAGAATTCAGAGAAGAAATAGATAAATATAGCTTCATTGAGAAACTACAAAGAATTGTGGCCTAATTGTTGGGTAGGGATCTGAAGAGCCACAAAGAGAGAAAGAGAGGGAAGTCAGACAAAAGGAGCAGCATTAACATTTTACTTCAGGGAAGTTGAAGAGAACAGACTTATGAAACAAATGGTTCAAGTACAAGGGTATTAAATTTTGAATATGTAGGGTGGATTAGAGGCAGTCTTGAAAACCACAAGGAATAGTCAAAACTAAACTGGAAAACCACTAGGCGTTCTTATGATTTTCTGATTTGAAGACAGACATGGAGAAAATGGTATTTTAGAAAGCTGACTTTGGGTTGGCACACGTGTACAATCTTTTATTTGAAACCTTTCAAGCCAAACACGTCTTGGAACTCAGCATGTTTCATGTTTTAGAAAGGAATATGCTAGGTGTATCATATCTTACAAAACACACTAAGCAGGATCTGGGGTAACACATTAACTCAAATGTATTCAAGTTTAAAAGGAAAACATGGATATTTCACAAAACAGGATAAATAAAGAGTACCTATACGGCCTTAAGAAGGTTGGGGCTTGTGGCCAAATGATAAGAGTGTTTTCAGAGCATTCATATTTCAGAATTTCAGAAAAGGGTTATGGACCTGTAATATTGAGAATAAACTAAAGAAGGAATCAAAGGCTAAAAAGGCGGCTTGCAGAGATCAGCAAGTTTGGTCTATTCTACCTAACTAATAGCTACCATTTACTGAGCATTTATAGGCACTATGCTAAGAGCTTTACAGGCATTGCCTTGTTTAAATCCTCACAATAATCCTATGTACAAGAAGGTACTGTCTTGTTTTACTCATCAGGAAATCAAGGTTTACAGTCATTAAGTCATTTGCCTAAATCACAAAGATAATAAATTACACAGTCCAGATTAGCATTCAGGTCTGACTAGAACACACACTCTAGAACATCTATCTATATTCTGAAATCTGTGTGCAACAGTCTTCATCAGTATAACAATACTGGTTAGAGCTCCAGCTCTTTTTCAGTCTCGGCCTTTCCAGGTGCTCTTTGCTCTGCTTACAGCACCCGCTCCATCCCACCTCACCTCTTTCTTAATCATCTAGCCATCTTCTACTCAACTGTTCTGCTCTCAGCTAAGGATACAGTTGATCCTGTTATAGTCTCCCATGGTTCCTTCTGCAACACATTCCACGTATCAAATCCTAATTACCTATCAATATCAGTCTTCTGTGCAATACTGTAAACTCAATGTAGTAAGGACCAGGTTTTTCTCGATTCCCACTGTGTCCTCAGGTTTTTGCACTATTTCTAGCACATAGTAAGTACTCAAACCTGTGATGATTGACAGAATTGGGGCTGGGGGAGGAGAGAGACAGAGGAAGAGAGCGACAGAGAGAGAATGTGATCCAGTTGCAAGATGATAAAAGCTTAGCCTAGGATGGGAGCAATATAAATAGATAAGGCAGTTAGTATATATAATTTTGTTTAAAATAACGCTTGTTATTGAAGCAATGTACCCAGACATATGATTGCTGTTTGTATTAAATAGAGTAATTTAAATATCTGTTGTTATGATTACTATCTTTATAATGCAAAAATAACCTCTAAATGGCTATGATTATCACTCTGGAGATACTTCACCTCACAATGACTTGCTATCTGTCTACTTCAAGCAGCTTTTACAAATAACCACATCATTTAGTTTTCTGATGTAGTTGCAAAATTAATCTGACAAAACAAAATGATTCACTGCTTTAAAAATTCAAGAGTATAAATTGCCAAAAACTGAAAATTATACCTGAGTTGTGAATAAGGTATTATTATATTTTTTGTAGGAAAAAATACATAAAAGTCATACAGTGATTTAAGTTAACTTCACTATTAGTACTTTTAACTGATGGTCTTGAATTTGCAAACAATCCCCAATTCAGGAATGGGCCATGTCTCAAAATTCACTTGTATAGCAGTTGTTTAGCTCTTGGAACACATGTATCCAAAGGCGTTAACCCATAAGAAATCATTTCCAGAGTGAAAGCAGACAAACTTCTCTACATGGAAAACAAAAACAGCTCATTTACTCACACAGGAAGAACTTTAAAAATCACTAAATATTATATCAAATATTTAAAACGTAGAAGCTTAAACAGAATGTGATTATATGGTGAACAAAAAATAATTTTCAGAAAATTTAAAAAGTGTTTTTGGAAAAATTTAATATTATAAATTACTCAATTTTATAAACTTCATTTTTCCCCCAATGGGCTTCAGATTCTATGCTGAGTAGTGATAACTGAAAAAACCTTTTGTCTCATAATGTTCCTTAAATAGTTTTTTACTTAGTTTTAATTTGGATAAGAGATTCTTTCTCAACATAGTGACAGAAATTGTCAAAATAATAAATAACACATTGTAGGAAAATATCATTTATGTCACTGTGTTTTACAAATAATATCACAATGAATTAACAGGTAGTTTTAATTTTTTTACTTTTTATGATTTGGGGCAAAGCAACACTTGTATCTGTTTATGCTGATAGATCTCAAATTTCTCCTACTCTGTTGTGTTTCTCACGACGGACTCTTCGCTGTATTTAAATAATTGAAGTGGAGTAAGAGCTGCAAATAAATCAGCAACTATACTTAGCCCCTGAAGCCTCTTAAGTATTAATCACTGATCAGTTGCAATATAAAAAAGATGAGCTGTATGTCCCTTTGCCTGAAAACTCACAAGCAACCCAAGCACTAACCCTTATAATGACCCTTATACATACACAGGTCAAAGCAAATTATTCAGATTTTTATTTTCTCTTTTAATTAATATTATGAATCACAGAGATTTTTAAGTCTAAAGATTTTGATGTAGAAAACATTTTTTTCCTTTTCATCTGGATGTTAAGACAACAGTGATGTATTTTATATAATCAATATATAGATCACGGTTTGCATAAACCCATTAAATATGAAGTGGCTGTTAACCTTGCCTACAACTCTTTGACTTTGCTGATGCCAACAAAGGCTTCAAACCAGCAAAATCAAGCCCTTTCATAGGGGCTCCTGAAAACCACTGACAGATACATATTATATTTCTGCACATAAGACTCCAGCCATGTCAAATCTGCCAATAACACTCAGTGTGTATGAGACGTCTTCTTTGAAAACAGAGAAAGTCTGAATTATGAGGATAAATTTGAGATGGTCTAAACTTATTTTAATAGCATTCATTCAAGTTTCTATTTTCCTCACTGCTGCGTAATTTGGTTTTATAACAGTTTGGCCAATTAGGGACTGGGTAGGTTGAAATTAAATGTTACTATGAAGCTGACAGAATGATTTACAGTCAGTAGATCACTGAAAAACAAATAAAGATACGCTTAAAAATTTATAGAATTAGCCAAGCGTGGTGGCTCACGCCTGTAATCCCGACACTTTGGAAGGCGGAGGCGGGCGGATCACTTGAGGTCAGGAGTTCAAGACCAGCCTGACCAACATAGTGAAACCCCGTCTCTGCTAAAAATACAAAAAAATTAGCCATGCGTGGTGGTGGGCGCCTGTAATCCAAGCTACTTGGGAGGCCGAGGCAGGAGAATCACTTAAACCCAGGAGGCAGTGGTTGCAGTGAGCCGAGATCGCACCACTGCACTCCAGCCCGGGCAACAGAATGAGACTCAGTCTCAAAAAAAAAAAAAAAAAAAAAAAAATTATAGAATCACTCTTATGGGGTTACCATAAGTTCTGGCCCCACATTACTGTGTCAGTACCATAATCATAGCCAAGTTTTTTACAAAATTCCTAAATTAACTTCTCTTCAATTACCATTCTATTTGCTAATAATGTTAAACTTATTTTCAACAAAATTACCTATTTAGTAGCCATAATCAATACTACTGAAGTTTTCTACATACATGGGCCCTTCGTAGCCCTGATGAAACATATGGAGTTAGTTCTGCGACTACATTTTCTTACAGAAACAAAGTTCTCAATGATGGTTGAATTCGCAAATCAGCTTTAAAAAACCTTATTAAAATCCTATAAAAATCTATAATACACCTTCAGAGTCACACTGGTAGTAAGTAGTATTCCAACTCCATTCTCCTTTGAAACAGTTTCTGTAGAAAATACCCATTCTAACACGAGGTGTAAAAAACTTGATTTTTCCTTTCTATAGGCAGGACTGGCTATACCAGTGATGGTACATAAAGGGACAGAAGAGAGACAGCCACTTATTTCAACATAAGACTTCAGAGAGTAACCACAGAAGACATGATTACAGATCAAGCTTCTTAGGTGTCTTAATTGGGAAACAAGGGGCAATTTATTCCTTCTATTTAAAAAAATTATCCTGGCATCTAAATTCCCTCATAAACACTGCCTCTAGAGTACTTACAGTGAATTTGTTCAAGAACTTAAGTCAAACTTGACCCACCAGGTTAAAAGGTCTCTTCATTTTCAGGTATTCACTGAGCTCTGAGTATCCCAAATTTCATGAACTATACACAAGCACCCACCTACTTGAGCTTTAAACAGTGATCACTTTTTTTAGGAAGGAACTAGAATGGCTTCTTCCCCTCTCCATTAATAGCATAAGAGAATGTGCTAAGACTGGCATTTTCTTTCACATGAAATGCAGAAATGAGACTGTATGTAGACTCAAAGCTACAAACATAACTGAATATGAACACGTAACCCACAGATATTGAAAGGGTGACACAGTTTTAAAACTTAAAAGTTATGATGCAATGTCAGTCGCCAGTAGCCAACAATGTAGAGTGCTTCCTGAGCTACAATATGCTTGAAAAAACCTGGAAACACCACAAAAGTGGAATTTTTTATTACTCCCAAGGTCTTAGTTCAAACTTTGATTTTAGCATTTATCATAGTGCGATAATTTCTCACTAGAATGTATGAATTTCCTAAGGCAGGAGGTGGGTCTTATATAGTTTTGTATATATTACATAAATGGGTTAAAGATGGCCTCTGTATATTGGCCTTATGTTGTTTACTTCTTCACAGCAGCATAAGACCCATTAGCTCAAAGCCCACCTCAAATTGCTACATATCCAATTATTTTAAATGTAGCCCAAACAAACCAATTTTTAGCCATTAGAGCCTGCCTGGTTTGCCTACACTGCTGCAGCTAGACAGCAACAAGTCAAGGAAATACAGTAGAGGAAGGGAAGGAAACAGGGACAAGGGAAGAGAGAAAGAGGAGAGAAGGAGGGAACGAATGAATGAATGAGAGTCTCTCTTTTTTTTTTTCTAAGACGGAGTCTCGCTCTGCTGCCCAGGTTGGAGTGCAGTGGTGCAATCTCAACTCACTGCAACCTCCACCTCCCAGGTTCAAGCAATTCTCCTGCCTCAGCCTCCCAAGTAGCTGAGATCACAGGCGCCCACCACCACGCCCGGCTAATTTTTTGTACTTTTAGTAGAGACAGGCTTTCACCATGTTGGCCAGACTGGTCTCAAACTCCTGACCCCAGGTGATCCGCCCTCCTTGGCCTCCCAAAGTGCTGGGATTACAGGCATGAGCCACTGTGCCCGGCCAAGAGTCTCTTTAAATGCCAAATTGTAGACATGAATACCTAAAAGGAAATTGTTAATTTATAATTTGTATATTAAAAAGAAAAAAGAAAAGCTAGACCTAAAGAGAGAGCATCACTACTATTAGTACTACTATTTATGATTCACTGAGCACCTTCTATGTGCCAGGCATTGTTTTTAGTTCTCTGATTTAATTAATTCCTAAAACAAACCTGTAATGTAGCTATTATTATTATTCCCGTTTTTCTGATTAGGAAACCAAGGCATACTGAGGTAAAAACAGAACCATATAATGTTCTCTGTCCTGTATGCAGCATCATGGTTCCAGCAGCAAATACACCTTCACAAGGTAAACAGCAAACAGAGTACTATGGTATGATGCATGACCCATCATAGTAGAGGGAAGCACCTCAACATATTCAATAGTTCCCTTGGCTGAAAACCACTGAAACTGTTTGACCTGACATGTTAGATCATTTACATAGTTTACTTTCAGAATTTGAGCAAGGGCTATGGAGCACAAAGGTCATGTGTCTCCTAGATCACTTTACATAAACTTAGCTTGTGTATAAAGCTGTTAAATTTATTTTCAAACACAGGCTTTGTGTTCATTAGTCAGCACTTGACTAGCCAACTGTAAAATATAAAACAGTCAGTAAGCAACAAATGCACTCTCATGAGCATATACCAGAAGATTTTCCCATGGTATTTGCATTTTAAAACTATAGAAGGACAATGACATGAAATAAATGTTAATGATCTCTGCAAAGTGAATTTTCAGTTTGGATTTGCATTAAAAATATTTATCCTATTTATTTAAATTACATGACAAGAAGATTAGATACACCCATAATACATAATAAATCTTTAAACAAACATAAAAACTTCCCAGTTTCTGCTTTCTTCTACCTAATTTTAGTTCCAGCAACATGCAAAATGAGTATATTAACTTAATCCCTCAGGTACTTGATGATTTCAAGATAAACTCTGGAGACAGCCAACAGCAAAAAAATTCATTTTCTTTGACCTAGCTTGGTCAAACAGAAGCTTCCCTCCAGTTCCAGTAAGAAGGTAGAACCACAGGCCTAAGAGTCCTACTGAATGGAATCAGGACAAGGAAAACCAGTATACAATGAGGTCACATGTATAACATGTTACTAAAAAGTTTCCTAGTCTCTACATCTCATATGTTTTAATTACATCATTCTAGGGTACAGTTTTATTGGGGAGGGACTAGAACTGAAAACAAATCAGAAAGGATTACTTCAGAAATACCCATTTATAACCGAGTGGTTTGTTGCAAGCTCTCTGGAAGTATATTTATCACAAGTAAAATCCATCAAATTGACAGGACATTTTCTGTCAAAATCCATGTTGATGTGACCATCCAGCCCAAATGTTAACATTTGTTCTTACGGAACAGTGACTTGAATTTTCTTCTGGCTTCTCTTTTCCCTGCCAGCATGACCAATGAGAATGTTCTAGCTTAAAGAACATACAAAGTTATGCTAATAAAATAATCCCCAAACTGTATTATATATATTTAAAGTATTCTAATAAGGTTTTGCTGAATTTTTCCAATAATCAAGGGTGAAAATACCTTAAGCATCATGTGACAAGGCAAAACCTAGAAGAGAGACTGAGAAGTATGCTCTCAATCTCTTCGAGTGTAAGTAATAAACTGTATTGTTCTTGTTAGTACCAAAATTCTGTATCTATGCTATATTTTTAATAAAAATACAATATGTGCCTGAGCTGGAGCCTGTGGTATGTGAGCCCAGAAGGATAGAATTTTGACCAAGGCTGGAGAGATTTTTGTAATAAACAACAGGCAAGGAAAAGATACATCACATGACCAGAGAAACAATAATTAGAAGGAAAAATGTTTGGAAACTGAAAGAAGCTATATGTACACAGTTTTTAAGGACTAATGAAGTTCAGTAAAGGAATTGCCAAATAACTATTAAGCAAAATAAAAGGAGACTGTCAGATTGAGGTTAAGATAATTATTGAGTAAGCAATTTTGACCCGAATCCAAGAGGTTATACCTGGAGTCTAAGCAAGAAAGTTGGAAGGGGTTGGTTAACGTTCAGCCATGATTAACCAGATGCTCAGGTAGAAGGGTAGAAAAGTGAAAGAGAATTGTAAAAATCCCGATCACTTTAATTAACCATGTCACAAACTGGTTTTTGTGTTTTCATTTTTTACTTTTGTTTTTGTTTTTGATGCATCCCTATCAAAATACCAATGACATTCTTCACAGAAATTTTTTTTAAATGGTAACTGTTATACAGAACCACAAAAGATACAGAATAGCCAAAGCTATGCTGAGAAAAAAAGAACAAAACCGAAAGCATCAGATTACCTGACTTCGAATTATACTATAGAGCTATAGTAACCAAAACAGCATGGTACTGGCATAAAAACAGACACAGAGACCAATGGAACGGAATAGAGAACACAGAAATAAGTCCATAAATCTACAGTGAACTCATTTTCAACAAAGGTGCCAAGAACATACATCGGGTAAAGGACAGTTTCTTCAATAAATGTAATGAGAAAACTAGATCTCCATATGCAGAAGAAAGAAACTAGACCCCTGTGTCTCTCCATATACAAAAATGAAATCAAAGTGGATTCAAGACTTAAATCTAAGACCTCAAATTATGAAACTGTTACAAGAAAACATTGGGGAAGGTCCTCTAGGACATTGGACCGGGCAAAGATTACTTGCATAATATTCCACAAGCACAGGCAACCAAACCAAAAATGGACACATAAGATCACATCAAATTAAAAAATCTTCTGCACAGCAAAGGAAACAATCAACAAAGTGAAGAGATAACCCACAGTATAGGAGAAAATATTTGCAAACTACCCATCTGACAAGGGATTAATAACCAGAATATATAAGTAGCTCAAACAACTCTATATAGAGAAAAAAATCTAATAATCCAATTTTAAAATGGACAAAAGATCTGAATAGACTTTTCTCAAAAGAAGACATACAAATGGCAAACAGGTATATGAAAAGGTGCTTAACATCATTGATCACGGAAATGCAAATCAAAATTACAGAGGTATCATGTTACCCCCAGTTAAAATTGCTTTTATCCAAAAGACAGGCAATAACAAATGCTGGCAAGGATGTGGAAAAGAGGGATTCCTCGTACACTGTCGGTGGGAATGTAAATCAGTACAACCGCTACGGAGAATAATTTAGCAGTTTCTCAAGAAACTAAAAATAGAAGTACCATATGATCCAGCAATGCCACAGCTGAGTATATACCCAAAAGAAAGAAAATAAGTATATTAAAAGAGATATCTGCTCTCTCATGTTTATTGTGGCACTATTCATAACAGCCAAGATTTGGAAGCAACCTAAGTATCCATAAACAGATGAATGGATAAAGAAAACGTGGTGGCTGGGCACAGTGGCTCACGCCTGTAATCCCAGCATTTTGGGAGGCTGAGGCGGGTGGATTACCTGAGGTCAGGAGTTCAAGACCAGCCTGGCCAACATGGTGAAACCCCATCTTTACTAAAAATACAAAAATTAGCTGGGTATGATGGCACGCGCCTATAGTCCCAGCTACTTGGGAGGCTGAGGCAGGAGAATCGCTTGAACGTGGGAGGCAGAGGTTGCAGTTAGCTGAGATCATGCCACTGCACTCCAGCTTAGGCAACAGAATGAGACACCATAAAAAAAAAAAAAAAAAAAAAAAAAAAAAAAAAAAAAACAAAGAAAATGTGGTACATATATACAATGGAGTACTATCCAGCCATAAAAAAGAACAAGATCTTGTCATTTATAACAGCACAGATGGAACTAAAGGACATGTTAAGTGAAAAAAAAGCCAGGCACAGAAAGGCAAACGTTGCATGTTTTCACTTATTTGTGGGATCTAAAAAAATTATAACAATTGAACTCATGGAGATAGACAGTAGAATGATGTTTACCAGAGGCTGGGAAGTTGGAGAGTGAGGTGTGGGGATGGTTAATTGGTACAAAAATAAAGTTAGATTGAATAATTAAGATCTAGTATTTGATAGCACAATCAAGTGACTACAGTCAACAAGTTTATTGTATATTTTTTAAAAACCAAAAGAGTATAATTGGATTGTTTGTACCAAAGGATGTTTGAGGTGATGGTTAGCCCATTTCCCCCAATGTGATTATTATACATTGTATGCCTGTATCAAAATATCTCATGTGAATATATATATATATATATATATATATATATATATATATATATACTATATACCCACAAAAATTAAAAAACATATAAACCAGTGATTCCCAAAAGCCCAAAGAACCCCAGCACAAGAAATATGAAGAAAAGTACACCAAGGCACATCTTAAGTTACTGAAAGCCAGTGTGATAAAGAGCAAATATTAAAAGCAGCCAGAGCGGGTGGGGGAAAGACATGTTATATAAAAGGATAAAAGATAAACCATGCTAACACTAGTCAAAAGAAGGTTAGAGTGGCTGTATTAATATCAGGCAAAGTGGATTTCACAGCAAAAAAAAAAAAAAATCACCTGGTATAAAAAGGGTCATTTCATAATGACAAAGGGGTCAATTATCGGGAGGATATACAGTCCTAAACAGTTATGCCTGTAATAACAGAGCTTCAAAATACACGAAGCAGAAACAGAAAACTACAAGGAGAAACAGACAAATCCACAGTAACAGTCAGACTTCAGTGCTCTTCTCTCAATAATTGATAGAACAAGCAGACAGAAAATCAGCAGGGATATGGAGGCCCCGAACAAGACTCGACCCAACAACAGAAGACTACATATTTTTTGTCAAGTGCACATGGAACATTTACCATAAAACAAAGTCTCAATAAATGTAAAAGTATTCAAGTCATACAAAGTATATTTTCTGACCACAGCAGTCTTTAGAAATCAAAACCAAAAGATTTCTACAAAATCCCCAAATAATTGGAAAATAAACAATGCACTTCTAAGTAAACGATCGGTAGAAGAAGAAATCAGAAGAGAAATTAGAAAATATTTAAACTAAGTAAAATTAAAATCACAAAATATAAGGATTTGTGGGACACCAAAAAGCAGTAATTGGGGAGAAATTTCTAACAATGAATGCCTATATTATAAAATAAGCTCTTAAGTACTCAAATCAATGACCTTCGCTGTCACCTTAGGCAAATAGAAAAAGAAAAGCAAATGAAACTCAAAGTAAGCAAGCTAAAAGAAATAATGGGTCAAAATTTAAATCATGAAATATCAAAATATAGAAAAATAAAACCAAAAGTTGCTTCTTTGAAGATCCATAAAACTGATAAACAATGAGAGAAGACCCAACACTATGGCTTTACTGGGGTGTTCTAGTAAACATCAATTCTACGGCAACTCTTCCAGAAAACTGACAAAAATGCAAACTAATTCTCAGTTTGGGGATGGAAGAGAGGGACGGGAGGTAACCAAGAGGTATAACCCCTTTGAGGGTGATGAATATGTTCACTGTCTTGATTGTGAGGGTGGTTTTCACATACGCAAAGTTTAGTAAACTGTACACATTAAGTATGTGCAGCTTACTGTATGTCAATTATATTTAAATAATAAAGCTGCTGAAATAAACAATACATAAGAGACTATACATCAGTAACTAACTTATCTCCATTATAAGGTATGAAAATAATATAAGGATTGAATTCATTCTTTAATACACTAGAATGTACATACTCAAATCACTTGCTCCTTTTCAAAAACAATAAACTCTGATTACTATTGCAGGCTCTCAAGTATATCCTAGACTCAAAACTAATGTGACCATAAGAATAGCTTTCTCATGTTTCTTACAAAATTAATTCTGAATACAGTTCCCAAACAATCCTAAAGGCATTTTTTAAAATGGTAGCAGCATCAGAACAAAATCAAAACCAAACCCCTATTGAAGGGACAATGATTAAACATATCTGCAAAATGTTGTGCACTTATTATATTAAAGGCTCAGTTTATCCGTTGTCATCTGAGATGTGTTAACACTAAGGCAAAATAAGTTTTCTATCCTAACCAGATGACTGAAAGAGTTGTATGGTTGACCTGGTCCAGAGGAGAGGTACTCAAAGCACAATAAAAGTGTTAGGTTATGCCTTTTGTTTTGGAAGGATACTGCAAGACAAGAAGAAAAAAAAAAAAAAAGATTAAACCAAAAGCAAAGAAGACAACAAATGCATCTTATTCTCATGCTATTACGTCTATGAAAATATTTCTATGATAAGACTGCTACTTTTGGCTATGTTTAAATACATACTGGGTAGCAGTCACTCCCTCAAACCCTAATCGTTTCTCATCATTAAACAAACATGAAAAGACTCACTCTTAATCACACATAAAATTTCTTGTAAAATACTCTAGTCTAGGTCATTGAAGCTTAAAATAGAAATAAAGATGAGGCAAAGCAGCACATTACATCTTGCATGTGCCCCACTTCCTCTTCACTAGGACTATGTAACTCCAATGGTGAAAGAGAATAAATCTTCACTGTGTAATCAATACTGCCACGGGAAAGCATATATAATCCAGCCATAAAGAGTGAAGAATTGCAACAAGTGTCCCTAGAGTGTGACTTTCAAAGACATTTGACTCCATTAATAGCTTGCATATTCATATAGTCAATATTCATAAGGTGAATATTCATGTTAATAATTATTGCCCTGAGTTGAAAACCTGCATTCTGAAGTTCACTGTCAACTGCAAGACTATTTTGTTGCACAAAAATGAATGATGTGAATAAATGCCTTGCTACCTAGATTTTTTTTTATTTGGACTGAGGAGTAATCAAATGATTATCAGAAATAAGCTGCATGCAAGTCTTCACTAAGATTTAAATCATACATGTGATTTTGTGTGCAATATACATTTATCCTATAAGAATGCAAGCAAAGTTTTAGTGTAGTAATTTTTTAAAAGATACAGAACTCTCTAATTCACTATTTAATCATTCATGGCATTTAAGAGAAGTCAAGAAATGTCCCTTGCTTAATAATAACAATTTTTAAAAAGTTACCTAATGTTTTCCTTGCCAGGTCAATAGCTATCACAAATTAATTCACTTGAAAACACACCATTTTTAATACTTAAACATACACAATCATATGTACACACACAGACACATATATACAAAAAATGGGGTTTGAAAAACTTTTGTGTCTAGTCTCTTCTGATATGAAGTTTCAAGTGATTTTGCCCAGCTTTTCTGCTATCTTATAGGTAAAATTCTCCAAGCAAAATAAACTTGCCAAATCAAAACATAGTTATCAATCACTATGGAAAAAAAGAACATTGATACAATTTATTGATTTATTTATTTACTCATTCATTCACTCATTTAACATATATTTAATAAATACTTGCTAAAATGCCAGACACCAGGCTAAGTGCTAGAGGTAAAATGCTGAGCAACAAATGAAACATGATCCATGCTTTCATAGAGCTTACAAACTAATGAGGAAGCTAGACATTAACATATTACACACAGGCCAGGCGCGATGGCTCATGCCTGTAATCCCAGCACTTTGGGAGGCTGAGGCAGATGGATGACCCGAGGTCAGGAGTTCGAGACCAACCTGACCAACATGGAGAAACCCAGTCTCTACTAAAAATACAAAATTAGCCGGGTGTGGTGGCGCATGCCTGTAATCCCAGCTACTCGGGAGGCTGAGGCAGAAGAATGGCTTGAACCTGGGAGGTGTAGGTTGCGGTGAGCCGAGGTCACACCACTGCACTCCAGCCTGGGCAACGAGCAAAACTCCATCTCAAAAAAAAAAAAAAAAAACACACACACAAACTTATGATACGTGCTATAAAGAAGCAATACATGTGCCATGAATGCATATAATGGCAGGTAGTTACTAAATCAATGAGGTAATGAGAGATTGCTGAGCTGAGAAGTCCTAAGGAAGAGTATAGTCTAATTAGAAAAAAAAGTGGAGGCTGTAGGAACAACCTATGCAAAAATCCTTGATATATCTACTTTGGAACACAGTTTGGCAGTGTCTTAGAAAACTAAACATACTCTTACCAAAGGATCCAGCAATAGCACTCATTTACCCAAATGAGTTAAAACTTATGTCCACATAAAAACCTGCACTTGGATGTTTATAGCAGCTTTATTCATAATTGCTGTAATTTAGAAACAACCAAAATGTCCTTCAGTAGGTGAACGGATAAACAGTGGTACATTCAGACAATGGAATATCATACAGTGCTACAAAGAAATGAGCTATCCAGCCATGAAAAAAACATGGTGGAACCTTAGATGCATATTACTAAGTGAAAGAAGCCAGTCTGAAAAGGCTACATACTCTATCATTCCAACTATATGTCATTCTGGAAAAGGCAAAACTATAGAGACAGGAAAAGATCAGTGGTTGCCAGGAGTTAAAGGGAGGGAAGAATAAACAGGTGGTGAATAGAGGATTTTTATGGCAGTGGAATTACTCTGTATGTTCTACTATAATGGTAAATCCATGCCATTATGTATTTGCCTAAAATCACACAAGGCACACCAAGAGTGAACCTGAACTATGGACTCTGGGTGAATGATGTGTCAACATAAGTTCCTTGACTGCAACAAATGTATCACTGTGGTGTAGGATGTCAATAGCAGGTAACCTGTGGGTGTGTGGGAATAGAGGGAATATGAGAACTCTGCTTTCTGCTTGATTTTGCTGTGCACCTAAAACTGCTGTAAAAAATAGAGTTCATCTTAAAAAAAATAAAACACACTAACACACACACACAATCCTTGAGGCAGGAGGTTAGGTTGACACTGCTACAAAGATCACTGATTGCAAAACCTCGGGAAGACATTCTCAAGATAAAGGAAATTTTTTAAAAATTAGGAACAAAGGTACACAAGAAAACAAGCTCAAGTTCAGGCTGTGAGTTAATCCAGGTCCCCTTTATCATCTCTTTTACATGCATGAGTTTGGAAATATGTACTAGTACGTGCCTTGTGCACATAAGTGTGTATGTGCACATCTGTGCACATACACCATACCACTCTTCATAGTAGATAGCCAGACCAATTCCAAGACAAATCATGAGTGGGATCGAATAGCATAAGAAAATAGGGAACCACTAAAAATTGAGACTCCTGCTCTCTCCTCTGCTTGGTAAATTCAAAAGCAGAGAGTATCAAGAGGGATAGTTAAAATGTTTAACTATCTTTGAGTTCCCTGAGAACTTTCGCCAGTGTGGAAAAAAATAAATAGAACTTAATTTTTCAAATCAATGATCAGAAAGTGACCAGAGGATCTATGCATAAAATTTGCAACAAACAAATCTAGATGGACTACAGGTATTATTCTTCATAGATTATGTAAAAAAGATCAAAGAAGGTTTACTTTAGACGAGAGAAACTAAAAATCATAACTGTATTGTTGATGATAAGGACAGGGTGATGAAGATTGATGTGAGATTAATCTTCTTCTATCATAGCAGGCAGGCAATAGATAATATCTAAAATAGATAAGGTAATACATAACATTATAAGCATATTATTTAGAAATAAGGAGAAAACTACCAGACAAAACAAAAGAGTTAACAGGGTTGCCACAGGGTGAGCAACATTAGGAATAGGAAAGGGTGGGGCATCAGTTGTTACTTTTTATGGCAAGCCCTCTGTATGCCTAACTTTAATTATGTACATATGGTACTTTGATAAAAATAAAGATCTTTTTAAGAAAAATTATAAAAGGGGAAGTAAAAGCCAAGCTGGTAGAGCTCTAGAAAAAAAAGGATGAAAAAATTATATAAAAAATCCACAAAAGAAGGAGCAACAACGTTTTTCAGAGAATAAAACATCTGAAAAATAACATTAGGGACCTGGTTGGCAGGCGTGATGAAGTCAAATGAAACACAACTGGGGAGAACAATATATGATGATGACAGAGAAGATGACAGATACAAACATGAAGAAGAGCCAGCATAGTGATGTAGCTAAAGCCACAGAGGAGTTAAGATTAGAACCTAACTCTACCTTTACAACCTCTTTGTAATAAATCTGCTTATTTAGTACAGTTCAATATTCTAAAAATTCAATATCTAGCCATGTGATTACTTTAGTTTGCCAAGGATATCACCCATTTAGAAGTTCAGGGGTTTTTAAATTTATTTTTTACCACAGACCTACTGTCTACAGAAAGTCCACCCTGTGCAAGAACAGAAAATTCTAACAAATATTATGACATTTGAATAGACTGTTACATCTAAAAACTAATATAGATAAACACAGCAACAGCAGAGCTAAAAGAAAAAGCAAGTTATTTCTGAAAATGAAAAAAAGTAAAAAAAAAAGTTGTCTTTACCTCATATACTATCTCTAATAGTTTACCCATTTGATTCACTATACAGCCAGGATAACACATAGGCATTCAATCATTTTGTACCAGCAATCTATATACACAAATTCTAAAACTATTACTCTAACCAGTTGTTAATTTTCCTCCCATGCATCTGACAAAGGACATCCAGCATCTACAAGGAACTCAAATCAGCAAGAAAAAAACAAATAATCCCATCAAAAAGTGGGCAAAGGACATAAATAGACAATTCTCAAAAGAAGATATGCAAATGGCCAACAAACATGAAAAAATGCTCAACATCACTAATTATCAAGGAAGTGCAAATTAAACCCACAATGCGATACCACCTTACTCCTGCAAGAATGGCCATAATCTAAAAATCAAAAAATAATAGATGTTGGCATGGATGTGGTGAAAAGGGAACACTTTCACATACTGCTGGTGGGAATGTAAACTAGTACAACCACTATGGAAAACAGTATGGAGATTCCTTAAAGAACTAAAAGTAGATCTACCATTTAATCCAGCAATCCCACTACCCAAAGGAAAAGAAGTCATTATATGAAAAGGACACTTGCACATGCATGTTTATAGCAGAACAATTAGCAACTGCAAAAATATGAAACCAGCCTAAATGCCCATCAGCCAGCAAGTGGATAAAGCAAATGTGTTATGTATACAACATGGAATACTACTCAGCCATAAAAAGGAATGAAATAATGGCATTTGCAGCAACCTGAGTGGAGTGTTGGAGACAATTATTCTAAGTGAAGTAACTCAGCAATGTAAAACCAAACATCATTTATTCTCACTCATAAGTGGGTGCTAAGCTATGAGGATGCAAAGGTATGAGAATGATGCAATGAATTTTCAGGAGGGAGGGTGAGGGATAAAAGACTACACATTGGGTACAGTGTAAACTGCTCAGGTGACAAGTGCACCAAAATCTCAGAAATCACCACTAAAGAACTTATCCATGTAACCAAAAACCCCCCGTTCCCCCAAAACTACTGAAATAAAAATAAAATATTTAGAAAAAATTTTCCCTCCTCATCATATGGTGGGAGTGGAGGGGGGTGCTATTATGGAGGAGTATTACATATGTGATCCAAAGATTGACTAGCATTAGGCATTCAAATCTAGAGCATTAATCCACACAAAGTAAAAAGAGAAAAATGTAAATTTCTTTATTATCCATGAAAAGCAATCAACACAAATATAGAATCACCAGAAAGAATGTGGCAGACAGGAGAGTAAAGCAGCAATTTACAATGAAAATGTGATATGGTATATCCTTCTGCATATAAATTCTAACCATTTGACTACTATACATACAATCATTAAAAAGACATAAATGGTCAGTGGCTAAGTACATTATTTTTTCGATACAGCCTGGACAAAAAGTCAATCCAGCAAATATATTGCTTTATTCATCCTACCCTGAAGGCTGAGCCTAGGTAGTCTCACTGAATGACAGTTTATCTGCATTTGAAAAGAACTATTGTGGTAGGAGAAAGGTTTTAGAATCCCCTTATCAGATTTCACTTCTAAATAATACTTAGCAACCTCCCAAACAAAAATCCTACTAAAAACAGCAGGAGTACTAAGATAATGTCAAGGTACAAATATATAGAATTCCTCAAGATTACCTAAGAGGAACCACAAATGTTCCAGAAAGTATGTCCCTGGATAAGTACCGTACTTGAAAAAATCTTTAATGGCAAGGACTCAGTCACTATATACTGAAATCATTCCCTACTTTATCATGTTCACAAAATAAAATTACCATATTCAATAAATGCCTTTATCTGTCATGGAAAGAATGTTATAACAAAGCAACAATTTGTGATTAGTAAATTCTAAATAATTAGAATAAAATCTGTTTGACTACGATGATCATTCAACAAACTTTGATTCGAAGGTATGCTGGTCCTTCACTACACCTAGAAATGGCAAAGAAGGGAAATGTTAACTAGAACGTCATTTCATAGCATGGAAAACGAGCTTTTACTGTAAAGTATTATACAGACATGATAAGGTCCAGTGTGTGGTTAATTTTTTTAAAGTTGGTAATGGAGGAATCATTAAAAGCAAACATTACCTTCAACATTTTAATTTATGACATCAAAATACACATTTATCAATATTTTGATGTAGAGCTACATCAGAGCATCTTCCTTTCATAAACCATCCCTTAATGCATTCTCTACTATATGTAGTTTCATTTTCTTTAGAAGATAGAAACTGGAGACACCTGCAAAGCCATATGAATCCTTTTGGACTTGTTATTTTTTTCCTAGGCTTTCAGTTACCTCACCTATGCTTAATTCAGTAGCAATCCTTTTAGCGCCTTTATCAATTTATGCAAAAGACTTCTCAATTTTCATAGAAAGATTTCTTTTGCCTCACACATTTCATCAAATTGCATGTTTAATTAAATAATATAGTTACAATAGCAATTACCACTGGCATATATAGGTTTGGGAACAAATGCAAGTGACTGATAGACAGATTTGGTAAGCAAATTAACAAACAGAAACGAAGTACTTTACAAATTATTAGGAACCAATGCTTTTAATGATATTCATCATTTACCTCAGTGATCAAATTGTCTAAGCTTACAAATTACATGTTACCATTTATGGGAAGAAATATGAAATTTTTTTCATTTGTTAATTACTGCTTAAAATAAGCCATTATGGAATATTCCCTTCATTCAAAAGGCCATATGGGCAGTCCTAGACTTACGGAAGTCCCATCCCATACAGCCACTCTTCTTGCCCTATTTGCCTACCCTCAACCCCGGAAGCCTCTCTGCTGCTCTCATAGAGGCAGTCATGAAAAAAGAGAACTTCTGAAAAATAGGCTTATATGTGAATGAAGGCAAGACTTGAAAAGTAGAAACAATTATCCCTAGGGGAGAACCTCAAAGCAAGACTGCTTATATGATTACCTACCTCCCCAGAACATTCTACTGCACTGCCAGGCTTTATTCACTTTATTGTGCTACTTGACAGATATTTCACCAAGCAATTAATGGATGTTAATAATCATTTTTTAAATCACAATAAAGTACATTCAAAAATAATTGCATAACTTAGTTCATTCTAACACTCAGCAGAGATGTGACAGAAATCAAGTTTGGGAAGAGGTAGGTACACTGAGGAATGGGAAAGATGTCGCAGGGGGTGGGGGACGGGCACGGTGGCTCACGCCTCTAATCCCAGCACTTTGGGAGACTGAGGCAGGTGGATCACAAGGTCAGGAGTTCAAGACCAGCCTGGCCAAGATGGTGAAACCCTATCTCTACTAAAAATACAAAAATTAGCCAGGCGCGGTGGCAGGCGCCTGTAATCCCAGCTATTTGGGAGGCTGAGGCAGAGAATTGCTTGAACCCGGGAGGCGGAGGTTGCAGTGAGCCAAGATCACGCCACTGCACTCCAGCCTGGCAACAGAGCAGACTCCACCTCAAAAAAAAAAAAAAAATGATCTGGGTGGGGGGTGGGGAAGAGTCACAGGAGGATGGGTGTCACCTGAGGGGAGGGGTACAATTATATGGAAAAGAGGTACAGAAAGGGATTTGGAGCATCCCAAAGATAAAATTTACCAGTTTCCAAATTTAGCCTATGGTCAGAAAAGAGGAAGAGACTTTCTTCAATGTTTCTATACCACATGGCACATGTCTGCTCCCAGAGCTCAGACACATGCTATTAATAGAACAGCTCATCTGCAATGTAGATTAAGTGGGATTTGAAAAAGATGAGCTACCCTGGGAACCTAACCTCCATTCATAACATGTTCCCAAAGAAACATTTTCTTGGAGATATAAAAAAAGAAAAATGCCTTGCAAACACTTTTTAGAATACAGCATGCTCCTAGCATCCGCAGAACTAAAGAATACTCACAGAGCAAAATTTAAAATGCAGAAGAGATAAAGGGAGAAAGAAACCAAAATTACCACTTGCAAGAAAGAAGTGGTTGTCATTAAATCATTGTGTCTTGGTGATACCCTACAGCAATGTGCCAAGCATTTTTTTTTCTTTTGAGACGAGTACATATGTATTCTTTTACTTATTTATTTTTTTGAGACAGAGTCTCACTCTGTCTCCCAGGCTGGAGTGCAATGGCGTGATCTTGGCTCACTGCAACCTCCACCTCCCAGGTTCAAGTGATTCTCCTGCCTCAACCTCCAGAGTAGCTGGGATTACAGGCATATGCCACCATATCAGGTTAATTTTTGTACTAAAAATTAAAATTACTAAGGCCAGGCATGGTGGCTCACACCTATAATCCCAGCACTTTGGGAGGCCGAGGCAGGTAGATCACCTGAGACCAGGAGTTCAAGACCGGCCTGGCCAACATGGTGAAACCCCGTCTCTACTAAAAATACAAAAACGTTAGCTGGGCATGGTGGCGGACACCTGTAATCCCAGCTACTTGGGAGACTGAGGCATGAGAATCGCTTGAGCCCCGGAGGCAGAGGTTGCAGTGAGCCGAGATCACGCCACTGCACTCCAGCCTGGGCAACTGAGCGAGACTCTGTCTCTAAATCAATCAATCCATCAGTCAATCAATCCATCAATCAATCAATCAAAAAGTAGAGACAGGGTTTCATCATGTTGGCCAGGCTGGTCTCAAACCCCTGACCTCAAGTGATCTGCCTGCCTCAGCCTCCCAAAGTGCTGGGATTACAGGCTTGAGTCACCGTGCCCACCTGCAATGTGTCAACCTTTAATAATCTTTGACAATTTGGATAAGAATCTCCTATCCTCCAGAGATTTGGATATACCTCCACCCAAAGATTCTGTGTGTGTTTCTACTTTAGTTAAAGTTGAGGATATGCTATTTATGCTAGCCACAATTTTGTAGATCTCTACATTCACTGATATGTAATATTCATACATGTTTATAGGGTACATATAGATCTCTACTTTTTTTCAGCTTGCATTAGGAAAAGATGGTAGGCTTCTGAATATGCTTTCTCAGTCTACACATACACCCAGGAGTCTGTCATATGCTCCATCCAGGAGTCATCCTCTCCAACACTGTAGAGTCTCTGCTCCATAGCAAGCTATACTTCAGTACCTCGCAATGATGTCCCACGATCACCTCAAGTGACTGTATCCAGAAACAAATTCATCTTCCCACCTACTTTCATCTCTCCCAACTCCACCACACTCATTCTTCCTTCTCCCATCCAGATCCCCAACCCAACTCAATTAGTAGCTTCTAAATCCTAATCTTCCTCCTCTTCTCCATCCCTAGTACCACTGCCGTAGTTCCATGGTTCATTTCTTATCTCCACTATTATAATCTCTCTGGTCTCCCAGCTTCCAGTCTCACTTCTTTCCCATAGTTTCTGTGTAGTTCTTAACCTCTAGATCCAGAGTCAAAAACTCAAATGTATATGGATTCTAAGCAGGGGATATAATTGAGTGATGCAGGCCAGCTATAGAAAAATAAATGTCAATTAACACTGGACCCCAGGTGAAATGCAGGAGGGTGGTCTGTGGCCAATTCAAGAGCACATGGCCTATTCAAATAAGACAGATCTTATTCAGACACAGTGGATTGCTGCCAGCCATGTGAGAACATGAGCCTAGTACTGTAAAAATTACTCTGATGTTTCAAGAGAAGCCAGGAATTTAGATTTATGTGTACAAACTCCCAATTCTTAAGAGTTAGCAAACAAATCAAATTTTAAAAACCACATTGCTAATACTGAAAGCCAAACCAAACAAATCTATGGGCCAGGTATGACTTGCAGGGCTGCCATTTTGCAAACTGTGCACAAGTTTAGTGGTTCTCCAACTTTAGAGTACAAAATCATGCAGGCAGCTTATTAATGCAGATTCCCAGGGCCTGCACTCAAAGGATTCTGTTTCAATAGGTCCATTGGGACTCCTGTATCTATATTTTTTGCAAGCTTTCCCAGTGGCCTTGAGGCAAGTGATTCTAATGCTACTTTAATCTGTGAGAAAGGGAATCTACAGGATTAAGGGGAATGAGAAGCTTGGGAAAATGGAAACTATGTTTCTAATGCATTGAAAATACTTTTACGTTTTTCAATGTACTGCACATTTCAGATCAATAGTGTGGAGATGGTTATAATTAGCATTAAAATATAAGGTGGTCTTCTAAAAAAATCATAAACATTTTGTTTATTTAAAAAATTATTTTAAAAGTAGTATTTATTTTTGGCATATAAAACATTTTAAAAGAAGAAAGGAGTTGGCTGCGGTAACCCTGTATTAACTCTTGTAAAAGCAATCATTGCCCATTAATTGTCTGCTTCCTTAATTCAAATTTCCTGCTGATATATTTTCTTAAAACAAGAAATACCTATGCCACAAACTTCTTTTTTCTTTTAATTTTTATTTTTTAGAGTTGAGGTCTCACTATGTAGCCCAGGCTGGAATGCAGTGGCACGATCATAGCTCACTGCAGCCTCAAAACTCGGTTTTGGCCAGGCACAGTGGCTCACGCCTGTAATCCCAGCACTTTGGAAGGCCGAGGCGGGCGGATCATGAGGTCAGTTCAAGACCAGCCTGACCAACATGGTGAAACCCTGTCTCGACTAAAAATACAAAAATTAGCCGGGCGTAGTGGCATGTGCCTGTAATCCCAGCTACTCAAGAGGCTGAGGCAGGAGAATTGCTTGTACCTGGGAGGTGGAGGTTGTAGTGAACCAAGATCGCACCACTGCACTCCAGCCTGGGCAACAGAGCAAGACTCCACCTCAAAAAAAAAAAAAAAAAAAACCCTCTGTTTTGAACTCTGAATGCATTCTTCCCTTGGAGTAAGTACGTGGAGGGAGGAAGAGAAGTTCCCAGTGACTCAGTTCCTAGTCTATTTTAATCCAAATTATTAATCTTTCCTGTTCCTAAATCTGAATCATTCATATGGAACTTACCGAATACTGAGGTTATATACAGCTGTTTTCCTTATAATATTGTAAATTCCTTGATAACAAGTACCTGTATCTCATGACCTATATCTTTAAGCACTAAACATATTAGGAAACTGAACTATACTACAATACATATCAAATACAGGAATAATGTTCATGGGAAAATGTGCTCCACACTACTAAGCAAAAATGGAGGAGAGACCAGTAGCAGAGTAAAAGCTCCTATCAGCCCCAACCTTTTTGGCAAAAAAATCATATGGTAGGGCAAGTAAGAGAGATGCTTCAGAAGATTGTTCCCAGCACTATCACATTTATGAAGGTCACTGAGAAAGAAATAAACAAAGAGTACTCTGATGTGACTGGGTCTCAAATTCCCAAGGCAACATCAGTAGCAAGGGGGAGAAAAAGGCCAGGCAATATTTTGACTCAACATACCAGGGGAGCCCCTGCCCAAGGGCCTTTCATATGGCCAGGTATTTATAACTCAGGAAGTTCCTGTCTTCTTCATTTGTAGTTAATGCTCTTCATGTTTCAAAGGCTCAAAAGGGATTTTGCCAGGATCACAAATCCCTCATGAGAAAGTAGTCTACCAAAAGATGATTCATGTCCTAAAGACCTATATCTTTTTAAAATAATTTTGTAACCCCACAAGGAACCTGAACATTTTCCCAGCCTATACCTTGTGAAATAATGTCCTCTTTCTATAGCTACAACCCACTGCATAAAAAAAGCCAGGCATGGTGACACATGCCTGTAGTCCTAGCTGCTCAGGAGGCTAAGGTGGGGGGATCCCTTGAGCCCAACAGTCCGAGGCAGCAGTAAGCCATGATCACAACATTGCATTCCAGCCTGATGACAGAGCAAGACCCTGTCTCAAAACAGAAAAGAAAAGAAAAGGAGGGAGGGAGTCTCTTAATAAAAATTCCACTTATTTAAGTGAATTATCTTAAGTAGGGGACTTGAGTTCAAATCATAGCCCTAAGACTACTTTGCCACAGTTGTAAGCAATGTATCTCTTCTCATTTTGTCATAGGGGATTGATATATGCAAACGGAAAAAAAATTCATGATAACACTTGATTGAGGACAACTTTATCTAGTGAGGATAACTTTACCTAGTTTTGTATGTCATAAATCTTGCAGCTTCTCTTGGAATATTCCAGGGACTATAAGACTGTAATTCAGCCTAGACCCAACACATTCAGTTTGACAGCAGCAGCCTTGTAATCTAAGCTACCTGACCTTTAGAGTAGGATCTATTTGTGGAGGAAAAAAACAACAACAAGATCTTTAGACTTAGAGGCACAGATCTACAGAATAGTAGGCTGGGAGCAAGGGCCAATTAAGTTGCTGTAAAACAGTAAGTTATCAAAGTACACACTATTTACAGTACATGTTTAATTTTGCAAGTTCAAAGCTGTCAAATTAAAGCATGCCAAAAGGTATCAGAATTAATAAATATCTTTATATTTATACTACAAACAGGCCAATTACCAGAAAGTTTGGACATAAGATTTTAGACTTCATATTTCCAACTGTAAAATGTCTAAAGTAAGATATGATTGTAAGCTCTGATCACATCAATCTCCTGCTCAAATACTCTACATGGGTTATAGAATGAATTCCAAATTGTTTATGGTGAGCACTGAATGCTTATGTAATCAAGCTGCAGTCTCTCCATCCAGACTGACCTCCACCACTCTCATACATACATCTGGGCTTTACTAGACTAACTCATATTTTTCCTCAAACATGCCCTAACTTCCTAGCTCTCTTGCAGTTATGCGTTGTCATGGACTGAATGTCTGTTTCCCCCTAAAATGTATACCGTGAAACTGAACCCCCACCCCATGTGATGGTAGTAGGAGGTGAGGTCTCTGGGAGGTAATAAGGATTAGATGAGGTCATGAAGGTAGAACCTTCATGAATGGGATTAGTGACTCTGTAAAACTCACAAGAGAGTTTGCTTTCGCTCTCCATTCTCCACCATGTGAGGATACCACAAGAAGTCAGCAGTTTGCAACTCGGAAGAGGGCCCTTACCAGAACTCTATCAAGCTGGTACCCTGATCTTGGACTTCCAGTCTCCACAACTGTGTGTAATAAATTTCTGTTGTTCATATGCCACCTAGTCTATGGGAATTTGCTATAGCAGCCTGTGCTGACTGAGATATGCATATTTTTCTCACTACAGACAATGCCCTTTCTCCATTCTATCACAATAACTGTTTTAAAAAAAATCTCTGCACTTTAAGACTCTCTTCTATTGCCTATCTTTCCATGAAGTCATCCCTAATACTTCATTTGGAATTAACACGATTTGTGCTCCCATAGCACTTTTTCCTTCTACAGTAGCACTTATCACATTCCACCCAGCACCACAGGTTTGTATACATCAGATTCTCCAACTCTATGTTTCTAGTGGGTAGGAGTTCTTTACTTTAACCCTGATAATGCTTACCGCAGCACTGAGGTGAGCTTCTCCAAAACATTTATTAAATTAGATTAACTATTGAACATGAAGAATTTCAGAGGTAGAATATTACCAACTGAGGAGCTTGCCCAAATCATCAGTAATAAAACTAACCAGATACAGCTACAAATTAGATGTTTGTGGACAATTCCCAGCCAATTTCTCAAGCTCTATTATTTCTCAACTAATGTAATCCAACAAAAAGGAAATGTGTTAAAATACATTTATTAGACTCCTAATAGGATCTGCGATAGGAGAAAAATAAAACATATTTATGTAAAAAATAGAAAATTACAGCTCATTTCTAGATTTTAAATATAGCCTGTTACTTGTAAGAAGAAGACAGAATGCTATCATAAAATATCATGTATTTTGGAATCAGAATCAATTAACCTCTCTGAGACTCGTTTCCCATATTTGTTAAATGTGGGAAATAACTATGCCTACGTGTTTATAATAAAAAATTAAGATGGTGATGTAAAGCTCCTAGAACAACACCTGAAATACTGTAGGTGCTCACTAAACGTTAGTTCCCTCTCTCTATCCCACTTCTGAGTTGGTGAAAAATATTTCCTATGATCACCTACGTTCAGTCATAAAACAAGTTCAGTCACAACCTTCTCTCTAAGATCTTAATATTTTAAAATCAATGACACTTAAAACAAATATGTGCCTTTACATAACTCTAAACTTGCATACATGATAATCCCACTATTAAGAATGGCTTGCCTTGGCTGGTCTGAAGGTAGTAAGTTATCTCGAATGATTGTTCACAGTCAGTTACAGATCTAACTCCTTGTTCTACTCTTTCCCCACTTCTCACTACTGCACTCGACTAGTCTTAAAAAAAAAAACTTGCCTTTTAATCTTACAAAGCTGTTCTTCATCCCTAAGACCCAAATCAAATGTTACCTCTGTGAAGTCTTTCCTCTCCCTACCAAGCACAGTATGCGGCATTCCCAAGAGCGTTCTCCTCATACCTATTTATTATAGAATTTACTACTTTATATGTATCTGTCCTTTTCTCATTAGGCCATGAGCTCCTCAAGAGTAAGACCTGTATATACTTATGTTTATACCCTCAGCATGATGCCCCATACATAACAAAGATTTGATGTGTCTGGAATGAACACTATAACATACATTTATAATAAGGACAATTGTTAATATGGCCATGCATGCTGCAGAAATGAACTGGCTCTCTATGGGAAATTGAAGGGGAATGAAATGATCATGTCACCTTCAAGTAGGCAATAAAGGGTTTAAGAGTTATATAAAGAACTAGAAAGAAAGTACTTAGGATTCACTGAGAACAGAAAAAAGAAGAGGTTATTTCAGGCATATGAGACAATACACCTAACGGCTTCAACTTTTAAAAGGGGAGCAAATTAAAAAAGGAAGAAGATACAATTAGGTGCCTAATAGTAGCCCTAAATGTAAAAATACAGTGGGACCTGATGAGTTGAATGAGAAGGAGTCACTGACTTTCACTGGTCAAATAGGGAAGTTAACCTTCATTCAACTGGACCAGAAATCATAAAGGTCAGTCAGTGACTAACAACAGAATAATACAGTCTGGTGATAAGTGAAGCAAGTAAACCTTAGCTTGAAAAGGTAAACCTGATAAACAGTGTGTGTGTGTCCATGTGTGTCTGTGTATGTGTATGTATGTGTGTTGAGAGCATCAAGTTAATTTTTATTTTTCCTGTAAAAAGGAAAAATATTAAAAACACCACTATGAAGTATTTGAGGTGTTATGCAGTTTTTAGTAGAACTGCAACACAGTCAGGAGATGCCTCTCAGCAAATGATGACAAAGTATCAAACTTAGATGTCAAAGTAGATAGAAAAGTTTGGCATCATCTGCATCTGCATCTGCATCCAGGTGGTATTTGAAGAGGCATATGATTGCCTGCAATTGTATGTGGAGAAGAACAGATAACAGTGAGAAGTTTTGAGATGGAAGGCAAACAAAGCTGGCACTTTAGCAGTCAGCAAATCAAGAGGCAGAAGTTGTCAGAGAAGACTGTACCATAGAATCTAAAATTCAGGCCAGATGCATGGCTCAGGCCTGTAATCACTTTGGGAGGCTGAGACGGGTGGATCGCTTGAACCCAGGGGTTCAAGACCAGCCTGGGCAACATGGCGAAACCACATCTCTATGAAAAATACAAAAATTAGCTGAGCATGATGGCATGTGCCTGTAGTCCCAGCTACTCAGGAGGCTGAGGTGGGAGGATGGCTTGAGCCAGGGAGGTCGAGGCTGCAGTGAGCCATGATTGCGCCACTGCACTCTAGCCTGGGCAGTAGAGGGAGACCCTGTCTCAAAATGATATATAAATAAATAAAATTCATATAGATGATGAGTTAAAAGTCACCAGCATCAAAAGTTGTTGAAGTATCAAAGAATCCACAGATGGAAAAAGAGCCTTTTAAACTCACTACGATGAAAATGAATATTTTCCTTAGATGTCAGAAATGAGGTAAGTGATAAAAGGTATAGTTGACAACTAAAAAGTTCACAACAGTGCAGTCCACCAGATTTCCAGTAGCAGAAAAGAAGAAAATGCAAATAAAATTGGCGGGAATCAATGAAACAAACCATGCTTCCATGAAGACAGGGATTAGCTGACCCTGTCTGAATAGAGAGGAAAGGAGAGAATGGAAAGTAAAGAACAGCTGAGGAGCCACAGAAATTTTTCACACTAAATATACAAAAAGTTTTTCACACTAAATATACAAAATGTTATAGGGTCTAAAGCAGAGTTTCTTAACCTTGACATTTTAGACTGAATAATTCTTTGTGCTGGAGAGAATGTCCTATGATTGTAGGATAGAGAACAGCAACCCAGGCCTCTATTCACTAGATGCCAGTGTAGCACCCTCCCCCAGTTGTGAGAACCAAAAATGTCTCCAGACATTACCAAATGTTCCCTGGGAGGTAAAATTAGCCCCCACTGAAAATCACTGGTCTAAATAAAAAGAACAACACAGTTTTTGGGACATGGGAATGCTATATCCTTCCTTACATATTTATCCGTAACACGAAGCCCTTTGGGTTAGATGGAGTGAAAAACAAAAGAACATCAACAACCAGGACTATATTTAGAGAAAATATGAATTTGTAAAAATTGATAAGAAGTATTTGAAAAACAAAAATTTACTAAGATTCTTAGTCTGCTTAATTATCAGCTTTCCCAGTTATGTCTCTATCATTATGAGAGCTTAAGATATCCTTCACTTTCTAGTTTCATGCTGTGTTGTACACAGTTGTATGAACAGAACCAATATGGAAATATTAGCTCATTAACATTGGTAATCAAGCCAGGTGTGGTGGCTCATTCCTATAATCCAAGTGAGAGGCTGAGTTGAGGCAGGAGGATCACTTGAGGCCAGGAGTTCCAGACCAGCCTGGGCAACACAGCAAAATGCTGTCTCTACTGAAAAAAAAAAAAAATTTAGTGGGGCATGGTGGCACATGCCTGTAGTACCAGCTACTTGGGATGCTAAGGGAGGAGGATAACCTGAACCCAGGAGTTTGAGTTTGCAGTGAGCTATGATCATGCCACTGCATTCCAGTCTGGGCAACAGAGCAAGACCTCATCTCTTAAAAAAAAAAAAAAAAAAGTTTAAGATTAGTAATTATAAGAAATAGGCCAATTTCAGGCTCCAGACACATACTGGTATATTCGTAATCTATTTTACCTGTCACATTTTTAAAAATTAGGGGCTTTTTCTTTGGGGAAGGATGATGGATCAAACTAAGGGGACTAGAACTCAAACTACATTATGCACTTCCATATTGTCTGGCACTTAACGCCCGTAGTTTAGGGGTCTATTACTCGTCACAAGTCAACACAAAAATAGTTTGTCACAACACTTTCTGCAAACTAATTAAAAAGATAGCACTTGGCTGAATATACCACACTTTTATAGCAGCCAATCTTTAGGCAAAGCACACGCAGGAAGCAGCAGGAGAGGGTAGGTGGTTCTTGGCACTCCCCTAAACAAGAAACAATGCATATCGTGTACTTGTTTAACAGGAGATAGCATTAATTTTTCCAAAGCACTTTTACTTCATGCAAAAGATCACAAACAGAAAGGAAGTGGGCAATAGAGGAGAGAGAGAAGCTAAAACATGAAGTAGGCAGTATAACTTGCAATGTAACCTCTTCAGAAGCTAGTCTCTGCAAGGCTGACGTACAAACAACAAGAAAATCATATGCAATATGCAACAGTAGTAAAGTACACAGGCCTTCTGCTGGCCATGCAATTAGTTAATAAAGGCCAGACTGCTAGACAGGTATTTTTTTTTTCCCCAGTGGTGGGCTATCACAGGCTGGTATTTTTAAGAACTGTGTTCAAGTAGCCTTAAAATCCACAGCCATATCACTTTTGTCCTCTTGGCTTTTTCTTAGTGGTCACATTTCTGACCCATTACTTCATGGCAGTGATTCAAAGAATTTTTTTTTTTTTGACAATGGCACTAAAACGAATGGCCCCTGAACTCTGTCTTCTAAATTATACATAAGCAGAGTGCAAATCTAGGCTAGGTCCCACCATCACCAGTCTAGAGAACCACTAGGTCTTCAATTTAGAGCTACCTTGAGGTTCTCAGGCAGTATAGAAAATCGTGGTGTAAAACATACATTTTACAGTCACATTGGTCTTGAATTCTATTTTATTTTTAAAAATATTTTATTTTTTTGAGACAGAGTCTCGCTCTGTTGCCCAGGCTGAAGTGCAGTGGCGGATCTCGGCTCACTGCAACCTCTGCCTCCCGGGATCAAGCAATTCTCCTGCCTCGGCCTCCCAGGTAGCTGGGATTACAGGTACATGCCACCATGCCTGGCTAATTTTTGTATTTTCAGTAGAGACAGGGTTCCACCATGTTGGCCAGGCTGGTCTTGAACTCCTGACCTCTGGTGATCCACCTGCCTCGGCCGCCCAAAGTGCTGGGATTACAGGTGTGAGCCACCACATCTGGCCCCACATTGGTCTTCAATTCTAAATTCACCTTTGCATGTCCTCGGGCCAGTTACTCATCTGCTTGGAGACGTTTTCTTCACCTACAAAATGATTGCTGTGAGGATGAAATTAGTTAAAACTGATGAAGGAGGCAATCTGCCATGAATCCCTGAGCATCCCCTGCCCATTCTTGCTGGCTATGCCAAGACTAAAAGGCACTGACAGCATTTTACTGGGGCCATTTCCCATGGCTGTGTTTGTAGCAAACAACCTTGAGGATGAGGTGATATCTCCCCACCCCAAAGATCAAGCTGACTTCTTAATGCTATAAAAGTAGCAAACCCCCAAGCTCAGAGTTCCTCTCCTGCAATGTCACTGACTCCGTTTGTGGCCATCATGCTGGTCTACCCACGATGGGACTTATGGTCATAGTGAACCAGCATGTCATGCTGACATTCTGGCTACTGCTTTTGCAATGAATAATAAACTGTCTTTTGTCCTTTGGGTCTTCTGCAATCATCCATTAAACAGTTAACAGGTAGGTAAGTAAGGGAAAATCCCAGACCTTGCACAGTTCTTAACAAATACACGCAAAGCACTTAGAACAAAAACTGGTACCTATGATATTGTGTACTATTGAGAATCATCTCTGGGAAGGCTTGCATACTGTACTTGGTCACTGAACCAAAGCATCCTCCCAAGAATCAGGATGACGCAGAGGAAGCCAGCATTCCCTAGGGCTCAGACCATTACCTTCCGTACAATTCATAGTTAAAAAGAAACGTTGATGTGGCCTTCACTAGACTAGGCTAACCTAGACTCCAGAAACAGGACAATAAAGTTAACTGGGATATTCACTCTTTAGCATTCAGCCTAATTCCAACTTTTTGTCTAACTGGAATCCAGAGGTCTTGTATTTATGTTAGGGTAGATGTATTACAGCTTTCAATAAACTTTGACTCCCAGTATGCCAGAGCTAAATGGAACTTTGTAGATCATCTATTTCGATTCCCTTATTTTACAGAATACACTGACACCCAGAGAGAAGAAAAATAAAAGACTTGTCCAGAGTCACATTTTTAAAAAGTAGTCGGCTTATCTCTACAGGATCTTTTTTTAAAATTTTTCTTTTCTTTTAGAGTCAGGGTCTCACTCTGTCACCCAGGCTGGAATGCAGTGGTACGATCACAGCTCACTGCAGCCTCAACCTCCTGGGCTCAAGCAATCCTCCTGCCTTGGCCTCCCAAAGTGCTAGGATTATAGGCATCAGCCACTGCACCCAGCCCAACCTTTTTAAATAACCAGAAACAAACTCCTAAAAAACACTTAATAGGATCAAATATCCTATTTAGCTTATTTCAACTCTGTATAGCATATTAAATACATTTAGATTCCATAAAATACAATGTAGGCATCTTGAAAAACATGAAGTGGTGGTGCTAAGATCAAAATGAAGTTTTGACTAGTTCATAACTACGTGGTGATGAGTGAGGATAGGAAATGCTTTAAAATAAATCTCTGTCATGTTCAGTAATCGATTTAACATCCAATGGCCATCCTTCTGCCTGTTATCTCCGTGGTCAGACAATAGGATACACCATTGATAATAGTCACAGAAATCAGTAAAAACAACAAGAAATAAGATGCCCTTCAGAGTTATAAACATGCAAGTAGTAACATTATTTAAGGAGGAGAGAGGAGGTTGAAAGTAGGGATTTGTAACATATCTTGATCTACAATTAGCTATAACAGAACCCATAGGAAGAATGTGAAAAATTGGGCCCAGAGCCCTACACAGTTCCTACTGTAAAGTGCAACTAATACCTCAGCTCCATTTTATACAGAGATAATGGCCATTTAAAATCTAGTATTTTGTCCCAGACCAACTCAGCTTATATTAAAATGTAGGATTTTGCTCTCATGGGAACTTACAAGACCATCTGAATGCAGTTTGATGAAGCAAGTATAGGCTGTAATGAAGAAGCCTAAGAATTTGAGATAAGAGAATACAGGGAAGCCCTACTTTCGTAAAACAAACACGTGAAAATCTAAACTGCCAGCATGGATAAAATCCAGGCCATTTTTGAATCATAAACTTATTCTTCCCTGTAACAGCTTGTTTAAAGACCATTAGCGCCAGGCGTTGTGGCTCATACCTGTAACTCCAGCACTTTGGGAGGCCGAGGCAGGCATATCACTTGAGGCCAGGAGTTCAGGACCAGCCTGGCCAAAATGGCAAAACCCTGTCTCTACTAAAAACACACAAAAAATTAGCCGGGTGGGGTGATGTACACCTGTGATACCAGCTACTCAGGAGGCTGAGGCAGGAGAATCTTTTGAACCCAAGAAGTGGAGGTTGCAGTGAGCCGAAATCATGCCACTGTGCTTCAGCCCGGGCGACAGAGCGAGACTCTGTCTCAAAAAAAAAAAAAAAAAAGACCATTAGCTAGTCAACCAAAGTGGGGGTGGGGAGGTAGATAATGTAAACTAATGCAATGTCAATGAAAAACAAGCTGAGGGCACCCTAAGAAGTTTATTTTCACTCACAAATATTTTATGTACACACTGACTCTTCTGAAAAACGTTGATTTTGTAATGTGAGGTACTAGATTGCAGAGCATATTATCAGAGGAAATGCTTCTGCCAAATTTGTTTTAACCCATCTTAACTTTCTATATGTTCTGCCCTGTATCGTGAGCAATGAAAGTGGAAATAAGCATGGTACAAACTTCAAAAAACAATGCAGCCAGGCGCGGTAGCTCATGCCTGTAATCCCAGCACTTTGGGAGGCCCAGGAGGGCGGATCACTTGAGGTCAGGAGTTTGAGACTAGCCTGGGAAACATTGGGAAACCCCATCTCTACTAAAAATACAAAAATTAGCTGGGCGTGGTGGTGCATGCTTGTAATCCCAGGTACTCGGGAGGCTGAGGCAGAAGAATCGCTTGAACCCGGGAGGCGGAGGTTGCAGTAAGCAGAGATCAGGCCACTGCACTCCAGCCTGGGTGACAGAGTGAGACTCCATCTAAAAAAAAAAAAAATGCAGCCTAGATAATGCGTAACCATATAAAACTCTGTGAAACAATTATGTCAAGAAAATTGCTGAAAGGAGTGCAGAAAGGGAGGAGCCTTAAGCTAATTGATCTACAATTAGCTATAACAGAACTCAACCCTTAAGTTGGGGAAGATAATGAACATACTGAACTATAACCTAGGCCCTCAAGGGCACAGCCATCTACATTTGAAGATTTCAATAATTCAAAAGCAAAAGTAATCAGGTGTAGGATATTACATAAATATACATCTTACATTCTTTTCTCAGAACCAATGACAAATAAGAAATCCCTACTCAAAATGAAGTTTCACTCTTGTTGCCCATGCTAGAGTACAATGGTGCAATCTTGGCTCACTGCAACCTCTGCCTTCTGGGTTCAAGCAATTCTTCTGCCTCAGCCTCCCGAGTAGCTGGGATTACAGGCGTCTCCCATCATGCACAGCTAATTTTTGTATTTTTAGTAGAGATGGGGTTTCACCATGTTGGCCAGGCTGGTCTCAAACTTCTGACCTCAGGTGATCCACCCGCCTCAGCCTCCCAAAGTCCTGGGACTACAGGCGTGAGCCACCATGCCCGGAATCCTTGCTGAATTTCTTATCAGGTATGAGACTAAAATCCATCTGGCTTTAAATGTATTAGCTAGCCCATATGGTGCCTCTGTGTGAATCAGAAAACGCAGCCCCAGGAAGACATAGTCTTGTAACTGGCACATGATTTGGTAAGTGGTGTGACCTCTGTGGTCTCACACCCTTGGTCAGGGCCCACCCATACATACCGACCTGGTCTCTGTTATACGTATACATTATTAAAGCTCACAATGCAAGTGTACAGCCTATACAAGGTCTTCCTATCTACATATAGAATCTTTGTAAACAGTTTCAGCCAGCACAATAGACTACTAAGCATTTAAGACTTTATCAGTGATTGATTTCAGAGCACATAAAACACCACCTCCATAGTTTTCCCTCCCGGGCCAAACAAAAGAAGAAAATGCCAGCTCTCTGGCTCCAACAATTATCACTCATCTATCTGTTTTGAGGAAAACTACCCAACTGACTGGGTTAGTAAATGGTCAGTCTAGAAGTTGCAGAGTGGAGACAGATTACTAGCCTAAATCTACTTGAGTCTACAGCTAGTGAAATTATTTGCCTATTGCCTCTCAGCACAATAACAGCACTAAACTGCTGTCTGGAAAGTAATAGTTACACAATTTCTTTAGCAAATCTGTGTGGAGTCTAGGCCATTTGCCCAAGTTGATTTCTCATATTTACCTACTCCACCCATCCCCAGCTCCATCACCTCATTAGTGTAGTCTGATTTTCAATTGTAAGCCCACAAACATCTCAATAAGAATAACTTCTATGTAAAGGTTTACTCACCCAATTATCCAGATTCAGCAACCTAGACTATATCAAAGGGGCTGAAAAACAAAGATAGACCAAACCGGCATTTGTTTTGAAATAAAACTAGAGCCAGTAACATAAACTTAGTTGTTGTGGTGGGGTGTGAATGTCAAAGAGTCATATGAACGCTTTATCTAGAGAAATGAAGAATAATTTTCCTTTGCCTAACTATCTACAGCATTTCCCTGAAAGGAAAATTCTTACACATAAGCCCCACCCCACTTCACAAATTGCAAAATGAAGAATTAGTGATTGCCCAACCAGTGAGTAAAGCCAAAACTAATTTGTTCTATTTTTGATGGTACATAACAGCTGTTCCAAGGAGTCTATCCACCCTTGTATAGTCAACCTTTCCAGATACTTCTACAGAATTAAAGACAGAAGTGAACTTAATTTGGGCTGAGGCTTTATGATAGCACTTTATGTGGAGTAACTCTGAATAAGATTTTACCAGTAATTTAAAGCTGTATTTGTTTAAGGAGTTCAGTGACATGTATATCAATTAGGTACACCTTAGATCAAAAATCTAATTTTTTTAGGCAATTGGTAATATTTGATTATGGAATGAATGCTGGATGATACCAAGGAATATGTTAATTTTAATTTTTAAAGACGTGACAGTATGTAGGAGTAAAATGACAAGATATCTGAGATTTGCACTAAAATACTTTAGCAAGGGAAAAATAAAGGATGGATCAAGCAAATGTTGCAAAATGTAGATAACTTATATCTGGGCAATGGATAGATGGTGGTGGTTCATTGTACTATTCTACTTTTTAGCACGTTTGAAAATTTGTTTAAGTTTTGTAAAAAAGTCTCATTAACTGGCTCATATTATGAAGTTTAAAAGTTTATTTCTTTTACTTTTAGCTTAATAACAGACCAACGAATTAAGGGTAGGTTAAAATTCCTCTTAATTTTGAGCAGATCTTTCTTTTTAAAGCCTGGATGTCTATGATATCACAGAACAACAAATAGATTTTTTAAAAAGGATTGTACCCAAAATCTCTTCTCCCTTGGGTGAGTGCCAGAACTGCCAGGTGATTGAGTCAACAGCCATTTCGGAATAATTCCTTCCTAATAAAGTGTTGGATTCCTACCTAGGCCTGCCTTAATAGCTACCTAGAAGCTTCTCACTCATTCATAGGCCACACTGTATACAGCTGGTGGCCAATATGCTGGTATGTATTTGTAGCAATGTAGCTTACTCTCCTTAAAGCAATACAGTAAAATCTTCAGTAAACCAAAGACTGTGCAAATGGTGATAAGTAAGAATTTTGTTTTCTACATTCTTTCATGAGAAAGGGACCAATACCTTTCCCTGCCAGGTAACCTCACACAAAGTCAGTTAAATACCAGAATTCAGTTGTCTGTTTAAGCTACAGCCAGAGTATATTATTTGGAAACAGACTCAACCTGATGAGGAAAATAAGTTTTAAATCAGTATGAGTTAATTTCTCTCCATTACTGACATTCACAATAAATAGCTATGTGAAAATATATCTTAATCTTTCTTTAAATGCATCAGTTTTGAGCTGTATCCCACAATGGGTGTCTTCCACAACATGCCCACTTGGATATCAAGCTAATAACTATATTTTAAGTTACCTGGACATCATCATAGTTTCTCCTGTCTTGAGGGGAAAAAAATGTATCAAACACCCCAAATCCAGCAGAAGGAACCGGTTTCTTCTGCATGGTAGACTGGAGTTGGGTCTTCAACAATAACCCCTGTAGTGCTAGTGGTACCCAGTAACATTTAACCAGATGTGCTGATTTATATAAATTAGCATATATTATGTATGCTGTTATTTACAGTGTTCTTTGAAAGCAGGTTGGAAAAGAACATGATTTCACTTCAGTAACATGTTGCTACTGCCAGAGCTTAATAATATCTAGGTGGATTACAATTAGAATTGTTCCAAAAAGGAACAAAAGAAGAAAAATTGAATAACTTTTTCACCTTCAGAGTCCCTGAAGCACAATGACTCAGTGCTACGGATAATTTCTACAATAGAGGAGGTAGCTTTTAAACTTATCTCTAAAGCAGTCCTCTTAACATTTCAGTGACTCAGTTTCTTTATTTGTACAAAGGCAGTAAGCTGCCTGACAAGGCATAATGTCACAGATATCAAATGGAAGTTTTGTTTAAAAAAATTTTAATGCCTCAAATTGACACAATGAAAGAAAAGGGTAGACTAGTCCTCCAAAAAATTATCATGGAAAAAAATTAGACTCACATCTTATATTCATTCAACAGAATGAAATCTTAGTAAAAGGATAGAATGCATATTCCTCCAAAGGGACAAATGGTATTGGGGAGAGAATAAGGAATCTTTCAACATATAACCATATTATGGTACTTTATACAATAATAACATTAGTGCTGTCAAAATGCAAGAAAGACATTAAACCATCCAACCATAATCATATTTGATTCAAGTAATATAAGGGGTTAATAAAAATGCTCTATATTTGTATAACAATATAGAATTTCCTAATGCTTTCTCATTCCTTACTGTATTTTATCTAAAACACCTTGTGAAGCAAATCAGGCAGGCAGCATTATCCCCAACTGGCAAACATTAATCAAAGAGCTCAAACTTCTGGTGCTAAATGGCTCATCAGAAATCACAAGCAAATAAAAGACAGATGGGACACTGGAACCCAGGTCTTTTGGCTCTCCGTTCCATATTCTTTTGCCAATAATATGAAGTCTCCTGCTAATAAGAGTAAAATGTTACTTGGCTCATCGTTGTTGGTACTGTTTCCATGCTTGGAAGTTTAGGCTCTGACATCACAAGAATTCAAACAAGCTGGGGGTAGAAGAGTTCTCACAGCCCTGAAGAAGTTTACTGAGTTTCAAAATTGGAGAAAAGACAAAGAGGAATGTATGGATAGGTTCAATTGATGGAGTACATATACTTTAAAAAAAAAAAAGGCACATACAAATAAACATTTTTTTAAAAAGCCTCTTTTCACCAATTTACACTCTCAAAATACCTGGTATATAGGGGAAAAAAATCCCCAGCTAATAATTATTTACTGAATAGTTTTGCACCCAAGCACCGGCCTGCCAGGTTTTCAAGAATAGACATAAAATGGGACCCATTCCCAGAGGCAGTTTAAAATATTTGCAGAGACAAGATCAGCATGTAACATTCAGACTCATGACAGTTATTGAGTCCAGAAGAAGGAAAGCCCTCACTAAACTGAAGTAATCGGTGTTTAATGGAAGAGTGAGAGAATATTGAGACATGAGCTGGGCTGTGAAAGGGGGTGAAAGTTATAAAAGAGAAAGGGGTGGCCATTTCAGATTTGGTGGGGATGTTCAGGGTGTGTGGTACTAAGGAGAGGCAAGGGAGGTGGCAGAAGGAAACTGAGGTGCAGAGAAAAACACCTAGTAAATGGATGAGCTGGTAAATGAATGAATGGATAAGCTGCAACTGGAATCCAGGTCTCCAAATATCAAAAACTCTTTTATGCTACTCTGCTCCTTCTAAATGGTCTTCCTGCCTCCATTCTAGCATGCTTTTCCAAGAAATTCTCCAAAGTACTTTTTTTTCTGAAACCCAAATCTGATCAGGTCATTCTCCGCCTTAATCTCTTTAATGGGTTACCCCTACTTTCAGAAAGAAGTTGAAACTCTAACATGGCATACAAGATCCATCATGATCCGGACCCCGTCTCTTTTCTAGCAAGTCTACCATGTGTACCCTTTGTTTCAGCCATATTCATCTAAGTGAACTTTCTTTATTGGATATGCTCCCTTATCTGTTTACCTTTGTATATGTTGTTTTTTCAACCTAGAATGCCTTTCCCTCACCTATTTTCTTCAGCCTTCAGCTGCAAATGTCACCTACTGCGATAAGCCTTTTCTTACTCAAGCATGCAATTCTACGTAGATGCCTCTCCATGACCACCCCCAACCATGCATATTCCTATAGCAACTTATCACACTGCTTTTTTTTTTTTCCTTAAAGAGATGGGTTCTCTGTCGCCAAGGCTGTAATACAGTGGTATAGTCACAGCTCACTGCAGCTTCAAACTCCTGAGCTCAAGAAATCCTCCTGCCTTAGCAGCCTGTGTAGCTGGGATTATAGGCACAAGCTACCACGTCTGGCTCACATTGCATTTTAAGCATTAATTAACTTCCCTGTCTGTCTCAGTAGACTACAAGTATCTTTGTATCACCAACCCTTAGAATTATGCCTAGCACACAGTAGGTACTCAGTAAACCTGTATTGCATAAATGAAATCATTGTTGCTCATACCTTATCATTAAAAATCAAGACTGGGTGCAGTGGCTCAAGCCTGTAATCCTAGCACTTTGGGAGGTGGAGGTGGGTGGATCACTTGAGGTCAAGAATTCAAGACCAGCCTGGCCAATATGGTGAAACCCCGTCTCTACAAAAATACAAAAAAGATTAGCTGGGCCTGGTGGTGCACACCTGTAATCCCAGCTGCTAGGGAGGCTGAGGCAGGAGAATCGCTTGCACCCAGGAGGCAGAGGTTGCAGTGGGCCGAGATCACACCACTGCACTCCAGCCTGGGCAACAGAGCGAGACTCCGTCTCAAAATAAATAAATAAATAAAAACATAATTTATCCAGTTGTAAACAAATAACCAAATAGGAAGTTACATAATAACCAGAAAAATTAACTAATTTGACTTTACTGTTTGAAGAACCAAAGGCTTCAGAAATTATGCAGGAACACAAAGTCAAAAATGCAAAAACATCAAATACTGTTAGGTCACTCTACACTACCGTGTGGTGTGGGGTGCGGTGTTCTGCATCAACATTGGCCTCTCTTAATGGTTAAGTCACTGCCTTAAATAAGTAGGATTCAAGATGTAGTTCCTTCACAACATTTATAGAGCTTTCTCTTCTACTCAATTTAACAAAATGCATTCCATGGTTGACATCAAATTACAAATTAATCTAAGATTCATGCTGTTTGATGACATGTTGCAATCTGGGCCTAACCAAAATAGTTACATAAAATCCAAAACTCTACTACTAATGCATTATTCAAAATGTGATGAGTCCAAGACAGGAATGCCTTATTTTAAAAGAATCAAAACAAAAGGGTCATTATGAGGATGCTTATATGAAAAAAACTGAAGTGAATTCCATTAAATTTTTATTTAAGTAATCTTAAATAGAAATCATTATAGTGTTGAAATGCCACTCTGAAAAATTTCTCACTAATACTCATTAAAAAGTTGAGGATATAAATGAAAGCAGTTCCTCTCTATAGAAAATCTGCTTTCCAGGCTGACCAACATGGTGAAATCCCGTCTCTACTAAAAATACAAAAATTAGCTGGGTGTGGTGGCACGTGCCTGTAATCCCAGCTACTCAGGAGGCTGAGGCAGGAGAATCACTTGAACCCGGGAGGCAGAGGTTGCAGTGAGCCAAGATCGCGCCACTGGACTCCAGCCATGGCAACAGAGCGAGACTTCGTCCCAAAAAAAAAAAAAGAAAAGAAAATATGTGTTCCATTTCCATTTTTCCAGAATTCTGAGGAACTAAATGAAAACAACCAAACTACACAAGCCTTATACCTTATGAATCCATTATACTGGAGCGACTGAATTAATTTTCCTCTGTAGCGGAAATTTTAATCTATGTAGACATTGAGTAGTTAACTTCTTTTTTACCACTAGAAGAATTCGTTTCAATATCAATCACCTGTGTGGTCAATGCCATTTCCCCTTCTTCCCTACTCAGTAACTTAGAGTGGAATCAACTATTCTTTCCTTTACTTTCTATCTTTTGTAATGCCATAGTTCTTACTCTTCTATAGGTAATGGATGCCTTTGAAAAACTGATGAAAGCCATGGGGCCCAGAAAAATAAATGTACCCATATACACTCAAATATTTTCATACAATTTCAGGAGTTTAAGAACCCCTATGCCCCAAGATCACCTACACAAATAATTTCTATCACCATATGGCTCTCTTTTATAATCCCATACCACAACTCCTTTACACTCATATACACACACAAATTAAGGACTAGTTCAGAGATTATTAACATAATACTCAAAATAAAAAAATTTCATCTAAGTAAAGTTGTATCTTACTAGCAAACTTCTAAGAATCCCAGATGAATTCTTTCCTGAAAAGCTTACTAAATCTTACTGTTTGGTCAACTTGCTTGCCTTAAAATGTGCCACAATGTCTTCCTAAATTTGTTTTTGTTAACTCTGACACATCTGCTTGTAAAATCACGTAAGGCTCAAAAGTTATGTTTGAGCAAAAAAAGAAAATTCATGTTAATATTAACAAACTCTTGGATTCAAATCTTGTTCTACCGTATCAAGCTATGTTCAACACGGAACAGTGAAGTTAGCTAGGAACCGGAACAGTGAAGTTAGCTAGGAACTGAAAATGATACGATCTCATAACTATCTAGTTACCTTGTCAAAGCAAGTAAAACATAAAAGATGAATCAGGACAAATGGCTAAAGGGAAGAGAAGAATATAATCAAGGTGTTACTACTAACAGAGATAAGTGTTTTTTTTTTTCTCGAAAGCATACTTCTTAAAAGTGGCAGATTCTTGCTAGACGTACCAAACCATTTGTGGAAACTATCAGTTAACTTTTTACTTAAATTTTTAATCACTGATTAAACCACAGTTTTGTACTGGATCCAAACCAAATGGCCAGATGCCATAAGAAACGGCTTTATTTATATGTCACCCTCTCCTTGTCTATTATAATCAAGTTGGTAGTTAAAGCTGAAATCTATACATTCAACATGTGGCTTGTGCTTCGGATCTGGACTAAGAATACAGCTCTAAGGAGTATCTGCTGAATTTGTACAGGAAAACCCTTTCCCCTCACACCACCCAAATTAGAAAGTTTACAAAAAGCGGAACCCTTCTGATGAGCTGAGGAAACTCCAGTATTTCCCAATGCAATACCAGGCCTCATCGATTTCATTCCTCTGCACATTCAGTGGCAGGAAATGGACTGCTACCATCGGTTCACACTATCAGCACGGTGAGATTTGCACAGTTTGTGCCTACTGCTTTTGAGCGTTCTTAATCAACTAAGTGGAAGTACTGTATGACTATGCCTATTACACACACTCGACAGTTGGTGGTACCTCACCCAGCCTCAAACTCCCACGCGCCCCCACCCTTCCAAAGAAACATTTCTTGGGAGAGCACATGGAGAGAGGCAAGGAGGAGGAAAAAGGCACGTAGGCGCCTCTTCCTGAGATTTCTGGTAAAGTAGAAAGACTGGGAGCATAAATAGTGTTCTTCTTGATTTGCGAAGCTGTAGGTGGGCTCCCAAGGACTTGGAATAAAAAGGAGGGAGGTTCCCCTGCCCCGGACCCTACGCGTTAGGAGGCAAAACAGCAACTAACAAGAAGTGGGAGGAGAATGGAATCGCGCAAAGGTTTGCGCCCACAAGTTAGACAAACAACAGCCCTACCCAGTACTCGGGGTGTCCCCAAGTTGGGGCTGGGCCTTTCTCCTTCCCGCACCGCCTCCCGGGCTGACAAGAGTGAGAAAGGGGTTAAGTAGAGAAGGGGGTGCTCTTCCGCCCCCACGCCGTCTCCGCGCCTCGGCGTGGCCACTCCTTTAGCGGCTCCCCGAGTTGCACAGCGAGGTCGCGGTCATCCTTGGGAGGGGGCCCCGGGTGCCCCCGTGTTCAATGGCAGGAGGATCCCGGGGCTCTCCCTGTCCCTAAGGCCGGCGGGGGCTGCGGGAGCACTCACCAATTTGGGTTTGTTTTTCGTTTCCTCTTCATTGGCGGCCCGGTTCCCCGCGCTCCGCTTGTTGCTCCGGCCCCCACCGGGTTCCTCGCTGCCGCCTCCCGCTCCCGACGCCGCCGCCCCGGGCTGCTCCATCTTTCTCCGGCCCTGTCACCTGTGCCCTGTAACCCCACCTCTCCTCAACTGAGAAAGCACCTCGGGGCGCTCACACTGCCCCGCGCTGACTCGGCGGCACCTCTTCCTGAGGGAGAGAGTGTCTGCCCGGGAAGCTGCCGATTTCAGGCCCCCGGGACTCCAGGCTCCCAGGCACCCCCGACGCAACCACGCCGTTGCCACTACTCGGCGCTGGGGCAAGCCCTGCCCCTGAGCAGTTGCAATTACCACGGTCGCCGCCGCCCTCAGGGCGGTGTTTAGGGTGGAGGGAAAAGTAGGTGCCTATCTCTTTAAGAGGGCCTCAACACACGTGATTCTTCAAAGTGCCCGCATCGGCCGCCCGGGCGCGCAAAGCTGCTTCCTACTCCCGCAGCCGAGCCGGCCCCAGCTACTGAGCATGCCCGGCGCGGTGACTGGAGCCTAACAGAGCACTTTCAGCTGCGGTTAGGCACTGATTTCACTTCCTAGTGGCCCAGCGAGAACAGGGAGGGAACTAGTCAAGAGAAAGGAAGGGTAGCCCATTTTAGAGATGGGGAAACTGAGGCCCGGGAAGATCCGCCTGTAAGTTTCACTGGCGGGTCAACCTGAGTATCAGCTTTCACTTCTGTGGGCCACAGCACCTTCCCTCCCTGAGGCCTCTCCGGGGGTGTGGTCCTGCTACAGTCTGTGGAAAGACTTGATTGGCAAGGGAACTGGCATCCTATAGGAAAACCACCGGGAGTGCTGATTAATTGCCTCGACAGACTGTGTGTGGGTCAGAGTGGAAAGAGTGAGTGCTTTCTGTTGTCGTGATTACGTTGTGACCGAAGAAATACAGTTGTTCCTTTATTCCCTTGCTGCAGGGTTGTTGAAGCAGCAGGCGCCCACCGCTTAATCCCTAGGGGATTGTTAGGTTCTATAACCAAAACACTTACATACAGCTAGCAATTGAATTGAGTGCTATTTTCAGGTTCCCGAACTAGTTTAGAGTTGTTGTGGGGAGTGAATAAGATCATGTGTGTCAAAGCTTTGTTGTAAATGAAAATCCCTAGACAAATGCTAGGTGTTTTTGTGCAGCAGCAGGGCACTGTTGGGACGATAGTCTTAAGTCCTTGCGTCATACCTAGCATTTTGTCCTCAGGACAAAATATAGTACCCACACTGTATTTCTTCCATCCTCTTTAAATGATGCCCTTTAAAAGTAAAGGTACACACTGAGAACATTAGACGGGGTGGGTAGGATTTGAATGAACCACCATCATAGAATAGGAGCACATATGCTAGGAAAGCTACCTATAAAGTAAATTTAAATATGAAATCTATAAACATGCCATACACCTATTACTGAAGATATCTCCAGACTATGACTCCTTTTGACCTTCTCCCCTTCGGCCTAAATTTAATATGCTGAATGGAATTTGTATCTGAACATATTTATTGAGAGTGCATTAGGATGCATTTGACCATGCTATAGGTGCAAGGAGACAGCTAACTTGGGCAGTAGAATGAAAAGAACACCAGATATCTGAAAACAGCTTTAATTCTAGCTTTGTCATTGTCATTAACTTTCTTTTTTTTTTAATTCTGAGACAGAGTTTCCCTCTTGTTGCCCAGGCTGGAGTGCAAAGGTGCAATCTCAGCTCACCGCAATCTCCACCTCCCGGGTTCAAGCGATTCTCCTGCCTCAGCCTCCCAAGTAGCTGGGATTACAGGGACCCACCACCACGCCCAGCTAATTCTGCATTTTTAGTAGAGATGGGGTTTCTCCGTGTTGGTCAGGCTGCTCTCAAACTCCTGAGCTTAGGTGATCCGCCTGCCTTGGCCTCCCAAAGAGCTGGGATTACAGGCGTGAGCCACCGTGCCCGGCTGACTTTCTTTTTAATCATGGAGGTGTGACTTCTCTACTCCTAAGGTGGCAAGCTACCAAAGGACAGCAGAGAAGAGGGAATACATGCTCCCAAACAGGGTGCTCAAGGAGCCCCATGGTAACTTTGCTTTGTTGAAGTTCCCGTTTTACTTACTTAAAGTTTAGTGTATATTTTGAATTCAACTCACTACATACACACACACACAAACACAATTTATATAAATGTCTCCTCTCCTGAAAAATTGAGTCAAAATGGGTGCTTCAGAAAGACATGACCTGTTTAGCCAATGCGTAATTCCTGTTTGTGCCATAGGTGTGGTCCATAGCTGAGGGCCCTCCAAGCGCAAACATGGTTCAGTAATCTGCCCAGTAGACATTTCTTCAGCTCCTTAGAGTACACTAGGTGATACAGAGTGTCATGAGTAAGAAGGATGAAGATGACACAGTTTCCGCCTTTTAGAACTTCAGAGCCTACTGGGAGAGACAGACCATTAAAGAACTGCACTGCACTATAACAGATATGAACAGGAAGCCTTTGAAGCACATGAAAGAGGTAACTATCGGAGTGTCAGAGGCTCAGGGACACCTTCCCAAAGAAGATGATGTTTGAGCTGAGTCTTAAGGGTCTGATTCAAGTTAACATTTGTTGGCAGCCTACTAAGTGTGAGGTACTGTGCAAGGCATCATGAGTACAGTGGTGAACAAGACAGACATGGTTTGGTCTTAGGGAGCTTTCATGCTATCGGGAAAGATATATATAGTTTCACTCTTATTGCCCAGGCTAGAGTGCAATGGCGCAATCTCAGCTCACGGCAACCTCCGCCTCCCAGGTTCAAGCGATTCTCCTGCCTCAGCCTCCCGAGTAGCTGGGATTACAGGCATGTGCCACCACGCCTGGCTAATTTTGTATTTTTAGTACAGATTGGGTTTCTCCATATTGGTCAGGCTGGTCTCAAACTCCCGAACTCAGGTGATCCGACTGCCTTGGCCTCCCAAAGTGCTGGGATTACAGGCATGAGCCACTGCGCCCAACCTTGGGAAAGATATTAAAAATGTATTAAGCAATTACAAGGCAAATAAGGACAGTGAAGGGCATTCAGGCAAAGGAAATGACAATAGCATGTGCAGAAGCCCTGTGGTTAAGAAATTGGTGGGGAGCTGGGGAGACTGTTGGCAGGAGAAGCAGCAGAACAGATAAGGAGTTTCCAGATTGAAGCCCCCTACTTAATAAGTTTCATTACTGTTGTTTAAAAAGTGGAAGGGGGTCAGGCACGGTGGCTCACGCCTGTAATCCCAGCACTTTGGGAGGCTGAGGTGGGTGGATCACCTGAGGTCAGGAGTTCGAGACCAGCCTGGCCAACATGGAAAAACCCAGTCCCTACTGAAAATACAAAAATTAGCAGGGCATGGTGGCAGGTGCCTGTAATCCCAGCTACTCAGGAGGCTTGAGGCAGGAGAATGGCTTGAACCCGGGAGGCAGAGGTTGCAGTGAGCCGAGATCATGCCACTGCACTCCAGCCTGGGTGACAGAGCGAGGCTCTGTCTCCATAAAAATAAAAACTAAAAAGTGGAAAAGCAGAATAAGGAGGCCATTGTAATATGAATTACTTCTGTTTAGAACGTATAAATAGACTTGAAAATGTATTGATATTATTTTGAATGTAAGGTTGGGTTTCATCATCCTCAGGCCAGGTTAATCTGCATGTCATATCCAGTTAGAAGTACATGTAAAAGATTGATAATCTTTTCTGCAAAAAATGAAAGTTTGTCCCTGATATGTCTTACATTTGACTTTATTGTGGTTATTTTGGCCCGTCTTAATTCTTGATGTTTTTTTCAGCATTTTGCTCTAGTTAATGTAAACAGTGGTTTAAAAACAAGCAAAAACCTTTCCTTCAGGCTTCAGGGTCATTGGCCTGGCAGAAACTAACACAGGAAAGGAGCCACTGCTCTCGGTAAGGACTCTTTGTCCACTGATTATGAACCAAGCACCTCACCAATTGTGGTCCTACAGCAGATCTCTCTGCATCTGTAATCCTTTATTTTTACCCTCCTGGGTCACACAAATAGGTTGGTGGATGGAACATCTCTTCTCTGATGCTGAAGAAAGAAGGAGGCTACCACCATCAATTGGGATATCAAAACTTAAATGTATGTTAGAACCACTGACCTTGTGGTCTCTCCCTCTGGACTCTCATGAATGTAGCACCCAATCAGCATTTAAAAGCCAGTCCTGGGGGAGACCAATAAAAGGCTACTGGGTTCTGTCTTCAAACTGACCTTAGAGCCATCTATTACCCCTGAGGATTTCTGACCATCCTGATAGTACCCCTCTGAGTTTCTATGTCTCCCGTCTACAGTGTATTCTCATCTGAACAGTCTGTGTCGTTCATAGATGAAACATGGATTTGAAAAAAATGAGAACCACCTCCAAGGTCACAGCAAAATGTTTATGCATTAAAGGATTCCTAAGAATAAGCAGGTATTTACCAGGTATTAAGCAGGTATACTACATGGTTAACACCAAACTAGATGTCCTGCAGATGTTTCTAAAAAATGCCAGATATTCTACTATAATGTCATATTGTCTTTACTGAAGAATCTCCTGTTTTGCAGAATTGCACACCTAAAATAGCAGGGCTTACTGGGAAAATATGGTTAGGAAAGACCACTTAAATCCAATGCAACTTTATAGTCAGAGCACTAATGAAAACAACCATCCTAATAAAAACCACAGATAAATCTCCACTGGCCTTTGCCCCCAGCATCACAGTCATCAATGCTTGGTAGCCTTTATGCTTCCTCCTTCCTGATGTGGATCCTCAAGGGCATTCACTTTTAATAGATGCCATTTTCATCAGAATTAAAAATCTAATTGAGGAGTAGTCAGCTTTTTAAAAACACATGGTGAAAGGTCGTCACAGCTTCATTAGCACGGGACTCACAGCTTCACCAGATAGTTTAATGTTGTTGAAAACTTAGAGGTTGTAGCCACTAAACCAGTCACTACTTATACTGAAGGCAGAGCTTTGTGCAGGATTCTTCACTTTTTCTTAAAAGTCTTCATATATTGCTAAGACTTCTTATTTGTGAGAAAGTTTGTTTCTGATCACTTCAAAACAAAGTGCTGGCTACGCACAGTGGCTCATGCCTGTAATCCCAACACTTTGGGAAGCCAAGACAGGAGGATCACTTGAGCTCAGGTTTGAAACGAGCCTGGGCAACGTAGTGAGACCTTGTCTCTACTAAAAATAAAAATTAAAAAATTAGCCAGGCCTAGTGGTGCACACCTGTAGTCCCAGCTACTCAGGAGGCTGACGTGGGAGGATGGCTTGAGCCCGGAAGATTGAGGCTGCAGTGAACTATGATCACACCACTGCACTCCAGCCTGGGTGACAGAGTGAGACCCTGTCTCAAAAAAAGAAAGTGCTATGAAAATTCACACACATGTATCAACTGGACTGCCACATTATTTTGACATTATTCTATTTGCCAATTGCTAATATGCTGTTTGTGGTACACAAACACTTGTAATGAAACAGACTGTAAAATGTAAAATCCCTGCCATCATTAGGCCTAAAATCTTGAGAAAATAAGCAGGAGAACTAAGGTGTGAAACAGTAAGAGAAAATTAGCTGCCTAGCTTGGAGATACTGACTCTAAATTCAATATAATATGGTGAAGGAGTGAAATCGGTGGGACCTAGAATAGATAAAGTTTTCAAGGAGGAGGTAGGACTTGAGCTGCTAAGCTATGAAGCAGAAATCAGACTTGAATAGACAAAGCAAAGAAAGGAAGTAAGGAAAAGACAACATATGGAATGGTGTGGAAACAATACTGACCAATAATGTTGAGAGGCCAGTGGCACTTGAGTAGAATGGTGAGAACATAGATGTTGAATAATTGTAGGAAACATGCGTATCCCCATAGTGTGTTCCCAGTTTGTAAACACATTTGAATGCAAGACATAGTGACTGATACAGATCTTTAGCAGGGAAGTTATAAAACAAAAGATGTTTCAGGGAGCTGCTTTGGCAATGGTATGCAGAATAACTTTGAACACTGATTTTCAAACTTATTTTGCCTTTAGTACAGGATTCTTTTTTTTTTTTTTTTTTTTTTTTTTGAGATGGAGTCTTGCTCTGTCGCCCAGGCTGGAGTCCAGTGTTGCAATCTCGGTTCACTGCAACCTCTGCCTCCTGGGTTCAAGTGATTCTCCTGCCTCAGTCTCCTGAGTAGCTGGGATTACAGGCATGTGCCACCACGCTCGGCTAATTTTTGTATCTTTAGTAGGGACAGGGTTTCACCATGTTGGCCAGGCTGGTCTTGAACTCCTGACCTCAGATGACCTGCCCACCTCAGCCTTCCAAAATGCTGGAGTTACAGGCGTGAGCCACCGCGCCCGGCCGAGTACAGGATTTTTTTCTAAATAAAACTCTTCATAGAACCCCAACAGATACAAATGTAGATGACCTGTTTGAAATCAGTGAGAGAGTGGAGAACTGCTCATGTCCACTTGGCTTCCCCTCTCATCCTCTGAGGCAACCCTTTAAGGCACCACTACTGAATCCCAGCTTAAACTAGATAAAGTTGTGAGGATTGGAACTGGAGTGGCCCCAAAGGAAATGAATAGCAACAGTTGAATCCAAGAGCTGTTTAAAAGGAATAAACTGTTCCTCCTCACGGATTATATACAGGAAACAAAGGAAAAGAGAGAGTAAACAAGAATTACCAAAATGTTGTTCCAAGGAAATAAAAAACTAGTGGTAAACAAGGAGATACTATGTCAGCAGGTGCCTGTTATTGACAGGCAAAGCCAGATCAAGGAGCCTGGTACCTAGAAACTAAAAAAACCTAATTAGGGCAGGACAGGAAAGCTAAGAACGTTCCTCTAGTCACCAGCAAGAAGAGTCTGGTCAAGCTGGTAAAGCATGGAGTAGGGGGGTGGGGACGTAACAGTAGGCATAAGCAGGCAAACTGCTGGACTCTGAAAGTCCAGCAATGGATGTCCTTTCAGGCTGACAAAACAGAATCCAGAAAATCTGGTGGCAGCCAATAGTCAGAGGTTGATTCAAAGAGTATGGAGCAGCAATCCAGTCATGGGGATTGGGATTCAAAAACAAATGATTAATCCCTTAAGAGGTCTGTCAAGAGAGTGTCAAATAAGGCAGAGCACTGGTCCTAAAGGAACCAGCACATCAGATGAAGTCTGTGAAAGGAGGCAGACACAGACAAATAAAACTGGTACCCAAGATACTCAGTTTCTTCAAATGGTCTGTGAGAGCGAAATAGGACCATCAGGGATAGGTCCGCTTGATGCCAAGCCACCAAACTACTGAAATACTGCTCCTTAAATCCTCTCTGAATAGGAGCAGGATTGGTTCCAATGGAGGAAAAGAAGACAACAAGAAAAAACCTGTAAACGATAATAACCAGTAATGGTCACTTACCTGGAGGTAAAGGTTACTGGGCTCAGGTATGATGATTATAGGGCTGGGGGCAAGAAGCCAGGCAGCTAAAGCACAGCCCCAGAAAATCTGTCTAAGAGACACCAGTGCCAGTTTCTCCTTTTGGGGAAAATGTCAAGCCTAATAGAGACTTTGAGAATCCTCAAACATATTACGCCTCCTATAGTTTTATATAGTATGCTGAAAACCAACTCTTTGAATGTTATCTGGAAAATCTGCTTCTAACAAAGAACAACAGACTTTTCTTTCTTACATTCACCAAGGCCCCAAAGTGATTTTCAAGAATGGCTTAACAGATCATGAGTGGTAATTATCCAACCTGTAAGTTACTAAGACATAGGTATAGTAATGAGTACTCAGAGAATAGAGTTTTCATAGAGTTCAAAAGCAAGACTAAAATTATGCTATTAAAATCTAGTGTCTCTTATTTTGTGGTTTGTGTTTATTACGACCTTTTCAAAATATTATTAATTACATGAAAATTGAGAAACACATGTTTGACATCTGTAAATAACATGTTTTCATATCTGGGCATCGCTAGTCAGATAAGCCTAAAAACAGCCTTATTTATGTTTTATATATTCTCCCACATCAATTTTAACAGCTTTATTCAGATATAATTCATATATCATAAAATCTACTATTTTAAAGTGTACAATTCAATTCAATGGTTTTTAGTATATTCACAGAGCTGTATGACCATCACCACCCCATTTACCCCTTAGCTGTCACTCCTCCCTCAGTCATCCCAAACCACCCCCTCCAACACATGCACTGCCCAAGGCAACCACTAATCTATGTCTGTAGATTTGCCTGTTCTGGATGTCTCATGTAAATGGAATCATACAATGGTAGTCTTTTGGAATTGGCTTCTTTCACTGAGAATAATGTTTTTAAGATTCATCCAGCCCACATCAATTTTGGTTTGCTCATTATTATCTGTTTCTTGGACACAGATACAAATCAGTTGTTTAAGCCCCTCCCCTGCCATGCACACAGTGACCAAAATGTGCCTATGTACAATTCCAAAGAGTTTTGATATTCTCATGTGAACACATGTAATCTTGCCCCCTGTCTCCTGGTAAAGGCCAGAGATTTGGGAGTTTGATTTCCCATACAATTATATAATAGAGGAAGTTCCTCCTGATCCATGGCCTGATGTCTGACATTTTATAGAAATGACCACAAATACCATATTTAGTCAGGTATACATTATGTACCAGAACAGCTCCTAGGAGTTGATTAAACAGAACAATTCAGAAACCAATTATATTAAATTATATTTTACCTGGTATAGTACCAGGGAATACATAGGCCTTAACTTACTTGTTTCTTAAGTCTCCTATTCTAACATATTATAAGCTAAAAGGTACACCTACATTGACATTAGATTCATTTGGAAGGCCTTCTTTCAAGAAATTTGCACATGAGTTTTTAAGAAAATTTTTGAGAAAGACTTCAGTCACTGGATGATTTCCTGAAAAACAGATGCCAGAATATATATTTTGCTGCTGCTTTCATTGTACTTATTATTTTTTCAAATACCCCTGTAACATTGGCCTTCTGCTGCCTTCAAAACAGGCTAACTTGAGCAGCCATCTCATCAACATTAGCAGCTTCACCTCCCACCTGATATAAGGGCAGACCTGCCTCTAAACCCTATGAACCAACCCTGATTTGCATCAACATTTTAATTCTTTTTTTTTTTTTTTTTTTTGAGAGAGGGTCTCGCTCTGTCACCTAGGCTGGAGTGCAGTAGTGTGATCATAGCTCATTGTATCCTCAGACTCTCAGGCTCAACCATCCTCCTGCCTCATCCTTCTGAGTGGCTGGGACTACAGACATCCACCACCACACGCAGCTAATTTTTAGTTTTTTTGGTAGAGATGGGGTCTTGCTTTGTTGCCCAGGTTGGTCTCAAACTCTTGGGCTCAATTGATCCTCCCACCTGGGCCCCGGCCTGCATCAAAATTTCACTCCTTTAATCCCTCACCATGTTGTTGCTTCACACCATCAAAATGTCTCCAAACTTTGATTAAAATGGTGGCCAAATCCAAAGGCACACAAGGGTGAGCTTGATTCCAAATCCATAGAATAATACTTTTCTATCATAGCCATAGCCCTGTATGTGGCCCTACAATAATATAGAACTATTAGAAGATTGTTTTTTTCTATTCTAAGCTATTTTTGATGACTATGATGTAGGATTATAAAGCAGATTAGATTTTATCTAGCATGTTAGAACTTATGTATCTAATTTTAATTAAATAATATTAACAAATATTTAGCAGTAACTATGTCCAGGGCATTATGCTAAGTAAAGATAAGTGAAAGATATACTATTCATGGTCTCAACAGGCTTAGTATCTAGTCAAGGCAACTGACAAGTATGCAACTAACTGCAAAAGAATTACAGAAACATACAGGAGAAAGAAAACAGGGAAGGTTTCATAGAAAATCTGAGCCTTTAATTGTAAGTAGGATCCCAAATGTTGGAAGTGAGAGAAAAGGGCATTCAGGCAGATGGGACAGTATAACCCAGCAGCATAGAGAAAGGAAAATGTGGGCTGAATTTGATTAGTGGTCTAAATGGAGCCAAAGAGTAGGGGTTGTGATTGTATAGTGGGAGATAAAGCTGAAAAAGCAGAGTGGCATCACATCAGAAATATTTTGAATGCCATAATGAATTCCAAATTTATTCTATAGACTGTGGAGAGTCACCAGAAAAAAATGAAAAGGATAAACACATGATCAGACCTATGTTTTAGGAAAAATGCTCTGGCATTGGTATGTAGAATGGTTTGTAAATTGAGAAACTGGAGGTGGGGAGATGAATTAGGAAAGCCCTTTCAAAAGCCGTTCTCCTATTGGGGAATATGTGTTAGTTCAGCCTGGGTGCCAGTTACAGGAACCTGACCTAGGGTAGATATCCAGGGAAGTCCAGAGAGGGAGGACCTGGAAGGGTGAGCTGAGACAAAATCTGCTAAGAATAACCAAGAGTCAAAAAACGAAAACAAAAATAAACAGAGTGCAAAAGGTTAAAGTCTCCATTAGACTTGGCTTGTGGACCCAAGAGTTGACAAATTGGAGCCAGGATCAAAGTGAGAAGGTGTTTTAAGGAAGGAAAGAGAATGAATGGTAAACAGCCTAGAGGCATCCAGACCTTATGTTGGTGGATATGAGATGCATATGTACGTTGGTCTGGTTTAAGGGACCAGGGGTAGTTAGATATTTCAATGACAGACATACAATAATGAGACTAGGATCTGGGGCAGTAGGAAAGAGAATGGAAAGATGGGAAGAGATTTTATAGGTAAAGTTGTCAGGATTTGGTGACCTAATATAGGCAATGGGAGAATGGGAAGAGTGGAAGAGGATTCTGAGATTTAAACACTGAGTAGGAGGAGTGATTATATTACATTCAGATTGGAAATCTAGGAAGAGAAATACATTTTTAAAAATGTGATGAGATAGAGAGAGAGAGAGAGAGAGAGAGAGAGAGAGATGAAGCAACACTTCAGGTGCCTGCAAGATACACAAATGTAGATGTTTTTAGAAATTAGGTCTGGCATTACTGAGAAAGTTTGGAGATGGAGATGAAGAATTATTAGCTTGGTGCAAAAGCAATTGCAGTTTTTGCCATTATGGCAAATTTTTTTTGTAGAGATGGGGTCTTGCTTTGTTGCCTAGATTGGTCTCAAACCCCTGGGCTCAATTGATCCTCCCACCTGGGCCCGGCCTGCATCAAAATTTTCCTCCTTTAATCCCTCACCATGTTATTATTTCACACCATCAAAATGTCTCCAAACTTTGATTAAAATAGTGGCTCCATTCAAAGGCACACAGGGGTGAGTTTGATTCCAAATCCATAGAATAATGCTTAATCCCTCACCATGTTGTTGCTTCACACCATCACCACCATTATGGCAAAAACTGCCATTACTTTTGCAGCAACCTAATACATAACAGTATTAGTTGAAGATGTGAGAGTAGGTGAGATCATCAAAGGAGAGTGTAGAGTTTATGGGAATCAAAGAAAGAAGTCTGTGGGAACTCATGTGAAGTGTGGACAAGGAAAATAAACCATCCAAGGAAAGAGCCTACTGGAGTTTATTACTCATGGTAGATTCTGAGATTTCAGTACTGAGTGACAGGGAGAGTGGTGATACCATGATATGTAAGGCAGATAAATAATCTAGAAGGAGAAACATTTTTGGTATTGGATGGATGGATGCTGAGAGAAAAATTCACACATCTCAGATGGGATTCATGTGCAAGAACACAAAAGCCATGGATTAACTTTAAAGACATGGTAGCCAGAAAAGTCAGAAAGAATGAGATCTTTGGTGACGTTAAAGATGGAAATCAGGAAACTGAAGAGCAGATTTCTTCTTGGAAACAATGTACCCCTAGAAGACCATACCCACATTAAAATCAAGCTAACGTTCCTCAGAACTCCACTTTTGAAATTCCTTTCAGAGACAGTTCACCAGCTTAATAAAACGTCAGAGGGTCCCCACTGTTGACTTTCATGTGTGTCTGGTGGTTTCTTTCTCTCTTATACTCCTCCCACTTCGCTCTTCCCTACTCTCTCTCACATTTACTCAGCTTAGTTCATTATTCTCCCCTTTCTGCCAGATATAGTAGTTCTAACCCTACCCCTCTGTTTCCATGAAAGTTTCTGCTGTGTTGACCTCTGACCACACACAGGGTAGAGGAACTATATAGGGTAGAGGCTAGTCCAAGGAGCCAAATTGAAGCCAGGATCCAAGGAAAGCAGTAATTGCAGTGTATCAGAAAGTAGACTGGCTGCCATAATTGTATTTGTGTGCTGAAAGTCTGCTTTAAGGGCTGGAGGCTTATAATATACAAATTACAGTAAGTTAAGAATTTCCTAGATATATGCTTATATATGAAAGGTCATATACAAAGCACACAGATAGCTACACATGAAGATAACCCTTAATTTATCACATTAATATGTACACATACAAACATGCCTATTTTAATAATGACCTAGAGAGAGAATATGAATATGAGAGACTACATTTATTTTGGTTATTTGAGAGTAGATTGCATTTCACTTTCTAAATTTATTTTTCCTCTCTGTTACTTCTAGAAAGCAGAACTAGCTTTACTTGGGCAGTGAGCTGCACTTTGGAAATACGTTTCAAGAGCTTTAGCATACAAATCCTACATCTTGATTCTGAGCTTCTTTCCTCTAGGCAGCTGATATTGTTTGGCCGTGTCCCCACTCAAATCTCATCTTGAATTCCCACGTGTTATGGGAGGGACCTGGTGGGAGGTAATTGAATCATGGTGGCAGGTCTTTCCTGTGCTGTTCTCGTGATAGCGAATAAGACTCATGAGATCTGATGGTTTTAAAAAGGGGAGTTTCCCTGCATAAGCTCTCTTCTCTTGTCTGCCGCCATATGAAACATGCCTTTCACCTTCCTCCATGATTGTGAGGCCTCCCTAGCCACTTGGAACTGTAAGTCCATTAAACCTCTTTCTTTTGTATGTTACCCAGTCTTGGGTATGTCTTTATCAGCAGCATGAACATAAACTAATACAGCAGCACATTAAATGTATAACTTTAGAGTGACCCATGATAATTGATTCTAATTTAGAGACTTGCCTCTGGGTGATTATGGCATATCCAGAGGGTTCACCATGTGGCCATCAGAGGTGAGAATTCTTAGCTACATTAGCTAGTTCTATACATCAAGGCAATTCACAGGAAAGGGTCTAGAGGACAAGCCATGGAAATATACAGGTTGTCAATATGAACAGTGTTGAACTAGAACAGTGGTTCTCTAACTATGGTCCCCAGACCAACAACATCAGCATTACTTGAAAACCTGATAGAAATAAAAATTCTTGAGCACCAACCCAGGTCTACTAGACCAAAAGCTCTGTGGTGAAATCCAGCAATCTGTGTCTTAACAAGCCCACCAGCTGATTCTGATGCCCACTAAAACTTGAAAATGACTGAAATAGAAGAAAACATGTCATGAGCAGGAGGGTTATAGGACAGAGAAGAGAAAAACATGATACCAGAAGTGGAGATAGAATTGAATTAAGGAGGGGAATACTGAAGGAGTAGTTTACCAAATAGTATCCTTCTGACTGCTTTCTCAAGAACAATTCTTCCATGTGGATGTTTTAAAATGGCTAAACTACACATTTAAAATGCAGCAATAAATGGAGTGGAATGGGAGACCAAATGTTGAGTCAAAGGTAGAAACAGAGTCAGGGGTGGATGGTGTTAAGAGATGAATCTAATTCAAACCAGCAGGAACCATCAAGAGTAGAACAAAGCACAACAGTGGTAGATAAGTAAAAGGAGGTGAATCAGTTGCTTCTGATAGTTTAGGGAAGCTCTGACACTCCTGACACTACCAGAGAGAAGAACAAGCCGCTCCAAGGGTAGGAATGAGGTCAAGGGGAAGGGATATATATATTGGTATTGATATTCCAAAATTATCTGAGGGGGTGCTTGAAAAAAACAAGACATTCAGAATAAGCCAGGCCTTTGATATTTAGCAGTGGGGCGTGGTCTATGAAACCACCTTATTTCACATTCATAGCCCTCAAATGGGCATGGAATTTCTAATACTAACATAAATCAATGGATCTATAAGAAAGTAGATACATTTAAATCTGACTAAGATGGTTTTAATGGTTGTAAACTAGCCTTTGTCATAATTTGAATATACTTGCCAGTAGAATTTACGGTTATCAGCAGCACAAAGTCTGTGAGAGGAAACTATCTAGGATTGGTAGAGATCCAGGTATTTAAGATCAAGGACCTGGCACCAGGTGCGGTGGCTCACGCCTGTAATCCCAGCACTTTGGGAGGCTGAGGCAGGCAGATCACTTGAGGTCAGGAGTTCAAGACCAGCCTGGCCAACATGGTGAAACCCTGTCTCTACTAAAACTACAAAAATTAACTGGGTGTGCTGGTGGGTGCCTGTAATTCCAGCTACTCGGGAGGCTGAGGCAGGAGAATCGCTTGAACCTGGGAGGCGGAGGTTGCAGTGAGCCAAGATCATGCCACTGCACTCCAGCCTAGGCAACAGAGCAAGACTCAGTCTCAAAACAAAACAAAACAAAATTAAATTAAATAAATAAATAAGGACCTGGGAACCAACTCATCTATATAGTTTGGCTTGAGGTGGTGGTGGAAGAGCAAGAAGGTGGTCATTCACTTAGAAAGGCTTAGCAGGCTCTGCTGTTGTGTAGGCTGTAGCTGGTGCCAAAGTATCCAGTCAGGCAGGTGGGTCAAGGCACAGAGGGATCCAGGCAATAAATATCTGATGAACCTTGAAAATATTATGCTAAGCAAAAGAATCCAGTCACAAAAAGCCACATATTGTATGATTTCATTTACATGAAATGTCCAGAACAGGCACATCCACAGAGACAAAAATAGATTAGTGATTCCTAGGGAGTTAGAGAAGGGGTAATTGGAAATAACTACCATGGGTATGAGGTTTTTTTCTCAGGTAATAGAAAATGCTTGGAATTATAGCATTAAGGAGTGGTGATGGTTGCACAACTTTGTGAATACACTCAAAACTACTGAATTGTACACTTGGAAAGTGTTATGTGAATTATATCTCAATTTTTAAAGAATATATTGTGAGCAGGCATGAGAAACAGAGATAGTTTCCTTCCAGAGCTTACTGCCTATTATAAATGATAAATTCAGGATTCCTCTATTATAATGTACCCTACTACATATGCAGGTATCTTCTGCCCTTCTTTGCGTCACACTATGGGAAGAGGAGCTCAGGGAACTGGTACAAATGCTGACATTCTGGCTACTGCCGTTGCTCGTATTAGTAAACTATTCTTTGTCTCTGACCCTAGAGTCTTGTGTATTCTGCCAGCATCTATATGGCTGACTAACTTATTAACTTGTACATAGTATAAAATCTCAGACCCTTCAAAGTTCCTGACAAGGACCGTAAAAATAATTTAGTTCAAATTTCTCATTTGAAAAATTTTAAAGCTAAATCACAGTTGTGTATTTAATTTCATGAAAGCTGAGAAAGAAGAAATCTATAGGAAGCAAAAGCTGGTTTCTTTATGAAATAGATTTTGTAAGCATTTGTCATGCCATATTTCTGTTTATTTGTTATACAAATATTAGAGGACCATTTTGAATACACAACTCCAAAGAGGAGTCTCTGACTTTTTCTTGGTGATATTTGCTGACTTTATGTTTCTAATAGCATCTTTGAAAGACTAAAGAAAAGAGATCTAAAATGAAGAGTCACTGGTGTATGTAGGGACTGGTGATCATTTTATTCTTGGTTATCAGGAAAAATGGTGGTATTATGAAAAATAATTTTAGAATGGACTGGATGCTTCTTGAAGTGTATCATAATTTCAGAATAACTTTTATAAGATAGATATCTGCTATCTAAGTGATACAGTACTTCATTATAAATTGGGTTATCTCACCACTTTTTTACTCTGGTTCTTATGTATTATTAGGGATTGTTCTAGAACTTTGCAAACAATTCTGTATAGTTGAACTGCTCTTAGATTTCTGAGTTATTCTATATAGCATTGTTGTTAATGATTAGTTTATAGTATCCTATCAAGACTGATTTTTAATTTGAATAACATAGTCTGCAAGGTCATGACCATTTTATAATGACAAAATTCACATATTTCTACTGAATTTTTTGACAAATATAAACAACATTTTATAAATAATTTTTAAAGATATCTACATCAACTGGGTTTAAGACTTCAGGCAAAAAACTAAACAAATGGTCATGACCATTTTATAATGACAAAATTCATGTATTTCTACTGAATTTTTTGACAAATATAAACAACATTTTATAAAATGTTTTTAAAGATATCTACATCAACTGGGTTTTAAGACTTCAGGCAAAAAACTAAACAAATGAGTACATTAAGTCTTAAAAATAATAAGCTCCAATACTTGATGCAGTAGTGTTAATTAAGCAATATTCTGGGGCTTAATATATTCCTTTATTACCTTGGTTGCATCACCATGGGTCTAGCTGAATTTGTTCCTTCAACATTGCATTTCTTCTTTAATAATACTTAGCACATTTTAGTGTATTTGTTGTTTATGGTATTTCTCCTTCTCTAGAGTGCAAACTTCTCAAGGGCAGGAAATGTATTTCTTTGTCTTTCCAGCCTGAGCACCTAAACCAGTACCTGGAACAGGGTAGATATTAAGCAAGTAGATGTTGATTCTCCAGGTAGATAAGACATTTAGAAAAGTAACTCATAGTTACTGATTTTTAAATGTTGGTATGGTTTGGCTCTGTATCCCCACCCAAATCTCATGTTGAATTATAATTCCCAATGTCGGGGGAGGGGCCTGATGAGAGGTGATTGGATCATGGGGATGAATTTCCCCCTTGCTGTACTCATGAGTGAGTTATCACGAGATCTTGTCATTTGAAAGTGTGTGGCACTCTCTCTCCTGCCACCATGTTAAGACATGCTTGCTTCCCCTTTGCCCTTCCACCATGATTGTAAGTTTCCTGAGGCCTCCCCAGCCATGCTTCCTGTACAGCCTGCACAACTGTGAGCCAATTAAACCTCTTTTCTTCATAAATTAGCCAGTCTCAGGTAGTTCTTTATAACAGTGTGAGAGTGGAGTAATACAAATATATACTAGATGATATATACTTACGGGAGACGTTCTTTGTATTCATGTATTTGGAAACCTGAAATAATCACTGTTTTGGGCCGAACTGTGCCCCCCAAAATGGATATGTTGAAGTCCTAACCCCCATATCTCAGAATATGACTGTATTTGGAGATAAGGTAAAGAGGTAATTAAGTTAAAATGAGGTCATTAGAGTGGGCCCTAATCCAATATGACTGTTATTCTTATAAGAGGCAGTTAGGACACAGACACACAAAGGAAAACCAAGTGAAGACACAGGAAGGAGACAGCCATCTCTGCAAGCCAATGAGAGAGGCCTCAGAAGAAACCAACCCTGCTGATGCCTGGACTTCAGACTGACTTCTAGCCTCCAGAATTGTGAGAAAATTAATTTATGTTGCTTAAGCCACACAGTCTGTGGTACTTTGTTATAGCTGTCTTAGCAACTAATACAATAGCTAGCAAACTAATAAAATCACTAAAAGATTGTTTTGGTAAGCGTAGGATTGAAAAAATTCTCATGCTCCTATGGGAATATTTATGTATACTATATTAGAGTCTCTTCCCCTGTACAGAAAATATAACACTATAGTGACCCAGCGTCTTTCTTTTCTTTAGTGTCTTTCCTTAAGACAAATTTGTGCACATACTGACAGTTCCTTATTCACAGAGTCTCACTCTGTCTCCCTGACAGGAGTACAGTGGTGCCATCACAGCACACTATGGCCTTGATCTTCCAGGATCCAGCCCACCTCAGCCTCCTGAATAGCTGGGGCTATAGGTGCACACCACCACGTCCAGCTAATTTTTAAAAATTTTCTATAGAGATGGGAGTCTCACTATGTTGCCAGGGCTGGACTAGGCTCAAGTGATCCTCCTGCCTCAGCCTCCCAAAGTGCTAGGATTATAGGTATGAGCCACCACACTGCCCCCACACCCCTTTTAACATCATAATCTCTCAGCTCCTGAGTAGAATCACAGTAAAAATGACAGTTTATTTCCCCATCTTATCTCTAATACTTTTTTTTTTTTTTTGAAATGGAGTCTCGCTCTGTCGCCAGGCTGGAGTGCAATGGTGTGGTCTAGGCTCACTGCAACCTCCGCCTCGTGGGTTCAAGCAATTCTCCTGCCTCAGCCTCCCGAGTAGCTGGGACTACAGGCATGTGCGACCACATCCAGCTAATTTTTGTATTTTTAGTAGAGACGGGATTTCACTATGTTGGCCAGGCTGTTCTCCAACTCCTGACCTTGTGATCTGCCCACCTCAGCCTCCCAAAGTGCTAGGATTACAGGTGTGAGCCATCGCTCCCAGTCACCTCTAATACTTTCTAAAGCATCTTCTAATTTCTCTTTAACTAGCGACTATAATTTGCTTCTTCAGCATTATTAATTTACTAGCACAATATGTGGGACAGGAACCTTATCTTAAAAAACTATGAATGATAAGGCCAGGTGTGGTGGCTCATGCCTGTAATCCCAGCACTTTGGGAGGCCGACGGGGGTGGATCACGAGGTCAGGTGTTCGAGACCATCCTGGCCAACACAGTGAAACCCTGTCTCTACTAAAAATACAAAAAATTAGCCAGGAGTGGTGGCGGATGCTTCTAATCCCAGCTACTCAGGAGGCTGAGGCAGGAGAATGGCGTGAATCCAGGAGGCAGAGGTTGTAGTGAGCCGAGATCGCACCACTGCACTCCAGCCCAGGCGACAGTGAGAGACTCCGTCTCAAACAAACAAAAAACTATGAATGATCAACAGAATTAATTAATACACAAAAAGAAGAGCTAGTTCTTTTAAGAAATCTTATTATTCTTCATATTTAATTTTGATATTAGAATTGACTTAATTTTATCACAAGAAGGGTCTGGTATCATATTCTTTTCAAAGGAGGCAATTGTTTTTTATGTTTTTTTTTTTTCTGGAAAAGTTACAAGGAATGACTAGGAAAATTAACAGTTTTTCTGAAAACAAAATAATATGTTACAATCTTTTGAAGTCCAATAGTTTATTCCTAATAAGATATATCCAACTCTAGAGAGCCATGTAAATAGCTCCTTTAACATAATAATGAAACATATTAGCAAATTTATCAGAAGAAGAACATTTCTAGCCATAGCAGAATATTCTTAAGCTATCAAATTTAGTTTGAGAGTACAGGCCTGGGATTCCATAAAGATATGGCGAATTAATTCCCAAGAGAAATCTAGTTTGGGATGTACTTCAAATGATGTATTTCCAAACTTATAGTCATCTATCTTTTTTATGAGGACATAGAAACGTTTTCTGACTTAAGAGTAGACAGTAACTTGACTCGAGGTTTCCTCCTTTTAGAGTAAAAACTATGGGAAACATGGACAACGTTTATCAATTAATTATCGATCAAATAAAAGACTATAAGCATTCAGTGACTTCAGGTACCATCAGTTGATTAGGAAGGGCTGAGTGTAAAGTGCCAGATAACCAGCTGAAAAGTGAAAACAAAATCAGGGTAATTCATGGGTGCATTGTTGTTTTTGGTGTTTTTTTAATGACCACATCCAGTCAATCAAATCGTTTATTTCTTTTTCATCAAGGTGACTATTTGTGCTGTCTGGTTGACTTGGGACCAGCTCAGGAGAAAACTACTCCACTTTTAGTCTTATCTGGTTCATTTTTCCTTTTTAATAAGGGAAAAAAGATTTAGTCAATTATCCTCTTGCAAAACCTCCTTGTCCCCCCAGTTTTCCCACTATGCCTTCTTGCTAAAACTGGCAACTTGAAGGTCACAATTCTTTGACCTCATCAACTCCAAAGCCTTTTATCTCTGCTCCACTTTGGCTGCACATTCCATGGTCACACTGTAAATTAGTTTGTGCAACATTTAGTACATGATATTCATTTTGGTAAAGCCCCTACGTGATTCTCATGGAAGGAAATTGTGGACCACACTTGAAGGAACACTGTTCTGGATTTGAGTTTATGGGGTGGGGGATGGTTGAGAGAGTTCTCATTTGAATTCCTCTGTTTTCCTTGTGAGACAGGTAAGTTTGTGTTTTTTTCTGCTCCTCATCCCATCGGCCACACTCTCATACATCCTTAAATATACATACCCAGGCCAGGCACGGTGGCTCATGCCTGTAATCCCAGCACTTTGGGTGGCTGAGATGGGCAGATCACTTGAGGTCAGGAGTTCGAGACAAGCCTGGTCAACACGGTGAAACCCTGTCTCTACTAAAAATACAAAAATTAGCCAGGCATGGTGGCACATGCCTGTAGTCCCAGCTACTTGGGAGGCTGAGGCAGGAGAATCGCTTGAACCCAAGAGGCAGAGGTTGCAGTGAGCCTAGACTGCGCCATTGCACTCCAGCCTGGGTGGCAGAGTGAGACTCTGTCTCAAAAAAAAAGTATATATATATATATATATATAAAATGTATATATTTTATCAATGTGTATATATGTATATATAAAAGTATATATATACACACACACACACACACACACACACACCCCAAAGTAAAACCTTTTTTTTTTTTTTTTAAGAGACAGTCTTGTTATGTTGCCCAGGCTGGTCTCCACTCCTGGACTCAAGCAGTCCTATACACACACAAACACACACACACACACACACACACACACACACACACATCAAAGTAAAACTTTTTTTTTTTTTTTTTAGGAGACAGAGTCTTGTTACATTGCTCAGGCTGGTCTGCACTCCTGGGCTCAAGCAATCCTGCCTAGGCCTCCCCAAATTGCTGAGGTTATAGGCATAAGCCACCACACCTGGCTCAAAGTGAAACTTTTTGTGATAACTTCTCCCCACCAAATTGATCAATTTCATTTAGAGTTACTAGGGTATTGCATTCATGTATTTATCCCAGATCATCTCATACACTATACTAATTTTTTGCTTCTGTCTCCTTAAATCATAGTCTTCCTCAAGGTTTTGTTGTCTTCCTCTTTCTTCATTCTTTCCATATTCCCTGTGCAATATCATCCATGCCCGTGACTTCAACTAAAACACATACAAGTGATGATTATCAGATCTATACCTCTAGAGCACATATTGTTCCTGAACTCCAGATTCATACTTCCAGTGGTCTACTGGACATTTCCACTTGATTGTTTATAGGTATTCCATGTGTCAATGTCCAAAACTGAACTTATTTACTTCCTGTGCTCCCAACCCTTACCCCAAATCTGCTCCTCTTCTATTCTCTATCTAGGTAAATGGTACTACTAGGTACTGTTGTTGAAGCCAGAAACAAAGCAGTCATTCTACAGTCCTCTCTTCCTTCATTTATTTAATGCTGTCAGTTATTCTTCTGAGATATTTCTAAAATCTCTACTCTCTACTCTCTCCCTGCTATTGCCTTCGATAAAAGGTAGTTTATTGTATATGGTAGTTTATGGTACAGCCAAGACTAAATAATGATTTACTGGATAAAAGGCAAATTAATTACAGCAAGTCATTCAATAAGGTCATTTTATTCAATGTCGTCTTTTGTTTTTGACGGAGTCTCACTATTGCCCAGGCTGGAGTGCAGTGGCATGATCTCGTCTCACTGCAACATCCACCTCCCGGGTTCAAGCCATTCTCCTGGCTCAGCCTCCTGAGTAGCTGGGATTATAGGCGCATACCACCACGCCTGGCTAATTTTTGTATTTTTAGTAGAGATGGGGTTTCACCATGTTGGTCAGGCTGGTCTCAAACTCCTGACCCCGTGATCCGCCTGCCTCGGCCTCCCAAAGTGCTGGGATTACAGGCGTGAGCCACCATGCTCGGCCTCAATGTTGTCTTGTTATAACATTGATAAGAAAAAAAAATTGCTTCCTTGCTGGGGCCACTGTCTGTGTGGGCTTTGCATGTTCTCCCCATGTCTGTGTGGGCTTTCTCTGGGTATTCTGGTTTCCTGATACATCGCAAAGATATGCATGTTAGATTAACTGGTGTGTCTCAATTGTACCAGTGTGTGTGAGTGGAGAAGTGTGTGTGAGTGTGCCCTGCGATGGGATGGTGACCTATCTGGGTCCACTTCCCACTTTGCACCCTGAGCTGCTGGGAGAAGCTCTGGCCACCAGAAACATTGAACTGAAATAGGCGGGTTGCAAAATGAATTAATGAATACAAATGATTGTAAAATAAAAATGTGTAAGTTATACAATACAATCATACAAATACACAACAATAAATGACGCACTATGAAAGTGTTCAGTGAGCCTACTGTATTTGTTATTCTTTGTTTTGAACTGTGTGGTAGTAGCAGGTGCTTCTGACAATTTTTGCCTTTTTTTTTTTGAGACAGAGTCTCACTCTGTAGCACAGGCTGGAGTGCAGTGGTGCAATCACAGCTCACTGCAGCCTTGACCTCCCAGGCTCAAGTGATCCTCCCTCCTCAGCTTCCCAAATAACTGAGACTACAAATGTGCACCCCAATTTTCGCTTTGTAATCATTATTCCTTGATTAACCCACTACTACAACCATTGTCACTCACTGATTCAACAAAAACTGAGTAATTATCTTGTTCTCATTATTCTTTTTCAAATGTGTATGTAGCTCACATTTATTTCAATGTTTACTATAAGAAGTATTTTGGGTCTTTATTTAGAAATTTGGTAATTTTTTTAACTTCTATTTTAAGTTCAGGGGTACATGTGCAGGTTTGTTACATAGGTAAACTTGTGCCACGGGGTTTGTTGTACAGATTATTTCATCACCCAGATACTAAGCCTAGTACCCATTAGTTATTTTTCCTGCTCCTCTCCCTCCTTTCACCACCTACCCTTTGATAGACTCCAGTGTGTTTTGTTCCCTTCTATGTGTCCATAAGCTCTCATCATTTAGCTCCCGCTTATAAATGAGAACATGTGGTATTTGGTTTTCTGTTCTTGTGTTAGTTTGCTAAGGATAATGTCCTCCAGCTCCATTCATGTTCCTGCAAAGGACATGGTCTCATTCTTTTTTATGGCTGCATAGTATTACACGGCATATATGTACCACATTTTCTTTATCCAGTCTATCATTGATGAGCATTTGGGTTGATTCCATATCTTGCTATTTTGAATAGTGCTGCAATGAAAATACATGTGCATGTGTTTTTTAATAGAATGCTTTATATTCCTTCGGATATATACCCAGTAACGGGATTGCTGGGTCAGGTGGTATTTCTGTCCTTAGGTCCTTCGCCACACTGTCTTCCACAATGGTTGAATTAATTTACACTCCTGCCAACAGTGTATAAGCATTCTGTTTTTGTCCAGCATCTTTTTTTTTTTTTTTTACTTTTTAATAATAGTCATTCTGGCTGGTGTGACATGGTATCACATTGTGGTTTTGATTTGCATTTCTCTAAAGATCAGTTATATTGAGCATTTTTCATATGATTGTTGGCTGCATGTATGTCTTCTTTTGAAAAGTGTCTATTCAGCAGGGCATGGTGGTTCACACCTGTAATCCCAGCACTTTGGGAGGCCGAGGTGGGCAGATCACGAGGTCAGAAGTTCGAAACCAGCCTGACCAACATGGTGAAACCCCGTCTCTACTAAAAATACAAAAATTAGCAGGGCATGTTGGTGCGTGCCTGTAATACCAAGTACTCAGTAGGCTGAGGCAAAAGAATCGCTTGAACCCGGGAGGCAGAGGTTGCAATGAGCCGAGATTCCGCCACTGCACTCCAGCCTGGGCAACAGAGCAAGACTTCATCTCAAAAAAAAAAAAGTGTCTATTCATGTCCTTTGCCCACTTTTTAATGGGCTTGTTTGCTTTTTCTTGTAAATTTGCTTAAGTTCCTTATGGGTGCTGGATATTAAACCTTTGTCAGTTGCATAGTTTGCAAAAATTTTCTCCCATTCTGTAGTTTGTCTCTTTACTCTGTTGATAGTTTCTTTTGCTATGCAGAAGCTCCTTAATTTAATTAGATTCCATTTGTCGATTTTTGCTTTTGTTGCAATTGCTTTTGGTGTCTTTGTCGTGAAATCTTTGCCCGTGCCCATGTCCTGAATGGTATTGCCTAGGTTGTTTTCCAGGGCTTTTATAGTTTTGGGTTTTACGTTTAAGTCTTTAATCCATCTTGAGTTAACTTTTGTGTATGGTTTAAGGAAGGGATCCAGTTTCAATCTTTTGCATATGGCTAGCCAGTTCTCTCAGCACCATTTATTAAATAAGGAATTCTTTCCCCATTGCTTGTTTTCGTCAAGTTTGTCAAAGATCAGATAGCTGTAGTTGTGTGGCCTTATTTCTGTGTTCTCTATTCTGTTCCATTGGTTTATGTGTCTGTTTTTGTACCAGTACCATGCTGTTTTGGTTACTGTAGCCCTGTTGTATAGTTTGAAGTCAGGTAGCATGATGCTTCCAGCTTTGCTCTATTTGTTTAGGATTGCCTTGGCTATTTGGGCTCTTTTTGGGTTCCTTATGAATTTTATTTTATTTTATTTTTTATTTTTTTGAGACAGATCCATGATCTTTGGTCACTGCAACCTCTGCCTCCCCGGTTCACACGGTTCTCCTGCCTCAGCCTCCCGAGTAGCTGGGATTGCAGGCACATGTCACCATGCCCAGCCAATTTTTGTATTTTTAGTAGAGACAGGGTCTCATTATGTTGGCCAGGCTGGTCTCGAACTCCTGACCTCAGGTGATCCGCCTGCCTTGGCCTCCCAAAGTGCTGGAATTACAGGCGTGAGCCACTGCACCCAGCCCCATATGAATTTTAAAATATAATTTTTGAGTTCTACGAATAATTTCGATGGTAGTTTAATAGGAATAGCACTGAATCTATAAATTGCTTTGGGCAGTAGGGCCATTTTAACGATATTGATTCTTCCTATCCACGAGCATGGAATGATTTTCCATTTGCTTGTGTCCTCTCTGGTTTCTTTGAGCAGTGGTTTCTAGGGTTTGTAGTTCTCCTTGTAGAGATCTTTCACCTCTCTAGTTAGCTGTATTCCTAAATATTTTATTTTTGTGGCAATTGTGAATGGTATTACATTCTTGATTTGGCTCTCGGCTTGACTATTGTTGATGTACAGGAATGCTAGCGATTTTTGCACATTGATTTTTGTATCCTGAGATTTTGCTGAAATTGCTCATCAGCTTAAGAAGCATTTGGGTTGTTACTATGGGGTTTTCTAGATACAGGATCATGTTATCTACAAATGGGGATAGTTTGACTTTCTCTCTTCCTATATGGATGCCCTTTATTTCTTTCTCTTGCCTGATTGCCCTGGCCAGGACTTTCATACTGTGTTGAATAGGAGCAGTGAGAGAGGGCATCCTTGTGTTGTGCCAGTTGTCAAGAAAATGCTTTCAGCTTTTGCCCATTCAGTATGACGCTGGTTGTGGGTTTGTTATACATGGCTCTTATTATTTTGAGGTATGTTCCTTCAGTGCCTAGTGCATTGAGACTTTTTAACATAAAGGGATGTTGAATTTTATTGAAAGCCTTTTTTGCATCTATTGAGATAATCATGTGGTTTTTTACTTCAGTTCTGTTCATGTGATGAATCACATATATTAATTTGCATATGTTGAACCAACCATCCCAGTGATAAAGCCCAGCTGATCATGGTGGATAAACTTTTTGATATGCTGTGGGATTTGGTTTGCCAGTATTTTATTGAGGATTTTTGGCATCGATGTTCATCATGGATATTGGCCTGAAGTTTTCTCTCTCTTTCTTTCTTTTTTTTTTTTTTTCTTGTATCTTCACCAGGTTTTGGCATCAGGATGATGCTGGCTTCATAGAATGAGTTAAGGAGAAGTCCCTCCTTCTCAATTTTTGGAATAGTTTCAGTAGGAATGGTACCAGCTATTCTTTGTACATCTGGTAGACTTCAGCTGTGAATCCTTCTGGTCCTGGGCTTTGGTTGGATGGTAGGCTATTTATTACTGCCTCAATTACAGAACTCAGTACAGGTCTGTTCAGGGATTCAATTTCTTCCTGGTTCAGTCTTAGGATGGTGTATGCGTCCAGGAATTTATCTATTTCTTTTAGATTTTCTAGTTTATGTGCATAGAGGTGTTCATAATATTCTCTGATGTTTGTTTGTATTTCTGTGGGATCAGTGGTAATATCCCCTTGTCATCTCTGATTGTGTTTATTTTAATCTTCCTTCCTTTCTTCTTTATTAGTCTAGCTAGTGGTCTATCTATTTCATTAAATTTTTCAAAAAGCCAGATCCTGAATTTTTGGTCTTTTGAATGTTTTTTCTTGTCTCAGTCTCCTTCAGTTCAGCTCTGATTTTGGTTATTTCTTGTCTTCTGCTAGCTTTGGGATTTGTTTGCTCTTGGTTCTCTAGTTCTTTTAGTTGTGATGTCAGATTGTTAATTGATCTTTCTTACTTTTAGATGTAGGCCTGTAATGATATAAATTTCCCTCTTAACACTGTCTTAGCTGTGTCCCACAGATTCTGGTACATTGTATCTTTGTTCTCCTTAGTTTCAAAGAACTTCTTGATTTCTCCCTTATTTTCATTATTTACCCAAAAGTCATTCAGGAGCAAGTTACTCAATTTCCATGTAATTATATGGTTTTGAGTGAATTTCTTAGTCTTGATTTCTAATTTAATTGTGCTGTGGTCCAAGAGATTGTTTGTTGTGATTTCAGTTCTTTTGCATTTGCTGAGGAGTATTTTACTTCCAATTATGTGATCAATTTTATTGTATGTGCCATGTGGCAATGAGAAGAATGTATATTCTGTTGCTTTTGGGTGGAGAGTTCTGTAGATATCTATCAGGTCAATTTGCTCTAGTGCTGATTTCAGATCCTGAATATCTTAGTTAATTTTCTGTCTCGATGATCTGTCTAACATTGTCAGTGGGATGTTAACATCTCCCACTATTATTGTGTGGGCATCTAAGTCTCTTTGAAGGTCTCTCATAACTTGCTTTATCAATGTGGGTGCTCCTGTGTTGGGTGTATATATATTTAGGATAGTTAAATCTTCATGTGGAATTGAACCCTTTACCATTATGTAATACCCTTCTTTGTCTTTTTTTATCTTCCTTGGATTAAAGTCTGTTTTGTCAGAAACTAGGATTGCAACCCCTGCTTTTTTCTTTTTTCCATTTGCTTGGTCGATTTTTCTTCATCCATTTATTTTGAGCCTATGTGTGTCATTGCATGCGAGATAGGTGTTTTGAAGACAGCATGCCAATGGGTCTTGGTTCTTTATCCACCTTGCCACTCTGTGTGTTTTAATTGGGGCATTTAGCCCATTTACATTTAAGGTTAGTATTGCTATGTGTGAATTTGATCTGTCATCATGATGCTAGCTGGTTATTTTGCAGACTTGTTTATGTGGTTGCTTTATAGTGTCACTGGTCTGTGTACTTCAGTGTGTTTTTGTATTGGCTGGTAATGGTCTTTCCTTTCCATATTCTGTGCTTCCTTCAAAAACTCTTGTAAAACATGTCTGATGGAAACATTCTCTCAGCATTTGCTTCTCTGAAAAGGATTTTATTTCTCCTTTGCTTATGAAGCTTACTTTGGCTGCACATGAAATTCTTGGTTGGAATTTCTTTTTTTTAAGAATGTTAAATATTGGCCCCCAATCTCTTCTGTATTGTAGGGTTTCAGCTGAGATGTCCGCTGTTAGTCTGTTGGGCTTCCCTTTGTAAGTGACCTGACCTTTCTCTCTAGCTGCCTTTAACATTTTGTTTTTTCATTTTAACCTTGGAGAATCTGATGATTATGTGTCTTAGGGATGATCTTCTTGTGAAGTATCTTACTAGGGTTCTCTGCATTTTCAGAATTTTAATGTTGGCCTCTCTAGTCAGGTTGGGGAAGTTCTCATGGATAATATCCTGAAATATGTTTTCCAAATTGATTCCATTCTCCCCATCTCTTTCAGGAACACCATCAGTCATAGATTCAGTCTCTTTACATAATCCCATATTTCTTGGAGGTTTTGTTCATTCCTTTTCATTTCTTTTTTCTCTATTCTTTTCTGCCTATCTTATTTCAGAAAGTCAGTCTTCAAGCTCTGAGATTCTTTCCTCTGCTTGGTCTATTCTTCTATTAATACTCGTGATTGCATTATGAAATTCTTGTACTATGCTTTTCAGATCTATCAGGTCAGGTTTGTTTTTGTTTTTTTTTTCTATACTGGCTATTTTGTCTGTCAGCTCCTGCATTGTTTTATCATGATTCTTAGCTTCCTTGCATTGGGTTTCAATGCACTCCTGTAGCTCAATGATCATTTCATATCCATATTCTGAATTCTATTTCTGTCATTTCAGCTGTCTCAGCCCAGTTCCGAACCCTTGCTGTAGAGGAGATGCAGTCTTTTGGAGGAAAGAAGGTACTCTGGCTTTCTGAGTTTTCAGTGTTCTTGCGCTGATTCTTTCTCATCTTTGTGGGCTTATCTACTTTCAATCTTTGAGCTTGCTGACCTTTGAATGGGTTTTTTTTCTTTCTTTTATCCTATGTGATGACCTTGTGGGTTTGATTGTGGTATAAGGTGGATTCAGCAGACTGACTTCGTTTCTGGGAGATTTTAGGGGTCCAATGCTTAGCTCCCAACTCCCGGACTATGTGCTGTAACTCTGGAGGACTTGTACTGGGCTCTGACTTTGTTCTCTGGCTCCTTGAGGTTTGGAGTCCACTGCGCTGGGTGGGGCCGACGTGCGGCAGCTGCAGCTGAGTGCTGCTGGATACAGGAGTGTCTGCCTCCCTGCAGGCATTCACCACAGTGGCGGTGGCAACACAGCTGGTGAGGGGTTGGGGTGAGGCCCTTCTGGATACTGTATGTGGGGTTGCACTGGAGGTGGTGTTGGCTTGGGGGCAGAGTACTGGCCATCACAGGTCTGGGTGCCTTCTCTGTGCCCAGCAAGCAGGAGTGATCGCTCAGGGTGCGGGAGGATCCACTATTCTCTGCACAGTGTTAGTGCAAGGGTGAGGCGCTGGCCGGCGCAGGGCTTGTTGGCTCGGTGCCTGTCAAGGGTCGGTCTGCAATGGCAGTCAGTGGCGGGAGTGAGGGGGCGGAATGCACTCCTGCGTGCTTCTGGGGCAAGTAAAGCCAAACCTGACCGTGCAGCCAGCAAAGTGGTGTGGGGAGTTGCTGTGGGCCTGGGGAAAGCTGCAATATGGGGAGAGAGTGTGTGGTCTGGTGCGTGGCTATAGGGGCCACCTCGCTGGAGCTCTCCACCAGTCAGACACGTCCTCCCGCAGCGCAGAAGCTATGTTGTGAGCCCCCAGGGCACCCGAGACTGCCCTGCAAGCAGGTGTGCCAGGTTGGGGCCCCAGTAGAGGCCAGCAGACCAAAGGGTACTCAAGTCAGACCAGGCCTATCTGCTGTGCAAGACTGCCCTGCAGAGATCAGGTCAGGCCATTCCCCTAGAGCTAAAGTCTCTTATGGGGGCAAATTAAACCTAGGGTGATGGCCGTCCTTGGCTGTGCTCCACTGTAGACACTCCTGCCCCAAATCCTCTGGGCTCCACATTAGCTGGCTTGCTGCCCCACCACTTCTCTAAGCAGCATTCTCTGCCACGTCAAGTGTCTGCCGTGGTGGAGGAGTTCCCTCCTGTGATGGTTCCAGAGGCTCATGGAAGGAGTCGGTTGCTCCTTGCCAGTTCAACTCACCTGTTCCCGGGAGCTGTTGTGGTTCAAAAATGAGTCCCAGTGTACCATAGCCTGTGCAGGGTTCCCAGCTTTCTCCTCCTTAAGCCCAGCTTCTGTGTCTTCCCTCCATCCACTCTAGGTGTCTTTTCTCTGAAGAGCTGTTGCCAGCTGTCTCAGTCCCTCTGTGAGAGCTATTCCATTTGTCTGCATCTGCTCTGCCATCTTGCCCTCTCTTTTTGCAATCCTGATGCTGTTTTTGTGACCAGAAACATGACATAGGAAGTTAACTCTTGTTTATGTAAGTTATCTTATGGCAAAATTGGTTTTGTTATATGCCATCTCCCTTAGAGTCAAAAGTTCCAAGAACCTATCAATCAACCACATGAAGTGAGATCTTACTTGTATACATATTGAGTCTTCAAAAATCTTTTATTTTTATTCAACTTCTGAAGATATTGGATGGATAATTATTGAGAGGGAAGAGTAGTCTGTTAGCCAGATCCTCATCTTTCACAGCACAGCGTAAATATATAATATCCAAAATCAATAGATAAAAAAAAAAAGCATTACTGAAAATTCAGAGTAGAGAAACATGTTGAAAACACCACAAAGATAAAATTAGCCAAATCTAGAATGTGGGAAATTTCATGGCACAAAAGACCTAGTTAATTTTTTTAAATGACATGGGAATATGGGGGAAGGGCACTGTTATAGATTAGAGATTTAAGAAACAAATAAACAGAATGCAATATGGTGATTTTGTTTGCATCCTAATTCAAAGAAAGAAAAGATAATTTGTGAGCCGTTGGGGAAATTCAAACACAGGTTGGGTACTGAATACTAGTAAATAATTATGAAAAAGGTATTAGAATGATGTTTTCAAAATGCTTCTCATGTGCTTGAGACATATACTGAAGACTTCAGTGAAAAGATATGGTATCAGAGATTTGCTTTAAAATACTCCAAGTCAAACCATATACAAAATTTTACTCATAAAATACCACAGACCTAAATGTAAAAACCTAAAACTATGGCCGGGTGCAGTGGCTCATGCCTGTAATCCCAGCACTTTGGGAGGCTGAGGTGGGCGGATCACTTGAGGTCAAGAGTTCGAGACCAGCCTAGCCAACATAGTGAAACCCCGTCTCTACTAGAAATACAAAAATTAGCCATGCATGGTGGTGCATGCCTGTAATCCCAGCTACTCGGGAGGCTGAGGCAGGAGAATCGCTTGAACCCGGGAGGCTGAGGTTGCAGTGAGCCGAGATTGCACCGCTGCACTCCAGCCTGGGCAACAGAGTGAGACTCTGCCTCAAAGAAAAAAAAAAACCTAAAAGGATTTGGCAAAAAATTATTAGATATGATTACCAAAAGCACAATGCATAAAAGAAAAAACTAAATTGGACTTCATCGGAATTTTTAAAACTTCTGTTATACAAAAGACACTTAAGAATATAAAAGGACAAATCAAGGACTGAAGAATATCCTTGGAAATCATACAGTCCTTAAGGATTGTATCCAGAATATATAAAGAACTCCTGAAACTCAATAATAAGTAAACACACAGTCCAATAACACAATGAGTGTGAGGAAAGAGTTAACGAGACCCAGTAGGTCTCATTGCTCAGTTCTCACACACCTCCAAGAGAACTTGGAGCTGTTATTGATCACTGGACAACCTCTGGGAATGTGGTATTTGGCTGATTCTTCATGTTAACGATTGAGGATTTTATTGTATGCACCTAGAGCAATGTACTATATTATACCATCTTGCTTTGCACTAAATCAAGATTGATGATGTGAACCTGATTTCATGTTGGGGTCTTGAGTTTTGACTGCTACAGCTGGCTGCAGAGCAGAATGTGCTGTGTGACCACCTTTCCATAGAAACTTCAGATCCTGAGACTTAAATGGCCTTCCTCATATAGAATCTTCACATATGTTTGTCCCATACAGTTCACAGCAGAGATAAAGTATATCCTCTGAGACCCCATGTGGGAAAGTATTGGTAACCTGTGCCTGACCACTCTGGACTCCACCCAACAGATATTTTGTTACCCTTGTCCTCGCACTGTACGCTTTTTCTTTAACAAATGTTAGTCGTGAATAAAATCTGCTATTGAGTTTTGTGAGTCCTAGTGAGTTATCGAACTTGAGGGTGGTCTTAAGACCACTGAGACAATAGAAAAAGTATTTGAACAAACACTTTACCAAAGAAGATAAAAGGATGACTAGGATGACTAGTAAGCACATGAAAAACTGCTTAATAAGATTAGTTGTCTGGGCAATAAAAAAATAAACTACAATGAGATACTATTACATGCCTGTTAGGATGACTAAAATTAAAAAGATTGATCATACCAAGTGTGGCAAGGTATGGAGAAATTGAAACTCTCATGCACGGCTGACATTAACATAAAATGGTACAATCTTAGGAGGCTGAGGTGGGCAGATCACCTGAGGTCGGGAGTTTGAGACCAGCTTGACCAACATGGAGAAACCATGTCTCTACTAAAAAAACAAAAATTAGCTGGGCGTGGTGGCGCATGCCTGTAATCCCAGCTACTTGGGAGGCAGAGGGAGGAGAATCGCCTGAACCTGGGAGGCAAATGTTGCCATGCCTGAGCCGAGATCACACCATTGCACTCCAGCCTGGGCAACAAGAGTGAAACTCTGTCTCAAAAAAAAAAAAAAAAAGAAAGAAAAAAAGAAAAACGATAAAAAAAAGGTACAACCACATCAGAAAAACAGTTTGGTAGTTTCTTCAAAAGTTATGCATACACCTACCATACAATCCAGCCATTCCATCTCTATGTGTTTACCCAAGAGAAAAGAAAGCATGTGTTCATACAAAAACTTGTATATGAATGTCCATAACAGATTTATTTGTAATAGACAAAACTGAAAACAACTCAAATATACATAAAGAAGTGAATGAATAAACACATGGTTGTATATCCATTCAGTGGACAACTACTCAGAAACCAAAATGAAAGAACTATGGATCCACACAACAATATGAATGAATCTCAAAATAATTATGAGTGAAAGAATCCAGACTAAAAGAGTACTTATTGCCTGATTCCATTTATTTAAAACTATAGAAAATGCAAATTAGTCTATAGTGTCAGAAAGAAGATCAGTGGTTTCCAGATTGGGGACAGGGTATGGGGAGAGGCAGGATGACAATGAGAAAACATTTTGCAGTAATGAATGTATTCAATACTTCAATTGTGGTGGTTTCACAGGTATGTATTTATTTTAGAATTTTCAAAATGTACAGTTTAAATGTGTGCAGTTCATTGTATGTCAATCGTACCAAAAACATAAAACTAATCTATGCTGTTTATGAAAAAACGTAGCTTAATGTTATAGACTCTACTTTCTCTACTATGTTCCCAGCAATCGAAATTGTTTCCTCTGCAAACAACACAGGAGGGTAGAGTTTCTAGACAGTGAGCAAGGAAAAAGGGGCTGGACAGTACAGCTAGAAGTTATACTTGGCCTCTGCTCCAGAGACTGGTTAGAAGGGAGAAAAAAACAGAAACATAAAGGAGCTTCAGGAAAAAATGGGAGGGTGGTGTGTCTAGATGAAGCATGATTGACAAAATGTTCATAATTTGTGTAGTTGGATGATAGGTATATGGGTTTTGTTACAGAAAAAGTGATATTAGCTTAACATGTGAGTTAACAGAAGAACTAAAACCCAAAATATTTGAAAGTGATTGTATCCTGGGAATCAAAATGTGGGAAAGAGGGGCAGCCATTCTTTACTGATTGAATTTATAATGATTAAATTTGTATGTTGATTTTTTAAAAGCAATTTTGCAGAAGGAGGATTGATTAGTCAACATTAGGCATGTGTTAAAAAATGTTCACCTTCCCTTGTAAAGTCACTAAGTTGTATAAATCAATTAATGATTAATGCAGTAGTTTAGCAATTTTGATAATCACTTGTTTTTTGACAGCTGAAGTTTTTTCAAAATTCTGATTTATCTTTATTTGTACAGTTTGGGTAGAGGAAAAGAATTCTAAATTTGGAAATTATAAGTACTCAGACATTTGAAAGCTCTTAGGCTTTTATTTAAGAATATATAATTTTGGTAGAGCTTTATGAGCTGAAAAGAATTGTCAACATAATATATATATATATGTATGTCCTGGGCTCAATATATGTATATATCACCATAGGCTGGGTCTGGTGGCTCATGCCTGTAATCCCATTGCTTTGGGAATCAGAAGTGGGAGGTTCCTTGAGCCCATGATTTTGAGACCAGCCTGGCAACGTGGCAAAACCCCGTATCTACAAAAAATAAAAAGAAAATTAGCTTGACGTGGTGGAGTGTGTCTGTTTTTCTAGCTGCTCAGGAGGCTGAGGCAGGGCGATCCCCTGAGCCCAGGAGGCCAAGGCTGTAGTGAACAGTGATGGTGTCACTCCACTTCAACTTGGGCAACAGAGCGAGACCCTGTCTCAAACAAAGAAACAAAACCAAAACAAATACCTTGTACTTCTAGGTGAGAGGCATTTTTATCATATTCCACATCACTATGATCTCTCTTTGCATAATAGGGAGAAAAATTTCAGAAATGAGAAAATTCAAGAAAGGAAAAGAATGTCTTCATATTCCTCTTGTTTCATCACTCTACTTCGGGCGAATCTTTGATTAAAGGAATATATATATATATTTATACACATACACACACATATATATACATATATATATACATACACATATATGTATATATCTTAACATCTATAAATTTGGGAGATTTTGGGTTCTGAGGATTCAGAAAAGGGTTCTGAATTCATTGTGAATTCAAAATAGGTGATCCAAATGGTACCCTCACTTACTAAAGAAATTGGTTGCTAATAAACCAAAGAAGATAAAAACACAAGAAATGCCATACTGGATCATATCAGCATCTCTTTAGAAGTGATACTAAAATAAATCTTTGTGGGAGAACCCTGTGCTTCTGTTCAAAGTAATTAACCTCAAAATATTTTTCAAAACACCCTCAATATCCCAAAACATCTTTTCATATCTCATTAGGAATCTATAATCACTGAATTTACCCAAATCTTTCTTTGACCTATTTGAAGTGGAGGGTGTGCAGCAAAGTGTTAAGGGCACAAACTGCAGTCTGTTAAGTTTAGCCTAAAGCTTCCTCCTTTTAAGTTCAGCCTAAAGTTTTCTCCATACATAGTGAACTGTAACCTAACTGGATGTATAACCTATTCTTGTACCAATCTCCAAGGTTCAGCCAATCAAAGGCGGCCAACTGTTCAAACTCTGTGCAGTGTAATAAGACACTCTTACCAATACAGCTGTTTCTGTATCTCACTTTCATTTTCTGTACATCACTTTACTTCTTTTGTGCATAAATTACCCCCAACCATGTGGCAGTGAGCTAGAGTCTCTCTGAACCTATTCCGGTTGCAGAGAAGGGGGCAAGGGGTGGGGAGAGTGACTGCCTGATTCATGAATCATTATTTGCTCAATTAAATTCTGTTAAATTTAATGTATTTCAAGTTTCTCTCGTAATACGTCAAACAAACCTGGGTCGGACTCTTAGATCTTGGACAAGGAATTTCTATGAACCTCAGTCTCATCATTTGTAAAATACAGATCATTAAAGTAACTACTTCACAAGTATGTTGTGATATTCAAGGAGAAGATTCATGCAAAACACTTAGTATAGGGTCTGACAGTCAATACTTTATATGTAAGTCATTGTCATTTTGTATTTTCAGCATGTATATTTTCTTGGTGTTTACCATTATTAGTACCAGATCTATTCTATTCATTAAAAGAAAAATTCTTTTTATAATAAAGGCTGAGCTTTAAAAGGATGAAATAGTCAATCATCCACATAGCATGATTTCTAAGAGTATCAGGAAAATACCAACCCCTTCGTTCCCCCAGTCCCCACATGAACACAGCATACTCTTCTATTCACTTCCATTCCACCAATAAAGTGCTATCTCTTTGCTGACTTGGTTGAAATTCAGTTCAAAATTCAAATGTTCCCATTGTACATTGAAACTATAGATTAAACAAAGAATCTAAGGCTGATTTTGATTCTCTGGAAAGGAGAGGCTAGCAAAGGACTGAATGGAAGAAGCTGGGTCAAGTAATGCTAGTAACTACCAGGAAAATCTAACTCTCCCCTCCTTTACATCGTGGTTAAGGAAGCTATTTAGTGCACTGGTTCTCAAATAGTTCTGACAAATAGAATCACTTGGGTCATTTGCTCAACACTGGACTCCCAGATCTTTCCCCTGGGATTTTGTAGGTTTAGGACAGGGCTCAGGATTCTGAAGGTTTAATGAGCATTCAAAGGATTCCTAAGAGCTGACAAGTTTGAGAAGTGCTGGAGTGATTAGGGGCCCAGGGTTTGGAATCAGACTACACCTGAATTCAAATCCTAGCTCCCCCTCTTGGAGATGGCTGACCATGGAATTAATTGGCCACCCTCAACCTCAGTTTTCCTCCCGCAAAATGTTGCATTGGGATTAAATAAGTTAATATATGTAAGACATTTGTCTCACAGTGAGCACCGAAAAAATTGTTGGCATTATTATTGTGTTTAGTTTCAATTCATTTATACTTATATATGAATCCTTAGAGTCTCCTGGGCAAGGTGCCAAAGTGGCCAATGATTTTCAAGAATTTTTTGTTTGCTCTCTAACACGTCCTTATCTTTGAAGCCAGAGTTAGAGAAATTAGCATTGTTATTTTGATTAGCTGTTGTGGGTCACCTTTTATATCTTTATGCCTTATCATGTAAATTAAGCATTCAGAGTGTCTGAACATTCCAATTCATACCCTCTACCATAGGCACTGGACATCACCTGTCCCTGGAATGTTGATTTTCAAGGCTTCTCTTTGAGTTCCAACTTGAAAAGACCCAAGAACACTCTCTTATCAGTTTCAGTTTAAGCAGGGCTTTGAAAGAGCTTCAGAGTTTGACCTCCATGTTAGAAGGGGTAGGTGTCAGAGAAACAAGAAACAGAAATGGACAGACAGTAGAAGAGAAAGCAGGGATAAAGTTAAAGACATACCTACAGCAACAAGGAAAAGACTGAAAAAGACACTAAAAGACAGATTGACAGTGCCAGATAGAGGAGGGAAGGAGGTGAGAAGACAAAGTCAATGATGGAGAAAACAGACAGAGGCACAGAGAGAGCTAGACATAGGGATTTACATAGGAATAGAGATAGGCATGGGCACAGAGAAAGAAACCAAGGTATGTGCTAGGATGAAAGCTTCTCTTGTTACTAATACAAGTAGGTTTCATGTAGGGAATTTCCCTGGCAATTGAGGAAAGGGGAAATTCATTCGTTCCACGCAATTTTAAAGTCATTGCTATAGGAAAGGCACTGCTAGGTACCATGTGGAAATATAAGCTTTCCATCCCCCTAGGTGGGGGAAGTAAAAGTGTGATAAGGCAGAATGCAATAAGCAGCTTTAAAATGTGAGGCCCTTTTTAGTCCTGAGAAGGAAAGAATACATTCAGTTGAAGGATGAAGGAGGTGTTACAGCATTGGTGCTGAACCCAGAGGGATGAGTACAGATTTAACAGATGGAGGGGGAAGGAATTTTCAAACAATAGGAAGAGCATTAGTAAAAACTTTGAGCAAGGAAAACAAGGGGCATGTTCAGGAAAGAAGGAATGGTATAATTTGGCTAAAGTTTATAAGTAGGGAAACACTGGGAAAAACTAAAAAGTCATTTTGTGTGCAAGAGGAGGAGCTGAAGGTAAGATTGAGGAGAAAGCAAAGGTTTTGGACAGGGGAGTAACAAGCCTGTGGAAGAATTAGGAGGAGGAGGCCTGGAGGGTATAAGTGGAGACATGAAGGAGACTGTTGCTATTGTATGTTCTGGAAGGTAAATCCTATCAAATGTCTCCTGATCATTCCTCCTACCCATTCTTTACTTTCTTTTCCCCAGTGTCTTAGTCATTATTTGGTTGGATCAGTAATGGTTTAAAGTGTTGTTGTTGTTGTTGTTGTTGTTGTTTTTGTGTTTTTTTGAGATGGCGTCTCGCTCTGTTTCCCAGGCCAGAGTGCAGTGGCACAATCTCGGCTCACTGAAGCCTCTGCCTCCCAGGTTCAAGTGATTCTCCCACTTCTACTTCCCAAATAGCTGGGATTACAGGCACATGCCACCACACCTGGCTATTTTTCTTATCTTTAGTACACATGGGGTTTCGCCATGTTGGCCAGGCTGGTCTTGAACTCCTGACCTCACGTGATCCACCTACCTTGGCCTCCCAAAGTGCTGGGATTACAGGTGTGAGCCACTGTGCCCAGCCAGTAGTGGTTTAAAGTCTTAATTGGAGGTAGAGGATGAGGTCAAGGAAGGAATTGAAGATAGCCTGTAGGTTTCTAGCCTGAGTAATTGGGAAGATGGTAATATCATTAACAGAAATTAGTTTGGAGGAGATAGGTTTAGTTTTTGATATGTAGTGTTAGAGATGCAAGTGAATCATTTAGATTATGTCCAGGAGGTGGCTGGATTGTGGATGTGGACATTTGGAGAGAGTTTGGTGCTATTAATATAGAGCCTAGAGGTGGATTATGATGTGTTCCAGGAGAATGACTGAAATAGGCTCTTTGGGAAGAGTTCTCATATACTTTCCGTTAGCCATGAGGTCCTTTTTTGTTATACTCTGGAACCATGTGTTAAGATATCATGACCCTCAGTAGTAGATTCAAATTAGTTTCACTCTTCTACTTGATTGCCACCTCTATGGCTAAGGCACCCTTCCAGACCCAGAGGGAAAAGAGAGAGGGAATTAATAGATAGTCATAGACTACAGACAGTAGGATGGTATGAAAGGTGTTCTCTTTTTCCAGGAGAGCATGGTACCTGCCTGCTTAGATGCGTTACTGCCACTAATGAGCACAGAGTAATAGCAGATAGCGTGAGAACATATGCGGCCATGTGACATGACTATGTATCTATCTAGGCTGTCCTACTTTGCTCCTGGAGCTAGTGAAGTGGTATTCTGCTGATTTGTACAGAACCAATAGGACTAGTAAAAATGGCTAAGACAAAACCCTACTGTCTCCACGTAGGTACTTGCTTCTTCTTGAAGGACTCTTTTTTTTTTTTTTTTTGAGATGGAGTCTCGCTCTGTCACCTAGGCTGGAGTGCAGTGGCGTGATCTCGGCTCACTGCAACCTCTACCTCCAGGGTTCAAGCAATTCTCCTGCCTCAGCCTCCCAAGTTGCTGGGATTACAAGCGTGCACCACCACGCCCGGCTAATTTTTGTATTTTTAGTAGAGATGGGGTTTCACCATGTTTGCCAGGCTGGTCTTGAACTGAACTCCTGACCTCATGTGATCTGCCCGCCTCAGCCTCGCAAATTGCTGAGATTACAGGTGTGAGCCACCACGCCAGCCCTTGAAGCACTCTTTAACCACCTTCAGCCCTTCAAGATGGGGTGGGGGGATTGGTGGGCTGGGACGGGTTGCTATAAACATAGAGGGAGTGAGGCCATAAACATTTGGCTATCTCAGGACCTGTTATCACCTACTGCCCACTATAGTATCTTTTACTTCCTTCCATCTCCAAAGCCTGCAGGGTGTTTACTCCAACCACATTCAATGTAAGGTATCCCTTAAGCACCGCAAAAATGTATGTATCTTTGTCATTTAAAATAGGTACACTCCAAGAATGGGGAATAGGTTCCTGGGTCTTCAGCAAGTTACCTCTTTCACTCTGCCAGTTGCTGGATAGCTTGAAGTAATTGATCTGGTACAAAGGATCTCAACTGTTAAAATTTATCAGAACGACCTGAGTCGTTTTAAACATACAGATGCTCAGGCCCTCCTTATGATTATGATTCCTTTTGTTTGGGGTTAGGACCCAGGAATGTGTATATTTAACAAGCTTCCTAAGTGATTCTATTCACATTGTTACCAGTAAATTGAATTATTTCCATCTTGACCTTTTGAGACATTAAGTTGGGTCCTATAGGCCTTAGGTCTCATTCCTTAATTGTATTTGCACCATCAATCAATGAGTCTCAAGGAAAATCACGAAGTGTAACCTTTGAAAATGAATATCCTCAGGTCTCATCCCATATCTACGCTATCAGAATCTCTAAGAATAGCGCCCTGGAATCTGCATTCTTATAAACACCACAGTTATGTGCAGGACACTTGTCTGGAATCCACATTTTGACAAACACTGATCTACATGTGGGAAGTTAAACTTGGCCTCCATTGTCAGGGATGATGAGGTTTGCGGCACAGTGGAAAGAGGAGGTAGATCTGATTGGCTGTTGAGTCACTCTGGCTCGGTGGACCAAAAAGTTCATGGTTTAAATCTCAGCCTCAGTAATGTACTGAGCTGTGGTTAGGGTCTAGGCAAATAAGGCCAGATGACAGCTGGAGAAGATTGCTAATTAATTAAACCTGGTCTAAGGTCAGGCCACCAACTGGCAGGAACAAGATCTTTTTCAGTTGGAGAATACGGATGAGAAGAATAGGAAAGATCTGAAATGTAAGAACTTTTTTTGACTTCTCTAACACCTCTTGTTGTTTATTTGTCTTAGAGCTTAAGCAGTTCCCCTATAACAGTATCAGAATTGACTCTTGAATTATTATTCATTGTTAAATTTTGTTAGGAATGCATTTGAAATTCAAGAACAAGGTACACAAAGTAGACACTATTTGAAAAGGCATTTAGACTTTTTTAAAAGTGAGGAAAAAATATTTTTTCAGTGATATTTGAAAAATGGAGGAAATGTTTGTATTTTTCATGGTGTGTATTTTGTGAAACCATCCCATTATTTTATGGTAACATTTCTTCAACTGTGAAAAGCCATGGAAGGTAGGGCTGGTTTGCTTTTCTATTAATGGGGGCACTAGAGAGCATAGCTCCTAGTGGCACTTAAACGGAATTTGAGATTTTATATATACAGTGGTTTTCTGTTGTTACTGAAACATTTGACTGTTAATTATGACTGAGAGTACTGTCTCCTCTTCCAGTCAATTAGATGGTTAACTTCCTGAGGGCAGGTACTTTGTCTCTTTTTTTTTTTTTTTTTTTTTTTTGAGTCAGAGTTTCACTCTTTCACCCAGGCTGGAGTGAAGTGGCGCGATCTCGGCTCACCGCAACCTCTGCCCCCTGGGTTCAAGTGATCCTCCTGCCTCAGCCTTCCGAGTAGCTGGGATTATCGGTGCATGCCACCATGCCGGGGTTATTTTTGTATTTTTAGTAGAGATGGGGTTTTGCCATGTTGGCCAGGCCGGTCTCAGTCTCCTGATCTCAGGTGATCCACCCACCTCGGCCTCCCAGTCTCATTTTTTATATTCCTCCATCTAGCACAGGATTGTGCACCTAGCAGGCTCTCAATAAAGATTTAACTTACATGAGAGTAATGAGATAGGAATGGAAGAATTGCACATGTCCACTCCACTTGCACTTAGTTGTAGTCCTAAGACACAGAGCAGCATGGGGTAAGGGATGGTATACTTTGGCACATCTATCCCAGCACTAGCTATTTATATTATGTATCCTTAAGCTGTGTTCTTACTGACACTTCCACTTAATTAGCAACTGCTACCAGAGAAAATAAGGCAATACTGAGTGTTGTAAAAAATACTAAATTTACACTTTTCTGCAGCTACAATCATAAGTCAGTAATAGAAAGGTTAATAGTAGCCACCATTTGTATGAAAAAGAAAAATAGAGTTGTTGGCTTCCTAAGATAGAAAGCATTATGCAAATTAGTCCAGACAATCATATATTGAATAAGAATTTGGTTTCATTCAACTATCTGAATATTTCCCACAATTCTTATCAAATGTCTGTTTCCCTCTTTGACACACCAGCTATTCTCTGAAAAAGTGCTCCTTAGGTAAACCCAGCCCCACCCACACATGTCAGAACCAGGCTTTGTTCTCACTGATAGAATGGGCCAAAGAGGGAGAAGTTTGGGCTGAGAATCTAAACAGTCTTACAGGTAGCAGGCAGCAGGGAGTCAGGCAGTCTAGACATCGCAATAGCAAGCATTAGAAGGAGCTACAGATAGTTAAACAGAGCCCAGATGCTATGCTAAGTCCAGCAGGGCCAATGTTTGGTATAAAAGAGGTATTACATGAGATGGCAAGGAACAAGTCATGAGGATAAGGTTAAAAGCAGACAGACTAGGCTGGGCGCGGTGGCTCACTCCTGTAATCCCAGCACTTTGGGAGGCTGAGGCGGGCGGATCACGAGGTCAGGAGATCGAGACCATCCTGGCTAACACAGTGAAACCCCGTCTCTACTAAAAATACAAAAAATTAGCCGGGCGTGGTGGAGAGCGCCTGTAATCCCAGCTACTCAGGAGGCTGAGGCGGGAGAGTGGCGTGAGCCCGGGAGGCGGAGCTTGCAGTGAGCCGAGATCACGTCACTGCACTCCAGCCTGGGTGACAGAGCGAGACTCCGTCTCAAAAAAAAAAAAAAAAAAAAAAAGCAGACAGACTCAAATCATGAAGAAAGACAAATTTTAAACATGGATTCCAAGTTATGCATGAAGCTAAGATGGGTTATAATAAGGCAATGAGACAGCCAAGTAAAAACGGCTCCCCGCTGAACCTCCGCCTGGCCTGCGCACTGGGAGGATGGGGTGGGGCCTCGGGAAGTTCTTGCCATTTGCAAGGGGGAGGAGCCTGGCCTCTCCTGCTCCTGGGTGGTAACCTGGGATTCAGTCAGTGAGATGGGGCCTGTTAACAGGAATCCCTCTAGCTTTGCTGAGTTTTTTTCCTTTTTTGTTCTCACCCTTCTATGTGTCCATGAGCGTAATCTTTCCTGGTTGTGTGACAAGAACCCAGTTTTTAACTGAACTGAGGAGAAAGTTCTGCAACAGCAAGAGGTCAGAATGAAACCTAAAATAAAGGTAGTAGTACTGATCTTTGAGATTATGGTTTCAGAAAAATTGGGGACAGAGTTTAACCCATAAGCAGAAATTCAGTGGCTTTAGCTATTGGGATTCTTTAGCTCTTAGGGTTCTAAGCTAGACACTGAGATTAATGTATTCCTGTGCTACCTCTATTTAGATAGATCTCTGCTACTATTCCCCAACACAGCATGAATTTAATCTTTGTGTCTCTAAATATTTTCACTTGCTTATAAAATCTCATTTTAAAATGTGTTCAATCACATATTCATTCAACAAACATTTACTAAATGCTTACTGTATTTCAGATACTGTGGAATACTGAGGTAAATAAAGCACAGCTTTGGCCTTAGAAAACTTACAGGTTTGTGAAGGAGTCAGCATCTAAACTGGTGATTCCAGAATAGTGTGCTGAAAGAACAAAGAAGAGAGGGGCTTTCATTCTCATCCGGTTAACCAAATGTATTGAGTGCCTTCTGTTTTCCATGCACTAATCTGGGAAAACAGAGGGTGACCCCAAACCTGGACTTGTGATGTCATGAAAAACTTCCAAGAGAAAGTGAAGCTTGATCTGAATCTTGTAAGAGATAACCAGGTAAAAGGATGTGGCAGACAATATCTATTCTTCCCTTCTTACATACAAACAGAATTCTGAATTTTTTGTAAAATCTGCTTACCCCTTTATACAGCATTCTAGGCCTAGTGACCATATAAGAAAAAATCTACTGAGTGGGGCTTTGTTGAAAGTCATTTTTTTTCCTGATAAAAATAAACTCAACTGACAGGTTCTTTGCTCTTCTCTTTCTTTGTTGTTGGAATGCAGATATGAAACGTAGAGATGGAACCATCATCTTGAAGCCTCCTTATAATAATGTAAAATAAAAGAGATAGTAGGAGTCTCAGACTCTGATTATATCATGCAACTTCTACTTCCTTTGGACTTGTGTTTAAGCTACTGTTGTCACTTTTCTGTTGTGCCTATTATGTGTCATTAAACACAATTCTAAATAATAAAGAAGAATACTGGGGACTGGGCATGGTGGCTCATGCCTGTAATACCAACACTTTGTGAGTCTGAGGCGGGCAGATCACTTGAGCCCAGGAGTTCAAGACCAGCCTGGGTAACATGGCAAAACCCCATCTCTAGTAAAAATACAAAAAATTAGCCAGGCATGGTGGCATGCTTCTGTAGTCCCAGCTACTCTTGGGCTGAAGTAGGAGGATCACCTAAACCTGGGAGGTCAGGGCTGTGGTTAGCTATGATTGTACCATTGCACTCCAGCCTGAGTGATAGAATGAGACCCTGTCTCAAAAAAACAAAACAAAACAAAACAAAACAAAACAAAACAAAACTGATATTTGGTAGAAGAGAGTTCAAGAAAAGCATTCCTGGTATGGGAAACAATAGCATGTGCAAAGGCATGGAGTTAATGGAGTTAGACACCTTCAAGGTGAAGAAACTGTAAGTAGACCAAATTGGTTGGGGTTATGAAGGGAAAGTGGCTAGAGATGAAGTTGGAGAGGTAAGTAAAGACCAGTTCCTTGTAACCCATGTTAGGGAGTATGAGCTTTATCGTAAAGGTTGTGGAGCATCACTTATAATTTTTTATTTATTTATTTATTTATTTTTTGAGACAGAGTCTCAGTCTGTCACCCAGGCTGGAGTGCAGTGGTGCAATCTCAGCTCACTGCAGTCTCTGCCTCCCAGGTTCAAGCAATTCTTGTGCCTCAGCCTCCTGAGTAGCTGGGATTACAGGTGCCCACCACCATGCCCAGCTAATTTTTTTGTATTTTTAGTAGAGACAGGGTTTCACCATGTTGGCCAGGCTGGTCTCGAACTCCTGATTTCAAGTGATCCACCCGCCTCGGCCTCCCAAAATGCTGGGGTTACAGGTGTGAGCCACTGTGCCCGGCTGATAAATTTTTTAATGACCTAATATTTGCATTTTAGAAAGATCCTTTTGTTAGAATATTTAGGACCATTTTGGGGAGGAGAGGCTGATGGTGGCGGGTGGACTAGATAGAACACTTAAATAATCCAGGTGATTAAAACCAAAACTAAGATAGTAGAAAGGAGAATATGGAAAAGATTGAAATTACTAATTACAGGTCCTTAGAAAAAATTCAAAATATATCAAAGAGGTAGAATCAACATAGATTGGATGTGTGAATCTAAAGAGATAGCTATCTCAAAAAGGAGTCTTAGGTTTCTGTCTAGGGTGACCAGATGATTCACCAAGATAGGAAATATAGAAGGAGACGATGGTTACGTGATTATCCAAGCTCTGATACCTGATAACCGAAGCAAGTTTAAGTGTTTTGCCAATTGTAGAAGTATCTATCAGAAGTAGTAATTATACAGCCTGTATTAGTTCATTTTCACGCTGCTATAAAGACATGCCCGAAACTGGGCAATTTACAAAAGAAAGAGGCTTATTGGACTTGTGGCTGGGGAGGCCTCACAATCATGGCAGAAGGTGAAAGGCAGGAGCAAGTCACATCTTACATGGATGGCAGCAGGCAAAGAGAGAGCTTGTGCAGAGAAACTTCCATTTTTAAAACCATCAGATCTTGTGAGACCCATTCACTATCATGAGAACAGGAAGGGAAACACCCGCCCCCATGATTCAATCATCTCCCACCAAGTCCTTCTCTCAACACATGGGAATTACGGGAGCTACAAGATGAGGTTTGGGTAGGGACATAGAGCCAGACCATATCGTTCTGCGCCGGCCCCTCTCAAATCTCATATCTTCATGTTTCAAAACCAATCATGCCTTCCCAACAGTCCCCCAAAGTCTCAACTCATTTTGACATTAACTCAAAAGTCCACAGTCCAAAGTCTCATCTGAGAGAAGGCAAGTCTCTTTTATGTATGAGCCTGTAAAATCAAAAGCAAGTTAGTTACTTTCTAGATACAATGGGGGTACAGGAATTGGGTAAATACAGCCGTTGCAAATGGGAGAAATTGGCAAAAACAAAGGGGCTACAGTCCCCATGCAAGTTTGAAATCCAGCGGGGGAGTCAAATATTAAAGCTTCAAAATAATCTCCTTTGACTCCATGTCTCATATCCAGGTCACACTGATGCAAGAGGTAGGTTCCCATGGTGTTGGGCAGCTTTGCCCCTGTGGCTTTGCAAGGTACAGCCTCCCTCCTGGCTGCCTTCATGGGCTGCCGTTGAGTGTCTGTGGCTTTTCCAGGTGCCCAGTGCCAGCTGCCAGTGGATCTACCATTCTGGGGCCCAGAGAACGATGGCCCTCTTCTCACAGCTCCACTAGGTGGTGCCCCAGTAGGGTCTCTGTGTGGGGGCTCCAACCCCACATTTTCTTCCTCACTGTCTTAGCAGAGTTCCCCATGAGAGCATTGCCCCTGCAGGAAACTTCTGCCTGGAATCCAGGCATTTCCATACATCCTCTGAAATCTAGGCAGAGGTTTCTAAACCCCAGTTCTTCACTTCTGTGCACCGGCAGGCTCAACACCATGTGGAAGCTGCCAAGGCTTGAAGCTTGCACCCTCCAAAGCCACGGCCCAAGCTCTATGTTGGCTCCTTTCAGCCATGGCTAGAGCAGCAGGGATGCAGGGCACCAGGTCCATAGGCTGCACACAGCATGGAAATCGTGGGCCCAGCCCATGAAACCACTTTTTCCTCCTAGACCTCCTGGCCCATAATTGGAGGGGCTGCTGTGACATGCCCTGCAGACATTTTCCCCCTTGTCTTGGGGATTAGCATTCAGCTCGTCATTACTTGCGCAAATTTCTACAGCTGGCTTGAATTTCTTCTCAGAAAATGGGATTTTCTTTTCTATCACATTGTCAGGCTGCAAATTTTCCAAACTTTCATGCCTTGCTTCGCTTATAAAACTGAATGCCTTTAACACCACCCAACTAACTTCTTGAATGCTTTGCTGCTTAGAATTTTCTTCTGCCAGATACTTTAAATCATCTCTCTCAAGTTCAAAGTTCCACAAATCTCTAGGGCAGGGACAAAATACCACCAATCTCTTTGCTAAAACATAACAAGAGTTACCTTTGCTCCAGTTCCCAACAAGTTCCTCAACTCCATCTGAGACCACCTCAGCCTGGATTTCATTGTCCATATCATTATCAGTATTTTGGTCAAAGCCATTCAACAAGTCTCTAGGGAGTTCCAAACTTTCCCACATTTTCCTGTCTCCTTCTGAGCCCTCCAAACTGTTCCAACCTCTGCCTGTTACCCAGTTCCAAAGTCACTTCCACATTTTCGGGTATCTTTTCAGCAGCACACCACTCTATTGGTACCCATTTACTGTGTTAGTCCATTTTCACATGGCTGATAAAGACATACCCGAGACTGGGCAATTTACAAAAGAAAGAGGTTTATTGGCTGGGGAAGCCTCACAATCATGGTTGAAGGTGAAAGGCAAGGAGGAGCAAGTCATGTCTTACATGGACAGTGGCAGGGAAAGAGAGAGTTTGTGCAGAGAAACTCTCATTTTTAAAACCGTCAGATCTTGTGAGACCGGTGATTCAATCATCTCCCACTGGGTTCTTCCCACAACATGTGGGAATTATGGGAGCAACAAGATGAGATTTGAGTGGAGACACAGAGCCAAACCATGTTACAGCCTCAACTCTTAAAGTTGACATTTATACAAACTTATTATTTTCCAAAAATTCACAAGTAGATTGAGATCAGGATAACAGTATTTTTTCTTTGCATACTACTGTGCTTGCTGTCCTTTCATATTTCCTAGACCACTGATAGAAAAAATATGTAAAAGATAATACCAAAACAGCTGTATTACGGGAACTATAGTAATGTTTTTTGTTTCTTTGTTTTCTCTCTCAGCCCAGTTCAAAACTAGGTAAGGAGAAAATGATGAATGGAAAGAATAACAAGGAAAGAAATGTGCCATAAGAGTCATTTAGCAGATGTTATTTTAATGTGTCTGACATAGCTCTGCATAGTTTTACACCTTTATGAGTTTATTGTGATAATGGTGGCAGGAAGATGCAGGCTCCAGGCATTGCTAAGTAATATTACAATTCTGAGTTTTACTTGATACTTCCTTCCATTAAAATGTTTTCACAAGGTCTGTGTTCTTTCAAGTCAGCCTAGAGAGTAATGACATAAAGCATTGGCAATGTCAAAGGAGATCAAAACTACCCCAGTTCTTTTCCATTTAGATGTTGTCTGTTTTGTTAGGCCAAGCCTAGATTAAAGACAGAGTATAGACTATCACCTGTTGTCAGCTATGTACCTACTAACAGTAAAAATGCTGATGTCCATAGTCTAGTGACAATGACTGGAAAAGGTTGGTATAGTTCAAACTTCTGAACTTAATGGCATAAACCAGGGGCCCATATTTGGACAAAGTAGCTACAGAGCAGTAATCATTCCATCTTAATAGGACTTGGCTTATTGCTACTTGCATCTAAAGGGGGCACTGTAAAAGACTTGGAAAAGCTGTTGTTACTACATATGTGTTGCTGCAATTCTTTTTTTTTTTTTTTGTGAGACAGGGTCTCACTCTGTCACCCAGGCTGGAGTGCAGTGGTGTGATCATAGTTTACTGTAACCTGAACTCCTTGGCTCAAGCAATCCTCTTGCCTCAGCATCTCGAGCAGCTGGGATGACAGGTGCATGCCACCATGCCTGTCTAATTTTTGTATTTTTTGTAGAGACAGAGTCTCCCTATGTTGCCCAGGCTGGTCTCAAACACCTGGCCTCAAGCAATCCTCCCACCTCGGCCTCCCCAAGTGCTATGATTACAGGTGTTAGCCACTATGCCCAACCTGCTGTTCCTCTTCTTAAACAGTGGAAGACTGCTTCAAATACATGGGCAGGTACTGGTGTGATGGGAGAGAGATATTTGTGGAATAACTCGGTTCTTATAAGCTAGAAATATGGATTAGAAAGTTGTTGACTGTAGTCACTCGAGCTTTATTGGTATTTCAAAGGAAAAACAAAAATAAAGAATTACCTTCCAAAACTTATTTTTTTTGGAGGCCATGCTCCTAAATGAGTTTGTAAAACACTTCTTGGAGTAAAGTCAGAGACTAGGGTAGTATTTGCTGAATTATCATTTCAAAGCTTAGAAACCTAGGCATCAATTGTATTTTTAGCCATCTGTTTAATTCACATCTTTCTTACACAGTGCTCAATGGGGGAAAGGGGAGAGCATAAATCCTACACTCTATGGGACTGGGTAATAAAACACCCTAAGGGGAATTTTTTCCTGATCCCAGGTTATATTCGTCTTATATCCAGAAGGACGAGGACTCATTTATCTTTTAACTTTTCTCTTTCCTTACTACTTCATCACAGATGGTTTTTATACAAATGTATGATATGTTTTTGATTTATCTCAATTATTGTTTCTACCTTTCATTTTCTAGGTTACTTTGCAGAATCTCAAACTATTTTAATTCTAAAGTAGTCTAGTTATATATCAGTATAGAACAAAAAGCTCACCAATCAGAAAGCCAGGAATGAAATGGGTGTACGTCTATGCAAACATTAGAGTGATTTGGGGCCCGACCAGGTGGTGAGGTAGTGGCCATAATGACAGAAGATCTACACTATTGGCACTTTGCATGGAAGCAAGAAGATACAGGAAGGCAATGATGCCTTAAGATGTGTATAACAGTAAGGACAAGAATGAGAAATAAAGCCAGACTCGTAGAAATAGGCTTTAATTTAGTTTTCATTATATTTAAAGGCTCTAGAATGCCATCTGACATTTCTACTAGGAGAAACACTAAATAAAAGGTATGAATACATTTTCTTTACATATACGCTTTATACCTCAAATATGAAAATCAGCCCATTTGAGGATGAGCATGCCTAATTGCAACATCAGTGAATTCAAAGTCAACTGGTCTGTCAACCCAGTTTGAAACACTCTATTTGTTTCAAAATCATGTTATTTGCCCTTGTAAGAAGCAAAATACATAATGTTATTTATTTATTTATTTATTTTTGAGACAGAGTGTCACACTGTTGCCCAGGCTGGAGTGCAATGGCATGATCTCGGCTCACTGCAACCTCCGCCTCCCGGGTTCAAATGATTCTCCTGCCTCAGCCTCCTGAGTAGCTGGGATTACAGGCACCCACCACCACGCCCGGGTAATTTTTTGCATTTTTAGTAGAGACAGAGTTTCACTATGTTTGCCAGGCTGGTCTTGAACTCCTGACCTCGTGATCTGCCTGCCTTGGCCTCCCAAAGTGCTGGGATTACAGGCCTGAGCCACCACACCTGGCTAAACAATGTAATTTAAAAGAAAGTTATGAGATATTCAGGCTTAAATAATTTGGCTTTGTCAAATTCAAGAAAGAATACACAACTTTTTTTAAAAAAAGATGTTGGGGACTGTTTGTCCTTTTTTTAAAATTCAGAATCAACAACTAATTTATTAAACAATTATTGAACATCTTGTATGTGTCAATCAGTACATGGGCTAGATACTAGATGTGTTAAAAATGAGAAGCAGGCAGGATCCATTTCTGGTTAGGAGAGGAAGAAGGAGATACCATGACAGAATAGTAGGTGAAATTTTAGGTTAAAAGTAGCCTTTAAGCATCTCTCATATCTCACCATGTAGGTGGCTACCTACCTAAAGAGCAGCCCTACTCCATATGGTGGGGAATAAATAGAGCCTCCCAAGTGCCTACCCAGTTTTGCCTCCAATTCTTACATAATGAAAACAATAAGAACATCATTTTAATTGAGAAGACGATGGGTCTGTATAAAAGCTTGCATGCTCTAAAAAATTACTGCAATTACTGGCCTTTTAATACTCTTATGATAAAATACACAATGGCCACATCCTTAGTATATCTCTCAGAAACCATAAGCTTTTGCTTTACATATTTTGAAACAGACTTTTTTTTTTACAGCAATTTTAGGTTCACAGCAAAATTGAGCAGAAAGCACAGAGTTCTCATGTACCCCCTACACCTACACACCCACAGCCTTACCCACTGTCGACATCCTGCACCAGACTGGCACATTTGTTACAAGAAAGGGACTTAAATTGACACAGCATTATCACCCAGAGTGCATAGTTGATGTAAATACTTAGGTTCATTCTTGGTGTTGTATATTCTTTGGTTTGGGACAAATGTATAATGCTATGTATTCACCATTATAACATCATACAGAATAGTTTCACTGCCCTAAAAATCCTCTATGTTTCACCTATGTATCCCTCCCTCCTCCCACTTCCTTGAAACAACCAATCTTTTTACTTTCTCTATAGTTTTGCCTTTTCCAGAAGGTCCTATAGTTGGAATCATATAGTATGTAGACTTTTCAGATTGGCTTCATTCACTTAGCAATATTCTTTTTTAAAAAATTTCTTCAGGCCGGGCGCGGTGGCTCACGCCTGTAATCCCAGCACTTTGGAAGGCCGAGGCGGGTGGATCATGAGGTCAGGAGATCGAGACCATCCTGGCTAACAAGGTGAAACCCCGTCTCTACTAAAAATACAAAAAATTAGCCGGGCGCGGTGGCGGACGCCTGTAGTCCCAGCTACTCGGGAGGCTGAGGCAGGAGAATAGCGTGAACCCGGGAAGCGGAGCTTGCAGTGAGCCGAGATTGCGCCACTGCAGTCCGCAGTCCGGCCTGGGCGACAGAGCGAGACTCCGTCTCAAAAAAAAAAAATTTCTTCTAAAAAAAACTGGGATACATGTGCAGAACGTGCAGGTTAGTGACATAGGTACATGTATGCCATGGTGGTTTGCTGCACCTATTGACCCATCATCCTCTAAGTTCCCTCTCCTTGCCCCCCAACCCCCAACAGGCCCTGGTATGTGTTGTTCCCTTCTCTGTGTCCATGTGTTCTCATTGTTCATCTCCCACTTGTGAGTGAGAACATGTGGTATTTGGTTTTCTGTTCCTGTGTTAGTTTGCTAAGGATGACGGCTTCCAGTTTCATCCATGTCCCTGCAAAGGACGTGATCTCATTCTTTTTTTATGGCTGCCTAGTATTCCATAGTGTATATGTGCCACATTTTCTTTATCCAGTCTGTAATTTATGGGCATTTGGATTGGTTCCATGTCTTTGTTACTGTAAATAGTGTTGTAATAAACATACGTGTGCATGTGTCTTTATAGTGGAATGATTTATATTCCTTTGGGTATATACCCAGTAATAGGATTGCTGGGTCAAATGGTATTTCTGGCTTTAGATCCTTGAGGAATTGCCATACTGTCTTCCACAATGGTTGAACTAATTTACACTCCCACTAACAGTGTCAAAGCTTTCCTATTTCTCCACAGCCTCACCAGTATCTATTGTTACCTGACTTTTTAATAATTGCCATTCTGACTGGTGTGAGATGGTTATCTCATTGTGGTTTTGATTTTGCATTTATCTGATGATCAGTGATGTTGAGTTTTTTTTCACGTTTGTTGGCCGCATAAATGTCTTCTTCTATTAAGAACTGTCTGTTCATATCCTTTGCCCAGTTTTTGATGGGGTTGTTTGTTTTTTTCTTGTAAATTCGTTGAAGTTTCTTGTAGATTCTGGATATCAGACCTTTGTCAGATGGGTAGATTGCAAAAATGTTCTCCCATTCTGTAGGTTGCCTGTTCACTCTGATGATAGTTTATTTTGTTGCGCGGAAGCTCTTTAGTTTAATTAGATCCCATTTGTCAATTTTGAATTTTGTGGCAATTGCTTTTGGCATTTTTGTCATGAGGTCTTTGCCCATGCCTACATCCTGACTGGTACTACCTAGGCTTTCTTCTAGGGTTTCTATGGTTTGGGAATTAAATTTAAGTCTTTAATCCATCTTGAGTAAATTTTTGTATAAGGTGTAAGGAAGGGGTCCAGTTTCAGTTTTCTGCATATGGCTAGCCAGTTCACTTAGTAATATTCATTAAGGTTCCTCTGTGCCTTTTCATGGCTTGATAGCTCATTACTTTTTAGTGTTAAATAACACTCCATTGGCTGGATGTACTACAACCTATCCATTCACCTACTTAAGGATAACTTGGTTGCTTCCAAATTTTAGCAATTATGAATAAATTGCTCTAAACATCTGTGTGCATGTTTTTGTGTAGACATAAGTTTTCAGCTCCTTGGGGTAAATTCTAAGGAGTATGATTGCTGGATCATATGGGTAAGAGTATGTTTAGTTTTTTGAGAAACTGCCAAACTGGCTTCAAAAGTGGCTGCACTATTTTGCATTTCCACCAGCAATGAATAAGATCTCCTGTTGTTTCATATCCTCAACAGCATTTGATGTTGTCCGTGTTTTGAATATTAGCCATTCTAATAGGTGTGTAGTGGTATCTCATTGTTTTTATTTGAAATTCTCTAATTACATATGATGTTGAGCATCTTTTTTATTCTTATTTGCCATCTGTATATCTTCTTTGGTGAGGCATCTGTTCAGATCTTTTGCCCATTTTTAATTAGGTTGTTAGACTTCTTGCTGTTGAGTTTTAAGAGTCTTTTGTTTATTTTGGATAACAATCCTTTATCAGATATGTCTTATGCAAATATTTTCTCCCAATCTGTGGCTTGTATTCTCATTCTTTTGACTGTTTTTACAGAGCAGAAGTTTTTATTTTGAATGAAGTTCAATGTACCAAGTCTTTCTTTCATGGGCTTTGTCTTTGGTGTTGTATCTTTTTTTTTTTTTGAGACGGAGTCTCTCTCTGTCACCCAGGCTGGAGTGCAGTGGGGTGTTCTTGGCTCACTGCAAGCTCTTCCTTCCGGGTTCACGCCATTCTCCTGCCTCAGCCTCCTGAGTAGCTGGGACTACAGATGCCTGCCACCACGCCCAGCTAATTTTTTTTGTATTTTTAGTAGAGATGGGGTTTCACCGTGTTAGCCAGGATGGTCTCCATCTCTTGACCTCGTGATCCGCCCACCTCGGCCTCCCAAAGTGCTAGGATTACAGGCTTGAGCCACCGCACCCAGCCCTGGTGTTGTATCTTAAAAGTCATTGCCAAACCCAAGATTATCTAGATTTTCTCCTATGTTATCTTCTCAGAATTTTATAGTTTTGCATTTTACATTTAGGTCTATGATCCATTTTGAACTTATTTTTGTGAAGAGTGTAAGGTCTATGTTAATATTCATTTTCTTTTTATGTGGATACTCAGTTGTTCCAGTACCATTGTTGAAAAGACTGTCTTTTCCCCACCTAACTGCTTTGCTCCTATGTCAAAGTTCAGTTGAGTATATTTGTGTTGGTCTATTTCTGGTCTTTCTAGTCTGTTCTACTGATCTATCTGTCTATTTTTCTTCCAATACTTGATTACTGTCTTGATTACTGTGTAGTCTTATAGTAAGTCTTGAAGTATTAGTCGTCTTATTTGTTCTTCTCCATCAGTATTGTGTTGGCTATTCTGGATCTTTTGCCTCTCTATATAAACTTTAGAATCAGTTAGTCAATACCCACAAAATAACTTGCTTGGGTTTGCTTTGCTTTTAAAACTTTCAATTATGAAACTTGAGTCCGAGAAATGCAATCAGCAGTAGAGGTATATCTGAGTAATTCTACTCAACCTGCCTAATTTTACTTAATTTGGATAATCAAAGACTCCCACCATTGTTTCTCCTGTTTTTTTTTTCATAAACAAGAAACATGCCTTAATAGCAAATGATGATACCCACCAGAATAACTAAAAATTTCTAAAGTATTTATTTTATTTCAATATTGATGATTGCCATAAACCAAACGTACAATCTGCCTTGGAAACGTATAACATAGAGAGATCATCAAGCCTGGTCACTTGATGGAAGCAGAAGTGACATTTACTTTTTCTATATATATTTTAACTGTTTTATTTCCATTCACTTACAGAAAAGGAACCATTATTCATTTTCTGTGATCAGAATATAATTGGGTTTTCACCGTTACGTGATTCAGTATTGTTGTGAAGTTGTTCTGTTCATGAATCCTTCACAGAAGAATGCATCTCAGCCTGTGTACATGCAATTCTTTTTTTTTTTTTTTTTTTTTTTTTTTGAGATGGAGTCTTGCTCTGTCACCCAGCTGGATGGAGTGCAGTGGTGCGATCTCGGCTCACTGCAAGCTCAGCCTCCTGGGTTCCCGTCATTCTCCTGCCTCAGCCTCCTGAGTATCTGGGACTACAGGTGCCCGCCACCACACCCGGCTAATTTTTTGTATTTTTAGTAGAGATGGGGTTTCACCGTGTCAGCCAGGATGGTCTCTTTCATGCACGTCCATGTGAAGAGACCACCAAACAGGCTTTGTGCGAGCAATAAAGCTTTTAATCACCTGGGCGCAGGTGGGCTGAATCCAAAAAGAGAGTCAGCGAAGGGAGATAGGAGTGGGGCCGTTTTATAGGATTTGGGTAGGTAAAGGAAAATTACAGTCAAAGGGGTTGTTCTCTGGTGGGCAGGAGTGGGGGTCACAAGGTGCTCAGTAGGGGAGCTTTTGAGCCAGGATGAGCCAGGAGAAGGAATTTCACAAGATAATGTCATCAGTTAAGGCAGGAACAGGCCATTTGGATGTGTACGTGCAGGTCACAGGGGATATGATGGCTTAGCTTGGGCTAAGAGGCCTGACGTTCCTGTCTTCTTATATTAATAAGAAAAATAAAACGAAATAGTGGTAAAGTGTTGGGGCGGCAAAAATTTTTGGGGGTGGTATGGAGAGATAATGGGCATTGTTTCTCAGGGCTGCTTTCAGTGGGATTAGGGGCAGCGTGGGAACCTAGAGTGGGAGACATTAAGCTGAAGGAAGATTTTGTGGTAAGGGGTGATACTGTGGGACTGTTAGAAGAAACATTTGTCATTTAGAATTATTGTGATGGCCTGGATACAGTTTTATATGAATTGAAAAACTAAACGGAATAAGAGAAGGAGAAAAACAGGTATTAAAGGTCTAAGAATTGGGAGGACCCAGGACATCTAATTAGAGTGCCTAAGGAGATTCAGCATAGTCCTGCCAGCAAAGATTATTTATTTACTTCAAGAGTTAAGAGTGGCAGTTTGGGGATAGCACCAGGAGATATCAGCTGTGATGGCTTGGAGAAACAGTGTAAACCGACAGTGTAAACAAGAGCAGGGCATGTATGAGTAGTTGAGAACGGTGAATAGGAGTATGACTAGACAGAAGATAGTAGGGATGACAAGTTTTTTGGGGCACAGTCCAAGTTGGTCTGTTGTCTGGAATGAGACTGGGGCTTAATAAAAAGGAGTGTCCATACAGGAGCTCAAATGGGCTGTACCCTGTAAAATTCCAAGGACAGGCCTGAATTCTGAGAAGGGAAAGTGGTAAAAGTATTGTCCAGTCCTTTTTAAGTTGGTAGCTGAGCTTGGTGAGGTGTGTTTTTAAAAGTCCATCAGTCCGTTCTACCTTTCCTGAAGACTGAGGACCGTAAGGGATATAAAGGTTTCACTGAATACCAAGAGCCTGAAAAACCGCTTGGCTGATTTGACTAATAAAGGCCGGTCTGCTATTGGACTGTATAGAGGTAGGAAGGCCAAACCGAGGAACTATGTCTGACAGAAGGGAAGAAATGACTGTGGTGGCCTTCTTAGACCCTGTAGGAAAGGCCTCTACCCATCCAGGGAAAGTGTCTACCCAGACTAAGAGGTATTTTAGTTTCCTGACTCAGGGCATGTGAGTAAAGTCAATTTGCCAGTCCTGGGTGGGGGCAAATCCCCGAGCTTGATGTGTGGGAAAGGGAGGAGGCCTGAACGATCCCTGAGGGGTAGTAGAATAGCAAATGGAACACTGAGAAGTGATTTCCTTGAGGATAGATTTCCAGGATGGAAAAGAAATGAGAGGTTCTAAGAGACGGGCTAGCGGCTCATAACCTACATGGAAGAGGTTATGAAAAGACGACAGAATAGAATGGGCCTGTGAGGCTGGAAGGAGATATTTTCCTTGGTCTAAGAACCATTTGCCTTGTGTGGGAAGAGATTGACAGGTGGAAGTTTCAGCAGGGGAGTAGGTGGGAGTGACTGATGTGAAGGAGAAAAACTGGCCATGAGGGACAGAAGGTGGAAAGCCTGTTGCTTGTCTAGCCACCTTATCAGCATAAGCATTGCCTAGAGCAATGGGATCTGATGCCTTTTGATGGCCTTTGCAGTGAATGACTCCAGCTTCCTTTGGAAGTAAAGCGGCCTTGAGCAGAGTTTTATTTAAGAGTCGTTAATGATGGAGGACACTTGCATAGTGAGGAAACCTCTTTCAGCCTGTATAACAGCATGGTGGTGCAGAATATGAAAGGCATATTTAGAGTCACTATAAATATTGATGAGTAGTCCTTTTGCAAGAGTGAGGGCTTGAGTTAAGGCAACTAGTTCGGCTTGCTGAGAGGTAGTGGAGGGGGGCAGAGCGGTAGCCTCAATGATAGGTGTGGAAGATACTATAGCATAGCCTGCCTTTGCTGGTGAGTGGCGATTAGGCCTGGCGGAACTGCCATCAATAAACTAAATGTGATCAGGGTGAGGAACAGGAAAGAAGGAAATATGGGGAAATGGGGTGAATGTCAGGTGGATCAGAGAGATATAGTCATGAGGGTCAGGTGTGGTATCCAGAATAATGTGGGAGGCCGGATTGAAGTCCGGGCCAGGAACAATGGTAACTGTGGGAAACTCAACAAAGAGTGAGTACAGCTGAAGGAGCCGGGGAGCAGACAGTATATGTGTCAGGTGTGAGGAAGAAAATAGATTTTGGAAGTTATGAGAACTGTAGAGAGTGAGTTGAGCATAGTTTGTGATTTTAAGGGCCTCTAAAAGTATTAGGGCGGCAGCAGCCACTGCACGGAGACATGATGGCCAATCTAAAACAATAAGGTCAAGTTGTTTGGACAAAAAGGCTACAGGATGCGATCCCAGTCCTTGTGTAAGAATTCCGACTGCACAGCCCTGCACTTCAGCTGTGTGTAATGAAAAGGGTTGGGATGAGTCAGGGAGAGCTAGGATGGGGGCAGTCTCTAAAGCTGTCTTCAAGGAATGGAAAGAGGAGTGGGGAAAGGATTTAGGATCTATGTGGTCAGCTAGGTTTCCTTTTGTTGAGTTTATATAATGGTTTTGTTAGGATGGCAAAACCAGGTATCTAAAGTCGAAAGTATCTAACCATGCCTAGGAAGGAAAGGAGTTGTTGTTTTGTAGAAGGTGCTGGGGTTTGAAAGATCAGTTGGACACGATGGGCAGGGAGAGCACGTGTGTTTTTATGAGAATTATGCCAAGATAGGTAACAGATGAGGAAGAAATTTGGGCTTGACTGAAGTAACGGGGGCTGTCTGTGAGGCCTTGCAGCAGTACAGCATAGGTAATTTGCTGAGCCTGATGGGTGTCAGGGTCAGTCCAAGTGAAAGCAAAGAGAGGCTGGGACGAGGGGTGCAGGGGAATAGTGAAAAAAGCATCTTTAAGATCAAGAACAGAATAGTGAGTTGTGGAGGAAGGTACTGAGGACAAAAGAGTGTATGGGTTGGACACCACCGGGTGGATAGGCAAAACAATTTGGTTGATAACGCGCAGATCCTGAACTAATCTGTAAGACTTGTCCGGTTTTTGGACAGGTAAAATGGGGGAATTGTAAGGAGAGTTTATAGGTTTTAGAAGCCCATGCTGTAGCAGGCGAGTGATAACAGGCTTTAATCCTTTTAAAGTGTGCTGTGGGATGGGATATTGGCATTGAGCGAGGTAAGGGTGATTAGGTTTTAATAGGATGGTAAGGGGTGCATGATTGGTTGCTAAGGAGGGAGTAGAGGTGTCTTATACTTGTGGGTTAAGGTGGGGAGATACAAGGGGAGGATGTGAAGGAGGCTTTGAACTGGGGGAAAAGGCAGCAATGAGGTGTGGCTGTAGCCTAGGAATAGTCAGGGAAGCAGATAATTTAGTTAAAGTGTCTCAGCCTAATAAGGGAACTGGGCAGGTGGGGATAACTAAAAAGGAGTGCTTAAAAGAGTATTGACTAAGTTGGCACTAGAGTTGGGGAATTTTAAGAGGTTTAGAAGCCTGGCCGTCAATACCCACAACAGTTATGGAGGCAAGGGAAACAGGCCCTTGAAAAGAAGGTAATGTGGAGTGGGTAGTCTCTGTATTGATTAAGAAGGGGACAGACTTACCCTCCACTGTGAAAGTTACCCGAAGCTCGGCATCCGTGATGATCTAGGGGCTTCTGAGGCAATCAGGCAGCGTCAGTCTTCAGCCACTAAGCTGAGAAGATCTGGGAAGGAGTCATTTAGAGAGCCTTGGGCCAGAGTTCCAGGGGCTCTGGGAGTGGCTACCAGGTGAATTGAACAGTCTGATTTTCAGTGGGGTCCCGCACAGATGGGACGTGGCTTAGGAGGAATCCTGGGCTGCAGGCATTCCTTGGCCTGGTGGCCAGATTTCTGGCACTTGTAGCAAGCTCCTGGGGGAGGAGGTTCTGGAGGAAGGCCTGGCTGCTGCGGTTCAGGCGTTTGGAAGTTCTTGTGTGCTGGAGATGTGGCTGGGGTTTGTCTCACAGTGGAGGCAAAGAATTGCAACTCAGAAATATGTTGCTACTTGGCTGCCTTTACTCTATTATTGTACACCTTGAAGGTGAGGTTAATTAAGTCCTGTTTTGGGGTTTGAGGGCCGGAATTTAATTTTTGGAGTTTAATGTCGGGAGCAGATTGGGTAATAAAATGTATATTGAGAATAGGATGGCCTTTTGACCTTTTAGGGTCTAGGGGTGTAAAGCATCTCAGGGTTGCTGCCGAACGAGCCATGAACTGGGCTGGGTTTTTATATTTGATGAAAAAGAGCCTAAACACTATCTGATTTGGGATAAAGAAAAAGGAGCATTAACCTTGACTATGCCTTTGGCTCTAGCCACCTTTTTAAGAGGAAATTGCTGGGCAGGTGGGGGAGGGCTAGTCACGGAAGGAAACTGTAAGCCAGACCAGGTGTGAGCAGGGGAGGTGATAAAAGGATTATAGGGTGGAGGAGCGGAGGCTGAGGAAGAATTGGGACCTAGCTCGGCCTGGTGAGGAAGGGAGAGGTCAGATGGGTCTGTAGAAAAGGAAGATTAGAAAGACTCAGCGACGCTTGGGTTTGGGACTGAGGGGACAGGTGGGAGGGAAAGAAGGAAGATTTGGGACGAGTTGCATTGGGAACAGAGACTAGGGAGTGACTGATGTGTAAAAGAATGCCTGGACGTCAGGCACCTCAGACCATTTGCCCATTTTACAACAAGAATTATTTAGATCTTATAGGATGGAAAAAATGAAAGTGCCATTTTCTGGCTATTTGGAACCACTGTCGAGTTTGTATTGGGGTCAAGTGGCATTGTAGAAGAAAATAAGGCATTTAGGTTTTAGGTCAGGTGTGAGTTGAAGAGGTTTTAAGTTCTTGAGAACACAGACTAAGGGAGAAGAGGGAGGAATGGAGGGTGGAATGTTGCCCATAGTGAAGGAGGCAAGCCGAGAGAAAAGAGAGAGTAGAGACATGGAGTGAAGAGGTTCAGGCGTTCTTACCCTCTAGAAAAGCAGGAAAGGGGTCGGGGCATGGAAATTAGGGGTTGGGGTGCAGAGATAAGAGGTCGGGGCATGGAAATAAGGGATCGGGGCACAGAGATAAGAGGTTGGGCCGTGGAAATAAGGGATCGGGGCACAGAGATAAGAGGTCGGGGCATGGAAATAAGGGATCGGGGCACAGAGATAAGAGGTTGGGGCGTGGAAATAAGGGATCAGGGCACAGAGATAAGGGGTTGGGGCATGGAAATAAGGGATTGGGGGGGGTTCTTGCCCCGCAGAAAAGAGATAGAGACAGAGAAGGGTTCGGGGTTCTTGACCCTCCCCCAGAAAAGCGGGACTTGCCGCTAAGGGTGAAGGACCAAGGCAGGTGTCCCCATGTGGTCACACACCTCTGAAACGTGGGTGAATAATCAGAGAGGTGTCCCTGCAATGATTAAACACCAAGGGAAGGCTGCCTTCCCGAGTCCGTGACTGGCGCCAGAGTTTTGGGTCCACAGATAAAATGTGTCTCCTTTGTCTCTACCAGAAAATGAAAGGAATTGAAATTAAGAGAAGGGAGAGATTGAAGGGTGGCGCCAAGATTGAAAGGAGAAAGTGGTTGAGGGATAGTGAGAGAGGTTGGAGAAGAGAGTAAGAAGAGGCCACTTACCTGATTTAAAATTGGTGAGATGTTCCTTGGGCTGGTGGGTCTGAGGACCCGAGGTCGTAGGTGGATCTTTTCATGGATCAAAGAGCAGGAGCACAGGGGATTGATCTGAGTCACAGCACCAAATTTCATGCGCGTCTGTGTGAAGAGACCACCAAACAGGCTTTGTGTGAGCAATAAAGCTTTTAATCACCTGGGTGCAGGCAGACTGAGTCCGAAGAGTCAGCAGAGGGAGATGGGGTGGGGCCGTTTTACAGGATTTGGGTAGGTAAAGGAAAATTACAGTCAAAGGGGTTGTTCTCTGGTGGGCAGGAGTGGGGGTCACAAGGTGTTCAATAGGGGAGCTTTTGAGCCAGGATGAGCCAGGAGAAGGAATTTCACAAGATAATGTCATCAGTTAAGGCAGGAATAGGCCATTTTCATTTCTTTTGTGGTAGAATGTCATCAGTTAAGGCAGGAACCAGTCATCTGGATGTGTACGTGCAGGTCACAGGGGATATGATGACTTAGCTTGGGCTCAGAGGCCTGACAGTCTCTATCTCCTGACCTCGTGATCTGCCCACCTCGGCCTCCCAAAGTGCTGGGATTACAGGCATGAGCAACCACACCTGGCCTCTTTTTTTTTTTTTTTTTTTTTAAACAACAATGTGTTTTATTTTAAAACAAGTCTATAAAAGTAGAAATCACACACAAAAATATGGATTACTCTGACATGTTGGCAAAGTAGGTTATGCAAAGTAGGTTATAGCTGGACTTGAGTTTGGGAGTTCTGTATGTTTGAGGGCATCCAGAAGTCAGAGTCCTTGACCAGTCCTTGTCACTAATCTGTAAACAATAATTTCAAGTAGAATTTAGCATTTTTTAACTACTAAGAAATTGAAGCTTGATGATTTCCTGTGTAACACTACTTAGGTCTGAGCAGATAAGGGCATTTCATACTATTGTTCCTAACATTAAATTTTTTTGATTTAAAAAAACAGTTAATGTTAATAGGAATGATGAGTTTTGGCTTTTTTTGTTGCATTTTGAACACATGAGGAGTTCATCAATTTAAACTAGTTTTTTTTGTTATTTTTAAAAAGCAGAATATAATCTTTTTACTTCTATGTACCAGTTTAAAAAAAAATCACTGATGCTATCAAAACGTTCAGTACCTGAATCTTAACTCTTACATAGGTGAAAGTAGTGCTTACTGCTGAAACTGCATGGAACATATACCTATATACCTTCTTCTAGTTTTTTTTTTCTTTTTTAGAGTCTGGCTCTGTTACCCAGGCTGGAGTGTAGCGGTGCAATCTCGGCTCACTGCAGCCTCTGCCCTCTGGGTTCAAGCAATTCTCCTGCCTCAGCCTCCCTAGTAGCTGGAATTACAGGTGTGTGGTACCACGACTGGCTAATTTTTGTAATTTTAGTAGAGATGGGGTTTTGCCATATTGACCAGGCTGGTCTCGAACTCCTGACCTCAAGTGATCTGCCTGCCTCGGCCTCCCAAAGTGCTGGAATTATAGGCATGAACCACCGTGCTCAGGCTTCTAGTGTTTATTTTCAATTGAAGGGAACATGCAGTTCCTCTTAGGGAATTTTAGGCCCCATTACCCTATAAAATGAATAGTTTTGAATAATTATTGTGAGAGACCATTAAAACAAGACAATTTAAAATACTTGATTCCAAATTAATATACAAGTAACCTCAAGAAACCCAGTGCTAAAGGAAAACAGCAGGCAACTACAGTTCTGAATTCTTCCATCAAACTTTTCAAGAATAGAGACTGGGTTAATACTACCTTTCTAAAACAAAGGAAGTCATTTTAAAAGCTAAAGAACCCCTGTTAATATAATTTGATTACAAAGTTAGAAAACCAGAATTATATTTCTTCACCTAATTTAGAATTCTGGAAACAGTACCTTAGTAAGCGTTAAAGGATACCTCAAATTAACCTGTCATAGAAAATTGTCTCTTGAGCTTTCAAATCCTATACCAATTCTTTACCTTTTGTTGTTTATTTATTTATTTATATATTTATTTTTATGTTTTAAGGTGAATTACATGGGGCTATTTGTTTCTCTAACCTAATTTCAAATCTAAAGGCAAAATTAAAATGCATTTTTTTCCTATTTCCAGAAGAAATTGCCTCAAATGCTACTATCCTATGATTCTCTTTCTGTTCAGCTCACAATAAAATAGCGTATTGTTCTTCCAAACTGTCTTATAAGGCAATACTATAAAATTAAATAGATAAAAGTTACCATATAGGCTATGAAGATTGTTTGCTGGTGGTAATTTTTAAGCTTGATTCTGAATAGACTTAATAAGAAGGGCACTTGGAAGAGGTGGCTCAAATTTTGCTCTTTAAGGTATCTTGAAATTATAGGCTCACTCTCCCAACATTTCAAAAAGCCTTTTTGAAAGGCTTTACCTTAAGGGCAAAGCAGTGATAGAAGCTTTACAGTCATTTCAGAAAAGCACATTGTTTTCCCTCTTAAATCATTGCTTAATACTCCTGGAATGAAGGCAAAGAGAAAACCGAGAATAAAACTAGCCAAGCACTCCAGCAATTGGGCTTCCTGCCTATTTTCCCTGTCCCAAAGAAAAGGGAGACACCATCTTGCAATAAATACTTTATAGACAATTGGACTTTTGCAATGTCAGTCAGCATTTGATGTCCCATATCTCCTAATTCTTTTTGTTGCCAATAGTTGGCCTGGCAGTTGTAGTTAACTTGGAGCAATTAATCTGTAGATGAGGAAGGGCTTCCTTTAACAGTTGAAGGGTGCTGTCTGGCAGGATTCCAAAGACTTGTAGTGTTTTTAGAGTGGGAATTGCTTCGAGTTCAAGTAAAGTTTTGGGTATATCATAGCACCGACTGCGTGATACGTATTGGAGGTAGTTGAGCTGGAAAATATCTGAAAGCAGTCATTCTTTAGCTTTAGCATGACATTATCACTTACGTTTAGGTGGACATCTAGACCCTCATTGGAGGATCTTCTAACTAAAGTAGAGACATTGGATTTCAGGATATTCTTTCGGCAGCCACTGAGATTCAGCTGGGTGATGCTCTCTGACAAATGCGCAACAGCCACTTGCACATGTTTTTTCAGTGAAGTCATATCACCAGCAGAGATTTAGCTCATCAAGTCTGGAACAGCTGGATTAGGAGAACCCAGAACACCCAGTTGCACTAAATTTGAGTTCTGTGCAAGATTATTGAAAATGGGTTCTGAAAGCCATAGGTCTTCCAGAAAGCTTAGATTCTGCAGCTTGGAGCCCTGAGACAGAATGCCATGTAGGGCAGACACATCTATAACTGAGTTCAACACATCCCTCTGCTGTATATGCAGAGGGCTGAAATGTTCAACCAATGGTTGGTCATAAATGATTGTTGGCAGTGGAAGGCAACCGGCCCACACTAATCACATCTGGCTTCAGATTTTTACCTGTGAGGTATAAAGTCTGCCACAGAGACTCAACAAATGCTAGGGCAGTACCATCTCTTAAAACATCGGAGGCCTTTAGCAGCTCAGTGAGGTGCAGACAGGAAAATATCCCCAAGAGCAGCTCATCTGGAAGGGAGTCCCATGAAACACCTGGAAAGTTCTCTCCATTTAGTTTAGGCCTGTTGATGATCACAGTCTTTGTCATTCCTTTTGCTATTCAGCCATTTCCTTGGGTGGCTGTGTGATTGGCCCAGGTTTTAGAGCAGTTCCTTGGGGATATTCTCACTGTCTGCCTCCTCCTTCTCCAGGGCAGAGACCCCGATGCCTGCCAGTAGTTCAGAAGTCTTGCTGGAATCCTATCCCCACATGAAGCTGGTGGTAACATTGCTACTCTGGTCTGGAATCTCTTAAAGGTGGTTCTTGTGCATGGCATCTGCAGGTTTGGGAGTTTTAAGTACATGCGTTAATTGCACAGCTGCCTGCCTCCTGGATTCCCGCTTTGGTGCATGGCAGCCCCTAGCTTGCTTAGGAACGCAGCAGCTAGATCTATGAACTCTAGCAACATTTCAAGTGGGATGGGCACTCCCTTTTATTGTTTTTTAAGCTCCACTTTTCCTTTCTGGAATTAAAATAATTTATTTTTTAAGTGTATAAATTTATAGGGTACAAGTGTAATTGTGTTACATGCATAAATTGCCTAGTGGTGAAGTCAGGGCTTTTAGGTTAGCCATCACCAAATAACGCACGTTGTATGCATTAAGTAATCTCTCATTATCCACCCCTTTCCTGCCCCACTCACTCTTCAGAGTCTCCATTTGTTTATTATTCCACACTCTAAGTCCATGTGTACACATTATTTTGCTCCTACTTATAAGAACATGTGATATTTGTCTTTCTGTGTCTGACTTGTTTCACTTAAGATAATGGCCACCAGGTCCGTCCACATTGCTGCGAATGACATGATTTCATTCTTTTTTATGGTTGAATAGTACTCCATTTTGTATATATGACACATTTTCTTTATCCAGTCTTCTGTTGGTTAATACTTAGGTTGATTCCATATCATCACTATTGTGAATAGTGTTGTGATTAACATATGTGTGCAGGAATCTTTTTGATATAATTTATATATATATTTATATAATTTATTTAACTTTGGATAGATACTCAGTAGTGGGATTGCTACATCAAATTGCTACATCTATTTTTACTTCTTTTAGAAATCTCCATACTGTGTTTTCATAGAGGTTGTGCTACTTTACATTCCTACCAACAGTATGTGAGTTTCCTTTTCTTCACATCTGTGGCAACAAGTTATTTTTTATCTTTGTAATAATAGCCATTCTGACTGGTGTAAGATAATATCTCATTGTGGTTTAAATTTGCATTTTTCTGATGATTAATCATGTTGAGCATTTTTTTCATATGCCAGTTGTATGTATTCTTTGAAAAATGTCTATTCATATCCTTTTCCCACTTTTTAAGGGATTACTTTTTATTGTTGAATTGTTTGAGTTTCTTGTAAATTCTGGATATTAATCCCCTGTCAGATGCATAGTTTCAAATATTTTCTCCCAGAATGATGAAATTTTTTAAAAAAAACTTTCCAAATTAAGTGTCGATTAGGATGTTATATTAGGGTTCTCTAATAAGACAGAACCAATAAAATATATATACATACATATACATCTACCTATTATATATATACATATTATTTTCTCTATATATAAATATATATATATACATTTTATTGTCTCTATATATCTATATGTATTTCTCTCTCTGTGTCTCTTGAGAGAGATATATATATATATATCAAGAGAGAGAGAGAGAGAGACAGATATGAGTGGGGTTTTGTTAGTCAAATCAGCTCACAGGGTTATGGAAGCTGAGAAGTTCCATGACAGGCCATCTGAAAGCTGAAGACCCTGGGATGCTGGTAGCATGGCTGAGTCCAAGTCTGAAGAATGAGAACTCAGGTGTAAGTCTTGTAGTTCAAAGGCCAAAGGGCTTGGAGTTCTGATGTCCAAGGACAGGGGAAGAAGAGAGTGTATTCCAGATCCAGGATTGAGAGAGAGAGATCAATTTGCTTTTCCTCTCTTTTTGTTCTATCCAAGTGATATGGTTTGGCTGTGTCCCCACTCAAATCTCATCTTGAATTGTAGTTCCCATAATCCCCATATGTCATGGGAGGGACCTGGTGGGAGGTAATTTAATCATGGGACAGTTACCCTCATGCTGTTCTTATGATAGTGAGTGAGTTCTCATGACATCTGATGGTTTTATAAGGGACTTTCCCCCTTTTGCTCAGCACTTCTCCTTGCTGCTGCCATGTGAGGAAGGACGTGTTTGCTTCCACTTTCACCATGATTGTAAGTTTCCTGAGGCCTCCCAAGCCATGCTGAACTGTGAGTCAATTAAACCTCTTTCTTTTACAAATTACCCAGTCTCGGGTATGTCTTTATTAGCAGCATGAGAATGGACTAATATACTAGGCCTCCAGCCCATTGGATGGTGCCTACCCACATTGAAGGCAGATCTTTCCCATTTAGTGCATGTAGACTCACACCAATTTCCTCTGGAAACACCCTCACAGACTCACTCCAAAATAATGCTTTACCAGTTCTCTAGATATTCCTTAATTCAATCAAGTTAACACCTAAAATCAACCATCACAGATTTAAAGTAACTGGAATTCTTACACAGTACTGGTGGAAGTGTAAACGGGTAAAACCACTTTGGAAAACTACTTGTCTGTTTTGATTAAATCTAAATATATGCTAAATAATTATGACCCAGTAATTCCAAATCTCACAAAATGAGTACATATATTCACCAAGAAACTTGGGCATCTCAGAAGCATTATACCAGAGCCAGAAAAAATAAAATATTTATTTACACAGAACAGATACATAAACTGAGGTATATTCAGACAACTTGAATACTTAGCTATGAAAATGAACAAACTACTACCATGGGCAACAACATGGATGAATCTCACAAACACCATGTTAAGTGAAAGCTGTTGGACATATAAGGCTACATACTCTTTTTACATTTATATAAAGTTCAGAACCACAAAACTTATCTGTGATAAATAGTGAAAACCTTGGGAAAGCAGGGGGAATAATGAGTTGGAAGGGGAATGAGGGAGGCTTTTTGAGTTTGAGTAACTCTATTTCTTGCGTTGGGCGATGGTTACAAGATGTTTTCATTCTGTGAAATTTCATCGAGCTGTATGCTTGTGATTTGTGTACTTTTAAGATGCATGTTTTATTTTGGCACAAACATTTATTAAAGAAACTTATAAGCAATCCAACAGAACCTACTGAGTTCTATAAAAACTATCAGAATACATATGGCAGGAAATTTATATTATTTTAAACTCATGGGGAAAACTTACTACCTACTACACAATGGGTTAATCTCATGAGGCAGGGATTGCTTTTTGATAGATGAGTTGGGATTGGAATTTAGGTGTGTCTGATGTCAAACCCATGCTCATAGCCACTATCTTGTAGAGCCTTCCATTATGATTAGATATTCTCTTCCTTATCTACTTATGACAAACAACTGTGGTTTTGTATATTTTCTTTTCCTGTTTTATTTTGTGACACTAAGCGACAGTGAAATATTATCTATATCCTTAATTGCATTTCATGACATGAAAATAAAGTTGAAAAACATTTGTTTGCTCTAAACAAGGCCAAATGACTACTTTTATGCATATATGTATGTATTGTGTGTGTGTGTGTGTGTTGTGATCACAAAGCTTAGATGTATGATGTATGTGGTATATCATTATATCTTTTGAATAATTCTTCACTTGTGTCATGGCAGTTTTAATACTTTGCTTGGTATTTGACCACAGCTGAACATTGAGCAGACAATCTCACTGAGCTGTCTGTGGTCAGCATTTAAGGCTGTTGTTGTTGTTTTGTTTTGTTTTTACCTCCCTCAAGATGTGCTAATTCAGAACCTTTCAGAGTATGCAGCAGTTTAATTTTTTCCAACGTGCATTGACTTGTACACAGAGATATTAAATTATATCTGTCATTGTTCATCTGTTGCCCAATGATAACATTTGCTCAGTTCCCCAGGAGTGTTTTATAATTCCCACCTCATTTCAACTCGGTCTTATGCTCATCCCTCTTCTAGTTGTTAATAAATTGATGAAACTGCAACACCACCAGTCAAACATAGGGCTATACCATCGCCCTGTTAACCTTTTGTACACACTGAAAGTTGGTCAGTTATTTTTACTGTTAGCTTTCCACCTCTTAAATACTTTATAAGCCGCAGCTAAAGTGGCACATGCTCACCCTTTAGATACTGAATTTAATATATAATCACCAAAGAATGTGAGAATTCTATTGTTTTTATAGAAGTAAATGCTTTTTTTCCCTAGAGGGTAGCCATTTAGTTTACCTATTGAATATCATAGTTAATTATTCTCTATTTTTCCTTAAAAAATAGTTTGCCAAGCATTCCAGCTCTTCTCATATATTCACTCTTATTCCTTTAACTGACTAAATGCATCTGACATATTTATTACTGAAGACATATATTCATAAGACACTTTACAGAATAAATGTTCAACTCATTAGATATCTACATCAGAATAATATATGTATATATTTTCATTTGCTTATATTATATCAATTTTCTTCACTTGATTTTTCAGAGACTATACTGATAGAATTCCTAAAAGGACAAAAGATTATCTCCAAAGAAAAATGTTTACAAAATTAATACATTCATATGACAGAGCAGTTAAATTTTTGGCTTCCTTAATATTGTAATGCATAGAGCTAGCTGAGAAGACTATTAAGTAATCATTATCTTTATTATGGACAACAGTAGATCCTCATTCTGTTCAGGTAGATGCAGCAAACAAATCTTCCTTTATTATAGTCTGTGTACTAATTATAGAGTAGCTACAAAAGTTGAAACTTGTTCAAAGTTAGAAACAATGATACACCCACATACTCTCTGAGCCACCTTTCAGTAACCTGCCTATTTCAGAACTTGGTAGCTTCAGCTCATATTATTATTATAGCTTTTGCTTTTTTTTTTTTTTTTTTTGCAAGATACTTGGGAAAGGTGAAATAGAATAGAAAATCATTACAATGCAATGGTATTGCTGCATTGCCTGTAGGTTTAATATTTTGATTTGTTTCTCACCTAGACACTTGGTTATAAATCCAAATGAATTTTTTTTAATCAGTCTGGGAAGAGAAATGTCTTGAAAAAACCCACCAAGCTTTATTTGTGAAAAATGTAATGAAAAGTTTAAGGAAGGAGAACGAGGACTTACAATACCAAGATTTTCATGAAAATTAATCTGACCTATTGCTAAACTCAAATTCCAAGGCTGAGTTTTGAAACAAACTTTCTTATGGCATTACAGCTAATCTGTGATGACTGTTACATAAATAGCTTTTTTGCACTACACCAAATACAAGTTTTCTCATTTCCAAATCCCTGAAAAACTGTTATGACATCGAATAAACAAGAATGCTTTTAAAAGAATAGGCCGTTGCTACAATCAAGTCAATTTCGGCATTCTTTTCCCAGAACTATTTTGCATATTGGGTCATACAACAGTTTTAGTCCTAGTAACTGTCTGTTTTGGGACCTCACCTACAATCTGGTGACATTATGGAAAAAGTATGAAATTAGAACTGTAATATGAATAAAAAAGGCAAACATCTAGAGTTTAAAAGATTATCTTTGTACTTAGCTGCTTTTCATTTATAAAGGTACTTTTTAAGCACTAATTAATCCGCTTAAAACCCCCATGAGCATGGCTGGACTAGGAGAAAAACAGAGTTTTGAGGAGAGAAAAGTGAAAAGTTCCTATTGGAGCTATATTTTTCCATAGCTCATCTCAAAGCAGAATCTCCTAAATAGGTAAGTCAATTAAATTCCTCTTACCTGAACAGTCAGGCTGTTCAGTAGATAAAGAAATTCCATTTTGCTTGAGACCACCAGGGATAGCCTAAAGCATTGTTCCACAGTAAGCCAACGTCTCAGAATTGAGAAATCAAGGGAACCCAGAATCATCTTAGATATTTGGACATCTTACAGATCAGTGATGGAAGGATTTAAGCCAAATAACACTGGTTCTGACTAGAATTGGACATATTTCTTTTTTTTTTTTTTTTTTTTGAGACAGAGTCTCGCTCTGTCGCCCAGGCCGGACTGCGGACTGCAGTGGCGCAATCTTGGCTCACTGCAAGCTCCGCTTCCCGGGTTCACGCCATTCTCCTGCCTCAGCCTCCTGAGTAGCTGGGACTACAGGCGCCTGCCACCGCGCCCGGCTAATTTTTTGTATTTTTAGTAGAGACGGGGTTTCACCTTGTTAGCCAGGATGGTCTCGATCTCCTGACCTCATGATCCACCCGCCTCGACCTCCCAAAGTGCTGGGATTACAGGCGTGAGCCACCGCGCCCGGCCGAATTGGACATATTTCTAAGAAAATAACCAGTTGACTCACCATGTCTAATTCCTTGCAGGTCAATAATTCATTTCTGACTATGGCAGTTTCAATCAAACTTTTGGGGTGAAGGAATGCATGTGGGTGTCACTGACTGCCACTGGCAGGCCCGAGGCATAAACAAGAAAGAAGACCAAATAGAAGGGGAGAAGTTGTTGTGGTAGAAGATTACCAAGTAATTCTTTTTTTTTTTTTTTTTTTCCGGAGGCAGAGTTTCGTTCTCGTGGCCCAGGCTGGAGTGCAATGGCGCGATCTCGGCTCACTGCAACCTCCGCCTCCCGGGTTCAAGCAATTCTCCTGCCTCAGCCTCCTGAGTAGCTAGGATTATAGGTGCCCGCCACCACACCTGGCTAATTTTTGTATTTTTAGCAGAGACAGAGTTTCACCAATTGGCCAGGCTGGTCTTGAACTCCTGACCTCGTGATCCACCTGCTTCAGCCTCCCAAAGTGCTGGGATTACAGGCATGAGCCACCGTGCCTGGCCAGTAGTGGAGGTTTTAAGAACTGGTCAGATGGAGGATATATTTTTAAGGTACAGCCAATGGGATTTTAAAAAAAGAACACTCGAGTTGTAATTGACATACAGAAAGCTGTGCAAATGGTATATCGAAGAAATAATAAAATTATCATTGTAGATTGTGCTCATTAAAATAAATTCAGTTAGGGTTTTATTGTGATAATTCACTGAGAGAAATTAAGTATTCTTGGTGCCAAGCTGTCCTCTTAAATTGATATCAGTAAACTGTAAAGATTAAATATCTATATGTGCATAAAATAGAAATTATAATGAAAACAAGATCAGTGTGACAATTAGCTGTACCATATTAAACTAAACCCCTTTCAGAAGTTACACTGTATCCTGAGTGTTAAATCATAAGAAGTATGTTGCTGTTTTCACTCATAACGAATCTGTACAATCTCAGTATGGCTAAAATTAGGGATGGCATTTGGCAAGCAAAAAATGTGCTTGGTGACACATCCATATCCTTTGAACAAGAATATTAAGAATGTGCAGGTTTATATCCTAGAGTGTTTCTCGTGGCTATTGTAACTCAAATTGGAAACAATTTAGATAGCCAAGCCTAAAGTATTTAAGTAAATTATGGCACGCTCATACAATGGAATACTAGAGAGTCAATTGAAAGGATGTTGTAGAAGTGTATATATTAGCACAAAAAACCTACCTACATTTTTTTCATCATATTGACAGAAAAAAAAGAAGTTAGAGAACAGCATTACAGGCCAGGCTGGTGGCTCACACCTGTAATCCTTGCACCTTGTGAGGCCAAGATGGGAGGATTGCTTGAGCTCAGGAGTTTGAGACCAGCCTGGGCCACATAGCAAGACTATATATATATACACACACACACACACACACACACACACACACACACACACACACATATACACACACACACACACACACACACACATATATATGTATATCCCGGTGTGTTGGTGCATGCCTGTAGTCCCAGTTACTTGGGAGGCTGAGGTGGGAGTTTCAGCCTCCCGCCTCAGCCCAGGAGTTGGAGGCTGCAGTGCCTATGATCGTGCCACTGCACTCCAGCCTGGGTGACAGTGAGACCCTGTCTCAAACAAAACAAACAAAAAAGAAAACAAACAAAAAAAACCCAGCATTACATGTGACCCCTCTTGGAGGGTGATGGGTTAATCTGTTTATGAACAGAAAAGTTCTACAAGCATATAACACAAAATAGAAACTGATTATCACTGGTGGGATTATAATTATCCCTATTTTCTAAAATGTTAATACTGTTATAATACAAATGTTTGAATGCATGGAACAACAAAGATTACAATAGACTAAAGGATTTCACGATTTAGAAAGATATACAAGTCTTATTTTCCCTGGAGACTCACCCTTGTTCATGCATCACAGAATAAACTTCCAACAGCATTATTACTGGCACTTCCTGACAACAATATTTCTTATTGAGATTTGTATAAGTAATGAGTTGCCAAAATAAGTATTTTAAACTCTCACATAAAACTCTTCAAATGTGAGAAATGTGGTGAAATATCCACATGTCCATAAGATTACTTTCAGGGTTTTACCGATTACAATAATAATTAAATGAATAATTAATGTGGATTCTCAGAGCCTCATGTACTTTTTAGTTAGCTATACAATAGAGGAACTAGGGAGAAAATTCTCAACAGAAACAGCATAACAGAGAGCCAGTATCTTTAATTTTCCTATTAAAGACCCACTCTTTTCTCCATATGGCAAGGCAAATAATGTATATGTGGCCAACTCTGGATTATGCAGGGTCATGAGGGACAGAAACAACGTGGATAATTGAAACCTGCTGATAATCCAGAAACCTAATTTTACCTAATAGTCGCAACCACCTCCTGGACAGAACCCTTCCATAGAGCTGCTAATGAGAAGCATAATTGAGTGGCTTGCATTCATCTGCTTTCAGTTATCCTTTGTAGGTGCTAATGAACAGTGAAATGGTCAAAGGGATGTCAGCCAAAGGAAGTGGTAGGAGAAAATGCAGGACATGGATAACCCAGAAACTGGATAATCACCCTCAAAATGGCTGAGTTAACTGCAGTGAGGATCAGCTATTAACGAAATTCCATGAGGATATATGTCACTAAACCAGATCTTCATATTAAGGGTTTTCACATGTACATATTCTAGCTTGGTTAACATGAATTACAGTATAGTCTTACAAGTTCTCTCTACTGTAGTGATTTTCCTTGATGGCAATGATAGGATATTTATCATCAGAGCATAGCTAATCAACTGCAGGCTCCTCTGCTAAATATGGCCAACAGGCTGCTTATGAGTCCAGATTCTGGCAGACAGCCCTGCTTTTAGACCAATGGAAATGTTATTGACTCACCCCCATGCCTTTCTGGGAGAGAATAAAAGCATTGCTGGTATCTGATCATTAAAAAAAAATTATTGCTTCAAATTCATGTTTTAGTAAACAGCATTTTGAAAGTCTTGTTATGGTGCAAACATTTTGTGGCTTATGTTAAGCATTTGGTTTTCAAAAATTGTCAAAAATAAATGTTTTTAGAGTACAATTACTTTCAAATATTACACAATAAACTAATATTAGTAACAAAAACTGTATCTATGTTTGATTAGGTAAGTAAGCTCTCAAATGGTTGTGAAAGTAATTTCCTTTTATAAGGATGTACTTTAGGACAAATTACTTGTTACACTCACTAATATTCAGAACTTCAACTGTATCTACATATGATTATTAATGCAGCTCTCTATAGTAGTAACAAAAGTGATTTTCATTTATGGCAGTTGTTTAAAATGAAGTACACTGTAAACTATCTGGTATTTGTAAATAAAACTGTATGTGCACATGAATATTAATAGTTTTCTATAGCAATTGTGAGAGTAATCTCCATTTATAGCAGTCATTTTGGGTAAATGAGATTTTTAATCATTTTAATATCAACTGTTATTTCTTGATCTTATTCTGTGATAGTGTGTCCTTTTGCCCATATTGTGAGCAAAAGGATGAATGACCTAGTTGTGTATAATGTGCATTGTTTAAGCCACTTGAATATTCTGGACTACTCTCTAACTTTTGCTTAAACCTAAAGAAAAAAAGTAATTTTCAATTCAATTACAGGTAACATTCACCAAACTATTTAACTGAAAAATACAAGTCCCTAAATTTCTGCTTTATTGAAAATTTAGGTAAGCTATAGTCCTCTTCAATTAGTTTTTATGAAATACAATGGCATGAGTAGATGAGTTGTAAAATTTATTTATATCGAGCACTTGCTATGTGCCTGACCTGATATTGTTTTATATGTATTGACTCATATAATACAGTTGGCAATCTGTATCCATGATTCTGCATCTGTGGTTGGATCCAACCAACCACAGATGGAAAATACTGGGAAAAAAGGATGGTTGTGTCTGTAGCGTACAGACATTATTCACTAAACAATACAGTAAAATAGCTATTTACATAGCATTTACAGTGTATTAGATATTATAAGTAATCTAGAGATAACTTGAAGTATATAGGAGGATGTATGTAGATTATATATAAGTACTATACCATTTTATATAACGGACTTTAGCATGCATGGATTTTGGCATCTGAGAGAGGACCTGGAACCAATCCCCCATGGATACTGAAGGACCACTGTACTTGCAAAAAAAAAAAAAAAAAAAAAGAAAAGAAAAAAAAAAGAAGAAAAAGCAACCTATGGGGGAGATGACACATATATCTGTAATTTATTACAGATGAGAAACTAAGTAATTTGTCAAAATTCATCTAGAGCTCATAAGTGGTAAGACTGAGATTTCAAACCAAGCAGTTGACCTCTGGAGTCAAGCTTTGTAATACTCCATACTGTACAGCTTCACTTAGGTTCATGTTGCCTAAAGTCTATAGACCAAGTATTACTACTTTTTAAGTTTTCCAGAACCATCTTCCAACTTTTGCATCTGTTCATTTGACAAGTGTGTCTTGCATTCAAATAGGCCCACAGAAACTCTATTCTGTGCATAGATTTTGAATTGCTTTCCATGTGTTTATCAACTTGATTTCTCCCTCAGTTAATCATTCTAGTCTTTTAGTTTTTTAATCTTCCCAATTTGATGCCTTCAGTTCCCTCATGGACATGAATTTCTACTAAACAAACAATAAGGAACTTATTATAATACACTGCATTTGCAAAGCACTTTCGCATGCTTGCTCTCATTTTGTTCTCACAGGTTTGTTTGTTATTTTTTAATTATAAAAGCTATTCAAGTATGGCAGGAGTCCTAGAGTGAGAGGCTAAGTTGTGGTAGTACCCACTGTGGATTCCAACATGTCCAGGCATATCTAGATGCCCAACAGGGAAAACACATCAGGGGTTTATTTATATGGGGGGTTGAGGACTCTGATGTGAGCTATAATACTGGATAAATTGAAATTGATATCCGCCCACAGCACTAAGACATCTCCCCAAGTTTTGGAAGAATAAGAACCCTCCCTTGAACAAGAATTCAGTTGAATAGATGGGAAGAAACTAGCTTTGAGGTGGCATGTTGGTGAAGTAAACTAGTTTGATCAGAAAAATGTGATCTGTGTTAGAGGGGTAAATGGTGGTTTAGGAAAGCACATATGGATCTGTGCTGTGTTGGATGCTGAGGGTCAGGATGTTGGTGCAGGGCTATGACAGATAATAGGTCAAATGAAAGAGTTTTAGCATTAGAGTGATCCTAAGAACTTGAAAGCACAAGGCAGTACTATTAGTGGCTTAGAAATACATTGATATACAAATAAGAGCAGAAAGGAGTACTGAAATGGAATGGAAAGGCAGCCAAGGCTACAACATTGTGGCTGACATCCAGAGGTATTATGGAAGCAGTAGTTGCCATTAGGGAACAGGTCTGGAGCAGGAAAGGCAGAGATCACAAAGGCCATAGGAAGAGGAAAATGATCACTAGCTATTCATAAACCATGTGAGTTCCTCTTTGAACCTGTCCCACCCTCTTGAACCGGAATAGAGGGATTGGAAGGAGGATTGGATTCCAGAGACTCAGCTGTTAGAGGCTGGGAGACTGATTAGATTTTACTATTATTGTGACTCTCTTAGGCCACACATTCCGTGCCACCTCATTGGTAGAGTCTAAAGTAACTAAGGTTACAAGCATATTGCAGATATGTATAATTACTTTTTTCTATTACTACAAAACCCAACCAACCTAGACAAGTCTTCATTCAATTTACCACATCCCAATTTTATGTAAACACAATTCCTGAAGTCATCTTTACCACTACTATTAGTTCTCTTTCTCTTTTCCCACAATTTGTTTTATTATTTTCTTCTTTATTTTACACAATTATTGAGTGCCTATACATGTAAAACACTACTAGGTCACATAAGGAATAGAAAGAGGGATATGATGCAGGCACTTTCAGCCTATCAAAGGAGCCAAAAATGCTCACAAATTATAAAATAGCATCCAGATGATGGAGAAGTTTAGGAATAGTACTGAATAATGGCTAAATATGAACCTTCGTATGTTCTAGGTCCCAAGTGGGTAGAGGAGCCATTTTTGTATTCTAGTCTAGTGGCATAGTTAGTATTAGTCCTGCCTGGATCAGAAAGCAGGAGAGACAAATAGTTATTTCCTTTTTCAAATCTCTTGCATACATATATAAACTTCAGAATTTTTGCTACCTTGGATAATCTTTATGCTGAAGATCATAGATCCAAGGAGCCTCCTTTAAGCTGTGGCTTGGCATGGGGCAAGGGTAGGTCTAGCCTATGGCCTGCAAATCCTGGAGCCATGGTAACAAAGCTGGTTTGAAGAACTGAAGAATTCATATAAAGAGCCTCATCAAAAGAGCAGGGAAAAGAGGTAAAAAGCAGGAGTTAAGCAATATGACTGCAATCAGAAGGCTGCCAAGATGGAAGAACCATTCTGAGACATCGGATAGGAGGATAATTCCAGGAAATATTACCTTTATGTGTTACAATATAGAAGCAGTAGCCTTTTGTGAGGCATCTGTGACCTCACCTGTGGGAAGGAAAGGAATTATTAAAGCACCAAGCCCGATTAGATTCAATCTATGTTACTGTTATTTCTTCCAATTATTTGGCCAACTGATTTTTAAAATCTTTTATTTTGGCATATCTAAATATTGAGAAGTGACATGTCTACTCCTTACAGATTTCTTTTGAGAAGGGTGCTGTTATACTCACCTGATCTTTCCTTTCAATGCAAAGGGAAACAAGATGATGGAGGAGGAGAATTCTCATACAGAACCAAGGGGATGGCCCATCCAAACATGTGTTGGAGATATTCCTAAAGCTTGACCATCTAGAAATGACAAAAATAAATGGATGACTGAATATACATATGACGATCACATTCAAAATTAAGACTGATGTCAATACTGGTGTCAGATAAAGTATAATTTAAGAACAAAAATTTAATGGGGCAAAATAAGTTTATACTGATTAAAAACAAACAATGAAGATATTTTAGTCATGCAATTTATGCACTAAAAGGTAACATCAAAATTCATTCAGCATATGATGATGATGTTAAAAATAAAAGAGAAATGGACAGAAATAGAATTGTAAAACTTAACATACCATCACAGCCTCTAATTATCGAGTAGATTAAGAACACGGAAATATGAGTACAGGAATATTCATTGCATTATAGTATGTAATGTCAGGAAATTGGAAATCTAAGTGTCCATCAAGACACTATTGGCTAAGTGTATTATAACCCATACAATAGACTATAATAAAGCCCTTAAAAATGTGTTGTCTCCATAATAACATAGAAAGGTGACTTTGCTTTCTAATTAGGTGAAATCAGAGTAAAATGTTTAAGATAATGCTATTTTTTTCATCTTCCATTCTCTAGCCTGAGGTAATGCTATTTTTGTAAATACAAAATATATTTAGTGGATGTATACACATATTCTCTATGTAACTACATAGAGAAATGGTTGCTAGAAGTCAGGAAAAGTCTAAGAAACTGTCACTTTTTTACTCTCTATATATCTAAATGGTTGGCATTTCATATTGTGTCCTTGTATTTTATTTTAGTACATTTAGAAAATAATTTATAAGAAAACATTATAGACAACATGAGAAGAGCTATAACCATAGACTAAACTAAATCATAAGTACAGAAGAATTTTCCCCAGGAAATTCTCTTTGCAAGTTTACAGACAAATTCCCACACAATGTAGTCTAGTCAAGATCATCAAAACGATTATAATCTCCTGAAGTGGACTTCAGTTTTTGTTTGCCATTTTTGGAAGAGTTTCTTGAGTATGTTTTGTGGCTGTCCAGCATGAGAACCTCCTTTTTATGTTTGAGGATTTCCTCAGAGTATGAGTATGGAGAGAAGGCAGGGCTTGGCTTCCACTACAGGATCTAAAAAGGCCAGATACTCGTTATCTCTGCCTCCAAGCCTAGGTCCATGACCTAGGCGAAATTTATCAGATTCTCTGATCAGGAGCTTGGAATCTAAAATAAAGAAGCAGGAATGGGGAAGACTTCCTTACCATGGATGTTGACTGCAATATCAAGTATCTAACGGTAGCAATTCCAGTAGTGTACTCAACAGAGGGTTTCAATGGCATGAGGTAGGCTGTAGTGCTGAGCCCTATCCTCCTGTGGTTCTTGCATTCATACTGATCCTAGGTCTTTGATCTTTCTATGAATTCTATGAAATATCTGTCATTCTTCCAATAAACTCCATCTTTGTTTACATTAACCACAATCATTTCCTGCTGCTTGAAATTAAGAACCCTGTCTGTATACCTACTCAATATATGTTACAGTCAGCATAACCCTGGTGACAAAATGTTAACAAGATACACCAAATTTACTTATAAATATAGATGAAAAATATAAGTAGATTAAATTTGATATTACTGGAAATAATCTATCATAACTATATTGGGCTTATTTCAGAAATACAGAGCAATTTCCCAGACAAGCTATTTATATATAACATCAATAGATGAAGATAAATGAGTATCTCCATAGATGCTTTAGGTAAAATTTAATACTCATTCCTTCAATTCAAGAATAATTAATAATTAAGTACTTACTACATGACATATACTGAGTCAGGCACTGTGTTTTGTAGATGAATAAGACATAATCACTTACCTCACGAAGGCTATGGACTAACAGAAAGCCAAGTGAACATATGTAAAACATAATGTGTCGAACGCTTTCATAGAAATTTGCACAAGGCCGGGCGTGGTGGCTCATGCCTGTAATCCTAGCACTTTGGGAGGCCAAGGCGGGTGGATCACGAGGTCAGGAAATCGAGACCATCCTGGCTAACATGGTGAAACCCCATCTCTACTAAAAATACAAAAAATTAGCCGGGCGTGGTGACGGGCGCCTGTAGTCCCAGCTACTTGGGAGGCTGAGGCAGGAGAATGGCATGAACCCGGGAGGCAGAGCTTGCAGTGAGCCGAGATTGCGCCACTGCACTCCAGCCTGGGCGACAGAGCAAGACTCTGTCTCAAAAAAAAAAAAAAAGAAATTTGCACACATGACTCTGGTGGCACAGGTAAGTGACTGTGCCAAGTTAAGAGGTTCAAGAAACGCTTAATGAATAGATGATTCTTGCTGTTTCCTGAGAAGTTTGTTTTACAGAAGAGACATTCCTTGATACTAGAAAGGATGAGAGAATAGATGAAAATGAAGTTATATTATGTGTGGCAGGAAAAGATAGAAGAGCAGATTGGATTGCCTGAAAACTTCCCTTCCCACTTTATTTTCTCGTCATGGCTACCACCATTATCTAAGCCACTATAATATCTCGCCTAGTATCCTGAAATAGTTGCCTAACTCTTCTTTCTGTTCGTACTCTTTCTCTTTCTCCTTTCTAATTTTTTCTTTGTATAGCTGAAAAAGTGAGCTTTAAGAACATAAATCAAGCCATACCACTCCATACCTAAAACATTTCAGTGGCTCTCTGTTGCTCTTAGAATAAAATAAAATCGTGCATTATCTGGCACCTACCCTTCCTTCAACCTCATTCGTATCATTTTGTCTGTTTCTTATTAAGTTCTAGTATCCATGCTTTTCATTTTGTCCTTGAACACATCAAACGTTTTCCTGCCTTTGGTCCTTTGGTTTACTGTTTCCCCACCATAACTTTCCCTTAACCCAGCAACCCCCTCCACTGCCTATGTGCTTTTATTTCTTGTCTCACTTTCATCTGTCAGGTCTAACCTCACATGTCATCTCCTCAGTAAGACCTTAACTGGTCATTCTCTCCCATTTACTCTTTGCCACTGTCTATTTTTATTATCATACAACTACAGTCTGTACATCTTTTGCTTGCTTGTTTATTTTTCTACGTCTCCATTAGAATGTAAACTCTCTGAGTGCAGGGACCTTGTCTGTCTTGCTCACCACTATGTCCCTACAACTCACACTACTGGCTGCCACATAGTAGCTTCTCAATATAAATGTTTGTTGAATGAATTAACCTTTGCATTGCATAAAGACTTTGTAAATAATGCTAAAATACAAATGTCAAACTAGAAAAAATATTTACAATATGTAGCTGACCCTTGAACAACATGGGGGTCAGGGGAACTGATGCCCCGCACAGCCAAAAATCCATAGATAACTTTGATGCCCCCAAAACTTAACTACTAATAGCCTATTGTTGACCAGAAACCTTACCAATAACATAAACAGCCGATTAACACACCTTTTGTATATTATATGCATTATACACTGTACTCTTACAATAAAGTAAGCTAGAGAAAAGAAAATGTTATTACGAAAATCACAAGGAAGAGAAAATATATGTACTATTCATTAAGTAGAAGTGGATCATCATCAAGGTCTTCATCTTCATCATCATCGCTTTGAGTAGGATGAGGAGGGGTAGGAAGAAGGGTTGGTCTTACTGTCTCAGAAATGGCAGAGGCAAAAGAAAATCTGCTAGTTCAAACATGTTCAACATGGTCCCAGTTCAAATCCATGTTACTCAAGAGTCAACTGTATAGGCAATGTATGACATCTAGAGAGTTAATGTTGGTATGCATGTAGAGCTGCTATATATCAACAAGTAAAAGAATAACAGCCAAATCAGATATGCACAGACGATATGAACAGATAATTCGTAGAAGAAGTACAAGCAGCTCCTACAAATACAGAAATTTCTTCACCTTGTTCATCACAAAAACATAATTTTAAAAAATTAGGTATTTTATACTATTAGACTGTCAAATATTGATGCAAATGTTAATATGGAGAGCTAATAATCTCATATGCTATTTATAAAAGTGTATATTGGTACAATCTTTCTGGAAGGCAATTTGATATTTTCTTTTTTTTAATGCTTTAAGTTCTAGGGTACATGTGCACAACGTGCAGGTTTGTTACACATGTATACATGTGCCATATTGGTGTGCTGCACCCATTAACTCGTCATTTACATTAGGTGTATCTCCCAGTGCTATCCCTCCCCCCTCCCCCCACCCCACGACAGGCCCTAGTGTGTGATGTTCCCCTTCCTGTGTCCATGTGTTCTCATTGTTCAATTCCCACCTATGAGTGAGAACATGCAGTGTTTGGTTTTTTGTCCTGGCAATAGTTTGCTGAGAATGATGGTTTCCAGCTTCATCCATGTCCCTACAAAGGACATGAACACATCCTTTTTTTATGGCTGCATAGTATTCCATGGTATATATGTGCCACATTTTCTTAATCCAGTCTATCATTGATGGACATTTGGGTTGGTTCCAAGTCTTTGCTATTGTGAATAGTGCTGCAATAAACATACATGTGCATGTGTCTTTATAGCTGCATGATTTATAGTCCTTTGGGTATATACCCAGTAATGGGATGGCTGGGTCAAATGGTATTTCTAGTTCTAGATCCCTGAGGAATCGCCACACTGACTTCCACAATGGTTGAACTAGTTTACAGTCCCACCAACAGTGTAAAAGTGTTCCTATTTCTCCACATCCTCTCCAGAACCTGTTGTTTCCTGAGTTTTTAATGATTGCCATTCTAACTGGTGTGAGATGGTATCTCATTGTCGTTTTGATTTGCATTTCTCTGATGGTCAGTGATGATGAGCATTTTTTCATGTGTCTGTTGGCTGTATAAATGTCTTCTTTTGAGAAGTGTCTGTTCATCTCCTTTGCCCACTTTTTGATGGGGTTGTTTGTTTTTTTCTTGTAAGTTTGTTGGAGTTCCTTGTAGATTCTGGATATTAGCCCTTTGTCAGATGAGTAGATTGCAAAAATTTTCTCCCATTCTGTAGGTTGCCTGTTCACTGTGATGGTAGTTTCTTTTGCTGTGCAGAAGCTCTTTAGTTTAATTAGATCCCATTGGTCAATTTTGGGTTTTGTTGCCATTGCTTTTGGTGCTTTAGACATGAAGTCCTTGCTCATGCCTATGTCCTGAATGGTATTGCCTAGGTTTTCTTCTAGAGCTTTTATGGTTTTAGGTCTAACATTTAAGTCTTTAATCCATCTTGAATTAACTTTTGTGTAAGGTGTAAGGAAGGGATCCAGATTCAGCTTTCTACATATGGCTAGCCAGTTTTCCCAGCACCATTTATTAAATAGGGAATCCTTTAGCCATTTCTTGTTTTTGTCAGGTTTGTCAAAGATCAGATGGTTGTAGATGTGTGGTATTACTTCTGAGGGTTCTGTTCTGTTCCATTGGTCTATATCTCTGTTATGGTACCAGTACCATGCTGTTTTGGTTACTGTAGACTTGTAGTATAGTTTGAAGTCAGGTAGTGTGATGCCTCCAGCTTTGTTCTTTTGGCTTAGGATTGTCTTGGCAATGTGGGCCCTTTTTTGGTTCCATATGAACTTTAAAGTAGTTTTTTCCAATTCTGTGAAGAAAGTCCTTGGTAGCTTGATGGGGATGGCATTGAATCTATAAATTACCTTGGGCAGTATGGCCATTTTCATGATATTGATTCTTCCTACCCATGAGCATGGAATGTTCTTCCATTTGTTTGTGTCCTCTTTTATTTTGTTGAGCAGTGTTTATAGTTCTCCTTGAAGAGGTCCTTCACATCCCTTGTAAGTTGGATTCCTAGGTATTTTATTCTCTTTGAAGCAATTGTGAATGGGAGTTCACTCATGATTTGGCTCTCTGTTTGTCTGTTATTGGTGTATAAGAATGCTTGTGATTTTTGCACATTGATTTTGTATCCTGAGACTTTGCTGAAGTTGCTTATCAGCTTAAGGAGATTTGGGGCTGAGACGATGGGGTTTTCTAAATACACAATCATGTCATCTGCAAACAGGGACAATTTGACTTCCTCTTTTGCTAATTGAATACCCTTCATTTCTTTCCCTGTCTCATTGCCCTGGCCAGAACTTCCAACACTAAGTTGAATAGGAATGGTGAGAGAGGGCATCCCTGTCTTGTGCCAATTTTCAAAGGGAATGCTTCCAGTTTTTGCCCATTCAGTATGATATTGGCTGTGGGTTTCTCATAAATAGCTCTTATGATTTTGAGATGAGTCCCATCAATACCTAATTTATTGAGAGTTTTTAGGATGAAGGGCTGTTGAATTTTGTCAAAGGCCTTTTCTGCACCTATTGAGATAATCATCTGGTTTTTGTCTTTGGTTCTGTTTATATGTTGGATTACGTTTATTGATTTTCATATGTTGAACCAGCCTTGCATCCCAGAGATGAAGCCCACTTGATCATGGTGGATAAGCTTTTTGATGTGCTGCTGGATTCTCTTTGCCAGTGTTTTATAGAGGATTTTTGCATCGATGTTCATCAAGGATATTGGTCTAAAATTCTCTTTTTTGTTGTGTCTCTGCCAGGCTTTGGTATCAGGATGATGCTGGCCTCATAAAATGAGTTAGGGAGGATTCCCTCTTTTTTTATTGATTGGAATAGTTTCAGAAGAAATGGTACCAGCTCCTCCTTGTACCTCTGTTAGAATTCGGCTGTGAATCCGTCTGGTCCTGGACTTTTTTTGGTTGGTAGGCTATTAATTATTGCCTCAATTTCAGAGCCTGTTATTGGTCTATTCAGGGATTCAACTTCTTCCTGGTTTAGTCTTGGGAGGGTGTATGTGTTGAGGAATTTATCCATTTCTTCTAGATTTTCTAGTTTATTTGTGTAGAGGTGTTTGTAGTATTCTCTGATGGTAGTTTGTATTTCTGTGGGATCGGTGGTAATATCCCCTTTATCACTTTTTATTGCATCTATTTGACTCTTCTCTCTTTTCTTCTTTATTAATCTTGCTAGTGGTCTATCAATTTTGTTGACCTTTTAAAAAAACCAGCTCCTGGATTCATTAATTTTTTGAAGGGTTTTTTGTGTCTCTATTTCCTTTAGTTCTGCTCTGATCTTAGTTATTTCTTGCCTTCTGCTAGCTTTTGAATGTGTTTGCTCTTGCTTCTCTAGTTCTTTTAATTGTGATGTCAGGGTATCTATTTCAGATCTTTCCTGCTTTCTCTTGTGGGCACTTAGTGCTATAAATTTCCCTCTACACACTGCTTTGAATGTGTCCCAGAGATTCTGGTATGTTGTGTCTTTGTTCTCGTTGGTTTCAAAGAACATCTTTATTTCTGCCTTCATTTCGTTATGTACCCAGTAGTCATTCAGGAGCAGGTTGTTCAGTTCCCATGTAGTTGAGTGGTTTTGAGTGAGTTTCTTAATCCTGAGTTCTAGTTTGATTGCACTGTGGTCTGAGAGACAGTTTGTTATAATTTCTGTTCTTTTACATTTGCTGAGGAGAGCTTTACTTCCAACTCTGTGGTCAATTTTGGAATAAGTGTGATGTGGTGCTGAGAAGAATGTATATTCTGTTGATTTGGGGTGGAGAGTTCTGTAGATGTCTATTAGGTCCACTTGGTGCAGAGCTGAGTTCAATTCCTGGATATCCTTGTTAACTTTCTGTCTCGTTGATCTGTCTAATGTTGACAGTGGGGTGTTAAAGTCTCCCATTATTATTATGTGGGAGTCTAAGTCTCTTTGTAGGTCTCTAAGGGCTTGCTTTATGAATCTGGATGCTCCTGTATTGGGCGCATATATATTTAGGATAGTTAGCTCTTCTTGTTGAATTGATCCCTTTACCATTATGTAATGGCCTTCTTTGTCTCTTTTGATGTTTGTTGGTTTAAAGTCTGTTTTATCAGAGAGTAGGATTGCAACCCCTGCCTTTTTTTGTTTTCCATTTGCTTGGCAGATCTTCCTTCATGCTTTTATTTTGAGCCTATGTGTGTCTCTGCATGTGAGATGGGTCTCCTGAATACAGCACACTGATGGGTCTTGACTCTTTATCCAATTTGCCAGTCTGTGTCTTTTACTTGGAGCATTTAGCCCATTTACATTTAAGGTTAGTATTGTTATGTGTGAATTTGATCCTGTCATTATGATGTTAGCTGGTTATTTTGCTTGTTAGTTGATGCAGTTTCTTCCTAGCCTTGATGGTCTTTACAATTTGGCATGTTTTTGCAGTGGCTGGTACCAGTTGTTCCTTTCCATGTTTAGTGCTTCCTTCAGGAGCTCTTTTAGGGCAGGCCTGGTGGTACAAAATCTCTCAGCATTTGCTTGTCTGTAAAGGTTTTTATTTCTCCTTCACTTATGAAGCTTAGTTTGGCTGGATATGAAATTCTAAGTTGAAAATTCTTTTCTTTAAGAATGTTGAATATTTCCCCCCACTCTCTTCTGGCTTGTAGAGTTTCTGCTGAGAGATCAGCTGTTAGTCTGATGGACTTCCCTTTGTGGGTAACCTGACCTTTCTCTCTGGCTGCCCTTAACATTTTTTCCTTCATTTCAACTTTGGTGAATCTGACATGTGTCTTGGAATTGCTCTTCTCAAGGAGTATCTTTGTGGCATTCTCTATTTCCTGAATTTGAATGTTGGCCTGCCTTGCTAGGTTGGGGAAGTTCTCCTGGATAATATCCTGCAGAGTGTTTTCCATCTTGGTTCCGTTCTCCCCATCACTTTGAGGTACACCAATCAGACATAGACTTGGTCTTTTCACATAGTCCCATATTTCTTGGAGGCTTTGTTCATTTCTTTTTACCCTTTTTTCTCAAAACTTCTCTTCTCACTTCATTTCATTAATTTGATCTTCAGTCATTGATACCCTTTCTTCCAGTTGATCGAGTCGGCTACTGAGGCTTGTGCATTCGTCATGTAGTTCTTGTGCCATGGCTTTCAGCTCCAGCAGGTCATTAAGGACTTCTCTACACTGGTTAACACTAACACTAGAAAGTTAGGCATTCGTCTAATCTTTTTTTCAAGGTTTTTACCTTCTTTGCGATGGGTTTGAACTTCCTCCTTTAGCTCGGAGAAGTTTAATCCTCTGAAGCCATCTTCTCTCAACTCAACCGAAGTCATTCTCTGTCCAGCTTTGTTCCTTTTCTGGCAAGGAGCTGCATTCCTTTGGAGGGGGAGAGGTGCTCTGATTTTTAGAATTTTTGCTTTTCTGCTCTGTTTTTTCCCCATCTTTGTGGTTTTATCTACCTTTGGTCTTTGATGATGGTAATGTACAGATGGGGTTTTGGTGTGGATGTCCTTTCTGTTTGTTAGTTTTCCTTCTAACAGTCAGGACCCTCAGCTGCAAGTCTGTTGGAGTTTGCTGGAGGTCCACTGCAGAACCTGTTTGCCTGGGTATTAGCAGCGGAGGCTGCAGAACAGCAAATATTGCTGAACATCAAATGTTGCTGCGTGATCATTCCTCTGGAAGCTTTGTCTCAGAGGGGTACCTGGCCATGTGGGGTGTCAGTCTGCCCCTGCTAGGGGGTACCTCCCAGTTAGGCTACTCAGGGGTCAGGGACCCACTTGAGGAGGCAGTCTGTACGTTCTCAGATCTCAAGCTGCGTGCTGGGGGAACCACTACTCTCTTCAAAGCTGTCAGACAGGGACATTTAAGTCTGCAGAGGTTGCTGCTGCCTTTTGTTCAGCTATGCCCTGTCCCCAGAGGTGGAGTCTACAGAGGCAGGCAGGCCTCCTTGAGGTGTGGTGGGCTCCACCCAGTTCAAGCTTCCTGGCCTCTTTGTTTACCTACTCAAGCCTCAGCAATGGCGGGCGCCCATCCCCCAGCCTCGCTGCTGCCTTGCAGTTTGATCTCTTACTGCCGTGCTAGCAATGAGTGAAGCTCCATGGGCATGGGACCCTCCGAGCCAGGCACTGGATATAACCTCCTTGTGTGCGGTTTGCTAAGAGCATTGGAAAAGCGCAGTATTAGGGTGGGAGTGACCCGATTTTCCAGGTGCCGTCTGTCACTCCTTCCCTTGGCTAGGAAAGGGAATTACCTGACCCCTTGCACTTCCTGGGTGAGGTGATGCCTCGCCCTGCTTTGGCTCATGCTCGGTACGCTGCACCCACTGTCTTGCACCCACTGTCTGACAAGCCCCAGTGAAATGTACCCAGTACCTCAGCTGGAAATGCAGAAATCACCTGTCTTCTGCGTCGCTCACGCTGGGAGCTGTAGACTGGAGCTGTTCCTATTCGGCCATCTTGGAACTGAAACCTAAATTATTCTTACATACCTTTTGATCCAGCATTTCCACTTTCAGGAATTTTTCCTACATTAATAAACAGAAAAGTTTGAGCACATACAATGTAGTTTTCTTTCATTGTGTGCATCATTAAGAGACTGGTCAACTATATTATGGTGATTTATATGGTGTAATAATATCATAATAACCTGAAGGATTTCTATATGTAGTGGCTTGTAAGGATTCAGAATATAACCTTGAATGTCATCTTTGTGCTTTTTCTTCTTTTCTTTCACTTCCTGAACTTACTGACCCTTTCCCTAGTCAGTCAAATCCACTTGCATGGCTTTGGAGATAAATTGGCATAGTTACTGCAAGAATTCAAAGGAAAAGAGTTAATATACACTTTGTTTTATTACATTTTGTTTTTATTTTATTACACTCTTTGTTTTATTACATTTTCTATAGACAAGGCTATAGAAAAACAAAATGGAAGGCCCTCTGGAAAACAGAACATAGAGTTCATGACAATATAAAGTTTGAAAGGAAAATAAAAGGAGAAAAAACCCTGTCTACTCACTCTATCCCTGGTCCTGAGAAGAGATTAGATTAAAGTCACCTGGGCAGGAGGAAGTATAGGTGTGTGTGCAGGGAAGGGGGCAAAGGACACGTCCTTGGAGGTGGTTATAAGCTAGACACAGAAAGACTAGATGTAGAGGAATATGGATGACAGGAGGGAAGCGGTATTGAGGGACACCAACTACTCTATTGATACCACTGTAGGGTGCCAAATTAAAGCTGAATTGATACCAGCAAAAATTCATTATTAGTCAAGAGAGTAAATGGCTATGCTAAGGACCATAACTATGTCATTTTTTATCTATGAGACAAAATTTTGCTTTAAGATCTGCCTGCAGTCCTCACTGATCCTCATCCAGTAGAAGCAGGCACTGAGGTTTTCTGGATCCCATCTAAACTACTTGTGAATGCTTTTCCTTGGCAATAGCCCAAGACTCTTGTAAGACCCCAAAACAGAGGATGATCGTGATATAGTAGGGAAAGCCTTATTACTGGTTCTTCAATGGGACTGGACAGTAAATGATAGAGAAATCCATTTTTGTGATAGATGAGAAATAGATATATAGTTAGCTAGAGAGATATATACCAAACTCCTAACAGTGAATGAGATAGAGTGGAGTGATTTAATTCTACTCTGTTCTATATATTTCTGTCTTGTTTGAGTTTTTTTAATAATAAGCATATATTACTTTTATAATAAAAAGTTTCCTCTCATAAAGAGCAGACAAGTCTACAAGATAATGCAAATGTTGCATTTTATCTGACTTGTTAATAAGGAGAATAAATTAGGCATTCCTTCAGAAGCACTTAATGTCTACAACAATTATTTATTAATGTCAGTGCATATAGAATGCTCAGTCACTTGGAGCCAGGACATCTTTAAAACTAACCAGCGTTCAGTAGAAAACAACTATCTACTCCAAAATATGTTTACCAAATGTATATCAGTACAACTCTCTCAGCTTCCCATCCTTAAGGCCCATATGTCTGTGGCTATATTTTTCTTGCATGTTTTTGCAGTGGGCATTTTGGGGACTTCAGCTTCCACCCACGAAAAATATCTACTATGGGACTTGCCTTCCTTTCATAAACAACTAGAAAGATGCGCAAAATATATGAAACAACACTTTTCAGATATTGGACTGTAGGCTGTACAGGCTTTTGATCCCTGAGAGGAGGAAAGTAAATGAGGGGAGACCTACAACCACCTTAAATTTCTGGTAGAAACACTTTTGTGACAGTGGCACAGGAAAACGGAATCTCACTAAAATGAGGAGATAGAGATCAGGATTACAGGAGGCCAGTGCAACTAGAATTTGTGAGGCAGAATACTGGATAGGAGGAAGCTACATAGAGAAATGGCTCCGGAAATCTACACAGGAGTCTCAAGTCTTTGGCTGAAACCAATCTGTGCATATGTCGAGTGAAAATCCATCAGGTTGGGCAAAGAACAACTTAGGAAAAGAATAATTACCAGGAAGCTGTAAGCCAAATAGTTTCAAGAGTTCATACAGGGCTGGGAATCATTTTGGCTCCTGCTGGCCAGAAGAGAGAGACACTGTTGAATATCCAGGGCATTCAGCAGAGATCCCAGAAGATCATACTTTAGTATTGGGGCTAAAAAAATGCTTAAAAACAAGCCTCAAAAGCAAAGATGATTTTTGTCTTACTTAACTGCCTGCCAGAATAAAGTCCTATGCTCTTTAAAGGAATACTATAAAATTCAGCCTTCTACACCATAAAATTCATAATGTCCGCCATCCAGTAAAATAATTACTTGACATAAGAAGGAGCAAAAAAATGTGACCCATAAGCAGAAGAAAACAGGCCCTGAAATGAGAGATGATGGAATTTCTAAACATTATGTAAGTAGAACATTAAATAATTAAGAATAAAAATGAAAAATAATTGGACACTTCTTGTTGGAGTTATTCTTATTAAATTAATGAGGACATTAAAACTGCTATGGTATACATATTCCATACATGTAAGGAGGTTTAAAAAAGCTATGAGCAGAATGAGAAGAGAAATGATAGGTGCAAGAGACCTAATGGAAGTGTTGTTGTGATGAAATATATAATGTTTGAAATGAAAATTACATTGGATGGAATTAACAACATAGACATGGCAGAAGAAAAGATTAATGAACTTGAAGACATAGCAGTAAAACTATGCAAATTGAAGCATAGAGTGGAAAATAAACCCTTAAAAAAGCAAAAGATGCCTCAGTGACTATATCAAGTAATCACCATATCAAGCAGTCTAACATACTTGTAAGTGGAGTCCTGAAAGACTGAAGATGGAAGAAAACATATTTGAAAAAAGAATGGCCAAATGCTTTTCAAATTTGATAAAAACTACAAATGCATGTATCTGGGAAGCTCAACAAACTCACAGGAGGAAAAATAAAGTGGCCGTTTGTGTTTGTTTTACTGTTCCCTGAATCCTGGCTTCTGAACTGGCTTTTATTCTGATTCCTCAGCTCTATTCTTCGTTGTTTCTGGCTCCCTGATCTATTTTCTTTTCTGATTTCTCAAAACTGATTGCCATCTGGGCCAAAGCAATGATAATGTCCATGTTGACAAAGGGGAAGGGTTGTAAATTAGTAAAATCCCCCTTTGAATACCCTGGAACTCTCCCCTTAGGTGGGAAGTTTCTGTAATCTCTACCTGCCACCATGTCATGTTGGACTTTGGTACTTGACCCAAGTCCCTTGGGCCTTGTGACTTTGTGTTTTTAGGTTTCTTTTATAGTATGTCTGGTAAGATTACTATCCTAATGTTAGTGAAATGTTTTGAATAATAAGAACTGTGTCTATAATTATTTCCATTCCCGAAATGTCTATTCAGTGCCTTGCACATAAGTCAATCAATAAATATATGCTTATTGACTGATTAGACCAGTGGTGGCCTTCAAACTCCAGCACGCATCAGAATCACGTGGAAAGTTGATAAATCACAGATTGTCAGGCCTCATCCCTAGAGTTTATGATTCATTACATCTTGGGCGGGGTCTAATAAGTCGCAGTTCTAACAAGTTCCCAGGTAATGCTGATGTTGCTTGTCCTTGAACCACATATGTTAATTACTGGTTTAGACTATATTTGTGAAATTCAGCTATTGAGAAATCCTATGTGTATTTTAAGCCTCTCTTTAAATCCTACCTCTTCCATATAAAAATTCCTTCTCTCAGAATAATAGCTCTTCTTTCTAACATATATTTTGTATCCTTTCTATATCTCTTATAGTATTTATCATAGTCTTTATTATTTATAAGTTGTTTATGTAATGTGTTTATCTTGAATACTAGATTGTTTTAGAAGGTAGAAGCCAATTTTGAAGCCATGCACAACTATGTCAATGCTCAGTAAATGTGTGTTGATATTAATAGTGAACAAATAAATAACTGCATAGTAGAGACTGGCTGCAGTACTAGTTCTTCAAAAGCTAGACCAGGCTGGGCATGGTGGCTCATTCCTGTAATCTCAGCACTTTGGGAGGTCAAAGTGGAGGATTGCTTGAGGCTAAGAGTTTGAGAGCAAGCTGGGCAACATAGCAAGATCCTTGTCTGTACAAAATACAAAAAAAAAAATTTTTAAAGCTGGAACAATTAGCAATTGCTATTTTTTCCAAATATGAACCATAATGTGTATATTCCTATACAGAGAAAATAAATTGCTTATTATACAATAAACAGCTAGGTAATGGAAGTGTACATAGAATTAAAAAAAATATCAGTTCCTGCTACTTTATATGTACCGGGTCAGTGAAGTATTAGATTTTGTGACCCTGAATTAAGAATAACTCCAACACAAGATGTTTAATTATTCTTCACTTTTAGTCTTAATTATGATTAGTGGCATATTCTAACTGCTGGGAAAGGTCCAATATTCCTTCAACAACTCCATCTTGTAGAAGGAACAACTCTCTAATGAGGGTAAAGAACACATAATTCTCAAGAGCTAGAGTTTTAGGTGTGAGAAACAAAGAAGTAAAAGTTCAAGCTTCAGGTGTGCTCTTATATGAGAGGTGTGATATGAGCCTCCTCCATGTTGACAGCCCACTCGTACTCCTTTTTTTGGTAAAACCAAGTGTACTTAAGGTTAGTGTCTAGGGCACAGGAGGCAGTTTTAGGAAAGTTCTATTCTAGGTTTTTCATGGAAGATTTTCTGTTTGTCCATCTTCTCACTATCTGGGTAAGACCTGAGGGTGGAAGGAAGAGAAGGGTCAAGACTGTGGAGTGATCCTGAGAAAAAAGGCCAAGAAGTCACTCTTCTTACCTCTAGTCTGGGTCATAGTCTAGGATAGAGGTTGGGTATATAAAGAGCCATCTTCATTCACAAGTGGTCCAGCTCAATTTAACCTGAGGCTATATAGAGATTTAAGGCCACAGCTCTAGCTAGAATGCAGTGTGCGCTTGTCCAGTGTATCCTCTGTGAAATATATACACCTTAGGAGCCTCCTACAGGAGCAAGCGGCATGATGGAACCTGAAGATTTTAAGATTTGAGATCCCAGTCATCTCTCTTCTGGTAAGTGCTATGACAAACATATGTGTCCTATGATATATCTGATCATGAATATCTCAATAGATAATTTCTTTGTGAAAATGAAATAGTATCATTACTTTTAATTGAACAAGAAAATTGTTAGTAGGATTCATTTTCTCTTTTTAAAAGAAAATTTGATGGCCATGCTATTTCTGTTACAAAGCCTGAGTTTTACAGTAGATATTATAAATATCACAAGAACAAACTGGATTGTTTATCCTAATATAGGTTACCTATTATTTTATTCTCCTAGACCAGGGGACCCCAACCCACAGGCCACCAATGGATCCTGTCAGATCAGCTGCAGCATTAGATTCCCATAGGAGTAGGAACCCTATTGTGAACTGCGCATGCGAAGGATCTAGATGGCACGCTCCTTGTGAGAATCTAACTAATAATGCCTGATGATCTGAAGTGTAACGGATTCAAGCCCCCACGCTCCTCCTTCTGAGGAAAAATTGTCTTCCCCAAAACTGGTCCCTGGTGCCAAAAAGGTGTGAGACCGCTGTCCTAGAGGACACAGTTCTTCTTTAAAGTCACCATTTCTGTAAGTTCTCTACCAGCCATTGTGTTGGTATCATGAAGAGTTAGTTTATCATTAGTGCCAGCTTATCAATAAAATCATTTTCATGGGCAAGTGTAAATGATTCTATATTATTGTAAAAGAGCACAGTTGGAATAAATTTCAACCACATTTATTTTATGCTGAAATGGAAGGTTATTTCCTCAGGTCTTTACTCACACTGAACTATTAAAAGTGTATTCTAATAAGCTACATTCAACTTTTTAAATACGCCATCTTTATTGGTTTCTTTCTATCCTCCATTTCATTTACTGATCTGCATTTCTGTTTATGCCAGCATCCTCTAATAATGCCATGACTTGCTCAGCAAAATCCTACCACTTCTGGCGACTGACCAAGCTTACACAATGTGCTTTCACATAAAAGCTTCCTCATTGCGGACTGCTATGTGAACTATTTTGGTAGGGATTTTATAATGCTGCTTTGTAATTAAATGAATGAAAATTAAGGATCCGATTTCAAATTAGCTTGTACAAAGTCATTATCTATCATTCTGACCAGAAAAGGCTATATATCATTTGAATAATATGCTAGTGGGAAAGGCATGTCACTTATCCTAAGTCTTAATAATGTATTCATATTTGAACATAGTCTAATTATATTTAATAAAACATAGGAATATATATAAAAATCATAAATCGCTTATGAAGATTCATTTCTTAAACTAAGATAGCTTGTACAAGCTTCCATGTAATTTACTAAATAAAAATACTACTATAATTTAACCTAAAGCATTTGGAATGAGCTCATCATCATGTATTTTGAGGGAGACATATTTCTGAAGGTTTAAAAATGTTTAGTGGTGACGTTGACATTTTTAAAATCGTGAAAACTCAAATGTGCTTATGTTTGACTATTCTTTCTAATAAAAATACTGAAAAGCAATTAATCTTTCATGGATATAAATATAAAGTGAATCACTTTTCTAAAACAGATAATGTGTAGTGTGAACAGAGACCCAAAACACATGCTTCTTGATACCTTCCATAAAATAACATAGTACCTTCTTTTGTATAGTGTTTTCTAGGCATAAATTAAAAGTAGCTGAGTGACTGTCACAGTTAGACAATTATTCAAATGTTGATTTTGAAAATCCATTAATATATACAATAAATATTATATAGTGTTTACTTTTCACTGCCAAATAAGTGGGATCTGCATTAGCACTGGGTCATAAGTCCAGAAGTTTCTTTTTGCCATGGGTGTGTGTGCCCATACACACACTTGCACACACAGAGTGAGAGAAGTTCTTGACAACTGAAAAGAATTCACCAGTGATCAGTCACTGGTGTCAGGCGTAAGAGGTAGTTAATGGAGTGCTGGTAAATCCCACCTCCCACGCACACTCTTCTGACAATTGGAATGTGATCCCAGTAGAATGAAAAAGAAGCAAATGTGTCAACTATAATGACAGTAAAATTAATGCCTGAAGGAGTAGCTCAGCCTCTCTGTCACCTGGCCCAACTGATCATGTAGTTGCTCCATTTGTATTGACAAGTATAGTGTGTCTATCTGCATTTATATCTAGGAAGTTGTGTGGTTTCACAGACTTGGATATATTCACCTCTGTTTTAGAAACAATTTTATTGAGACTATATCACAATAACCATAATTAGAATATTAAAATTTGGTTATGTTATTATATTCCAAACATAGGGAACTTTGGTCATCAGCTTATACACTTGGAATCCACTTATTAAATGTTCAGATTCAGAACTCAAGTAAATCTATGCCCTCTAGAAAAGTATAACTTTTATCTTGGAAAGTAGGAAAAAAAATCACAATTAAGCAATTATAAAATCCACTAATGTCAACAGATTTCCATTATATAATAGAACCTGTATTCTTTATTATTATTATTATTATTATACTTTAAGTTTTAGGGTACATGTGCACAATGTGCAGGTTTTTTACATATGTATACATGTGCCATGTTGGTGTGCTGCACCCATTAAGTTGTCATTTAGCATTAGGTATATCTCCTAATGCTATCCCTCCCCCCTCCCCCTACCCCACAACAGTCCCCGGTGTGTGATGTTCCCCTTCCTGTGTCCATGTGTTCTCATTGTTCAATTCCCACCTATGAGTGAGAACATGCGGTGTTTGGCTTTTTGTACTTGTGATAGTTTCTGAGAATGATGGTTTCCAGCTTCATCCATGTCCCTACAAAGGACATGAACTCATCCTTTTTAATGGCTGCATAGTATTCCATGGTGTATATATGCCACATTTTCTTAATCCGGTCCATCATTTTAGACATTTGGGTTGGTTCCAAGTCTTTGCTCTTGTGAATAGTACCACAATAAACATACATGTGCATGTGTCTTTATAGCAGCATGATTTATAATCCTTTGGGTATATACCCAGTAATGGGATGGCTGCGTCAAATGGTATTTCTAGTTCTAGATACCTGAGGAATAGCCACACCGACTTCCACAATGATTGAACTAGTTTACAGTCCCACCAACAGTGTAAAAGCGTTCCTGTTTCTCCACATCCTCTCCAGCACGTGTTGTTTCCTGACTTTTTAGTGATTGCCATTCTAAATGGTGCAAGATGGTATCTCATTGTGGTTTTGATTTGCATTTCTCTGATGGCCAGTGATGATGAGCATTTTTTCATGTGTTTTTTGGCTGCATAAATGTCTTCTTTTGAGAAGTGTCTGTTCATATCCTTTGTCCACTTGTTGATGGGGTTGTTTGTTTTTTCATGTAAATTTGTTTGAGTTCCTTGTAGATTCTGGATATTAGCCCTTTGTCAGATGAGTAGGTTGCAAAAATTTTCTCCCATTCTGTAGATTATCTGTTCACTGTGATGGTAGTTTCTTTTGCTGTGCAGAAGCTCTTTAGTTTAATTAGATCCCATTGGTCAATTTTGGCTTTTGTTGCCATTGCTTTTGGTGTTTTAGTCATGAGGTCCTTGCCCATGCCTATGTCCTGAATGGTATTGCCTAGGTTTTCTTCTAGGGTTTTTATGGTTTTAGGTATAACATTTAAGTCTTTAATCCATCTTGAATTAATTTTTGTATAAGGTGTAAGGAAGGGATCCACTTTCAGCTTTCTACATATGGCTAGCCAGTTTTCCCAGCACCATTTATTAAACAGGGAATCCTTTCCCCATTGCTTGTTTTTGTCAGGTTTGTCAAAGATCAGATAATTGTAGATATGCAGCATTATTTCTGAGGGTTCTGTTCTGTTCCATTGGTCTATATCTCTGTTATGGTACCAGTACCATGCTGTTTTGGTTACTGTAGCCTTGTAGTATAGTTTGAAGTCAGTGTGATGCCTCCAGCTTTGTTCTTTTGGCTTAGGATTGACTTGGCAATGCGGGCTCTTTTTTGGTTCCATATGAACTTTAAAGTAGTTTTTTCCAATTCTGTGAAGAGAGAGAGTCATTGGTAGCTTGATGGGGATAGCATTGAATATGTAAATTACCTTGGGCAGTATGGCCATTTTCACGATATTGATTCTTCCTACCCATGAGCATGGAATGTTCTTCCATTTCTTTGTATCCTCTTTTATTTCATTGAGCGGTGGTTTGTAGTTCTCCTTGAAGAGGTCCTTCACATCCCTTGTTAGTTGGATTCCTAGGTATTTTATTCTCTTTGAAGCAATTGTGATTGGGAGTTCACTCATGATTTGGTTCTCTGTTTGTCTGTTACTGATGTATAAGAATGCTTGTGATTTTTGTACATTGATTTTGTATCCTGAGACTTTGCTGAAGTTGCTTATCAGCTTAAGGAGATTTGGGGCTGAGACGATGGGGTTTTCTAGATATACAATTGTGTCATCTGCAAACAGGGACAATTTGACTTCCTCTTTTCCTGATTGAATACCCTTTATTTCCTTCTCCTGCCTAATTGCCCTGGCCAGAACTTCCAACACTATGTTGAATAGGAGTGGTGAGAGAGGGCATCTCTGTCTTGTGCCAATTTTCAAAGGGAATGCTTTCAGTTTTTGTCCATTCAGTATGATATTGACTTTGGGTTTGTCATAGATAGCTCTTATTATTTTGAGATACGTCCCATCAATACCTAATTTATTGAGAGTTTTTAGCATGAAGGGTTATTGAATTTTGTCAAAGGCCTTTTTTGCATCTATTGAGATAATCATGAGGTTTTTGTCTTTGGTTCTCTTTATATGCTGGATTATGTTTATTGATTTTCATATGTTGAACCAGCCTTGCATCCCAGGGATGAAGCCCACTTGATCATGGTGGATAAGAGTTTTTGATGTGCTGCTGGATTCTGTTTGCCAGTATTTTATAGAGGATTTTTGCATCGATGTTCATCAGGGATATTGGTCTAAAATTCTCTTTTTTTGTTGTGTCTCTGCCAGGCTTTGGTATCAGGATGATGCTGGCCTCATAAAATGAGTTAGGGAGGATTCCCTCTTTTTCTATTGATTGGAATAGTTTCAGAAGGATTGGTACCAGCTCCTCCTTGTACCTCTGTTAGAATTCGGCTGTGAATCCGTCTGGTCCTGGACTTTTTTTGGTTGGTAGGCTATTAATTATTGCCTCAATTTCAGAGCCTGTTATTGGTCTATTCAGGGATTCAACTTCTTCCTGGTTTGGTCTTCGGAGGGTGTATGTGTTGAGGAATTTATCCATTTCGTCTAGATTTTCTAGTTTATTTGTGTAGAGGTGTTTGTAGTATTCTCTGATGGTAGTTTGTATTTCTGTGGGATCGGTGGTAATATCCCCTTTATCATTTTTTATTGCATCTATTTGATTCTTCTGTCTTTTCTTCTTTATTAGTCTTGCTAGTGGTTTATCAATTTTGTTGACCTTTTAAAAAAACCAGCTCCTGGATTCACTGATTTTTTGAAAGGTTTTTTGTGTCTCTATTTCCTTCAGTTCTGCTCTGATCTTAGTTATTTCTTGCCTTCTGCTAGCTTTTGAATGTGTTTGCTCTTGCTTCTCTAGTTCTTTTAATTGTGATGTTAGGGTGTCAATTTTAGATCTTTCCTGCTTCCTCTTGTGGGCATTTAGTGCTATAAATTTCCCTCTACACACTGCTTTGAATGTGTCCCAGAGATTCTGGTATGTTGTGTCTTTGTTCTCGTTGGTTTCAAAGAACATCTTTATTTCTGCCTTCATTTCGTTATGTACCCAGTAGTCACTCAGGAGCAGGTTGTTCAGTTCCCATGTAGTTGAGTGGTTTTGAGTGAGTTTCTTAATCCTGAGTTCTAGTTTGATTGCACTGTGGTCTGAGAGACAGTTTGTTATAATTTCTGTTCTTTTACATTTGCTGAGGAGAGCTTTACTTCCAACTATGTGGTGAATTTTGGAATAGGCATGGTGTGGTGCTGAAAAGAATGTATATTCTGTTGATTTGGGGTGGAGAGTTCTGTAGATGTCTATTAGGTCCACTTGGTGCAGAGCTGAGTTCAATTCCTGGATATCCTTGTTAACTTTTGTCTCGTTGATCTGTCTAATGTTGACAGTTGGGTGTTAAAGTCTCCCATTATTATTGTGTGGGAGTCTAAGTCTCTTTGTAGGTCACTCAGGACTTGCTTTATGAATCTGGGTGCTCCTGTATTGGGTGCATATATATTTAGGATAGTTAGCTCTTCTTGTTGAATTGATCCCTTTACCATTATGTAATGGTCTTCTTTGTCTCTTTTGATCTTTGTTGGTTTAAAGTCTGTTTTACCAGAGACTAGGATTGCAACCCCTGCCTGTTTTTGTTTTCCATTTGCTTGGTAGATCTTCCTCCATCCCTTTATTTTGAGCCTATGTGTGTCTTTGCATGTGAGATGGGTCTCCTGAATACAGCACACTGATGGGTCTTGACTCTTTATCCAATTTGCCAGTCTGTGTCTTTTAATTGGAGCATTTAGTGCATTTACATTTAAGGTTAGTATTGTTATGTGTGAATTTGATCCTGTCATTATGATGTTAGCTGGTTATTTTGCTTGTTAGTTGATGCAGTTTCTTCCTAGCCTTGATGGTCTTTACAATTTGGCATGTTTTTCCAGTGGCTGGTACTGGTTGTTCCTTTCCATGTTTAGTGCTTCCTTCAGGAGCTCTTTTAGGGCAGGCCTGGTGGTGACAAATTCTCTCAGCATTTGCTTGTCTGTAAAGGTTTTTATTTCTCCTTCACTTATGAAGCTTAGTTTGGCTGGATATGAAATTCTAAGTTGAAAATTCTTTTCTTTAAGAATGTTGAATATTGGCCCCAACTCCCTTCTGGCTTGTAGAGTTTCTGCTGAGAAATCAGCTGTTAGTCTGATGGGCTTCCCTTTGTGGGTAACCTTACCTTTCTCTTTGGCTGTCCTTAACATTTTTTCCTTCATTTCAACTTTGGTGAATCTGATAATTATGTGTCTTGGAGTTGCTCTTCTTGAGGAGTATCTTTGTGGCGTTCTCTGTATTTCCTGAATTTGAATGTTGGCCTGCCTTGCTAGGTTGGGGAAGTTCTCCTGGAAAATATCCTGCAGAGTGTTTTCCTACTTGGTTCCATTCCCCCCGTCACTTTCAGGTACACCAATTAGATGTGGATTTGGTCTTTTCACTTAGTCCCATATTTCTTGGAGGCTTTGTTCATTTCTTTTTATTCTTTTTTCTCTAAACTTCTCTTCATGCTTCATTTCATTCATTTCGTCTTCCATTGGTGATACCCTTTCTTCCAGTTGACCGCATCAGTTACTGAGGCTTGTGCATTCATCACGTAGTTCTCGTGCCGTGGTTTTCAGCTCCATCAGATCATTTAAGGACTTCTCTGCATTGGTTATTCTAGTTATCCATTCATCTAATTTTTTTTCAAAAAGTTTTTAACTTCTTTGCCATTGGTTCGCACTTCCTCCCTTAGGTCAGAGTAGTTTGATCTTCTGAAGCCTTCCTCTCTCAACTCGTCAAAGTCATTCTCCATCCAGCTTTGTTCCGTTGCTTGTGAGGAGCTGCATTCCTTTGCAGGAGGAGAGGTGCTCTGATTTTTAGAGTGTCCGGTTTTTCTGCTCTGTTTTTTCCCCATCTTTGTGGTTTTGGTCTTTGATGACAGTGATGTACAGATGGGTTTTTGGTGTGGATGTCCTTTCTGTTTGTTAGTTTTCCTTCTAACAGTCAGGACCCTCAGCTACAGGTCTGTTGGAGTTTAATGGAAGTCCACTCCAGACCCTGTTTGCCTGGGTATCTATGAGCAGCGGTGGCTGCAGAACACTGGATATTGGTGAACCACAAATGCTGCTGCCTGATCATTCCTCTGGAAGTTTTGTCTCAGAGGAGTACCCGGCCTTGTGAGGTGTCAGTCTGCCCCTACTAGGGGGTGCCTCCCAGTTAGGCTACTCGGGGGTCAGGGACCCACTTGAGGAGGGAGTCTGCCTGAATAGAACCTGTATTCTTAAATATAGGCCCACCTGTTACATTAGGCAACTTTTTTGTTGTTGTTTTTTTTTTTTTTGAGACAGAGTTTCACTCTTGTTGACCAGGCTGGAATGCAATGGTGATTTCAGCTCACCGCAACCTCCACCTCCCAGGTTCAAGCGATTCTCCTGCCTCAGCCTTCCCAAGTAGCTGGAATTACAGCTATGCGCCACCATGCCCGGTTAATTTTGTATTTTTAGTGGAGACTGGGCTTCTCTATGTTAGTCAGGATGCTCTGGACCTCCCGACCTCAGGTGATCTGCCCGCCTTGGCTTCCCTAAGTGCTGGGATTACAGGCATGAGCAACCGCGCCCGGCCACATTAGACAACTTTTAAAGTCTTCACCAAGCCTCTTTTTCCGTATCATACAATGTGATTATATCATTTAGTGAAAGTTTCTCTCTCTGGTGGTTTGATCTCTTCCCTCAAATCAGATGGAAAAGGCTTAAAGAAATCATTAATTTCTATATTTGTTGCACTTTAGGTCAATTAATTGATTTTAAAATATATAGTACCATGTTTATGAATAAAATAAAACAAAAAAGTGTGAATGTATTGTGTATCCTTCTCATTTTAGTACATAACTGGTTATTTTTAAAATCCAACTTGTATCTGTAACAGAAAGTATATTTTGTGATTGATAAAATTAGACAGAAAAAGGATGAATTCTATGGTTTATTTCAAGAAATGGACATATTATTTAAGAAATCACTTGTTCCTGGGTTATAGAAAATGCTAATATGGCCCCAACACTAATTTCAAATTAGGGTGAAAAAAATCTATTATGTTGAATTCATCCTACATTTCCCAGCTTAAAAAATGTTCCTAAAACATAGCTTCTATTTTGCCACCTTCTTGGTTAAGAAACAGGCATCCACTTGGTTTACTGTCACATTTAATCTAAACTTCCCTTCCATGTTTCTGAGGCTTTCCATAACCAGCCCTTTATTTTTCTTTCCAATATTATCTCCAACTTATTTGGAAATGTACTTTAAGATATTTGCACACACATGTTTATAGCAGCACAATTTGCAGTTGCAAAATGTGGAACCAACCCAAATGCTCATCAATCAATGAGTGGATAAAGAAATTGTGGTGTGTGTGTATATATATATATATACACCACATATATATATGTGGTGTATATATATATATATACACCATATATGTATGTGGTGTATATATATATACACACCATATATGTATGTGGTGTATATATATATGTGGTGTATATATATATATATACCGTGTATATATATGTATGTATGTATATATATACATACATATATATACACGGTATATATATATATATGTGTTGTGTATATATATATATAAATATATGGTGGAATACTACTCAGCCGCACAAAGGGATGAATTAATGGCATTCACAGCAACCTGGATGAGATTGGAGACTATTATTCTAAGTGATGTAACTCAGGAATGGAGAACCAAACATCATTATGTTCTCACTCATAAGTGGGAGCTAAGGTATGAGAATACAAAGGCATAAGAATGACACAGTGGACTTTGGGGAATCAGGGGGAAAGGGTACAAAGGGGGTGAGGGAAAAAATACTACAAATTGGGTGTGGTGTATACTGCTTGGGTGATGGGTGCACCAAAATCTCACAAATCACCGCTAAAGAACTTATCTATGTAACCAAACACCACCTGTTCCCCAATAACCTATGGAAAATCAAATAAATTTTTAAAAATGAAATGTACTTTTTGTGTCAGATGCTAGGCAAACTTTTAAAGCGAGAGGGCAAGAGTTGGAAAGTCTGGTGAAAACTGTCCTGGTTGAGAAAGATAATCAGCAGAATCAGATTAATAACTCCCACTCTTAGATACACGATAGAGCACTCTGGCTCCCAATAGTTGACTCCTTTCCTATTTTCTAGCTTTTAGATTCTCCTTATTAGACTTATAGATTTTCTGCATGACTTCTTTTTTTTTTTTAATCACCTTTGCTGACATCTATGACAGCGTCTCCCACTAGGAATGTGTCTCCTTTTCAAGGCTTTCTGTTACTTATCGGCTATGTGTCCCAGTTTCCTGTCTGCTCCCACTGTTCCCGATCAATCAAACAAATTGGTTTTCTTGTAGCCCCACTTCATAATGATGCATATTCTTACTCAAAATTAGTGAAAGGCAGTGCTTGTACTAATAATCCTCATCCTGGAATGACCCCAATTAGCTCCAAGTTATTCAATTTTTATTCCATCCTCAAGGCCTAGTTCAATTTCTACCACATGTATTAAGTCTTTTGTAGCTGCTCCAGCCCACTGGGCTTCTCCCTTCCTGCCACCCCTGAATTCCTTTTATACTTATGTTTAGTATCTCAGCCATTCATTTCTCCTTTCAGCAAACATTTATTTAGGTATTTCTATTTGCTAGATGCTATCTTATAGCAGGGTAAGTATATGCCTTAGAATTTACAGTCCAGTGGGGGAGATAGACAAATGGCAACACAATATAATAAGAGTTATTATTGGAGAGAAACAAGAGAGTGAAATGATGCATCATAGCATCTAAGTTGGTTGGGAGAAGAAAGTGAACATAGAAGAATGATAGTAGATATAAAACCATAGAGCTGTCAAGGGACTAGAGGACCTGCAAGGTCAAAGATCAAACAAAGTGGAAGAAACAGAGTGAGGAAACTGGGGAGATAACAGGCTGTAGACAGATAGTAGGATGTCTCAATTTAAGATTTCAAAAGTTGAGCAATTCTGGATGATGATAAACTCTGAGATGTGGCCTTGGAAGTAAGTAGCTAAAGGTCAATATTAAATTCTCCTTAATTTCCTATGTGTTAATCTATTTTTATGATAAATATTACTGAGGGATGTGGTAAGCAGAATTCTAAAATGACCCAATGACGCTTTCCCTTTTATAATTTCCTCCCTTTGAGTGCAGGTAAAACCCATGAATGTGTGAGACATCACTCTCATGATTATGTCACGTTTTATGGCACAAGGGAATTTGTCATTGTAACTGACTAATCACATGAACGCCTAAAAAAGGAATGGGCTCTTCCTGGAGAGACACATTTGAAACAGGACAGGGATTCAATACAAGAGAAATTCTCTATTGCTGGGTCTAAAGATGTAAGGGTCCATGCAGCAAGAGCTAGGTGCTCTAGGAGATTAGAGCATCCACTGAGTCATATCAGGCAAAGAAATGGGGACTTCAAGGCGGGCGCGGTGGCTCATGCCTGTAATCCCAGCTCTTAGGGAGGCCGAGGCAGGCGGATCACGAGGTAAGAATATCGAGACCATCCTGGCTAATACGGTGAAACCCCGTCCCTACTAAAAATACAAAAAATTAGCCAGGCGAGGTGGCGGGCGCCTGTAGTCCCAGCTACTAGGGAGGCTGAGGCAGGAGAATGGCGTGAGCCCGGGAGACGGAGCTTGCAGTCAGCCAAGACCGCGCCACTGCACTCCAGCCTGGGCGACAGAGCGAGACTCCATCTCCAAAAAAAAAAAAAGAAATGGGGACTTCGGTTCTATAGTCACAGGGAACTGGATTATGTCACAACCAGGTGGACTTGGAAGAGGATCCTGAGCTTCAGATGAGAACACACCTTGCCAGACAGCTCAATTTTAGCCTGGGGAGATCCTGTGCAGAGAACTCAGTCATGTTGTAACCAGACTTACATAGCCATGAGCTAATAAATGAGTGTTGTTTTATGCCCTTAAATTTGTGGTAATTTGTTATGTGGCATTGGAAAACTAATATAGGTTATACTTCACATACAATAAGATCTACTCATTTTAAGTATATAGCTTGATGAGTTGTGACAACTACACACATCATCACAATTAAGGTATAAAACATTAATATCACATCCAAAATTCCCTCATGCTCCTTTACCATCAATCCATCCCCAGCAGCAGGCAACCACTTGTCTGATTTCTTTTTTTTTTTTTTTTGAGGCGGAGTCTCACTCTTGTTGCCTAGGCTGGAGTGCAATGGCACAATCTCGGCTAACCGTAACCTCTGCCTCCTGGGTTCAAGGGATTCTCCTGCCTCAGCCTCCCAAGTAGCTAGGATTACAGGCATGCATCACCACGTCCGGCTAATTTTTTGTGTTTTTAGTAGAGACGGGGTTTCTCCATGTTGGTCAGGCTGGTCTCGAACTACCGACCTCAGGTGATCCACCCACCTAGGCCTCCCAAAGTGCTGGGATTATAGGTGTGAGCCACCGAGCCCGGCCCACTTGTCTGATTTCTATTGCTTAATGTGTTAAAGCTTGTCTCTGTCTCTCCTTCCTCTCTCTCTCTCTCTACCTCTCTCTCTCTCTCTCTCTCTCTCTCTCTCATTTATGAGGCAATTATTACTTATATTTTTTATACCCTTCCAATGTTTCTTTTTAAATCATCTTTCTTAGTATGGAGAATCGCAATGTACATATGGTACATAGTCTCCCTGAATACTTGTTAGTTTATAAGTTTAAAAAAATATTTGCTGCTCTAGGTCTGGGTCTGTTCCGGCACTGGGAATATGCTAATACATGAAATTGTTAAAGTCCATCGTGTATGTAGCATATACTTCAAAAATTCTAGAAGGTTAAACTTTTTTGTGGTGGTTGGCTCCCTGCCTGGGGGTCCTCTAAACTTTACTGCTGGAACCATATAACCCCTATTTATATTAGCCTCACCTCAGATATTTGGATAAAGTTGTACAAGTAGCTCAAGGTTCAGGATCTTAGAATTAAGTATCAAGTTTGTTTTGCTGCATAATTTCATGAATTTGTTTATGAGATTAGTTAAGTCTCTATCTTCAATCTTTGCCTAACATTCAATGCTTCTGAGTCTGAAGTCCAGCCGTATCCTTCTCACAGCATAGCTCTCAACTATGGCTAAACGCTAGAAGCACTTGGGAAGACTTTAAAAAAAAGTACCGATGCCCATTTCCATCTTATTTGGCTTGGGGCTGGGCACTAATACTTGTTAAAAGATCTGGTGTATCCAATAAATTTAATGAGCAGCCAAGATGTGAAGCCACTCCACTAGTTGTTTCATAGAGTAGTATCCTGATCTTTGAACCTGTATCTGTAGCTGAGTTCCTATTTCTGTTGCTCAATCTCCCTGATGGCAACTACTGTAGCAGATATGACTAGCTATCCACCAAGTATCAGTGTTACTCTTCTTTACTGTAGGAAGTGTATGACCAGCCAGGGTGTACCTAACTTGTAGATGTGAGTAAAAGTGAGGTACATGACTCAGTGCCAATGTGATTAAGAAGCAGGTAGTGTCTTCTTTACCCTGTCTTTCCCCTTTTGTGGTGATCACTGGAACCATGTGTTGAAAACAGCTTGTAGGGTAGAAGGAATCTGAATTCTTGAATCACTGAACAGAAGGTCTCCCACCGAATACTGCATTAGACTGTTGTAGATGCTGCTACTTGCCTACCCAATATTCTAGCCTCTCCTTCCTCCTTACAAACAGAACTTTTATACATTTGGGGATGGCAGTGTGTCAAGATGAAAAATTATATGTGACAGTCTCCTTTATAGATAGGAGTGCTAAAAGCAGACATGTAAGCAGAGTAGTCAGCACTTCTTGGAAGTCTCTTTGAAAGGGTTTGCTGTGTCCTTCCCCATTTAGTCTTTTCTTCCTTTATGAAAGCAGATGTAACAGTTAGAGTTTCAGTGACCATTATGTAGCCTTCAGGAAGAGGGTCACACACTCTAGGGATGACAAATGAAGGCAATAGGGGAGACTGGTTCTCTGATGACACCAAGAACTGCCATACCAGCCCTGCCATAAAAACTGCTAGATTTTTAATTACATGAAACAGAAAATAAATCTCACGTAACCCAATACTTTTTGAGTCTCTAATATAATTCTGGAATATAATTCTGAACTCATATTTTCCTAATGTCATACTTCCTCTACTTTCAGAGATCATATCTATTATCACCCGCTGGCTCTTGCTGACACTACCTGTCCACTTGTCTGCAGTACCTTCCTTGGCTCGCTGTTTAGATCTCTATTATTTACTAATGAATTAGTCTTGTCTCCTGATACTTGGTCATCTTCAGTTTGATCTGTCTTGCTTTTAACAGAGACCTGTCACGTTTGATCTAGGTTAAAGTGAGTATATGACAATTACTTTAAGGTAGACTCTAAAATGTTTCTCAACTAATGTAAATGCAGCAACTTGATTCTCTAAGCAAGTTTTCTATGTTCACTTTTCTCAAAACCAAATTTAGATGGCCTTGTCAGCTCCATTTTCAGGTGAAAGTGAAAGAACTACTAGTATATAGATTATATGATGCACAACCCCCTGTGAAATCCATCATTCAAGGAATGGAGGAGGTTGGATAGTGTGACCTATGATTTATAGGTGGGAAGACACCACTTATCATCTCTAGGAAGATCTGTTATACCTATTGGCTTTGATCATGCTGTGTAGTATATTGTTTTCCAGGTAGGGTAAATCTCGCCTCTCTATTAGAGTTGTTTATTTCCTTTGTATATCCATGCAAGTAGGAAAACAATAAAAAATGCTCACAACATAACTTATGGACCAGTAACTTTTGTTCTCAATATGGGAAGCTGAGAGTGAAAACGTGAACTCGTGGTGCACAGCATGGTCTGGTTGTTTGAAAAACATCTCGAACGAAAGCAGCAATGAAGGGAGAAGAAATGCAAATAACAAGAAAGTCATATCTATGGGTGGCTCCGTGGCTTCTGATTTGCCCATTATCACCTTGAGAAAACCAGCTGAAGGCAGGTAACTTTGTGTATTCTTTAATTTGAATAAGAAAAGGAAAAAGGTAGTAATACCCATTGAAAAGTCAGATTTAAATATACTTTTCTAAGGTAGACATATTTCCTCCAGGGTACTAAATTTCCAGTGTCTGGAAGATCTTGCATTTTTGGTCTTACTTTGTAAGCTCTATTTCTCAAGGTTGACTTGATTAAAATGAATTAGTCTATGCAATGGGTTCTTACGTTTTAAAATTCAATTAATAATAAAAATATTTTACTTAACTGTTTTTTTATTTCCTTGTCAGTAGTCTTGTATGCTAGCATGACTGTTAGTTTCCCAAAAATCTTGTTAGATTTATTCAAACACTAATAGAAATAGAAACATTTATTTAGAGACAGCTTGTAATCATTTGTGCAAGAGAAAGTAAAGTCATGGACAAATGAAAAGCATTAACTGTTTCTCTGCCCTCAAATAACTTGATCCTATTTAATCATCAAGTTGTCTTGCTCTTAAAAACTGCCAATAAAAAGCCAATATATTATTTATATCTGCACACCATTTCCCAACCATTTCTCTGACATTTGGGAGGCAAATCTACTTTTTGTGTGTTGAGATGCTATGGATCTGCTACATCTCTTCTGCACACTTTTGACTGATAAGGAGGAGGTGGTAGTGAGTAGAGAGGAAAAGGGAAATGATGGGTGTGCTATTCTATTCTGGGTTCCAACACCAAAGTCAGGCCCATATTCATCACTACTGGGACAATAGCTAGGTTAGTCATTTGTTACTGGTAGATAAAAAAAGAAAATATGGTCAAGGTATAGACTAGGGACAAGAGCTAGGAAGTCAGCCAGGAGGCTAGAGCTGAGGAAGGTTGACATCTAGCAGAAATGAGGTGAAAGGAAAGTAATGGATTCTGGAAGGTGAAGGTCAAACAACAGGTTCCAAACCCCAAATTTTCTCTGCATGGAGGTAAATGTGGAGATGAAGCAGAGCTGTAGAATTTTACAGTCAACTTTCAGGTTGACACTACCCACACCTGCAGTACAAATTTTAGGATTTAAAGCACCAATACCGTTGGATTTAGACAAAGCCTTCTTAGGTTCTGGGGAGCTTCTCTGGTAGTATCATAACCTGCATAACTTCCACTACTAATTTTCTTGACCCTTTTTTGAGTCATTAGAAAAAGAGAACAGTGAAAGTGTGGGTCCAGGATCAGGAGGACAAACCAGGCTTTGGCACTGACTCCTACAGAAAGGGGCTTTCAATACCAATGCCAGTGTCCAAAGGACTGGAAATGACTCAGACTTGCTCTGCACGGCAACAGCTGAGTCGCACTTCCATTTCTTGAAACTTATGGAAACAATCAAGGATGTGTCCCAAAAATAACTATGAGAATATTCTTTTTAATATTGTTTATGATAGAGAGAAAAGCTAAATGTTCAACAACAATATGGGAATAGTTACATAAGTATGGTAGAAACCTTCATATAGGGGAATATATATGCAGACATAAAATGTTTTAGAAGAATATTTATTAACAAAGGTAAAGCTAACTTTAAAAAAGATTAAATAAAAGTATAATATATTAAAAAATAGCAGTTCCCCTCAACTCTCTTTTCCCATTGTCCAACATTATTCCTGCTGATAGTACTTATCACCATGACATACTTTATATTTGCTTATTTATTTTTTATTTTCTGTATTCCTCTCCCCTCATTAGAATGTAAGCCCCATGAGGGCAGGGACTTTGTTTTGTTTACTATTCTATCCTCCATTACTAGTACAATGTCTGGTAGAAAATGGGTGTTTAATAAGTATCTGTTGAGTAAATGGCTGAATAACTATAGTACGTGTTGTAGACCAGCACAAGGTATAGGAAGCACAGAAGGATGGCTTGAACACTGTCTGGATGGTGATTCGGGAAGACTTCCTAGAGGAGGTGATCCATGAATCTATAGTAAAGCATGGGCAAGGGAAAGACTTTTGAAGATGGCCTATTGTATATAGACTGATGGTCTAAAACCAAAGTAGGACCATGTTCCCAACTTAAAATACCACTCGTGGCCAAGATTTTTATTGCCGTGATCCATTCATTAGTTGGCTTTCTTATGAGCTGCCTGCCTGTGGATACTGCAGTGGATTGCCTGGCTCTTCTGGAAGGACCGACCCTACATCTGGGTTTTTTCTCTATTCTGTCCTTAACCAGCATCCTCTCTATTGGCTCTGGATGCTGAAGTCCTGACTTGGTTCGTCTCTAAGTCTGTTCCTCTTATGATGTTTTCCTTTTTTAATTTACTCATGCTCTAAAAATCTTGCAACTAATATGATGTTATATAGGAAGTTCAGAATCTTTATATATTATTATATGTTAAAATAGTCTACTATGACACATGGGGAAAACTAGATAGAATGATCTTCTGGTAAAGTTACATTCCTTTCCCATCTTAGGCATTCCAATACCTGACTTTAAGAACATAACATAACAACATAGCAACAGTAGCGACAATAACATCAGTCCCTATATTTGCTCATCATTCCATGTATTTTCAAGGCCCTTGTGTATATTATCTCATTTGAACCTTAGAAAAACTCTATGAGGTAGGCAAGGTGATAATTATCACCATTTTACTGATGAGACAAACAGATAAGAATATGGATTGTGACTTTCCCAATGTCACAAAACATCTTCAGCCTTGATCTCATGACTTAAATTCCTGAGGCACAGTAAAAATTAGAGGAAAAATATTCTCAACTAGCAACTTGCTTCTAAAGGGAAAAAAACCTGTACACATTGTGTAAACACTCTATAAAGGTTGGGGGTGGATGAGGGGCACAAGGAACTTGTGCCAAAATATAGAAAGTGATTTTTTTGGTCATTGTTGCCTTCTATGATGAAGAAAAATACATAGATTCCATTTAGTTTAAAATTATGTAAGGAAAATGGATCGAGTTCATATAGTTTCAAGTAAACTTGAATTGGAGAAAATGTTTTAATAAATGAAACCTATCCAATTAAAGCATTCTTTTTAAATATGACAAAAATATTTAAGTGCTGCTACAACAAACATGGAATATAAGAGAAACACATTAAGAAAATGAAAATAAAATTCCATTTCCAAAAGGTCATTGGCTTTCATATTAGGCAACAGGGAAAACAAAATGAAAACATTTAATTTTGGTTATCAGATTAAGATAAAATGGATAAAATAACATATAAAGTAATAGAATAGATTTCTTCATGAATTAAAATATAAAATTTAACCTTCCCTTTTAAATATTGTATCTCAAAATTAAACTCTGCTCATAAACTAATCGATATAAGCCCATTTTCATTAAAGAGCTGGATTTATAAATGTTGTATTATATTGAACACTTTATTATTCAATATAAGTGTCACAAAATGAAACACTTGGAATGTGAGCTAAATTCACTTACATTCCATGTATCACATTGCCAATATTAAAATTGCAGGATCAAGTTAAAATTTTGTTATCAGTATTAAAATTAGTCATAGCCCATTTAATTATTTAAAAGAATTATAATATCATCAAGGGTAATTAGATAGGTAGGAAAATCAATTATACAGGGTCCATGTAAAGTTTTAAAATAAAAAGAGCAGTTGGTATATATCCAGTACAAAAGCACCTGGTGCTTAGCCAAGACAAAAGCACCAAGGTAATTCCTGCCAAGATTTATGTAAAATAAAATTAAATGTCTTCTAGCTGTACTAGGGTAATGTTGATATAACAGAGAATTTAGGTTTTTGGAGCAATGGACAAAAATATTTAAAAGCACATTACATTTTATGTGGGTATACCTTATAAAGTGCAATATGAAAATAATCAGACTGAAAAGCTGATGAAGATAAATAACCTCTATTTCCACACCCTACACTCAGCAGAGAAAAGTCCTTTTTTATATCGATATACTTTGCATTTGTGTGAAAATATTGTAATAAAGACACAATAATTATATATAACAGGATTATAGACCCTCTGAATTGAAAGGGCCTTGCCTATCATCTGATCTAACCCTTTAGTTTACTGAGACAGAGTCAGAGCCCATGTGTGACTTTCTCAAGGCCACAAGGCGGAGCTGGGACTGGAATCTAGATTTTCTCCCTCCCAGTCCAAAACTCATTCCTTTTTAGCATAACGCTTTACATTTGAGACAAAGATGCGACTTTACAAAGTACTCAAGATTTTTAGAAGTCAAGTTAAGCATAAAGATGACAATTTCCAGAATATGAAACACACAAATGCTCCACTTACACTGATGGTCAATGAGGCATGGTTATTAAAAAAAAAATCCTTCATAAGGCTATTACATGACTTTACGTTTGTTCCCCCAAATCAAGCAAAATAAACTCACCTTATTTTGATTTGGATGATCCAATGGGGAACAGGAAACAGGTTCAATGAAACCCTTTCCATTTTAGTCAATGAAATGCTTTGTCAGCTCTAAGAAAGCAATTACTTTAACCATTTTAAAGATCAATATTCAGGTCAATTTACCTACATCAAAATCCATTGTGAAGATGACTGAAATGATTGGAACAACTTCACTTTGACTAATTTTAGTGGAAATATATATTCTTAGCTGAGGCTTAATCTTGTCCCATGTCTAGAAGTTCCTTGATATTCCCCTGAAATTCAGCTATCCCCAAATTCATGATCATGTTTTTATGTTTTTAGAGTCCCCTGCATTTCTCTGGAAACATATTTCCACTTTTTAGACATATCTTCATATACAGCCTTTTCAAAATTCACTAAAATTGTATTCTAGCCTGATGGCCACCCTTCTTGTTCCCCACCTCAATACACAAAATGTTCTTAAGAATAGAAAACAACACAGTCTATTAAGATACAAATGCTTGGTAGATAGCTTGATACACTCACAACTTAAGTGACTCACTGTATCACATGGACTGCATATAAGTTATTTAAGAATAGTCAAAACATGCTAAAATGTTAATTCAATAATTGCCAAGTGTTTTTCTCTATATGCAATAATAAGAAAGGAGTATAGGCTGTACCCAGAGGGCCCGAAGATAATCACTCAGAAGTTGTTGTTGTGGGTTAAATTGTGTCTCCCAATAATTCATGTGTTGATGTTTTAACATCCAGTACTTCAGAATTTGATGTTATTTTGGGAATTAGTTAAGATGAGGTCATTGAGGTGGACCCTAATCGAATATCGCTGGTGTACTTGTAAAAATAAGAGAATTTGAACATTTGGACACAAAGACATACACAGAGGAAGATGATGTAAAGAGACATAGGGAGAAGACAGTCATCTTCAAGCTAAGGAGAGAGGCTGGGAACAGATCCTTCCCTAGTCGCCCTCAGGAGGCGCCAACTCTGCTGATACCTTGATCTCTGATTTCCAGTTTCCAAAACTGTGAGACAATATATTTCTGTTGTTTACGGGACTCAGTTTGTTGTAGTTTGTTATAGCAGCACTGCCAAATGAATATAGTTGCCTATCTGAAGTTTCAGACAAAAATATTTTAAAAAAATCACTTTACATTGATTAATCAAAGGTCTTACAACAGATTCTACAGAAGTGACACCTGATAAAGCCTTTTTATTGATAGAAGCCTTTAAAGTATATGGTAGGTTTTTGTTTGTTTGTTTTTTGTTTTTGTCAACTAAGAGGGATCCCTAAGCTGACTGGAAAATTCAATTAAACAGAACCTCAATTTCTTAACCAATCTGACTTTATAGTTCAAAATATATTTGATGACCCACTAAAAGCCATAAAGCAGGGACTGAGTGGTAAACAAAAATCAGCTTTGATCTCTGCTCTCATAAAACTTATGGTTATATGGAATAAGGTGCATGTGTGTTTGTTTTTAAATTGAACAGGCCAAGGGATGGAAAAGAACAGGAAGGAAACTTACTTTTGGGTACTTATACCCATATTATCTCATTTAATTTTCACAATGGTTCTATGAGATATTGTTATTATCTCCATTTTAGAGACAAAGAGAAAATAAGAAACTGAGAAGTGGTGGAATTGAGATTCAAACCCACATCTGTGTAACTCTGAAACATCTGTTTGTTCTACTGGTCCACTTTTCAGAGAGAAAGGGAGGAGAAAAGGAGAATGTACACACTCACATAGTTCACACAGTGCTATATAAGCATATTTGAGGTCAGACCATCAGTATATGTGTAACTGAGTTAGATAGTAGGCAAAGTTCTATATCTGGGAATCAGACTCAGCCCAAAGAGAACAATATCTGAAAACTGTTTTGTAAACTTACCGTCTTTGTAAGCTTACCATTCTTGCTTCTTGGCACCACATTTTTTTTTTTTTCACCATGGAATTCTTTTTTTTTTTTAAATTATACTTTAAGTTTTAGGGCACATGTGCACAACGTGCAGGTTTGTTACATATGTATACATGTGCCATGTTGGTGTGCTGCACCCATTAACTCGTCATTTTACATTAGGTATATCTCCTAATGCTATCCCTCCCCCCTCCCCCCACCCCACAACAGGCCCCAGTGTGTGATGTTCCCCTTCCTGTGCCCATGTGTTCTCATTGTTCAATTCCCACCTATGAGTGAGAACATGTGGTGTTTGGTTTTTTGTCCTTGTGATAGTTTGCTGAGAATGATGGTTTCCAGCTTCATCCATGTCCCTACAAAGGACATGAACTCATCCTTTTTTATGGCTGCATAATATTCCATGGTGTATATGTGCCACATTTTCTTAATCCAGTCTATCATTGTTGGACATTTGGGTTGGTTCCAAGGGCACCACATTTTTATCAATGAAACACACTATGCCATCACTTACCCAGGCTTTTTGTGTAGCTTGTATAGCAATTACTAAGGTATTGATTTTGTACATCTCTTCCCCTTCAAGTGTGAATAAAAGGCACTTCCAAGGTTGGTGTTGGTGGATTACCAAGTTAGCCTCAGAAATCTGATTTGTCTATACCTGGAGATGGGCTCTGTGGCCCAGAGATGAACTCATATTGACTAAATTTACAAGAAAGAATTCAGATTGACAAAAAATTTATTTATGACAAAAAATACAAATCTCACAGTGGATGGAACACTCATGTTGACATGATCAAAGTGTTCTCTCCCCATAGAAAGCCCTACCAAACAGGAGGGGGACTTGAGGAGCACACAAGTAGTGTTGCATGCTCCTCTAAGTTTCAGCTTAGAAACGGAACTGTTTCTTGATGAAATTCATGTGTAACGACAACTCACTCTGAAGGAGTGATGTGTCCACTTCTGGAGTAGGTATGTAGCTGTGAAAGAGATGAAAGTGTCTTATGGCCCTAACATTTTCTCTCCTGGACAGTGCTGGGATGCCCAGGTCAAGGCCTTTGTCATTCTCTTCTTCCTAAACTTTCCTGTCTGACTAAGCCCACTTTCTCAGGGACTCACTCATTCTTTAGATATGTTAATATATTTTGTTAGCCTTGCTCTAGCCTGGGAGACATTCTTTTTCTTTAATGTGTCTTGTTTATCTATGACCTGGTCCATTAGGCCTTGATTTTATAGTGTAACTATTAGAGAGTAAGAATAATTTCCAAATTATTGGAAGATATCTTAGTATTGCCTATACACCCTTCCCCCTTTTCTTCCATGTACCTTGTACAGTATGCAAAACCTTACCTCCTTATTTTCAGACAGAACCTCTCTCTTTTGTAGTTTTTGCCTTCTGTGTTTTTGTGAGAACTTCCAAGCTATTTTTAAAGTATACTATGTCACTTTAATAATTTTTTTTTGAGGCAGAGTTTCACCACGTTAGCCAAGATGGTCTCGATCTCCTGACCTCGTGATCCGCCCGCCTCGGCCTCCCAAAGTGCTGGGATTACAGGCATGAGCCACTGCGCCCGGCCGCACTTTAATAAAAATTTTAAAGTCATTTAATTTTAGGAGCTTTACCATATTTTTTAAAATGAATATTCTTTTTATGTCAGAGACTTTCATATGGGAACTGATTTCAAGTTTAGAGTTACTTATGTAACTCATCAGAAGTGAAAATAGGCCGGGCGCAGGGGCTCATGGATGTAATCCCAGCACTTTGGGAGGCCAAGGTGGGCAGATCGCTTGTGCTCAGGAGTTTAAGACCAGCCTGTGAAACATGGTGAAACCCCGTCTCTACAAAAAATACAAAAATTAGCTGGGTGTGGTGGTGCATGCCTGTAGTCTCAGCTACTCCAGAGGCTGAGGTGGGAGGATGGCTTGAGCCCTGGAGGTGGAGGTTGCAGTGAGCCGAGATCAGGCCACTGCACTCCAGCCAGGGCGACAGAGCCAGACCCTGTATCCAAAAAAAAAAAAAAAAAGAGAGAGAAAAACTGAAAATAAATACTAGTAATGAGGTGTTTAATTTTTTTCACCTTTTTGTCATATGTCTATAAATAGTATATTTCAACAGCTATATATTTGTATATTTAAATCCAATATTGATAGTATTCTTTGCTTTGCTTTGTGAAATAGGTGGATTCCTGGAGAGTTCATGATAAAATGTAGTGCAAGTAGCCCTATACATGGAGTCAGTAATCCTGAGTTCTTAACATTCTTCCTGCACTGGTTTGTTGTGTGGCCTCCTACAAACATTTGAACACTTAGTGCCCTGGCCCTTACACCTATAAAATGAGTGTCATGCTGGGGCATGGGTGGCAGCAGGGCAAAGGTCTTTAGGTTTGTCTGGCATCAGGTGTCTGACGGAGGGAAGAAACAGGTACTATGATTACAAGGGAGTTCTTATAAAGGGGATAATACTCGTCTATCGATCTCAAAGGGCATTTGTGAGGAGGATCACATGGGACTAAGAGGAAATACTTTGAAAAGAATGAGTTGAAACCTTTTAGAAATGAAAGGATAAGATAGTAACTTTCCTCTTGACACTGTACATGTTGTATGTCAAAAATGTCAAACTGACTGAAATTCTAGCCTTATCTGGAATTTCATTTTTCCTTTAAAAATAATTTCAGATTTTATTTACTCTCCATATCCATTCCTATAAGCTATAACCTCTATGAAGATAACTCTCACATCTATCCCAACCACAACTCTCATCTTGAGCCACAGAAATGCATTCCCAACTGCTTGCTAGGTATCTCCACTTTGATGCTTATATACTGCCACCCTATATACTGCCACCCACTCAACATCATTAAAGAAGCCATCGGCTGCATCAAACTTTCACCTATAATTTCTTCTGATATGTAACCTCAGAGTTAGCTTACACTTTTTCTCCTGTGTCCAATGATTTGTCAAGTTCTATATGGTCTCATACTACAATATCTCTTACTCTTGTACTTCCATCCTCCTGTTTCCATTTCTATTGCTACCATCTTATTTTGGTCCCTCATTACATATTATCTGAATTATAGTAAGTGTCTCCTCGGTTCACCCTCTTTCACCTGTCTCTAATCTGACTTCCACAATCCTGGAGAGTAATCTAAAACACGTGTCTGAATATAGTACTCCTCCAGTTAATCAGTCTCAGTGGGTTCCCTTCATCTAGATAGAACAGAGTACAAGGAGGCTTTTCATCATCTGGCTGCAACCAGTCTTACATTTCACCACTTTGTCACAAATATGTTTCAGTCATATTAAACCACTTGTAGTTCCTCCAATCTGCCATGCTGTCTCTTGCTTACATATGTTGCTTCCTGTTCTTGGAACACTCTCCCTGCCTTCTTACTTAATCATTTTCTCTGCCTTGCTAACTCCTGTCTGGCCCTCAAGATTCAGTTTGAATATCATCTTCTCTTAGAAGTCTTCGTTAGTATCCCCCTTTGCGTTTGCATGGCTCCCTTTACATAATACTTTTATAGCATATTCTATGCCAATTGTTGGTTTATTTCTCTGTATCTGTCATTAGACTGCAAGCTTCCTGAGTACAAGGATTTTGTTTCATTCATCTTTGTATCACTAAAGCTAAGAGAGTGCTTTGCACAGGTAAATACATGTTTGTTACATGAATGAATGAATATGAACTTTATCATTAAAATTCTGATCAGTATAACATGTGGCAGAAATTGGAACATATGTAACCCAAAGATTGAGGTTTAGGTTAGAGAAACAAAGTGATTTACTGGAATCAAGGTATCAGGCAAGAGAAGACAGGGAGAAATGCAATTTGATAATGATTAAGGCCCAGGAAATGGGATTAATATACTAGGGACATAGAACAAAAGCCAGGGTCATAAATCAGAGTAAAAATTTTAATCTGAGTAAGTGAGTACCAAAACAGAGACAACGCAGGGAAGCTCTTGTTGTTGAATCAGTCAAGGCCCTCAGGCTTTGGTGAGAAGCCTTGAGTGATAGACCAGCTCTTGAGTGAGAATGACCAAAAGATATATTATGTCTGGCTTCTGGGCCTCATGTATGACAAGCATTGGGACAGATAGAAAATCTTGGTGACCCTGAGTTAGATCTGGCAGATGCAAATGTTTGCTACACCGACTTAACCACATTATAAGGACCAGACCAAAGTACTCCGATTTGAGAAAGCTGAAAATAATGCAACGTGTGGTTTAAAAAATCAAAATTGTCATATTAACTTGGCCTTTAAAAGGTTATTCTTAATGGTGATTTTCACGGTTAATAAATCCATTAAGTACCCAAAAGGAGTGACCTTATCATACACTTTACATTTTAGCTTTAATGAATAAATCAATATGCAATTGATTTAATTAAGGAAGCTGCAGATAGTACTTTCACAACATGATTCACTTTGCATTTGTAAATATTTCAACTGCCAAGAATTTTCCCACCAGTCGTGTGACTTTTACGAATCTTAAACAGTTTTTAAAATAACTGCGGACTGATTCCATATTGAGACCAGATGAGAACATGTTGGAATGAGTTTCTTAGGTCTGAAAGTTCTTCATTTTGCTTTCAGTTACATTTCTTCCACTAGACATGCTTTTTAGACAATCACATTAGCTTAATTAACTTCATGTTGCTCCTAAGAGGTTGTTTTTTTTCTTTAGCAAAGACAACAATTCTTCTACTCTGGGGAGATACATTAACAATAAAATGTGTAAATAGTTACTTGACTAACTTTTGTAAGGCACATTTGATAGCTTTTGGAAAATACCAATTTAGTCTGTTGAATTGCAGTAATATTTGACTAACCTGTTGTGCTATTTCATTCATCATGTCTTACACTCTACCAGAGTATAAGCTCCTTGAAGGCAGGGGTTATGTTTGATTCATCTTATGCTTCACAACTGTTGACACGTAGTTGGTACTCAATAAATATTGACTAAAATTAATATATGCATGTGGCCTTACATAACAATTTTGCTGCTGTAATGAAGACTGGTAATTCACTTATTTAACATTCCTCGTATTCTACCTCTGCAATATTTATAACCTATTCTCCTTCCTCTAACTCTTTAAGTATTAATGCCCACATAGATATTTATATGACCTAAGGCTAAAGTCATCACATTTGGATTAAATCTTAGTCATCCATTACAGTGAATGATTCTCTTAAAATCTTCATTTTAGACAATGTATTTTTACTGGGCACAAAAATATAATTTGAAGTATCAATTATTTTAAAACAAAATATTATGCTTCCTTCTAAGAACTTTTTTATTAGAGGCATAGAGCCTGTATCTGGATAAAAATAGGTCATCTGGTGAATTCATAGGGTTGAAAATAAAAGCAACCTTGAGAAATTATCTAAGACATTACTTTTGTTCATTATAATCTCTTCACATAGTTCAGGCCAATTTGTATTAATATTATTTTGAGAGATTCTCCTGTTGAACAAGTTCCTTTTAAATACAATAAAAATAAATAAATAGAAAAACAAAGACATAAAAATACAAATCCATTTTTAGTATTAGGTTCAATTAATATAAAATTACTTTGTCAAATTGCAATAAAAGTTCTAATTGATTATTTTTAGTTTTTTGGTTTTCTGCTGTCCAGGCTGGGGTGCAGTGGCGTGATCTTGGCTCACTGCAACCTCTGCCTCCTGGGTTCAAGCTATTCTTGTGCCTCAGCCTCCTGAGTAGTTGGAACTACAGGCGTGAGCCACCGCACCCAGCTAATTTTTGTATTTTTAGTACAGATGTGGTTTCACCATGTTGGCCAGGCTTGTCTTGAACTCCTGACCTCAGGTGATCCACCCGCCTCGGCCTCCCAAAGTGCTGGGATTATAGGCGTGAGCCACTGCGCCCAGCTGATTATTCTTAGTTTAAGTACATATCTCATCATAGGCCCATACCAAACAGTTCTGATATGGGCACCAGTCCAAGGATCACACTTTGAGTAGCTCTCATCTAGAAAATAACTGATCAAACCAACCTCTCTGTTGCTTGAGACACTGTTAATACAATATTTGCAATCAGGTTATAATCAAGAAGGCTTGCAGGTCTGTGAAATATTCTGCCTCTTTAGGTAACTTTTTGGAATTCTGATCGAATATATTGTGTTGATATAATTTAGGTCTGAGAGGACAATCTTCTTTCTCTTTTTTTCAGGATTTTGTCAGTTCATTAAGTATGGACTCATTCTAGCTAAGCTAATACAAAAGTATCTTTTTAGTGAAAAATAATTGTTACAAGCATGCCTTTATAAATAGTGCATTTCCTCCTTGTTGACAAATGTATATAAGAAGTTAAATAATATATTCTGTATCTTGATTATGATTATACTTTTGTCAAAACTCATAGGCTATACTCCTAAAATGGGTGATTTTTACAATATGTAAATTATACTGCAATAAAGCTGACTTTAAAAATGCAGATTGTGGTGGGGGCACATCCACCGGAGTTTCTACCAGTAGGTAGGAAATGCTGGCACCAGTGGGATCAGAAATATGTGAAGTCTGTTAGATAGAAGCATCTGTATACTTTCCATATGAAGGATGCTTTGCTTTAGGGAATAGAAAATACTTAAGTCCAGGGCCCAAGCCTCCCTCTCCCCAGGAAGGTGCTGTCTGGACAATGCCACCTCTAGCTTTTGAGATTTGTTTTCTCTTTTTTGTTTTGGTCAACTCTTGTTTCCTTAGATACATAAACTAGGTCAATTAAGATGCAGTCAATTGTTGGTGGCCTGTGAGTCATTTGGGCCATATAAGGTGACTGTGTGCTTCCGTTTTGAAGTATTTTGTAATTTTCTTCAATCATGACCCATTTTTTGTGGTAGAGGTGGGGATTGCCAAAGGATATCAGACTGGAGACTCCTGATAAGTGGTAGGAGTATTCAGTGGAGGTTCAGAGCATAGGGTGCTATAGCTACAAAAGTTTAATGGAGGAGATGGGATTAATATAGTTACCCATGGTTAGGATTTGTACAGAAAAATATTTCAGATGGGAAACTTGAGGCCTACTGTTAAGCCTTTCTAGCTTGACCAGGGGATTATTGGGATACAGTGTGGAATAAAGTGAGAAAACCAGATTTCTCCTATAGGTGTTGAAAGGTCATTATAAGTTTTTCACAAAAGATGTATAATCCTTGTTAAAAATCTAGCTAAAATCCCAATTGCTCAAACCTAGACTTTATGTTCATATTGTTTAAGAGTTGACAGCGTTCAATTTTCTGTATGTGCACTTTGTTTTTCCGACTAGACCATGAGCTCTTATGGGCAAGAAATCACTTATTTTTCCTTGTCTCAGAGCGGGTAGTACTTACTGAATTAGTTGGAAAGCTTTCCGTATTCCTTTAATCCATTCCAGTCTTATACGTTGGTCTTTTAATCAATATCAGATTTTTTATGTCTCTTTCTTAAATATTCAGTCTGGCTCTTGTAAGATTGTGACCTATGGTTGGAGAGTAACCTAATACTTCCTTGATAATATATGCCAGTTAATACAAGCCATCGTCATGTCTTTTTTTTTTTTTTTTTAAGTAGAGATGCAATTCAGACTCATGTTTATCTTGAGTTTATACAAGCTCAAGTCTTTGGCAGAGAGTTTAGTTATTTGTTGTGAAACACAATCTTTGGAAGCTTACCATAAAATGCTCACTGAATGTGGAAACTATGTTATGAAAGGCTGGCACCCTGTGAAATCTTGACTCCCTGTGAAGTTTACAACATGATTTTGTAGTTGTTTCCCAACTTGTCCTGCAGAGCAACTCTGTCATGTCTTATAATGGTGACTCTTGGTTGCCAAGCTAGAGTTGAAATCAGAATATCTTGTCCTGACATAAATTTTGGTGAGTCACTTTTAGGTTTGGAGAGGAGTAAATAATCTACCAAGGATGTTCTCTCTCTTAATGAGAAAAGGGAATAGAGAGGAAGTTGTGATTTGAGTTTTCCATATCAAATATACCCTACTCCTCCACTTTTCCCTCCCCATTGTTGGGTTGAGTGAATCCCCTTTGTATGCTAAGAGCACTGAGCAATTGTTCTTTTCAAATACTTATCACATTGCATTGACATGGACACGTGTGTCTATTTTTTCCACATTAAGTAAGCTTTTTTGATGACAAAGACTGATTCTTAGTCACCTCTGTATTACCAATGGCTAGCAGAGCATCTGACACATGGTGGCTAGAAAATAAATATTTGTTGAATTGAACAAATACTAATAATATTGATAATAGCTAACATTGAGTGCAATTACTTTTCAGCAGGCACCACTTTAAGCACTTTACAGATAGTAATTCCTTTAACTCTCCCTACAATCCTATGAGGTGCCTACATTATACAGATCAGAAAAAATAAAGAACAATGAATTAAATACCAGGTATGCTTAAGGTTATAAAGCTGGTGAATGGCAGAAGCAGGAATCAAATCCATGACTCCAAAGTCTTAACCACTATGTTACACATATATATCAGGTAAAAGGAATGGTTTGTTTTCTAATAAAATTGCCTATACAAGAAGGCCAATTAACTAAAGATGGATTCTGATTGGCCAAGAGAAGGAGTTCTTTCCTTTCTCCTAGAGTTTAGCTACCATTTTCTATTACAACTACCTGCTTCTTAATATGATTGTTTCCAGTCTGTCACTTTTACATACATTTGTGAGGTTGGTTTCTTTTGGATTGCATCTAAGTAGTGGATAAATTGCACCATTTTATTGGGCAATATGTGAGAACATTTGGATCTTGAAATTCTATTATGTGTGGCCTGTTAAAAATAATACTTTCAAATCACTTGTGCTTTTAAACATTTTTTGTAAGTTGTTCTTATTTTTAATTACATGGATAATACATGAATGAATTCTCATTGGAAAAAAGTCAAACAATAGAATGTGAAAATTGCTCTTTACCTCATCTTCCACATCAATCCTTTGCATTGAAATGACCATTTTATTAGCTTGGTGATGTGTACTCAATAATGTACTTTGTTTTCTTAATGATTTGTCTTGGTTATTGCTTCATATCAAAACATGTAGATCTACCTCATTTTAGTTAATTGTTGCATAATTATTCAGAAGATGCATGGTGATACATTCTGTATTTCTCTATCGATGGATACTTAGGTTATTTCCGATTTTTTCTTTTTTGTGGCTACTATAGACAATACTGTAGGTCATATTTGAGTATAGATTTAATTCGAGATTCATAAGAAGAAATAGGTGGCCATGAGGATGTGTACACGTCTACTGTAATAAGATATGGCCAAATTGTCTTCCCAAATAGCTGTAACAGTGTTGCTAGTAGTTTCTCCACAAAAAAAGACAACTTGAATAAATGGAGAAATATGCCAAATTCCTAGATGAAAAGGCTCAATTTTATAAAGATGACATTTCTCATCAAATTAATCTGTAAATCCTGTGCAGTTCCAATTATAGCCCAATAGAATTTTTTAATGGAGCCTGACAGGCTGATTCTAAATTTTAAGAGGTAGAGGAAATAAGCAAGAAGAGTTGGGAAATTTTGAAAAAAAAAATTGAAGGAGTGGTAATGTTGCAAGAATATCCACACAGTTAAATGAAGGGGAATGGAGAGTCTAACATACATATAACAATTTAGAAATTAAACAAAGTAAAATTTCAGTTCTGTGGAAAAAAATAAAAATCTATTTAACAGTGTGGGTAAATTTGGCTATCCATCTAGAAGCAAAGTTGAATCCTTATTTCACACCCTATCTAACTCCAAATGTATTAAAATTAAATATTAAATTATTTATAGAAAACAAAAGAATAGGAATTTTAAAGGAAAACTTGAGAGAATATATTATAGTCTGGGGTTGGAGAAACCTTCTTAAGCCATGGAGGAAATATAGAAATTAGATAAGTAATAATAGATATTACAATACACAAAATATTACATTTTTAATGAAAAAAATCATAAATTCAAAAGCTAATGGGACAAGATTTACAACATATTTTACAAACAGAAACTTTTTTTCTTTTTTAATTTTAAGTTCCGGGGTACGTGTGCAGGATGTGCAGGTTTGTTACATATGTAAACGTGTGCCACGGTGGTTTGCTGCTCCTATCAACCCATCACCTAGGTATTAAGCCCAGCATGCATTAGCTCTTTTCCCTAATGCTCTCTGCACATCCCCACCGTGTCCATATGTTCTCACTGTTCAGCTCTCACTTATAAGTGAGAACATGCGGTGTTTGGTTTTCTGTTCCTGTGTTAGTTTGCTGAAGATAAACGGCTTCCAGCTCCATCCATGTCCCTGCAAAGGACATGATCTCATTCCTTTTTATGTTTGCATAATATTTCATGGTGTATATGTACCACATTTTAATATCTGTAGTATACAAAGAGTTTCTGCAAAGTAACATAAAAGTAATCAATTGAAAAAATTAGGCAAGGGGTGTGAATAAGGATTAAAAAGAAGAGGAAATGAAAATGGCCAATAAATAAATGGAAATATCCTCATCTTCATTAGTCATCAAGAAAATGCAAATTACCATAACAATGAGATATCAATTTTTTAACTACACAGAGAAAATTTAAGTGTGCTAACAGTACTGACCACTTAGCTAGAAAAAGGGCACTATGATGTATCGCAAGTAGGATTTTGAATTGCCACCGCCTTTCAGGGAAGTAATCTGGCTGTAACTGTTTGAATGGAAAATTCAATTCAAAACAAGTATATTTACTTGTGTCAATATCTCTGGAAAGTTACATTTTAATAATAGTTCTCTTTGGTGAGGGGAATTGGAGGACTGATAGGAATTTTTTTTCTGTTTGATTTTTTTCCCCACATGTACATATTACATATCACCTATTAAAATAAAATACAAAAACATTTTTATATTTTTCCTTTTTTTTAGCTATTTCTTACAGGAAGGAACAAAAGCTTTTAAAAACTATGTAAATATATATTTCGATCCAGTAATCTCATGTTGGGCACTTTTACCTAGTTAAAAATGTATATGAAATACATTTATAGACCGGGCACAGTGGCTCACACCTTTAATCCCAGTACTTTGGGAGGCCGAGGTGGAGGGATCACTTGAGTCCAGGAGTTCAAGACCAGCCTGGGCAACATGGCGAAACCCCGCCTCTACTAAATACAAAAATTAGCCAGGCATGGTGGTGCTCACCTGTAGTCCCAGCTACTTGGAAGGGGGTGGGGGTGGTAGTTGGGCACGGGGATACAGGGGTGGGGTGGCGGGGAAGAATCGCTTGAGCTTGAGAGTTTGAGGCTGCAGTGAGCCAAGATCATCCCACTGCACTCCAGCCTGGGCGACAGAGCAAGTCTCTGTCTCAAAAAAAAAAAAAGTGTATTATATGTATAAACATGTTCATTATAATACTATTTAATGTTTATACTAGAAAAACTGGCAACAATCTGAATATTATGAGCAGAAAAAACTGGAAACAATCTGAAATTATTCTTAAATTTGAATATCATGAAATATTTTTCTTCTAATAAAAATTATGAGTAGGACTCATTATGAACAGTATCAACCTTGAGAGATGTAAGTTCATGATGTACTGTTATGTGAGAACAAGTTGCAGATAAATGAGTTTAAACTGACATAATTAAAAAAAAACCCTCACAAAGGAAAGAAGCAACATGTAGATATATGTTTATATGACCATGCACAGAGTTGTGGAAATATATACATCAGGTTAACATTGGTTACCCTGAGTAGGGGCGGGAAGGAATGAGAGAGAAGAAGAGGTGGCGGAAGATAAGAAACAAAGAAAGGCTACCAAATAGAAAAATTCTCATGGTATATTATAAAGCAAGCAAGTAGAATATAATTTCTACCTTTAATACTATTGCAATTGTGTGAACTTTGAATATGCAGATAAACAAGAACTAGAAGGAAACCTGGATAAATGAAAACATTGATTTGGTCGGGTGATGGGATTATGGACCTTTTTTGCTTTGGAATGCAGACATTTTAATATATTTTTGTAATAACATAACATAAATATAAAGATGATATAGAACTTTGAAGAAAATCTTATTTTCTTATTGTAAATAGTGTCCCATCTTCTTCTTTCACAATGTTGCCTATGAAAATTCAAAATCAATGACATCTGAATTTTCACTGCAAGGTGCAAGAATCAATGACATAGGGCAATGTGTTTTACTCTTTGGAAACTATCAGTAAATTTTTTCTTTATTGTTCGGGAATTTCACCACAGTGTGTCTAGGTGTGGGTCCTTTTTCATACATCCTGCTTGACACCTGATGGGGCTTTTAAATCTGAGGGCTCATGTCTTACTTTAGTTCTGGAACATATTCTCTGATTATTGCTTTATCTATTACTTCCTATCCATTTTTTAACTCTTCTTTTTCATTTGGCATTTGTAGTAGATAAATGCTGGAACTTCCGGATATATACTCCTTGTTTCCTAACTTTTCTTCCTTATTGTCCTTTGCATTGCATTCTGAGAGATATTATTCGTTTTATTTAGGGGGAGTTAGTGACTGGAAGAGGGCAGTCTAAGGAAGATTTGGGGAGTATTTGTAAAGTTCTCTTTCTTGATCTTGGGCTGGTTACACAGATTTGTTCAATTTGTAAGAAATCTTCAAACATTAGACTTTTGATATATATACTTATTTTAATAAGTAATTTTAAAAAAACTTCAAGGCTTTTGGCCTGAACAACTGGAAGGATGAAATTGCCATCCACTGAGATGAAGAAGGCTGCAGGTAGAGTAGGTTTGGGAGAAGATCAGGAGTTCAGGTTTGAACATGTTGAGTTTGAACTGTCTCTTGGATATGCAACAAGAGGTGTCAGCTATCATGTTCAATCCTGCTAATAGGTTAGGTAAGATGAAGACAGAATTAATTATAGATTTAGCAATTTGGAGTTCAATAGTCCTCTTAATGAGAGCAGTATTGGTGGACTTGAGGAGAGGGCTGGGAGCTGATTAGGTGGTCTTAAGAGTGTGGAGGAGACCAAATGAAGACAGGAAACATAAGCAACTCTGCTGTTTGCTGTCTGATCCAAAGCCATGATTGGGGTAATAGGATGGGGTCAAACTTTTTGGCTGCTTCTTGTGGGACTCAAGCCTGTTATCATTTGGTTGCCCTATGGTCCGTTTATATTTAAGTTTCTGCCATGTCTGCACTAGAAGCACTCCTGAAGCTCTTCTCACTCTTCAGGAGCCCTTCCTGTGCACCTTTGGGCTGCCCCTCCCTTCTTCCCTTCCTTCTTCTTTCTGTCATCTCATCTTTTGGGCATTTCTTACTTTTTCTGATCCCCGAGGGCACCAGTTTCTGTTTCTCAGTGTGCCATATCCACTCAATCTCCTCATTTTACCTTTTGAAACTTCAATTTCCTTACCTAGAAAATGTGCAAAAGAATGGCTGCTTTATTGTGGATTTATGGGGGTCAAATGAGATTATATAAAGTACAGTTCCTTGTAAATTGTATACTCTAAAAAAACGAAATGCTAATTTTATGTTAGCTGTTACTTTTAGAATTTAAAGGGTGGTTGATTTCATTATTGTGATATGGAATATCACTCTTTTCTATTTTCTAAACGTAATTGTTTTTAGTGAATTTAGACGGCTTGCATTTTAATGACAACCTACTTACAATCTCCAATTGTAGTTAGCAGTACTATGGGAAGTGGGGCCAAGGATGTTTAGACCCATTTCTGATCCTAAGTTTTATTCTGCCAAATGACATGTTGAATTTAAAATAATGGACCTCCTCACTACCCCTTTATAAATGTTTATACAGATTTTCTCCCACCAAATTATTAGCTACTTTAAGGGAAAGTATGGAGTCTTATTTTTGCTGTATTCCCAGTGCCTTGAAAAGCATTTGGCACATAGTAGGCACTCATTTATGTTTATTTTTTGGAAATTGATCAGACTTGAGCAATGATTTTTGTTTGCACTGACTTGGGAGATATTATTAGTGTGATGCAAATTTTGCTTTAAAATATTCTAACAAGGTTTTACTGGTAGGCCAATAGTACCTATGGTGTGAGTATTAGTTTTAGGCAGAAATAAATTGCCTTTTAGGACTAAACATCATGGATGTTTACAATCTAAACACTAATAGTAACTTAAGAAGCTAAAAAGGCTATGCTTATTAATAGCTGCTATTACTGATACTGTCTCCAATGTCAAAATAACCTTAAAGTCTCACATCTAGTAAAGTACAGAACCAGAAGGCATACTACCGACTACCTGAATTCAAAGCCAGTGATCCCAACTCCAAACTCCTCTAATATGTTTTAAGCCAAGTGCGTAAGGAATATAAGTTGGCAGTAGCCTCAATTTCAGTTTTCTGTTCTTAAGGAACAGTATTTATAATCTTTTTGCTTGGCTTATTCACTTTACTCTGAGGGTTAGCGATATAGAGTGATATTTGATCCTCTTACTCTGTGTCATGCTAACGTGCTATTTTTCCCCTATTTCCTTTCTTTCTCTTTCTCTTTCTTTTGGTTGTTCTGACCCACACTGAGGCTCTGGAAGGTCTTGTAAGTTTTAATCCCTAATGTTTCCACAGGAAGAAGAGAAATGGCTTTTTTCCACAAGACTATATCTAATTTTAGTATTGTTTATGCAGTGACTTTGAAAGTATGTTTTCAAATTGCTGTTAGTCTCTTTGTGTAGCCCTTGTGGCCTAAGCAACAATCAAAATTAAATGTTAATACATTTAGAGGGAGAAAAGAGCCTGATATAGCAAAATTAAACAAATATTTAATAGGTTCCTACTATGTGTCAGCATAATTTTAGGCTCTAAGGGAACACAGCAGTGGTTTTATTTTTAATCAAAAAAGTAAAGACAAAAAAGGATGCATTTATGCTAAAAACTGATTTAATGGCAATAAAAATGTATTTTAAAATTTCTCAACAGATGATGTAATTTCTTCTTGAAACAGGTTATATACCTTTGCGGATTTAACATCTGTAGTATAATCATTTTATTTTAAATGAGTAAAACCAAACAGTAATGTTACTTGCCCATTTTTCCTTTTTTCTCATTTGGTTGCCTCAAATCATTTGCTAAATATACATTTTCATCTTAGTCTCTTTGTAACAACTATTAATTTAAAGCAATTTGTGGTACTAAATGCTTCCACCTGGATGAAGACTTCTGCTCAAAGCTTCTCTATTTTGTTTTTCTGGAGTTATGTGCTATTCGCCAGAAAAAAAGAGACTATAATATTTATCATATGTTAGCAAAATCTAAAATCTTAGAGTTAACCTACTTTTTAATGCTTTGGCAGGAATTTTAATAGTTATACATCAAGGGTGAATACAGCTATTTTTTTTAGGGGGAAGGAATTTAAAATTCCTTAGCAAATTTTATCTCTCATCAACTTTTCTATATGTACCCTGTGAGGAAGGTGAATATAGAATATGTTTTTATTCCTGTTATATTGTTGGCAACACGTGGCCTTGTCAAAGAATGGCTCCTTAGAACTGTGTCTAGTAGCTTTGGAGCAGATAGTAGATTCTTCCCTACTTCTGCTCTATCCAGTTCTTCTGACCTACCTTTTTCTCTTCATTAGTCAACACCCTTTGGCCATTGAATACTTGTTCATATATTATTCTGATACTACTTGTTAACTGCTTCTAACTACTGTACACTAACTTTATATAAATTTTAAATTTTACATAAATTTTAATGATTTCAAATTTAAAAATCCTTTTTCTTATTTAAAAAAAAAACCTTTAGCTTCTTCTTCAACACATACCATGTTGGTAAGCACACAGTAGGAACTCAGTAATCATTTTGGGTTCATTCATTTAGTCAACACCTAATGATTGGTACAAGCAATGTGGAGCACTGAATAGGAAGTCAGAAGAACTTGATTCGAGGTTGAGCTCTACTATTTACTAGCTATATCATTTTAAGCTTTTCACAATCTCTCTGAGCAATTGTTCCTTCTTTAAAATGAAAGTGACTAAACTACATTTTTTTCCCCAAATTCCTTTCAATTCTATGATTCAGTGATCCAAAGGAGTGAATAAGAGTTTTCCATGCCAGGCGTGGTGGCTTATGCCTGTAATCCCAGCACTTTAGGAGGCCGAGGCGGGTGGATCACCTGAGGTCAGGAGTTCGAGACCAGCTAGGCCAACATGGAGAAACCCCGTCTCTACTAAAAATACATAAATTACCTGGGTGTGGTGGTGTGCACCTATAGTCCCAGCTACTCAGGAGGCTGAGGCAGGAGAATTGCTTGAATCTGGGAGGCAGAGGTTGCAGTGAGCCAAGATCATGCCGTTGCAGTGAGCCAAGATCATGCCATTGCACTCTGGCCTGGGTGACAGAGCAAGACTCCATCTCAAAAAAAAAAAAAAAAAAAGAGTTTTCCACGTTTCTAATTTCCCACCCATGCCTTATAATGCCTTGTAGTTACTGAACGTTCTGCCATTCTCTGGGGTTTTATATTTACAGCTTTGTTTGATGGTATATAACAAAATGATTTTTAAATAGAACTCTAATACAGTGCGGTATATTTAGTGGATAATTAGTATATAAAGAATAAAAAGGCATATTTCTTTCCAGAGTCTATTGTTTTTCCAGGCACAGTAACCAATGGTTTGAAAACATATCCCTCAAGGGATAACGAGTCTTTTTCTCTTTAATGCTTGCCCTAACATATTTGCTTTATTTTTAGCTGAATAGAAGATCTGTGTGTTATAGACCACATTTCTTCAAGCTGGCCTTCTTTTTGACATATGCAATTTTTCTAATCACAGTTTTTTGGGAGAGCAAGACTGTGCATGCTGATAGAAAAGACAGCAGAATCAGACAATTTTAGGGATAATTAGACCAGTCATGAAAATAAGGACTGGTCTATGTGTGTAGGACCTTAGAAAAAATCAGTCTTGGATAAGTATGTAAATAAATCTTTATAAAAATCAAGTTCTTGATCAAATAAGAAAAAAAAACCTGACAAGAAATTAACATAATCTATCTCACTCTCATAAAGTTGTTGCAAGGATTTAATAAGATTTAACACAAAGATATTACTGTATATCTTAAACATCTCTCCTTACCTCTGATGTCCATTGTGGGGTAAAGAGATGGGAACACTCCTCGGTGCCTCTGGGAGGCACTATTACTATTGGTGAAGACCCCCAAATCTACATTTCAACCTTAACTTCCAATTTTAATCTCTCTCTCTCTTTTTTTTTTTTTTAATTTTTTAATAGAGATGCAGTCTCACTATGTTGCTCAGGCTGGTATCAAACTCCTGGGCTCAAGTAATCCACCCGCCTCAGCCTCTCAAAGTGCTGGAATTACAGGTGTGAGCCACCGTGCCAGGTCTTAACTTTGAATTTGATATTTCCAACTGTCTATCAGGGATTATGTATATGATAGTAAATCCCACTATCATTACGAAATCAATAAAATAACACTCAAATTGATCACTTTCCCCCCATCCCAATTATTTTTCCTGTCAAATTTCCTAATTTTTCTCTAAGTCAGTTTTTTCCCAGTGCAAACCAGAAAGGAAAGATGACTTAGGCTTTGCCCAAGGAGGTCGAACGTCAAAGAGGGAGCAACATCTAGAAAAAAAGTGGCTAACTAGAGTCTCAGAAATTGGAGCGGTGGAGCAGAAAAGAAGCCGGAGAAAGAAAGGAGATTTAGAAAGTGAATGATTCAAAGACAAGAAAAAGCACGGTGGAATTGAAGGACAGTTCAGAAACTAATTATACAAATTGGGTTCATTTGTTTCACCATTCCTCTTACATGGCTTAAGCACTGTTTGGGGGCTAGAGTCTTACTTTTAAAGGAACCAGAAGGTATAGTAAAATTTCTAATATAAACACTTCTTTCTGTTTTGAAATCTCAATTCTTTGAAGGCATCTTAGAATCTTCATTCCCTATTATATTCTACCAACTAAGCAGTACACAACAAACACTTACTAGGATTTAATTACTTTGGGGTTAAATGAAGAGACATTTTAAATTGCTTCCTCTCCTAGGCTTCTTATACTCATCTTTTCTACCGCATTACCACCGTAAGCCTAGCCCAGACAAAGAAATATCAAGTCCAAACTTCCCACTTTAGTATTTGAGTTCTTTCAAAATCAGACCTCAATTTATTTCCAACCTTATCTTTTCCTGCTGCCCATCAGAATCTTTCCACTTATCTAAACCAGTCTCCATTCATTATATCTTGATCTTTTGTTTCTTTGTCTTCCTTGTGAATATCCTTGCCCCTCATGTCATCTTAATCCAATATCCCTTAAGACTCAGTTTAAGTCCTATCACTTCTGGGAAACCTTCTATGTACATTTCAGTGAATGTGAATCTCACTTTTTTTGAATTTCTATTGTAACTCCTGCTGTGTCATACATGTTGGTACCTAACCATTTTTTTTTCTCTTAAATGGTATACATGTCTTCACTTCCTAGAGAAGGCATGTCTTTGAGGGAAAATACTATATACATTTATACTTCTTTTGTGTCTCCCACAATACTTAACAAAAATGGTTTTTGAATGCATGATTTATGTTCAGTACAGAAATAGAAGGAAAAGAGGGTGATGATGAAACAATATAAACCTAAGTTTCACTTTATTATGCAAGCGATCAAGAAAACACCTTAAAAACTGAAAATGGCCTTGACATTCCAAATTCACAATAATAACACAATGTATGACTGTATGTCATTGTTGCAATATGTAACTGTATATAATAAACAGGGTAGACAGCATTCTAAAGCAAGTATTTAAAGTTGAAAACAGTTCAACATAAAAAACCTTTTTACTTTCAAATATATTTGATAAATTTGAAGAGGATTTATGCACACTGGATTTTAGAAAGAATCTATTGAGCTTCTAGAAAACAGGAAAATGACCACAGAAACAAGTCATTTTAAAAAATAAAGTCATATCATATCCAATGGGCTTTTAATAACATAATTGCTGTTTTGCTTCTTTCAAAACTTGAAATAAAATTGTTGCCACTGAATTCAGATTTTGACGTCAGTGATATAACTATTCCCACATATCCCAGGGAACAATTTAAAACCTTGATAACAAAAGTCTTGAAGAAACAAGCAAGCCATTGAAGGCAAGAACTCTTCTGAGGCTATTATCACTTAGTGAGGTAAAAATAGATGAAACTTGTAATTGTTACAAATATTATTTTCCACATAGGCAAACTTTAAGCAAAGAGAAACCTTAAACTAGAAAAATGTTACCTGAACATCTCTGAAATGGAGTCTGGTTTATTGGTCTGGGGACTATAAAATAATCACAAAATTAACTCATTCTGAATAAGATGCTAATTTTGAACCACTTCATGAAATTGACATGCGTGCCTTTAATAGCTCATTTTCTTTTTTTCTTTCTGATTTTTTTCTCCTTAACATTTTATAAATGTCATAATACACATTAAGAATCACGATGCCTCCCCTGTATTTCTGAGATCATTATCTTGGATATTACTGCACAGTTTCAAACATTTGAAATGCTGACATTGATTGATAAAGTTATTCATAATACATGCCTATTGCTGATTTAATTACTTTGAGGTTAAATGAAGAGGCATTTTAAATGGTGTGCTTTAATATAGTTCAATTATTGAAAACAAATCAAACAAGAAATATGTTTCAGAAAAGAAAGATGATAAAAGGACATCATTTCTGTGAAAAACTTTATTTTTAAATGTAGAATATTTATAAATTAATGGCGCACACAAAAGATGAATTCCTTGTCCTTTCTCTTTAAATATCAGCATCATCAAATACTAAGCGCCTGTAAATATCTACTCTAATTGATTTCATGCTTTTCCTTGACCTTGATACAAAGCTGGATGTGTCCCTAAAGAGCTAAATACCCGTTTAGTCCTTCTGCTTTGGTGGGGCTAACTGATTCCTTCCTATTGCGAAATCATTTGCTCCCCAAACACTGTTCCCTCTAGGATTTAACCTCTCTTCTCAAAAGTACGCGTATATGCCACAGCCTATCATACTAATGCTATCTGCATGGCTTGTCAGTAAAACAAGCCTGCAGTGATGGGAGTGCTGCAGCTTTTAGTGCAGTTTCAAGCATAATACAGTCAGCTCATGTCGGGAGATGATGTAAGATGAAGTTTCAGGGCTGTGATGAAAAGGTCTTCAAATCTAAATAGCTTCTGCAAGGCAAATGGTTCTGTGTTTCTCAGGTAATTGTAATCCCTGAAATCAAACCACCTCTCAAGGTATGCAATGACATGGTTATCAAATGTTTTAAATGATTTCTTGAGCATCAGAGCTGAAAAGAATGACAGGCTTAGATTTGTTTGAAATTCATAATATTTGTCATTCAGCCTCTGAACCAGCTTGTTCCTATCATTTGGAATGGGGCTATACAGATGGCAGCCACTTGAATGCCTTTTTTTTTTTTTTTTCCCAGAGAGAGACTGCTGTCCTAGAATTATGGCAGCATATTAAAGAAAAAAATTATACTTTTTAAAAATAAATTTTGCAGCCCCCATGGGATGTTATCTTGGGAAAACCTGCTACTTTATTTTCTTAAAATAGAGCTCCTGCACAACAATATGTCACATCAGCTAAGTGCTTACAGCAGGAATTTCCTTAGGTGACTCTTATGTGTTTCTAGCAGGAATTTTTAATTTGTTTTGCTGAAATATTTCAAGTAAGATTAAGTTATATTGTTAATAAGAGCAATTCTGCTCTAAGATATTTCTCCAACAATAAACAGATATTTTGATCTTGAAGGCTAAAATGTAAAATATATGGACCTGCTCTAAACAGTGCTTGTTAACTATTAGTGTGAAAGAACAATTTATACTTAGGAGTTAATGTGCTTTTTAAAACTTGCCTCTGATGACTATCTGCTTCACACATTAATGTTATTTTAAAAAAGATTTCTGTTTTCTAATCATAAAATGGATAATTGAATACAAGTTGTGCTAATTTCTTTCTCAGCTAACCAGACATATGAGGAAAGTGACTGCTCAAAAGAGCATACCCAAGTCAGTCTGGTGACATGGTGGCAGTGTCCCTTGGTTGCAGACAGAGTACATTAGAAGTGAACAGAAATGCATTTAAGCCATTCCTCTTTTGTGCTCTTCTCGATCACAGCATTTACTGTGCTGTTTTGTAGTTGTCAGTTTATGGGAATGCCTCTTTCTCAGACTGTGTGCTTCTTGAGGCTAAGGACCCTGTATTTCATCTTCATAACCCCATCACTTAGCACAGTGATGATCATAATATTTGGTAGTGAAAGAAGATCTGTTGGTTGCTGAACACATTGTATTATAAGACCCATGAGAACAGTGACTCTATTGAATTCAGTTTTCTATCTTGAACAGCTAGTATATTTCCTGGCTAAAACAATGTGGAATAGAAAAAACTATAACTTTGTATTTTGTGGAAAAATGTTACAGACATCACCTGATTTCAACCTTCCATAAGATGGCTTCATGCAATAGTAGATAGGGGAGTTTATTATCATCCCATTTTACAGATGAGGAGACAAAAATCCAGAGTGATGAATTAACTTACTAAAATTCACTTTACTTAACAAAACTTGTAACTATTTAGAGATAGACCGTGCAAGGTTGGTCATCTATGAGTTAGGAAATGCCCTTAAAAATAAGTCTCGGCTGGGCACGGTGGCTCACGCCTATAATCCCAGCACTTTGGGAGGCCGAGGTGGGTGAATCACGAGGACAGGATTTCGAAACCAGTCTGGCCGGATGGTGAAACCCCATCACTACTAAAAATACAAAAAGTTGCCAGGCATGGTGGCGGCCGCCTGTAATCCCAGCTACTTGGGAGGCTGAGGCAGGAGAATCGCTTGAACCCGGGAGGCAGAGGTTGCAGTGAGCCCAGATTGTGCCACTGCACTCTAGTCTGGGTGACAGAGCAAGACTCCATCTCCAAAAAAAAAAAAGAATAAGTCTCAAGGAGGCCCTGACTTTTTGAACCTTAATTCATCCCTCACTTCTGCTTCCACTTCTAAATTGGGAAAAGAACGTTGCTGTGGGTGCTGTCAAATATTAATACTTTTTCCTCAGAGATATTTAAGTGTGTGTGTGTGTGTGTGTGTGTGTGTGTGTGTGTGTGTGATATTCTTTTGTTTCCTCCAAAGACATGAGGACTGATTATTTATACATCATTTAGTGTTCAATAATTTCTTTTACACAATCTTTGTAATGGGCCAACTAATGTAAACAATGTATCGAATCCACTCCCTGAAGTCATGGCTTTTTCTCCTTTAAGGTGGCAGAAAAGCAGAAAAGTTCCCACAACTTTTCCAGTCATACTTTTAGTGAAATGGATCAACACTAGGCAGTCTAAATGGCAGCATGATTGTAATACTGATACTCTGGGGTTGAAAAACTATGCCAATTAATTTGATGCAAAATTAGTGTCAGAACACTCTCGGAAAGGTATTTTTTGTTCGCGTTTAAACTGGCTGGAACTCTGAGTAGTTTCAGAAAAGCAAAGTTTTGTAAAGATATCATAAAATAACCTTGCCCATTTATTGCTAAAGGACTCTAAAGTGTACTCTTCCTAAAGTAGTCCATGCTTTGCTTCATCCTCACTTGCAATGGTTTTCCAATAATACAGTGTCTTGATGTTGTCATTTTAAGTGGAAATCCACTCTAACCAAATCTTAAGTTGCTGCTTTATAAAGATCTTCCTCAAATTGAATACAACTCCTGGAGTCCTAAACTCATCTTGCTTGGCACAAAGCCATTGCGCTTCTGGAAATCAATTTCTCTAGTGGGGATGGAAGGTGGAAAGGTGAGTAAAGTTAACAGCTGTTACTTTCTTCCATTCTTTCATTCTTTCTTCCAACCTTCTCTCTTCCCCTCTCCTCTCCTCCTCTCCCCTCCCCTCCCCTTCACTCCCTTGTCTTTCCTCTCTACCCCCTTCCTCTCTTTCTCTTCCTCTCTTTTTCTTTCTTCGTTTCTCTCTTTCATTCCTTAACAGGAAGACCCCCTAAAGGGAAAACACACAAACCAAAACCACTCCTAAAATGAACACAAAATAACACCTGTCTAGGGCTTTGTTGGTAAAGTCTGGAGTTGCTGTAGAGGTTTTTACTTGCTGTCAAACTGGTTATTGCTGAAACTGTGGTTAGGGAGGTAGCAGTACCACTGTAGTGGGGAGGTATATGCTGGAGACTGATCGAAAAGATCCATGGCTTTGCCTTGAGGGGAGCAGTGAGTATCCCCTGGGGTAAATGCAGGAGTCAATGGAGGCATGGTTTGCCATCCTGCTTCCTGCCATATGCAGTGCTGAGCAACAGTGCCTTGCAAATAACAGAGAACCAGAATTCAGTGCATCACTGAGTAGCAGGAACACCAGTAATGATGGTGACTGCCAGATATTAAGGATTAGCCCCTTGTCCCTCATTTTAATGTGGCTTAAGTCTGAGAAGTCTATAGAATCTGATGAGGAAGGAAGCTGCAGTAATGACTGATAGTGAATGCCCTATCAGCTAGGAATGTGAGGGTTCAGAACGAAGTCTGATATGATTTGAAAATCAAAAAGAAACAAAATGTGCTATTTTTTGCGTCAGAGCAATCTGGAACAAATTCATGCTTATAAGAAATACTTCTAAAAAAAATAGATACATCAAACCTCTGGGAAGTAGGATGAAAGCCAGAGGAACTTTCACTTTTTACTTGAAATGTACGTGTGCGTGTGTGTGTAGCTGGGGGAAGGAACAATCCTTTTCTTTCAAAACAAAAATGATAGTCAGTTTGGATTGAGAACAGGATCTGCAGGTGTGTAGATGTCTTCAAGGTCATCTGAACCAGCCCTAATCCTTATGTACTGTATACTCCTAGGACGACTTTGAGACCTGAAAGCTCTAGATTTAGACATCGTTTTGAAGGAGTATTACTAGGAGTAAAGTGTATCATCTCTTCTACTCATTATCCAATTCCATAAAGAATATTTGCCAGTATAAATGTTTTATACTATTATATAAACTGTAATTATATGCCAATAATTAAATACCACTTATTTGTTCATTCAACACTTAATGGATATTTATTGGGACCCTATAATGTGGTAGGCACTTTCCTAGGCACTTAAACCTACATAGGACAATAAAAATAAATAAATCTTGTCATTTTTTTGCTCCTCAGGTTTGCTTGGGTACAAGAAATATCACATTTTGTCTTGGTATGGGACAGACATACCAATAGTCTGGTACATCCTTCTACTGCTATACTTTATCAAATTGTATTAAAATAACCAGTTTATGCAATTGGGATCAAAATAGCTTTTATAATATAAAGGTAGAAAATATGAAAGATGGGAACAACATATTTGAATCAGTAAAAGAAACCGCACAGAAAAAAATAAAGCAAGGAAAATGATAAAGTGGGGAAAATATTTATAACATATATGACACATGCATTTTCTATCTGTGATATATAAAGAGTTCTTCCAGGACACTAAGCAAAACATCAATAACCAATTGAAATGTCTTCAAAGGACACAAACAGAAAATATTCCAAAAAAGGAAAAACAATAGCAAATTTTATATATATATGTGTGTGTGTGTGTGTGTGTGTGTGTGTGTGTGTGTATTTAAATGTTCAAGCTCACTAGTAATCAAGGGAATGCAAATTTAAGCACTAAGATACCATCTCTGGTTATCAGACTGGCAAATACTAATTATTAAAAAACTCCAATTCTAATTCTCCCATACAGGGTTTCTCAGCCTCGCACTATTGACATTTTGGTTAGGATAGTCCCTTGTCGTGTGCAGCTGTCCTGTGCATTGTAGGATGTTTGGCAGCATCCCTGGCCTCTTGCCACTAGAAAGATGCCAGCAGCATCCCTTTCCTGATGTGACAACCAAAAATGCCTCCAGACACTGCTAAATGTCCTCTGGTAGGGAAAATCACCCTGGATTGAGAACCACTGGTCTAACCCTACAGAAGGGCTTGCATTACTCCCACTTGTCGTGATCTCTCTTTCTTTCAAATCTGTGCATGTTCTTACTCCAACGCATTTCCTCTTCTACACTTATCATCCTTCATGTGTCCTCTGAGGCTTTTGAGAATTTTTTGTTTTGTTTTGTTTAGACAGAGTCTTGCTCTGTCACCAGGCTGGAGTGCAGTAGCGCCATCTAGGCTCACTCTGCCTCCCAAGTTCAAGCAGTTCCCCTGCCTCAGCCTCCAGAGTAGCTGGGATTACAGGCGCCTGCCAACATGCCCGGCTAACTTTTGTATTTTTTAGTAGAGATGGAGTTTCACCATGTTGGTCAGTCTGGTCTCGAACTCCTGACCTCAGGTGATCCCCCCGCCTTGGCCTCCCAAAGTGTTGGGGTTACAGACGTGAGCCACCACACCTGGCCCATTGACTCCTCAAGATGAATTCCCATAGCATCCTGCATTTACCTTATTTCAGCACTTTGTATAATGCCTTTTATTTTATTTAATTATTTGGCAGCCTTTTCTAATAGAATGTAAATTCCATACAGGCCTGCATTGTGACTTTCCTGAGCCCCAGCCACTTTTGCCTTCATGGGTCCCTTTCTCCATAAAAACTATTAAAATTTTACTTTATGACTGCATTGGTCTAAAGACTAATGCAATCGAGCCTGGATAGTATATTCATTTTTTTTCTTCTCATTTTAAAAGAAATTAAAGCATTTTCATGAGCTCCTGTAAAGTATAGTGGGTGCTAGGCACTGTGCCTCCCATGCCTAATGGATAGAATGGCTCTGGTTTCACAAAGACAGAGACTGTGTCTGTCTTGATCATCACTGTGCACTCAATGCCTACTAGTGAGTAGGTGTTTAATAAATAGTTCTCGAGTGTATAAATGGATTGAAATTTTGCCAAACAAGAAGTATTTCTAACTATCTGGGCCACAAAAAGACTTCAAAATAATTTTAGGCTGGGTGCTAGTGGCCCATGCCTATGATCCCAGCATGCTGGGAGGCTGAGCAGAGAAAATTGCTTGAGTCCAGGAGTTCAAGACCAGTCTGGGGAGCAGAGGGAGTCCCTGCCTCTATGGAAAAAAAAAAAAGCATGGGCCTGCGCCTGTGGTCCCAGCTACTCAGGAGGCTGAGGTGGGAGGATTGCTTGAGCTCAGAAGGTCAAGGCTACAGGGAGCCGTGATTGCAGCACTGCACTCCAGCCTGGGTGGCAAAATGAGATCTTGTTTCAAAAAATAATAATAATAATAATTTTAATTGTCAAGATATCCTCATTTCATTCTTTTCATTGGATTTTCCCTCTAAATTCATTTGTGCTCTAGTTTTGACGTGTAGTTGAAAAATAGTCTACATTCTTTCATCATATTTATTATTAAAATATTCCAGATATGATTTATTTACCATTTGAAATAAACTCTTGACCATCTAGCCTTCCACTTCATTCTAACATCAAATGCGTGTGGTCGAACTGAGAATGTAGGCTTATGGTATATATTAGATTGCTTTATGTAGATTCTTCTATAATTATGTACTGGTTTTCTTTTATGTTTGAAAATAAGGATACAACAGGTAGATAAATTTAAAAGTCTGGTGGGATGTATAAGAGTTAGATTATGAGCCAATTCTGCTTTGCTTGTATGTATAAAATAATTGTGATTTTGACAATTTTGTGAATTTGCAATTTTGCCAAGCAAGGGGTCATCCAGCACTGACACATTGATATATGCTATTGATCTATGCTAACTAGCATATAGTCCCTTTCCTCAAGGAGCTTGCACATTAGTGCTATCCTTAAATTATTTTCCTGTATGGGATTAGGATGCACGATAACATTAGTAATCAAAAGGCTACTAGTTAATTATGTAATGTGAACTTAATTTGGTTTATGCTGGAAAGGAGAAAAATAAAGCCACCAATTCATTACAGTCTGCTTTTTTTGTTCTGTTTTTTTTTTTTTTGTTTTTATTAATCTGATTGCCTCCATCTTTGCATGCAATCTGCTTTTTATGGACCGTATTTACATGTGTGTTTCCACCACTCAATTGGGAGCTCTTGGAAGACAGGAGCACATTTTTTTCCAAATCCTTATTGCATCCAGAGAACTTGCTTTGTGTGTAGTAGATGCTCAGTAATTGTTTTTCTTTACTTAGATACATACAAAAAGCAAGCAAACAAGTCACTAATGATAAAATATTGCTAACACAAGCTCAAGGTTGGGAAATAATATTAAGTGGAGATGTTTCACCTTAAAAATAGAACCACGGAACTTATTCAAAGTACTGTTTCTGGCCGGGCCCAGTGGCTCACACCCATAATCCCAGTGCTTTGAGAAGCTGAAGCAGGTGGATCACTTGAGGTCAGGAGTTCGAGACCAGCCTGGGCAACATGGTGAAATCCCGTCTCTACTAAAATTACAAAAAAAAAGTTAGCCGGGTATGGTGATGGGTGCTTATAATCCCAGCTACTCGGGAGGCTGAGGCAGGAAAGTCACCTGAACCCAGGAGGCGGAGGTTGCAGTGAGCTGAGACTGCACCACTGCACTCCAGCCTGGGTGACAGAGTGAGAGTCTATCTCAAAAAACAAAACAAAACAAACAAAAAACCCCCCCAAAAACAAAACAAAAAGCAAGCGAACAACAGCAAAAAAACCCCACAAAGTACTGTTTCTAAAATACTCTTGATTTGCAAAATAATAATTGGTAGTCTTGGGAGAAAAGTGCATCTTGGTCATGCTTGAGCCAAGCAAACTACTCCTGTTCTATTCTATGGTACATCTTTCTAATGATAGAATATATATGTCCTCCTGCTCCTTTAGGCAGTATTCAAAATGTTATTTTTCTACAGTTAAGAGTCATGACATCGTTCTTCTTAACTTAAATATTTTATACTTTTGAAACATGTAGCAATTCCCATGGGAACAGATGTTATTTGCTGATAGTCTCTTAGGTTGTATCATTCTTGATGACATGGCTGAAAGCTCTTTTGTTTCATTAATAACATTTCTCCCATTGTAGGATGGGTAATCTCTGGGCAGGTTTCCCATTGCGAATTAAATCCAGCTAAAGAATGTGGATTCTTGTTGATTCTACAAAGAGTGTGACTTAATTTGGTTGCTATGAGTCAATTGTCACCTCAGTTATGGTTCCCCTAATCCTTGTTGATCAGAATCAATCACTTTTTTTTTCTGAGCTCTCCCAGTAGGGTACCGGTATCTCTATTTAGCAGTTATTTATTCTGCTGTAGTTACTTGCCTGTCTTATCTATTACAAGAAAGAATGAGGGTCTCTCTTATTCATCTTTGCATTCTCCATGCACCTAGCATAATGTCTTGCACATAGTAGATCTCAAAACATATTGGTTGGAAAAAATAATTTCAAAGTGGAGTAGAGTTTAAAATGCCTGTGATCTCCTTAGTGCTTAATGCATATTTTAAGAAGGTATACATTCTAACAGTAAGGGTGTGTGGATGTGTTTGGTGGAACTCCTATGTGAAATCAGGCTAGATTTTTTTTTTTTTCAAACAGAATTTTCATCAGCCAGGCAGCTTTCAGTGTTCACAACCTTATCACTACTGGCTGTAAATTTCTTTGAAAATGCCAAGTGAGGGTCACCAGGCTAATGGATTTATCCACTATGATATTCTAGGAAATTATGCCATCCAACTTGCCAGAAGTTGCTTCAAGGTCAAACACTGAAATATCTAAGTAGATTACAAGGGTGCCTGAAAGATTCCTTTTTGACAAAGTCTTGTCCATCTCTACATCTATATTCCGAACTCTGATTACATATTTCTACTGTCCATTGTTAAGATGTCTTTTCTTTACGACCTTTTCTATTTACAGTCAGAATCTAGCGGTTATTTGAATTCTCAGCTCGGTGTGTATTTCAGAAAATGTTACCCATTTAGCAAGTGCTTATTTGACTCTAAGGAACAAGGAATAAAATCAGGAAGATGAAAGAGTAACACTTCGTTCCTGTAAAGCAAGTGGACTCTGTTTGGTCAGGAATTAGAATACTATCACACCGGTGTGCTGAACTGGCTGAACAGCCTCTCTTACTGATCCATGTGTAATGATTGGCAGATATTGGGCATCCTACCAAACAAGGGACCATACAGCTCCCGTTCAGTCAGACCTTCTGAAAACATTATCCCTCACTGGCCACTTCCTGGCCAGTTATTCACTCAAGACAGGTCTTCAATCACCTGGCCAGTTATGAAACACAGCACTAACTACCTGGTTACTCTCTGGCTTCCTATTTACTTTGACAGATCTCTGATCACTGGGTTTATCACAGGAAAAACACCATCCTGAAAAGACATTAAGTGTATAGCAAAGACTCCAGCTTGAGCTTCAGTTGTGCTTCAGGTATGTTTTGAAATGCTTGATAGATTGTATATATATTCCTTGAAGACAGGAACCATCTCCTTTGTATTTTCTAAGTTGTACCTCTATCTTCATTGCCACTTTTGGGCTGCTGGTTTGACACTTCCCCTGCTTGATTTTTGAAATGCCTCATCTCACTTTGGCTTGGTTTGATTCAGCATGCCCTCCTTAACCTCCACACTGCATGTGTTAATGGCACTTCGGAGCAGCAAGGAGGAAGAGTGCTATATATGGAGGCAGGGGCATGAAGGGCTTCAAAGTAGAGAGAGATAAGTGGTCAGAGTTGGTTTTTTTTTTTTGAGACAGAGTCTTGCTCTGTTGCTTAGGCTGGGGTGCAGTGGCGCGATCTCGGGTCACTGTAACCTCGACCACCAGGGTTCAAGCGATTCTACTGCCTCAGCCTCCTGAGTAGCTGGGACTACAGGCGTGCCACCACGCTTGGCTAATTTTCGTATCTTTAGTAGAGATGGGGTTTCACCATATTGGCCAGGCTGGTCTCAAACTCCTGACCTCGTGATCCACCCACTTTGGCCTCCCAAAGTGCTGGGATTACAGGCGTAAGCCACTGCACCCGGCCCATAAATGGTCAGAGTTTTAAGACACTGGGTGATAAGAGGACTGAGAAATCAGCAGGGGTACATATTTTGAAGTGAGATTTCACCCATTTAGCTCCCTGCTCCCCAGGAATCCTTGGATTTTAGGCAAGATGCTAGACTTCTCACTGTATGATCAATAGGAGTTTGCGTCATTTTATAATTGGATATTAAATAGAAGAGTAGCCCCTGAAGGCTGGAGGACTTGGCAAATTTGGGTATTCTAGCAATTGTCATTATATATAGCTGTCTCTGTCAAAAATCCTGAGTTGGATTTTAACCCAGTTGAAGAGGAAAATCAAAGAGGAAGGCAGAGAAACATTTCTTTACATCTGTGCCAAGGGAACATGTGAGAATCTAACTCAAGATGTAGCATTGAATTTGATTCTGGAAAATACCAGAGAAGACTATAATTGAGTTCCTCTAAAGGAATAAGTTCTTTAATTCAATGTCATCTTTTACTTACAAAAAACATGCCATCACTGTGTACCAGGAAAGTAGAATTCTATTGTGCTCACCTTGAAGCGCTTTTTGTAATAAAGTCATTGGCAAGCTCTATTAATTTTTTAAAGGCAAGCAGGGGAAAAATAGTAAAACCCAAACCTCTAAATTTCTATTGATCACAGGATGCAGATCTTATTTATTGTCTCTATGTCACAAAATGGGAACATGTGGCGTTAAAAAATTAAACTTTGATCTAGGCTTCTTCCTTTCCTCTCCAGTAAATTCTATGAGTATTTTTAAAGGAGGAAAAACTAGGAAAAGCTTTTCTTTTGATGTCTAGGCACTATTTGGTTAGAATCATAGCAAATATGTTTTGTTTTTGAAGAAGCAGTATGGAATATTGTGTCGATGCTGTAATAAAGTATAGAATGTTAATGTGAAAATGTTAAATAGAGTTGTCAGACACTAATATTTTGAATTTGTAGTAAGTTTTGGTTAAATACATTTCTAAGATTAAGTGGTAAATTATGAGAACCAGGATTAACTCTGATCTGTAACATGTTCAAAGGAATACATATACTTGCAAAATAAAATGATTTAATTCTGTATAATTTCTCCATATGTTTCAGTTATTTTTTTTTCTGAGCAGGAAGAAGTACTAGAGCAAACTATAATCTGTTAGTAAGGTAAATATGAGAAGTCATAAAGTTTTTACTTCAAGATATTATTTACTTTCAAAGTTGAAACAATGCTGTGTTTTGTATTTGATAAGACTTAGACCTTGCTTCTTCTCTTTACGTGTAGAGAATTAGTTATCACAAACACTTGCTTTGGAGACTGGAGGACACAGAGATGCCTGAGTTTTTCCTGTTCAGTCATTCTGTTTCACAGTGGTTTCAGAGAGGAAATAATAACTGCTGCAATGACCTGGCAGTTTCTACTCCATGCAAGTCTAAGTAATTTGGAGGGGACACTGCATTCAGTCATTGTTTTGTGATAAAGAAGTACCTATATATTCAAGAGAAAAGAAAGTGGAGGCATGAATTCAGAGAATTATTTAAGCCCAATCCTCCATGTGCTGAATGAAAATCGCAGGCCCAAACAAAATTACAGGTATAGTTTTTGCCACTTTTCATAGGAAAGCATAATATGAGGCAATGTATTGAAATAAACTGTAAAAAGGCCTCAAGCAATTGAGGTTGGTCATTAGCTTTTTTTATAGGGAAATTCTCTATTTGGGTTACAGTGTCAAGGTTATCTTTCATCTGGAAAATTTTGTAATTTTGCATTGAATTAGAGGCTGTTACTTATTTTTAAAACTAGTGTATGCAAATTATGATTAAATTCCTGGGTATTTAATCTTTTGAATATCATTTAAAAAATAGAAATGATGGCACACTGAGATAATAATTAACTCATTATGAATAATTTATTTTATAGCTTGAAACTCTGCATAAAGCAAGTTGCTGTTGCCTAAATTTTCAGGCAGATTCTAGTTAAGATATCAGTAAGTTTGAGCCATGTATGTAGTATTATGTAGTGAGAAATATTTATAATGTGGATGCTAAAAATTCCCAGCTTGAAACCCTAAAAGAACTATGCTGTCCAAATAGTGTTTTCTAATACAATAAACAGCTTTTGCCTTCCTGAAAAACAGGGCAACTAAATCTGCTTTGACTATAGGTGGCTTTTATATTTTAAAAATTTACAGCAATTATAATTAATCTTTTTTAAGCTGGAGAGTGAATATAATCATCTTCTGATTACAGATTTTAAATAATGGAGGCCATTAGACATCACAGAATTTTCCAGGTTCAAACAGCTTGTCATTCATAGATGATATTAAATTCTCATGTCAAGGATCCACTGTTTGCCTATTTATTTATTTTATCCTTTTGCATTTTGTTGCTTCAGAATTTACTATGTGCCAAACAATATTCTAAGCATTTACAATAATCCTGTAAGGCAAGCACTGTTATTATCTCCATTTTATGGAGGAGAAGTGTGGTATAGTAGAAATAGTACTGTATGGGTTTAGCATCAAACAGACTTGGTTGAATCCTGAATCCACCACTTACTAACGATGTGGCCATAGGCACTTATTGTGTACTTATGTTGTGAACTTCAATTTCCTTTAAACAAAATGAGGGAAGATACTACGTACCTCACAGGGTTATTGTGAACATTAGATAGGAATACAGGAAATCACTTTACCCAGTTTCTGACAAATAATAAGTTTTCAATATAGTTTAATTTCCTTCCTATTCCCTTCAACCTTGTGTTAGTCAGGACTCTTGGTTACAAGTGATGGGAACCCACATCAAATGGACTTTAACAAAAACGAAAACGTTGGTTCATTTAACAGGGAAATTTAGGGGTTCTACCAATGTCAGTAGAATGTCTGTCTCTTGGCACTGTGTTCCACTGTTTTGGCTTATTTTCATGCAGACTATCAATCTAATCCATTTAAAACCTTAATCGGCTTTTTACCAATTTGCATCTGGTCAGCGTTACGGGCTGGTAACCAAAGACACATATCTCCGTGAGTCATGGTGTTGTAGGAAAAACCGGTTCTTGTCACACGACCAGGAAAGATTAGGCTCGCAGGCACTTTGAAGGGTGAGGGGTAACAGAATTTATTGGGCAAAAAGGAAAAAGGAAAAACAACACAGCAAAGTGAGATGAAGTCCTGCTAACAGGCTCTCCACCTCATCGATTAAATTCCAGGTCACCACACAGGAACAGGAAAGGCCAGGCTCCTCCCCCCTGCAAATGGTGCGAACTTTCCTGGCTCCACCCTGTTCTTCCAGTGCGCAGGCCGGTTGGAGATTCTCCAAGGACTCTTTTATGCTTGGCTGTTTCAATGGCCCTTGAATCTGTGCCTCAGAGTTTCTGTCTTTAGGCAACAGACCTAGGGCTTTGACCATTGACTCAACGCTTAGTTAAATGGCATCTGTCTTGCTCATTCTTGGGATAATACAAGTAATAGTAGGTTAGGGTGTGGTGGAGATAAAGTTCATCTGTCTCTTGCCCGTGGCAGAATCCCAATGAACTGTTCTTTAAAATGCAGGTAGTTGTGCTCTTTGTCACACAGGAAATGCACAGGATAAAGTCATAGGTAAGGAGCTAGGGGATTAGTACCAGTCTTATCTCTTGTGATATATCCTGTTTTGTAAACTTTACTCACATTAAGTTTAGCTTGGAGCAGAGTATACAGCACTTCCAACCTGGTAAGATTCATGGTTATCTGTCAGTCATTTTGTATTGCTGGCCATAAGCAGAAGGTGTCTCCTTATGTACTTTCAGACACATAAGCTTGGGCCACAGCTTTTATCTTCCTGATAGGCACTTATTCAAGATCAAAAGCAGTAATCAATGAAATTCAATAACCTGAAGTATTTATATCAAGTACCCAAAGTCTGAATCCTAGGATACAATAGGAACAGTTTAATAAGCTACTGCAAAATAGAGCTTGCCTATTTTCCAGCTGGAGACAAGAGAATCTTTAATGTCCTGCATTCTAATCACAATCGACCAGTTCCACTTTTGTGATATGTTACTTTTCAGTACCACTCTTCTAGATATCAATATCAATTTTTTTGCGATAGGGTGTCACTCTGCTGCCCAGGCTGGAGTGCAGTGGCACAATCACGGTTCACTAAAGCCTTGACCTCCCTGGGCTCAGGTGATCCTCCTACCTCAGTGTCCCAAGTAGCTGGGACTACAGGCACACACCACTATGTCTGGCTAATTTTTGTATTTTTTGTAGAGATGGGGTTTGGCCATGTTGTCCAGGCTGGACTTGAACTCCTGAGCTCAAGCAATCCTCCCACCTCAGCCTCCCAAAGTGCTGGGATTACAGGTGTGAGCTGTCGCTCCCAGCCCAGTATCAATTTTATGAGCGGTCTTTGGGTTTCAAGGGACAAAAACCAATTCAAACTTGTTTATTGACTTACATGATGAAGATGTTCTGGAATGGCTAAATCTAAAGGTTCAAATCTTATCATGAGAGTGCTGTACCTCTCTAAGCAAATGGGCAATTAGCATACCGAATGATAAAGTTAGCTGTAGGGTGCCATGCTAGAACAGAATAGAAAGCCAAATAAAATTTCTCTTTTTCTTAAAAAGTTCCTAGTATAGCAGGAAACATATACATATAGAGACATCAGTCTATATAACCTGTAAAACCTTAAGGAAGAAGAGCATGAGAAGTGGTCTTTGAAAAGGAAGATAAATGGAGAAAGAAATGGAGCTTTCCTAGAAATATAGCCAGCCGAAGAGAAAGTAGAATTATATACAGTTCATATATAATTCAATTCTACAGACATGCCATCAGTGTATATTAGTTTGCAGAGAGATACAGATTTATACAAATGTTTGAAGCAAAGTACCATTTAGCGAATTTTTGAAACACTAAAATCTTAAGTCCTTAATTCATTGAGTCATTCAGTAGATTGACTGCCTATGTTATGCTGGGTGCTATGTTCTTTGAAGCCTCACTGAGTCTTTGAAATAAACCTTTTCACAGTAGTTGGTAGTTTTTATAATAAATAGGACTTTCAAAATACAACCTTTAACACACAAATATGAGATGCCTCCTGAGCTGAAATGCTAAGTTTTGTTTTGATGATGTTTTGCTGCAATCTTCCAAACTTCCATTTAAACATATTTCCTTTAATCATAAAGATGATGTCAAAATTCATTCAGAAATGTCTTCAAAATTCTCATTAGCACATGAAGAAAATTTTCATTGATTTGATTGAAGGAAAAGGCGAGCACTTCCATACATATTCTTGAAAGGGAAGATAGAAGCCTGCACTCCAACTGATGAAGGCCAACTATTGAGTTTTACTGATCTTTCTTTTTCCCTAAAAGGGTTACTTCTCTTTTCCTCAGTTTGCTTTCTTCTACCAAAGAGTAACAATGACTTATTCTGTGATTGAGAACTAAACAGCCAAGCTCTGACCTGAGCATAGAGGGAGTAGGGCTTGCCATGTAATGTCTAGCTGTTACTTACACTTGGCTTTTTGCTTGCATTTCTTTGTGGCAGACAAATAAGTGATACAATCTTTCTGAAAGCTTTCAGAATGTCCCAGAGGGCTGCCTTAGAAAAAGCCAAATCTCTGCTGAACTCAAGAAAGAAAGCAATTTCTGTCCATGTGAAAGACGGAGAGAGTAGAACAGTGTATTGACCACTGTGGGGATTTTAAGGGTATCTAGGGAAAATCAGTTTCCCTAGGGTACAATCTAAATTTTATTTGATGGATGGTATCTACTGATGTAGCTCTGTCTTTTGTAAAGAAGCAAGCCAACTTATTATTGACTTATGAATCTGAAGAAAAAAGGCAGGGAAAATATAAAGCAGCAGCATGCTTTCTCACTGTCAAGTGTACATGGATTTGATGTCAAAATGAAGTTAACATTTGTCTTGGGAATCACTTTGAATAATTTAGAAATAATATTAAATGATTAACACCTATGTTCTGTCATTCTTGTTCCTACCTGTTCTCATATGATATAACGTTATTATACATTGTGTTTCATCCCGAAGGATCCCAGGGTGGTTTACAATCACGCCATACTTTTAAATCAGTCCAGGTCTCCTGGTTGAACAATGTATTTGGGATGACAGAATTATAACTTTCTTGGCAGACCCATGCATAATTCACTAAGATTATCTGCACTACAAAAAAAATCAGTTTATATATAATTCTTAATAATGGAAAAATCACTCCCTTAAGTTGAATGCTTGTCAAAATGAGGAAGAGGCTGAACTAGCAATGCTGAGTAAGAGTACTAGGCCGGGTGCGGTGGCTCATGCCTGTAATCCCAGAACTTTGGAGGCTGAGGTGGGCAGATCATCTGAGGTTGGGAGTTCAAGACGAGCCTGACCAACATGGAGAAACCCCGTCTCTACTAAAAATACAAAAATCAGCTGGGCATGGTGGTGCATGCCTGCAATCCCAGCTACTCAGGAGGCTGAGGCAGGAGAATCTCTCGAACTCGGGAGGCGGAGGTTGCGGTGAGCCAAGATCGCGCCATTGCACTCCAGCCTGGGCAACAAGAGCGAAACTCCATCTCAAAAAACAAAAAAAAGCAAAGAGTACCAAACTTGTGTTATCATTCTGTTTCCACCAGGGATGGGCTTGTAAAGGATTGTGTAAAGGGGACTGATACATAGAGCAAATTACATAGTTTATGTATCTGGATACATCAGTGAGTTACAATGCATTGCCCTGTGTTCCAGAACTCTAGCTAGAGTCAAAGGGCTTGTTAAACCTACACTGGTCACTCTTCTGTGAAAGGAACCATATCAGGCATACCAGACCTGTACTACATACCCTGCTTGCCCTTTTGCTGCTGCTCAAATTCAAAGTGTCTGTGTTAAGGTGCTCCCACTCATCTTCCTCACATTGATAGACTGAAAGAAAGAAAAGAAGCAGATGAAACTTAACAAAATCAGTTTGTGCAACTTACAGAGCATATCTGCCAATAAAATGTTATTTGTAACTTAGAGTTTATAATAATTTGGACACAGCATTACTATTTTTAAAATATTCTTAATTTTTTTGGTATATATTTATGAGGTACAATGTGATATTTTGATTGTGTATTCACAGCAGAATGATTAAGTCAAGCTGATTAATATATCCATTGTTTCACATACCATTTTTTTTTTTTTTTGTGGTGAGAGCATTTGAAATCTACTGTCTTGGTAATTTTCAAGCATACAGCACATTATTATTAACTATAATCATCATGCTGTATAATAGATCTCCAGAACTTATTTCTCTTTTCCAACTGACACTTTGTGTGTGTGTGTGCGTGTGTGTGTGTGTGTGTGTGTGTGTTTGATGGAGTCTCTCTCTATTGCCCAGGCTGGAGTGCAATGGCATGATTTCAGCTCACTGCAACCTCTGCCTCCCAGGTTCAACCAATTCTCCTGCCTCAGCCTCCCTAGTAGTTGGGATTACAGGCACCTGCCACCATGCCTGGTTAATTTTTTTTGTATTTTTAGTGGAGACAGGGTTTCACTATGTTGGCCAGGCTGGTCTCAAACTCCTGACCTCAAGTAATTTGCCTGCTGTGGCCTCCCAAAGTGCTGGGATTACAGGCCTGAGCCACCACACCCAGCCTGAAACTTTTTGTTCTTTAACCAACATCTCCCCATCATGCCCTCCGCCCCAGTCCCTGGTAATCACCATTCTACTCTAATTCAATGAGTTCAACTCTACTTCAATGAGTTCAACTATTTTAGATTCCACATATAAGTGAGATCAGGCAGTATTTGTCTTTCTGTGTCTGGGTTTGTTTCACTTAATGCCCTCCAGATTCATCTGTGTTGTTGCAAATGGCAGGATTTCCTTGTTTTTAAAGGCTGAATAGTATTCCATTATGTGTATGTACCACATTTTCTTTATCCATTCATCTGTTGATGTCAGCATAATTCTTACTGAGAAAAAAGCTCAAAATTTCTTTCTTTTGACTTTAAGGGCTAACTAAAGATTAAGAAGAATCAGAATTCAGTAGTTTATCCAACCCTGGTACCAAAAACTTAAGGCCCAGTCCAAACTTCCAGGTGGCTTTGTTTACACTGTGAGGGGAAAACCACCTACTCAAGCCTCAGTAATGGCAGACACCCCTCCCCCCACCAAGCTGGAGTGTCCCAGGTCAACTTCAGACTGCTGTGCTCGCAGGGAGAATTTCAAGACAGTGGAGCTTAGCTTGTTGGGCTCCATGGGGGTGGGATCTGCTGAGCAAGACCACTTGGCTCCCTGGCTTCAGCCCCCTTTCCAAGGGAGTGAACGGTTCTGTCTCGCTGGCATTCCAGGTGCCACTGGGGCATGAAAAAACTCCTGCAGCTAGCTCAGTGTCTGCCTAAATGGCCACTCAGTTTTGTGCTTGAAACCAGGGCTCTGGTGGTGTAGGCACCCGAGGGAATCTCCTGGTCTGTGGGTTGTGAAGACCATGGGAAAAGCGTAGTATCTGGGCCAGATAGCACAGTTCCTCACGGCACAGTTCCTCATGGCTTCCCTTGGCTAGGGGAGGGAGTTCCCCAATCCCTTGTCCTTCCTGGGTAAGGCGACACCCCACCCTGCTTCGCTTCGCCCTCTGTGGGCTGCACCCTGTCTAACCAGTCCCAGTGAGATGAACCGGGTACCTCAGTTGGAAATGCAGAAATCACCTGCCTTCTGCGTTGGTCTCACTGGGAGATGCAGACTGGAGCTGTTCTTGTTCGGCCATCTTGCCCGGGAATCCTTCTCTTTAGTCTTAAAATGTAACCTTGAAACAAACTGGAGAAACCTTTTATTCGCCCTTAGTCTTAGAATATAGCCTTAAAATGTACTTTGAAACTCTGTCTCCTTTCCTTTCCCAGGAGACACTCTTATCTAACTGTATGTTTGTTGAGAAATTCCAGGGGCTAATTTTAAAACAAACCAGGCGTGGAGACACAGCTGCAGAATTCTCTTCCATTTAGAGATTACCTCAAGATGGAAAATCTACAGCCCAGTCACAACTTAGATGGGGTCAACCAGCACTCCAGGTAGACAATAACTCACAATAGCCATTGGAACAAGACACACAGACCCTGAACTCTGCACAACTCCTGCATGCCTTCCATACCAAGTTTCCCTTCTTAAAACCCTGCCCTTAGCTGAAAACTTGGAGATGGTTTCTTTGAGGCTTGAGCCTGGCCATGTCCCAACTGCTAGAATTTGATAAATAAAGGTACTTTTCTTTCACCACATCTCGCTTCTCACGTTTTGACTTCCGAACAGTGATCAGCTGGCTTTGCATTCAGTTACAGAATTACACTAGTCTGTGCATACTAAGAGGTGGAGATCACTGGAGGCCATCTTAGAAGCTGCCTATCACACCAGCGCTTTGCATGACTCTCGAGCATAGTCCAAAGTGACCAGTCTAGACTTTCTCGGTAATTAAATTAGAATTTCTCTGTGTAAACACATATTGTTTTATCTTTAAAATTACATGTAAATGTTTGTGTGGTACTCCAAGTATAGATACATTTGTATAAAAGTAATGCTTTCCCCCAAATCTTTAAGTACAATTGAGGCTCCAGGAAGATGTCTATTTTATGGCATCATCGGCACATTGCATCTTTCTACCTCAGCGCTAAGGGTTACTAGTTTGAGAGGGTCTGGATTATTTTGAAGCTCATCAGGGTCTTGTTGTCAGGGCTGAATTTTCATCTCCTCTAAATTCATTTGCCCTATTTAAAATTCTCCCATTAACCATATTCTTTTGTTTAATCCTGGCATTCTGTATTATATAGAAGTTAAACTTTTCTTTCGATGAATGGGAATATTTTAAACTATATTCAGAAGTTGAACACTTAGTCTGTGCTCAGCTTTCAAACAGAGCTGATTTTATTTATCAGGCCAAGGATTTACCAGCTATTTATTTATCTGTACTTGACTTTGCAACAGATTAGGTGGCAACTTCTGGGTATGAAATTTCTCCTCTCTTTTGTTTAGAAGGAGAAACTTCAAAGGAAGGGAAATTTTTGAATTTATTATTGAAAAATTAGAGGGCTATGTGAAGGCTGTCAGGGAATGTGTGAACTATTATCACAGTATTGCTTTCAAGTTCTATGTACATAAATGTTTCTGTTATTTTGCTTTTATTATACTAGTGACCTTCAAGAATTTTCTGATAAACAAACTCTGATAAACTATGTTTTTTGGTGGGTAAGGGAAGATTCTATATATGTTAGTTTTTCTTTTTTTCATTAACATGCATATTTCATAATATTAAGTTTTTATTTTTCTGTGGATAAACCACTAGTCTGCTCTCTTTGGAACCTGTGCTAGAATTGAAGGAACCTCATTTTGCTAATATATATTTGCCAAAAAAAAAAAAAAAAGACAAAGCCAAGTGGCTTTCTTTCCATCTTCCCACTGACTCTCTTTTTTTATTTTTTTAAATAAAGGGAATTCTTTTTTTTTTTTTTTTTTTTTTTTTATCCAAAGGGTGAGCTACTTGCCAAGCATACTGATAGGGGAGTCAGATGTTAGATGCTATTTCAGGTGGGAGATAAGCAGCAAAGTATTAAAAAATACAAGGCATTCAAATCTGATATATTGTATGATCAGATTATTCACTGCCACATAGAAAATAGGAAACAGCCTGATTTGGATTTCTGCTCACTTACAGGCCTATATGGAGTCAGCAGAGGTGATTTTTCCTCTTCCTTCCTTCCTTTTTTCTTTTTTAAAAAATATTTTAAGGATCAGGGATTTCTGTACCTTTCTCATATTGTGAAGAAAGTAGAAAATGCTGGAAGGAAACATATTTCCCCTTCACTATATATATTTTGGTAACAGTTTTATTGAGATATAATTCAGATATCACACAATTCACCCATTTAAAGCGTTCCATTCAATGGTTTATACTATACTTACAGAGTTCTGCAACCATCACCGCAATCAATTTTAGAACATTTCATCACCTCAAATAGAAATCCTATACCCTTTAGCTATGACTCATAAACTCCCACCTCCCCATTTCCTTCCAGCCATAGGCAGCCAATATTCCATTTTCTATTTCTTTAGAGTTCCCTATTCTGGACACGTTACATAAATGGAATCATAAAATGTGGAATTTGTGTCAGCTTTCTTTCAGTTAGCACAATATTTTCTTTTTTTTAATATTATACTTTAAGTTCTAGGGTACATGTGCCAATGTGCAGATTTGTTACATATGTATACATGTGCCATGTTGGTTTGCTGCACCCATTAACTCGTCATTTACATTAGGTATTTCTCCTAATGCTATCCCTCCCCCATCCCCCCACCCTACAACAGGCCCCAGTGTGTGATGTTCCCTGCCTTGTGTCCAAGTGTTCTCATTGTTCATTTCCCACCTATGAGTGAGAATATGTGGTGTTTAGTTTTCTGTCCTTGTGATAGTTTGCTCAGAATGATGGTTTCCAGCTTCATCCACATCCCTACAAAGGACATGAACTCATCCTTTTGTATGGCTGCATAGTATTCCATGGTATATATGTGCCACATTTTCTTAATCCAGTCTATCATTGATGGACACTGGGGCTGGTTCCAAGTCTTTGCTATTGTGAATAGTGCCACAATAAACATATGTGTGCATGTGTCTTTATAGTAGCATGATTTATAATCCTTTGGTTATATACCCAGTAATGGGATCACTGAGTCTAATGGTATTTCTAGTTTTAGATCCTTGAGGAATCACCACACTGTCTTCCACAATGATTGAACTAATTTACACTCCCACCAACAGTGTAACAGGGTTCCTATTTCCCCACAACGTCTGCAGCACGTGTTGTTTCCTGACTTTCTAATGATCGCCATTCTAACTGGTGTGAGATGGTGTCTCATTGTGGTTTTGATTTGCATTTCTCTGATGGCCAGTGATGATGAGCATTTTTTCATATGTTTGTTGGCTGCATAAATGTCTTCTTTTGAGAAGTGACTGTTCATATCCTTTGCCCGCTTTTTGATGGGGTTGTTTGTAAATTTGTTCAAGTTCTTTGTAGATTCTGGATATTAGCCCTTTGTCAGATGGATAGATTGCAAACATTTTCTTCCATTCTGTGGGTTGTCTGTTCACTCTGATGGCAGTTTCTTTTGCTGAGTTAGCACAATGTTTTCAAGGTTCATACATGTTCTAGCACAAATAAGAAATTCATTCCTTTATATAGCTGAATAATATTTCATTGTATGGGTGTAACATTTTGTTTAATCATTCCTCAGTTGGTGGACATTTTAGTCGTTTCTACCTTTTAGGCTACTATGGATAATGCTGCTATAAATATTCATTTATAAGTTTTTGTGTGGGGATATGTTTTCATTTCTTTTGAGTATATTCCTTAAAGTAGAATTAGGGAATCAAAAGATAACACTATATTTAAATTTTTGAAAAACTTCTGGACTGTTTTCCAAAGTGACTGCACCAGTTTCCATTTCCACCAGCAGCATATGATGGTTTCAATTTCTCCACATCCTCTCCAACACTTTTTTTTTGGTCTGGCTTTTCAATTATAGACATCCTAGTGGGTGTAAGAAGTGTCTCATTGGGATTTTGATTTGTATTATCTTGATGGCTAATAATGTCAAGCATGTATTCATGTGTTGATTGGATATTTGTATATCTTCTTTGAAGAAGTGTCTATTCAGATCCTTTGTCCATTTTTTATTTGGGTTATTTATCATTTTTATTATTGAGTTGTAAATGTTATGTATATGTTCTAGATACAAGTCTCTTTCAGATATATGATTGGCACTTTCTTCCATTCTGTGGGTTGTGTTTCCACTTTCTTAATAGTATACTTCGAAGCACAAGTGTTTAATTTTTATGAAGTTCGATTTATATATTTTTGTTTTGTTGTCTGTGCTTTTGATAGTATATCTAAGAATCCATTTCCAAATCCAAGGTTATCAAGATTTATCCCTATGTTTTCTTGTAAGAGTGTTATGGTTATAGCACTTATGTTTACATAATTGATCCGTTTTGACTTGTTTTTTATATGGTGTGATGTAGGAGGTTCAACTTCATTCTTTATGCATTTGGCTATTAAGTTGTTCCAGCACCATTTGTTGAAGAGACTATTCTTTCCTTATTGAATGATCTGATACCCTTGTCAAAAATCAATTGACCATGGATATATGTTTTTTTCCCTGAACTCTCAATTCTATTTCATTGATCTATATATGTCTACCCTTATGCCACTACCACACTGTCTTGATTAGTATTGCTTTGTAGTAAGCTTGGAACTGAAAAGTGTGAGTCTTCAAACTTTGTTCTTTTTTAAAGATTGTTCATGTTATTATGGGTCCTTTGAATTTCTATATGAATTTTAGTATCAGCTTGTCAATTTCTGCAAAAAAAGCCAGATGAGATTCTGATAGGGATTGAATGGAATCTATAGATCAATTTAGGGAATATTGAGATCTCTATTATACTAAGTCTTCTGATCATATAAATATGATATCTTTCCATTTATTTGGATCTTCTTTAACTTCTTTCAACATTATTTTTTAGTTTTCAGTGTATGTTTTGCACCTATCTTGTTAAATTTATTCCTAAGTATTTTTTTATGCAATTGTAAATGGAATTGTTTTCTTACTATCATTTTGGATTGTTCACTGCAAGTATATGCAAATAAAATTAATTTTTGTATGTTGATCTTGTATCCTGCAACCTTTCTGAACTCATTTCCTAATTCTAATAGATGTTTAGTGGTTCATTACATTTTAAATTGAAAAATAACAAATACTTACTTTAAAAGCCAATCTATATCAATATCTGTATCTATCTATATCTATATCTATATATCTATATCTATATCAATCTATATCAATCTGTATCAATCTATATCTATATCAATCTATATCATATATCTATATGCAAAATTTTTCCAATGCATTTCTTAAAGTAATGTTTTCTGTCACACCTTTCTCTATGCTTATTCAAATACGTGCGTGTGCACACAGACACACACACACACACACACACACACCTCTCTGTAAGGTAATGCATATACATAGAACACATTCTTTTTTTTTAAATTTTATTATTATTACACTTTAAGTTTTAGGGTACATGTGCACAATGTGCAGGTTTGTTACATATGTATACATGTGCCATGTTGGTGTGCTGCACCCCTTAACTTGTCATTTAACATTAGGTATATCTCCTAATGCTATCCCTCCCCCCTCCCCCCACCCCACAACAGTCCCGGGAATGTGATGTTCCCCTTCCTGTGTCCATGTGTTCTCATTGTTCAATTCCCACCTGTGAGTGAGAACATGCGGTGTTTGGTTTTTTGTCCTTGCGCTAGTTTGCTGAGAATGATGGTTTCCAGCTTCATCCATGTCCCTACAAAGGACATGAACTCATCCTTTTTTATGGCTGCATAGTATTCCATGGTGTATATGTGCCACATTTTCTTAATCCAGTCTATCGTTGTTGGATATTTGGGTTGGTTCCAAGTCTTTGCTATTGTGAATAGTAGAGCACATTCTTTTTTTTTTTTTTTCTTTTTTTTTTTGAGACGGAGTCTTGCTCTGTCGCCCAGGCTGGAGTGCAGTGGCGCAATCTCGGCTCACTGCAAGCTCCGCCTCCCAGGTTCACGCCATTCTTCTGCCTCGGCCTCCCGAGTAGCTGAGACTACAGGCGCCCGCCACTATGCCCAGCTGATTTTTTTGTATTTTTAGTAGAGACAGGGTTTTACCGTGTTAGCCAGGGTGGTCTCGATCTCCTGACCTCGTGATCTGCCCACCTCTGCCTCCCAAAATGCTGGGATTACAGGTGTGAACCACTGCGCCTGGCCAAGCACATTCTTTTTCGATGGTGGTATAATATTACATGATGTTGATGCACCATTTTGTTGAATTATTTTCTTGTTAATGGAAATTGATATTTTCTTTTAATTATTTGGTTTACCATTAAGTTAATAATGCAAAGCAACAATTTGTGTATGTTCTTACTATAAAGGTCTGGGATTTGATTTTACCCTAATTCTAAGCTAACCAGTTCGACTGCCATGGTTTCATAGATGCTATAGAAGGCAAAATACTTCTGGGTTAAAGACAAAAGGTATTATTACATACAGCACTGCAAGCAGTATGAGCACAAGTATATTCACATCAGTTCCCGTTGTTCCTCAGTCCCGCAGGGGAGATGATATGGCCCTGATTGATGCTTTATAGGCAGTGTGTTTGTGGTACACCTGAGGAGCACTAAGCTTAGAAAATCGACCATTTTTGTAGCAGACAGTAAGTAAGCCTGCTTTTGTACTCATTCCTGAAGGTTGCTCACTGCAAACATAACCTGAGGAATGGACCAAGTAAAGAGCAATCAGGCTTTTATGTTCTTAGCATACTCAGCAAGATATGTAGGATTCCGAGAAAACCATGGATGACTGTTTCTCCTACAACATACGTACTGGTCATTTTTATTTCTTAGGCTAGATTTCCCAATGTGGGACTCTGGTTAAATTATGTGTGTGCATGTATATGTTTATATATATATGTATATATACACACATACACACATATATGTGTATGCATATGTATATACACAAATATGTATATACACACACATACAAATATACTGGTTAAACTATATACGTGTGTGTATGGTGTATATATACATATAATTAGTCTTTTTAATTGGAATGCTTCTCTTTTTATCATCAGTTTGGAGGATATAAACTTTTTGTTGTAATTTTTCAAATATATTTCCCAGTTTATCATTGCCTTTTGACTTTAAATTATATATATGTATATATATAATCTAACCTTTATATTTATATATGTACATTATATTTACATGTATATATGCATATACATATGTGTGTATATGTATGTATACATATGTGTATATGTGTGTATATGTATGTATACATATGTGTATATGTATGTATACATATGTGTATATAGACATAGGTGTATGTATACATGTATGTGTATATATGTAACCACTGTTTATTTAAATATAAGCCACTATTTTAATATAAATATATTTATATTTACATATATAATTTAACTTACTATATTTTATTTAACTGGATGTTGGCAGATTGGTTTTTAGAAGGTTGCAAAAATTTACACTCTCACCAGTAACATTGGTATATACCCATTCTTAAAAATATTCTCACCAATGTTGAATCCTGTAACTTTTCTCTGAGTACTAGTGAGGTTGACCACATTTTCATATTTAGTGGACACTCTTCTCTCAAATACCTCTTCAAATCTGTATCAGTTAGAAATGTTTTTTGGCTGCAAGTATCAGGCTATCTGGTTAAGAGTGATTTAAGCAATAATGACAATTAATACCACATTACAAGATGTCTATAAGTAAGCAGAAAGTTGATCATGCAGTTGCTCAAAAATGGCATCAAAATCCCAGGATTTCTTTCTTTCAGATATACCATTCTTTGCAGGTGGGGAATTGATGTTTGCAAGCTATGTGCCACAGCTCCAGGCATCATGTCCACATTAAAGGCAGATAAAAGAGAAGATGAGCAGCAAGAGCTGTATCTGTTTCTTTTATAAAAACAAAACAAAAGCTGTTTCAGAAGCCACTCCCTTTTCCACAGCAAACTTCTAGTTAAGTCTCAGTGACCAGATCTGGGATGTATGGCCATTCATAGAGGCTGGGAAAGCAAGCATTAACTTTTCTAGCTTCCATAGTATTTGTGGGTAAGAGGTAAGGGAGAGCAAAGCTGGAAATGGTTGCTCTGTTAGCTGACTATGATGGTTAATTTTATGTGTCAACTTGGCTGGGCCACAATGCCCAGATATTTGGTCAAATATTATTCCGGATGTCCTTTGGTGCTTTTTGATAGGATTAACATTTAAATTGGAAAATTCAGAGTAAAGTAGATTGTTCTCCATAATGTAAGTGGGCTAAGTTCAAATAGTTTCAAGGTCTGAAAAAAGACTGACCTCTTCTGAGCAAGAGTGAATTCTGTGGCAGAGTGCCTTAGGCCTGGAACTGCAGTCCTATCAACTCTTCTCTGGGTTTCCAGCCTGCTGGCCGACCCTGCAGATTTTGGCCTTGCCAGCCTCCTTAATTGTGGGAGCCAGTTCCTTAAAAACAATCTCTTTTTCTCTATATACACATTTCCTATTAGTTCTGTTCTCTGGAGAACCCTGACTAATACACCAACTAATAGTATTTGCCAGAATACTTTTGGCTCCTTTTAAATTGTTTCTTTTTTTTCTCATCAATTTGTAGGATATTAACTTCTTGTCATATTCTTTTTCAAATATCTTTTCTAGTTTGTTATTGCCTATTGCCTTTTGACTTTAGTTTCTTTCTTTTTTTTTAAAGCTATGAGCTATTTCAAACAGAAAAAATATACAGAGAAAAATATAATGAACACTCATGCGCTTTTTTTTTTTTTTTTTTGAAACAGAGTCTTGCTCTGTCACCTAGGCTGGAGTGCAGTGGCATGATCTCGGCTCACTGCAACCTCTGCCTCCTGGGTTCAAGCGATTCTCCTGCCTGAGCCTTCTGAATAGCTGGGACTACAGGCACGCCTGGCTAATTTTTTGTGTTTTTAGTAGAGATGGAGTTTCGCCATATTGCTCAGGCTGGTCTCGAACTTCTGACCTCCATTGATCTGCCTGCCTACCTTGGCCTCCCAAAGTGCTGGGATTACAGGTGTGAGCCACCATGCCAAGCCCTCATGTACTCTTTATCCAGTTTTATTAAATACTAACAATATGGCATTCTGCTTCAGATCTTTTTAAACTAATAAAACAATACTAATAGAATTGAAAGTCCTATATTCTCCACTCTAAGCCCAGCATGCTCCCTCTGTAAAGCTACCTCTGTCCTAATTTTTGTGCTTATCATTACGGTGTACATTTTTATACTTGTTTTATGTGCTGTTATTCTTGGATAAATGATATGTGTATATACATTTCTGTCTTCTTAACAAATATGGAGTTTTTGATGTTATGTGTAGGATTTTATATATGTCTATTTGATCAAACAACTCACTGTTCAAAGCATATATTTCTTTATTAATTTTTTTTTTTTTTTTGAGACGGAGTCTCGCTCTGTCGCCCAGGCTGGAGTGCAGTGGCGCGATCTCGGCTCACTGCAAGCTCCGCCTCCCGGGTTCACGCCATTCTCCTGCCTCAGCCTCCCGAGTAGCTGGGACTACAGGCGCCCGCCACCACGCCCGGCTAATTTTTTGTATTTTTAGTAGAGACGGGGTTTCACCGTGTTGGCCAGGATGGTCTCGATCTCCTGACCTCGTGATCCGCCCGCCTCGGCCTCCCAAAGTGCTGGGATTAAAGGCGTGAGCCACCGCGCCCGGCCTCTTTATTAATTTTTTGTTTGCTTAATCTATCAATCACTGAGAGAGATTTGTTAATGTTCCTGTTGTTAAAATTTAAAAGGGAATCTATTTCCCTTTTAAACGCTGTCACTTTCTGTTTGCATATTTTGATACTTTGCTAACCCGTTCATGGCAAGTTTAGAATTGTTACATCTTCCTGGAAAATTGGAACTTTTATCATTGTGCAGGTATCTCCTTTTCCTGAGCCCTTACCCACTTTTTTCCTTAAAGCGGCTTTTGTTTGCCGTTTATATAGTAATCATGACCCTTTTTTGGTTAGCATTTGTCTAAAAAAAATTTTTTTACCCTTTTATTTTGAACTTTTCTACTTCTGAAGTTTTAGGTATGTCTCTCAAAAATAGCATTTAGCTGAATTTCTTTTTTTCTCTCATCATCTAAACACTTCTGTTTTATAATTTAGTTCATTTAAAAATACGTGATTACATATGCATTTGTAATGTATTGTTAATGATTTGTTTTGTGTTTTCTACTTACCATGGCTTTTTTCTTTACCTCTTTTTCTTGAACTCCTGGCCTCAAGCAATCCTCCCACCTCCGTCTCCCAAAGTGCTGGGATTACAGACCTGAGCCACCACTCCGGCCTCTTTACCTTTTTTCTTTTTCTCCTTTCCTGCTTTCTAGATTTGCCATTCTCATCTTTTCTCCATCTTCTAGTTTGAAGTCTGACCTCTCCAGAATGATTTTTCATTTGATTGTCAGTAGCCCCAGAGTTATCACCAGTCTGTGATCATTCTGCATGTGGTGAGTTTTGGGGAATGGTTTCTGGATCAAATGGGTAATGTAAATTCAAACCATAAACCTGTTTTTAGAAGACAAGCTTATGTTAATAAATTCTTAAAGGAGACTCCCTACCCACCCCCCCAAACCCTGAAAAGAAAGCAACATGATATAGACAATTTCTTGTGACAGTTGTTTGTGTGCTTCTACTTCTTCCTTTTATTGCGGTTGCAGCTGTTCAAGACTCATTTTTGTGAGGAATTTCTCAGTTTCAGCTCCACACTTAATGTATACTCTATGCCATATCTTGCCTCTGCTTGGACTTTAGAACTCAAACTTCAAACTTGTTCTGACCAGCAACATTCCTCAATGTGCCTGCAGTTTCAGCTCTGGGTTTTCTCTGGCTTTCAATTTTCTCTTCATTCTTTGCCACTGGTAATCTCCTTTACTTTCATTGGAGCACAGCTAGGCATTTAAAAAGATGTTTGCTACATTTTACCCAACATTCCTAGCTGTTTTGTAGTTGGGGGATTTTCAGGTTCTCTAGTCTGCCATATTTGTAGAAATGGAAGTTGAACTTCAAAATTTTTAATACTTTTTTTCTAACAAGTTATTTAGGTTTTCACTTGATCAGGATGACAATAAGGACCTTGAGATTCACTAACCCTATTTTGTTATCAAGCTTTTCTCTAAAACTCAAAAATAGTTAATATTTTATTTTTATAATAAAATTTTAATTCATTTTACTGATGATTTATTTGTTCGGCATTGTGTTTTTCTATCAGATGACTTCCTTTTGGATTCTATTTTCCTTCCCTCCTTCTTTCTTTCTTCTTTCCTTCTTTTTTTCTTCCCTCCCTCCCTTCTTTCCTCCCTTCACTCCTTCCTTCCCTTTTTTTCCTGTCACTCTTGATGATGGTTTAACTGGAAATAACACCTTTTGTTCTTAAGACAAAGAAAATAAATATTACTTTAATGTTTCCTGGTCTTTATTATTGCTAAGGGAATGGCTGTTTGGTCTAATTTTTGTTCCTCTCAAGATAATTTCTTTTTTTACTGGCAACTTTCATGATTTTATCTTTATATTTGATGTTATGCTTTTTTTTTGTATAACAATGTGTCTGGGTACAGATTTATTTATTTTTTACTCATTACTCAGAATATAATTTTGATCTAAAGATTAGTGTCTTTAGATTTTGGAAAAACCTAGCCATAAACTCTACAGATATGAATTCTGCACCATTCCCTCCTTTTTTTCTCTTCTGGAACTCCTGTTAAAGGGATGTTGCGGTTTCCCAATCTATTCTCCATATCTTGATCATATTTTTCTGTTCTTTGAGTCTTAGTGTCTCACTCTGGGTGAATTTTTTGCTATCATCACTTTTCAATTCATTGATTATTCAACTGTGTCTAGTTTGTTCTATTTTTCGTTAAAATTAGATATTTCATTTCTAGAATTTCTGGTTGGTTGTTATACAAATTTACTTTTTCATGTTTTAGTTCTGCTTATTTTTATTCCATAATTTACTTTTCTTTGATTGAGGGAATTTCTTCTTCTTTTTTAGTATTCTAAACATACTCAAAATCTTTGTCAGACTACTTTCTAAAATTACTTGGCTAAAATAAAGAATCCTTTAGATAGGCAATAAATATGCTGCACTGGCCTCCTCACCTCGCTAAACTTGTAGTTTCTCTTGAGCTATACATGCAGGCAATTTATTTTTGCCAGTTTCCTTCCTAGAGCAGGATAAATCCACCTCAGATCTTAGCTTTATGCAATAAGCTTTGCTCATTTCCCATCTTATTTCTACAGCACTTTTAGTCACTGTTACCCTACTAGAGATAAAATCCTGGCCATCCATACTTTGCTTCTAAGAATTGGAACCAGCAAGCCAGTGGCTCCGGGATTGCCCATCACTTTGCGTTTTTGTTTGATTTCTGGTCCACAGAGCTGTTCTTCTTGCTTTTGACCTGAGTTGCATCTTCTTATTTTTATCTTTATGTATTTTGTCTGTAATTGCAAAGTGGAGCAGCAGAGATACATCAAATTGTGACCTTTCTATGCCTGCCATTTCACTGGAAGTTTTTTTTTTGTTAATATTTGTAATTATACTTTCTGCTTATAAAGCCAATTACAGAAGTCCCGGCCAGAGCAATCAAGCAAGAGAATAAAATAAAAAGCTTCCAAATATAAAAAGAGAAATGTCGAACTATCTCTGTTTGCTGATGATATGATTCTATACCTAGAAAACCCCAAAGACTCCAACAAAAGGCTGCTGGAGCTGATAAATGATTGCAGTAAAGTTTTAGGATACAAAATCAATGTAAAAAATTCAGTAGCATTTCTATACATCAATAATATTCAAGCTGAGAGCCAGATCAAGGACACAATCCCATTTACAACAGCCACACACATAAAAAATACCTGCGAATACATGTAACCAAGGATGCAAAAAATCTCTACAAGGAAAACTACACAACACTACTGAAAGAAATCATAGATGACACAAACAAGTGGAAAAATATTCCATGCTCATGGATTGGAGGAATTAATATCATTAAAATTGCCGTACTGCCTGAAGCAATCTCCAGATTCAATGCTATTCCTATCAAACCACAAATGTCATTTTTCACAGAATTAGAAAAAGTTATTCTAAAATTAATATAGAATCCAAAAAGCAATCCTAAGCAAAATGAATAAAGCCAGAGGCATCATATTACCCAACTTGAAAATATGCTATAAGGCTACAGTAACCTAAACAGCTTGGTACAAAAGTAGACACATAGACCAATGGAACAGAATAGAGAACACACAAATAAAGTTGGGTAATGTGATGTAAGCCATCTGATCTTTCACAAAGTCAACACAAATAAACAATGGGGAAAGAACTCCCTGTTCAATAAATGGTGCTGGGACAGCTGGCTAGCCATATGCAGAAGACTGAAACTGGACCCCTTCCTTCCAACATTTACAAAAATTACCTCAAGATTAAATATTTAAAAGTAAGACCTAAAACTATAAGAATTCTAGAAGAAAACCTAGAAAACACCATTCTGGACATCAGTCATGGGGAAGAATTTATCACTAAGTTCTCAAAAGCAACTGTAATGAAACCAAAAATTGACAAGTGGGATCTAATTAAACTAAAGAGGTTCTGTATAGCAAAAGAAACTATCAACAGAGTAAACAGCCCACAGAATGGGAGAAAATATTTGCAAGCTATATATCTGACAAAGGTCTAATATCCAACATCTATAAGGAACTTAAACAATTCAACAAGCAAGAAACAAACAAGCCAGTTAAAAAGTGGGCAAAGAATATGAACAGACACTTCTCAAAAGAAGACATACAAGCAGCCAACAAACATATAAAAAAAGCTCCATAGCACTAATCATCAGAGGAATGCAAATAAAAACCACAATGAGATATCATCTCATACCGGTCTGAATGGTTATTATTAAAATGTCAAAAAAATAATAGATGCTGGTGAGGCTGTAGAGAAAAGGGAACACTTATATGCTGTTGGTGGGAGTGCAAATTAGTTCAGCCATTGTGGAAAGCAATTTGGAGATTTCTCAACGAACTAAGAGCTGAACTACCATTCGACCTAGCAATCCCATTACTGGGTATATATTCAAAAGAAAATAAAGCGTTTGTCTGGGCGCGGTGGCTCACGCCTGTAATCCCAACATTTTGGGAGGCTGAGGCGGGCAGATCATGAGGTCAGGAGATCGAGACCATCCTGGCTAACACGGTGAAACCCCGTCTCTACTAAAAACATACAAAAATTTAGCTGGGCATGGTGGCACACGCCTGTAGTCCCAGCTACTCAGGAGGCTGAAGTGGGAGAATCGCTTGAACCCGGGAGGTGGAGGTTGCAGTAAGCTGAGATTGCGCCACTGCACTCCAGTCTGGGCAACAGAGTGAGACTCCGTCTGAAAAAAAAAAAAAAAAGAAAAGAAAGTATTCTACCAAAAAAACCACATGCACTCATAGCACTGTTCAGAATAGCAAAGGCATAAAATCAATTTAGGTGTCTATTAATGGTGGCTTGGAAAAAGAAAAGGTGGTACATATACAACATGGAATCTGTGCAGCCATAAAAAAGAATGAAATTATGTCCTTTGCAGCAACATGGATACAGCTGGAGGCTATTATCCTAAGAAAATTAATGCAGAAACAGAAAGCCAAATACTGAATGTTCTCACTTATAAGTGGGAACTAAACATTAGGTACTCGTGGACATAAAGATGACAACAATAGACACTGGGGACTACTAGAGGGGGAACGGAGGGAGGTGAGTAGTGGTTGAAAAACTAACTTTTGGGTACTATGCTCATTTTCTGGGTGACGGGCTCAACTGTACCCCAAACCTCAGCATCGTGTGATATACCCATGTAACAAACCTGCCTATGTACCCCGATCTAAAACAAAAGTTGAAATTATTAAAAAAATAAATAAATACAATAATTTAAGGTGTAAAAGAAAGCATCTTGGACTTCAGTTGACCATTGTAAAATTGTTTACCCTTGAAGTATCTTAAAACAAGGTTTTGATTTGGAGAAATTTTTTGACATGTGTCATGGTTTCCAACAATAGATATTAAAATTCCATATTCAATAATTATTTGGAATCTTTAAATAAAATATACTCTATTTTTAAAACTTTTTATTATGGAAATTTCAGAAGGAGAGAAAAAGTAAGGATATTAGTCTAATAAATCCTCATGTATCCATCACCCAGCTTCTACAATTATCACCACGCTGCCATGCTTGGTTAATCTATCCCATCTCCACCAACAGTTCATTCTGTTTATTTGTGTTGAAACATATCAAAACAAATCTCAACTATGGTATCATTTTAACCACATTGACTTCATTATATATCTCTAAGAAGGCTTTAAAAATTGTAACCACAATATTATTAGCCAACAAAAGTAACAATAACTCATTAGTATCAAATGGGTTCATGTCCAATTTTCCTCAATCATCTCAGACATGCCTTTTTACAGTTACTTTGTTTGAATCAAAATCCAATCAAGGTCACACATTGAAATTGTTGGTATGTCCTTTAAATCTATTTCAATCAATAACAGTTTCCCCTTATCCTTTTCCCCCCATGTCATGTATTTGTTGAATAGTCTGGGTTAATTGCAGGTCATAGTAATTTAATTTGCAAAATTAGTTAAAAACGTGTAGATAAGTTGTTGAAAGAGCTTGGAAGAAATGCTGAAAATTTTTTTAAAGTACCATTTAATATTAAGGTAGAACATTAATAGAGAATGTCTTCTGTATTAGTCCTTTCTTGCTGTATATTAAATTATTCTAAAACTTAGGTAAGAACAATAAACATTTACTATCTCATACAGTTCCTGAGAGTCAGGAATTTTGAAGCAGCTCAGCTGAGTGGTTGCTCAGGGTCTCTCATGAAGTTGCAGTCAGGTTGTTGGCCTGGGTCGCAATTTCTGAAAACTTGACTGGGCTGTCGGATTCTCTTCTGAGATGACTTACTCACACAGCTGTTGGCAGGAGCCTTCCATTCAAGGAAACCTGTATCTCTCCATAGGGCTGCTTAAAGCATCACTTCCATAGAGTGAGAGTGCTCTGAGGAGGAAGGAACGAAGACAAAAGTCATAGTCTTGTTACCTGAGCTTGAATGTTACATACGCTCACTTCTGCTACATACTATCGGTCATACAGACCATCCCTAGTACAAACTGGGAGAGGAGTGTGAATACTAGAAAGTGAGAATTATTGGGGACCCTCTTGGAGGCTGGCTATCTAAATGGGCAGTAAACCAGAAATAAATTGATTTATCATTCTACCTATTTCCAATCTTGCAAGTAACATAATTTTTCCTTGTGGCAGGCACCAGAATAGGGCACTGATATGACAGTATTAATAGGGACCTTTATTTTCAAGTTCAACTCACATTTTATATATGGTGGGAACTACTTCTTGCCATATGAACATTTCTGATACTATATTAGGAAATGGATGCATCTGTCTTCAATATAGAGGACAATTAGCCTCTAGAAACCCAGGAATGATAATCTTACACACAGGGATCACATCATTAGGATCCACAGCATTTCAGGGATGATCTCAATAACAAAAGTGAATGGACTCCTCATAACACACAATTATGAGTTATTTGCAATAGTTTTTTAGGCTATTAAGCTTCTCATTAGCACAAGATAGTTAATATTCCAGGAATGTATTATTAATGTTACTTTGTCATTATGGAAACAGGAAAAAGAGTACTTGTAGTAATACCATGGATTTCAAAAATGTCATCAGAACAAGAATTAATGCATGCATGAATGAGATGTTCATTATTTTACTGCTTCTTATTTTAACTATATTAACTTAGTCATATATATCTAAGGCATGGCCAAAGGTGGGATACTGCAGATATGATAAAGGCATAATGAACATATTATATCAGTAAGCATTTATCAGCTCTTTTAAAAATAATTCAAATAATAAGATGTTAGAAAGGATGAGACCTTAAAGTGCTTATCATTTTATCCCCTCATTTCAAGGATCTCACAGGTAAAGCAATTTACCCTAACTCAAAAGGTAAATTTGTATCTGTATTCTAACTAGAAAATGGAACCAGAATGCCTGACTCTTATTCCAGGGATCTTTCTAGCACATTATACCACTCTCTAATCATTAAAAATAAGACATCCTCAGTATCGTCTATAAGATTTTTATTAAATTCAGTGGAGTTTATGAGGCAAAATACTATAACAGCAACAGAAAACAAAAACCAAAATTAATATAAATTCAAATTTTTTATTATTTTAAAATATTTAATTGACAAATAAAAATTGTATATAGTCAAGGTATACAATGTGATGACCTGATATGGTATACATTGTATAATGATGATCACAAATTAACACATCCATCACTATCTATGCTATACATTAGACTCCCAGAAATTGTTCATCTTATACATTTTTGGTTTGTACATTTTGGTCAATATCTTTTTATTTCTGCCAGCCCCTAGGCCCTGACAACTACCACTCTACTCTCTGTTTCTGTGAGTTTGACTTTTTTGATTCCTTATGTAAGTGGATCATACAGTATCTGCCTTTCTGTGTCTAGCTTATTTTACTTAGCACAGTGTCCTCCAGGTTCATCCATGTTGTTGCAAATGGCAAGATGTCTTCCTTTTTTATGGCTGGATGGTATTCCATTGCGTATATGTTCCGTAGTTTCTTTATCCAGTAAACTGTTGACTGGCCCTAGGTTGTTTACATATCTTCAATGCTTCAATGAACATGGAGGTGCAGATATCTCTTTAACATACTGATTTCATATACTTTGGATATATACCCAGAAGTGGGACTGCTGGATGGTATTAGTTCTATCTTAAATTTTTTTTTTTTTTTTGAGACAGAGTCTCGCTCTGTCACCCAGGCTGGAGTGCAGTGGCGCAATCTCAGCTCACTGCAAGCTCCACCTCCTGGGTTCATGCCATCCTCCTGCCTCAGCCTCCCGAGTAGCTGGGACTACAGGTGCATGCTGCCACGCCCGGCTAATTTTTTTTTGTATTTTTAGTAGAGACGGGGTTTCACCGTGTTAGCCAGGATGGTCTTGATCTCCTGACCTTGTGATCTGCCCGCCTCGGCCTCCCAAAGTGCTGGGATTACAGGCGTGAGCCACCGCACCTGGCCTATCTTTAATTTTTTTTAGGAACCTCCATACTGTTTTCTATAATGGATATACCAATTATAGCCTATCCAACAGTGTACAAGGGTCCCCTTTTCTCCACACTCTTGCCAACACTTGACATGTCTTGTCTTTTTTACGATAACCCTCCTAACAGGTATGAGGTGATGTAGTCCCTTTTATTTATTTTTGCTTTTATTGTTTGTGCTTTCAGTATCATATCCAAAAAATAATTTCCAAGGTCAATGTCAAGGAGCTTTTCCTCCATGCTTTCTTGTAAGAGTTATATGGTTTCAAATCTTACATCTTTAATTCAGTTCAAGTTAATTTTTTGTGTATGGTGTAAGACAAAGGTGCAGTTTCTTTCCTTTGTATGTGGATATTCAGTTTTCCCAACAACACTTATTGGGAAAGAGCCTTTTCTTTCCCCATTGTGTATTCTTGTCACCCTTGTAAAAGATTGGTTGACCATACATGCATGAGTTTATTTCTGGATTCCCTAATCTATTTCACAGGTCTATGTGTCTGTTTTTATGCCAGTACCATACTGTTTTGATTACTATAGACTTATAATGTAGTTTGAAATTCAGCAGTGTGATGTGTCCAGTTTTGTTTTTTTCTCAGATTGCTTTGACTATTGAGGGTTGAAGCAGTGAAGGAAATAAGAAATGCATTACATAAGGGATAAAGAGCCTATTTTTCTCTTGTTATACACTAACATACAGAAGAAATCTGTTGATAGAAAAACATGCAAATACTGACAAACAAAAAACTGTTGTAGATTTTTATTTATTTAAGGACCTTGAAACTTTCATTTTAATAGTTAGGAACCATAGAGCAAAATATAGAATTTCTGTAGAGTTTCTACTTATTCATTTTGTACTCTCCTTGTTTATAAAGAATGTGAAGCAGCCTTTTGAGGAGTACATACAATAAAATAAGGAGAAATTATAAATAGGAATTATCAGGGCAAGCCAAAACAAAATTACGAGCAGAAAGTCAAGATCAGGAAAAATCAGGGCACAAGAGTCTGCAAAACTCCTGAAATTTAGCTTCAAATTTAGCTCTGAGATTCCTAGAAATCAAAAGAAAAAAAGAAACGCAGTTATTTTCATTAGCTTTGTGGAAGGTTTCCAAGTACCAGCTGGATTCTAAAAAGAAATTTTGCGGGAGGCTGAGGCAGGAGAATGGCTTGAACCTGGGAGGTGGAGCTTGCAGTGAGCTGAGGTCGTGCCACTGCACTCCAGCCTGGGCGACAGAGTGAGACTCCGTCTCAAAAAAAAAAAAAAAAAAAAAAAAAGAAATTCTGTACATTGGGCTTTCTATCAGGAATACTGAATGATATAGTGGACAACAATTTCAATCTACAGCAAAATCTGTAGTGAAATTCTTATTAGCATTTCTTGTGTTGTCCTTTGAAAATTACACTGATGTTAACACATATTTGAGTTGCTGAAGGTTATTTCTGAAAGTCTAGGGTGGTTTAGGTCCTAGACACCTGATCCAGATTGCCTACTTAATTGAAAAATAAAATATCTAGAAAAATGAGGGAATTGAATATCATTTGAATACTTTTGTAAGTATATCATAAAATATGGTTATCAGTGCTTTGATCAGAAAACCATACAGTTAATTTGTATGAATAATTGTTATTGATGTGTTTATGAAATGTAACAATAATTCCAAAAGAATTACCCAAATATAAATTATATAATAAAAAGATTTAATAACCTCAATGTAAAAAATCAGGTTATTTCAATAAAACGTGAAATTGGTGAGGATTAGTGATGATGAATAAATGCATATTAAATCTGTCATTCCATATAGATGAGATCAATTGGCACTTTTTTTATATATAGGTGGAGATATAGAGATCAAATTTTTTAATGTAAACATAGACGTTAGTACAATAAATCCAGTGTTGTACTGGAGCCAAATCATACTAGCTCCTGAGAGCTAATTGTTGGCATCGTTAATGTTATGTTGGTAACTTGAAATTAGCAATGTTGGAAGTATTTACACTACCAAAACCAGCAATTGGTAAACACAAAAGCACTACAAATCACAGCTTTTTGCGGGAGGACCAGTTTACTAGAACACCACATAATAAAACTATCATATACAACTTCCATATTGAGAGGTGACAGCATGCTGGCAGTCCTCAGAGCCCTCGCTTGCTCTCGGCAGCTCCCCTGCCTGGGCTCCCACTTTGGTGGCATTTGAGGAGCCCTTCAGCCCCCCACTGCACAGTGGGAGCCCCTTTCTGGGCTGGCCAAGGCCGGAGCCCACTCCCTCAGCTTGCAGGGAGGTGTGGAGGGAGAGGCATGAGCGGGAACCGGGGCTGCGTGCGGCGCTTGCGGGCCAGCTGGAGTTCCGGGTGGGCGTGGGCTCGGTGGGCCCCGCACTCGGAGCAGCCAGCCAGCCCTGCTGGCCCCGGGCAATGGGGGACTTAGCACCCGGGCCAGTGGCTGCAGAGGGTGTACTGAGTCCCCCAGCAGTGCTGGCCCACCGGCGCTGCGCTCGATTTCTCGCCGGGCCTTAGCTGCCTTCCCACGGGGCAGGGCTCGGGACCTGCAGCCCATCATGCCTGAGCCTCCCACCCACTCCATGGGCTCCAGTGCGGCCCGAGCCTCCCCGACGAGCACCACCCCCTGCTCCACGGTGCCCAGTCCCATCGACCACCCAAGGGCTGAGGAATGCCAGCGTACGGCGCCGGACTGGCAGGCAGCTCCACCTGCAGCCCCGGTGCGGGATCCACTAGGTGAAGCCAGCTGGGCTCCTGAGTCTGGTGGGGACGTGGAGAGTCTTTACATCTAGCTCAGGGATTGTAAATACACCAATCAGCACCCTGTGTTTAGCTCAAGGTTTGTGAGTGCACCAATCGACACTCTGTATCTAGCTGCTCTGGTGAGGACGTGGACAACCTTTATGTCTAGCTCAAGGATTGTAAATACACCAATCGGCACTCTGTATCTAGCTCAAGGTTTGTAAACACGCCAATCAGCACCCTGTGTTTAGCTCAAGGTTTGTGAATGCACCAATTGACACTCTGTATCTAGCTGCTCTGGTGGGGCCTTGGAGAACCTGTGTGTCAAAACTCTGTATCTAACTAATCTGATGGGGACGTGGAGAACCTTCCTATCTAGCTCAGGGATTGTAAACGCACCAATCAGCGCCCTGTTAAAACAGGCCACTCAGCTCTACCAATCAGCAGGATGTGGGTGGGGCCAGATAAGAGAATAAAAGCAGGCTGCCGGAGCCAGCATTGGCAACCCGCTCCGGTCCCGTTCCACACTGTGGAAGCTTTGTTCTTTCGCTCTTTGCAGTAAATCTTGCTACTGCTCACTCTGGGTCCATGCTGCTTTTATGAGCTGCAACACTCACCGCGAAGATCTGCAGCTTTACTCCTGAGCCCAGCGAGATCACGAGCCCACCGGGAGGAACGAACAACTCCAGACGCGCTGCCTTAAGAGCTGTAACACTCACTGCGAAGGTCTGCAGCTTCACTTCTGAGCCAGGGAGACCACGAACCCACCAGAAGGAAGAAACTCCGAACACATCTGAACATCAGAAGGGACAGACTCCAGACGCGCCACCTTAAGAGCTGTAACACTCACCCTGAGGGTCCGCGGCTTCATTCTTGAAGTCAGACCAAGAACCCACCAATTCCGGACGCAATATCACCAGATTACAAAGAGAAAGACAGAAAGTGAGCAAAGCACAAGGAAAACTAGAACAATGAGCAAACGAAATTTAAAAGCAATGATCAGCTGGGTGGAACGGCTCACGCCTGTAATCCCAGCAATTTGGGAGGCTGAGATGCGTGGATCATTTGAGGTCAGGAGTTCGAGACCAGCCTGGCCAACATGGTGAAACCCTGTCTCTACTAAAAATACAAAAATTAGCTGGGAGTGGTGGCGCACCCCTGTAGTCCCAGCTACTTGGGTGGCTGAGGCAGGAGAATCCCTTGAACCCGAGAAGCAGAGGTTGCAGTGAGCTGGGATAGCGCCACTGCACTCCAGCCTGGATGACAGAGCGAGGCTCTGTCTCAAAAAAAAAAAGTAACTATTTATTAAATCTACATATTAAATATGGCAAGTGTCAAATAGCGTGTCAAAACTATGACCAAATATATCACTCATGATGATAAATATGAAAGGATTAAGCTCTCCTAATACAAGACCGATATTCTACAACTAGGTTAGAGAAAAATTGCAAATAAAGAACAAAGCTTTATCAGGCAAATGAAAGTGAGAGGAAAGAAAGGTTTACAACTTCAACACCAGGCAAAGTAGAATAAAAAGTAAAAAGCTCAAAACTACATTGAAAAGACTGATTTTTATTGACAAAACAATGGTTAAGTATCAGATAACATCGAAATATATAATGCAAAAGTTATCAGAACATAAGGAAAAGTTAGCAAAATCACAACCATCAGGGGAAATTTTGACACAACTTTTCTAATCTTTGACAAATTGAGTAGAAAAAGAAGAAAGTAAGGAAGAGACTAATAATACTATCAATTTCACACACACATTGGTGCTATAGAAAATACACTTTTTTTTCAAATGTCTATGAAACACCAAAATTGATCATATTTCATATTTTAATCCACAAAAAGAATCTTACTACTTTCTCCAAATAAGAAATTGTGTAAACTGCGTTCTTTGTCAAGGTTTCATAAAACCGCATATTAATAGCAGAGTTATAAATAGAAAAAATTGAACCATTAAAAATAAAAAAAACACTCTTCTAAAATGGATATTGGAGCTAGTAGAAATCAAGCTTAGCTTAAATCACTATTTAGAAAATAACGCCAGGGAAAACAATACTATCAAACTTATGAGGCGAAACTGAATTCAGAGGAAACTTACTCGTTTTAAGTGTATTTATTAATAAAGCAACTATTTGACATGAATTGTAAATATTGGTGCAAAAATTCTAAGTAATGAAGTAGCAACCTGAATCCAGTAATATATTCAAAGAATAATAGTTGATGATTAAGCAAATGTTATAATTTATAGTTGTAAATGTTATGAATAATAGTTGATGTTTAAGTAAATGGCGTACCATTAATGCATGGATGGCTCAATATTAGAAAACCAATAATAATTCATAATAGCAGGCCAAAGAAGAACAATATTTCAACAGAGGCTTAAATATTTTTTCTGGAGGGAAAATGCCAATAGATATTCCTAAAGAAAACCCCTGGTAAAATAGAAGTAGAAAGATAGTTTCTTCACATTATAAAAAATTATCTCAGTCAACATTAGCATTATACTTAATGAAGAAATACCAGAAGCATTCCTATTAAAATTCAGAACAAATAGGACTGTCTACTATTATCTCTGTTATTCAATGTCATTATGGACATATTTGTCAAAGCATGCATAAAATATAAATGTATAAATCAAGTATAAATGAAAAGTAGGAAATTTTCATTATTTGTAGGTGATGTAATTCTCGATCTGCAAACCTCTGAAGAATGAAGTACAAAACTATAATATTAATATACTAAAATCAATATACTTACAATATTCCAGCAATAATCCATTTGTTAATGAAATGAAAAACATCTTCACGATACTGACACAAAAATGCCAAATAGTAAAATTTAAAAAAACATGTGCAAGACCAAATTAAGATAACTACAAAACTCTACTAATGACATAAAAGAAGACTAATTAATGGAGAAACACAGGAAGTATATCTACACATGCAACAAACTTTCAAGCAAACTCATATCACAGTATGTGTGTATGCATGCATGCATGTATATATGTATTTAGTATTTGCGTATATGGAGAGAGAGACATAAAATGGCCAGAGCATCCTATAGTTCATCTGAAAGAATAAACATGAGAAGATATCCAATTAAATTCTAATAAAGAAGTGTAAAAGGATGGAGAGAGATGACTTGCCTACCAGATACAAAAACATGTTATAGAGCTACAAGAATTGAAATTGGGAGATGCTGGTGCCAAAACAGAATGATGAATGGAACCAATACATAAGGTATTTCAAATCAGTGGAGACAGCATGATTATTCAATAAACGATTCTGAACAACTGGACAACCAGTTGTACAGGAATAAATTCTAGATAACTTAAAGGATAAAATATACCAAGTAATAGACCCCAGCATTGGCAATATGAGGTGCTAATATATAACAAAGATGGCATTTCAAATTCAGTGAGGAAAGGATGGAATATTTAATATATGGTTCTGGGACAACTGGCTGTCCATATGGAAGAAAATAAAGTTAAACTCCGATTGCACATCATATAAAAACACACACACACAAAAACAGATGGATTAAGTACTAAGCATAAACAAATAAAAACTAAAATCCTGGAAGAAAAATAAGGAGATTACATTTATAGCTTCAGAATAGGGGAGACATTGGCAAAACAGGAGAACCAGAAGTTATTAAAAAATGTAACAGTTTTGACTATATAAAATGGAGATATTTGTTATGGCAAAAGATACCATTAATCAGTAGATTATAGGTCTGGGAGAATTCTGATACTAAGGTGACAAATAGTTAAATATGTACAAAAATTATTACAAATTGACAAGAAAAAAACACCCTAGTAGAAAAATGAAAAAGGATATAAAGAAGCAAATCACAGAGGGCCTGTCATGGGTTTGGGGGCAGGGGAAGGGATAGCATTAGGAGAAATACCTAATGTAAATGACGAGTTAATGGGTGCAGCAAACCAACATGGCACATGTATACCTATGTAACAAACCTGCACGTTATGCACATGTACCCTAGAACTTAAAGTATAATAAATAAATAACCCAACCAACCAAACCAAAAAACCCCACCAGGATTGCAACCCCAACTCTGCCACTTACTGGCCACACGACTCCCATGCATATTGCTTTACTTTGAGCCTCAGTTTCCACATCTTGTAAAATGGTTTTCTTTTTTGGAGTTATGAAAATTAAATGAGATGACACGTATGACTGAGCCCCACCTCCCACACACAAAAAAGTAAATGTCTAAAGCTCACCGACAGGCAGATTCTTCTAAATTGAAATAATGAATTATCATATTCTTTTAATTAAAAAACATTTTCATAGATTTTATTTCTAAAATTGGGATGTCCCTTAGAATTGATGGCATTCTACAATCACTGAAGGCTGAGTAACAGTCATACCATGATTTCCCCTGCTGCACATGCATGAACATGGTTGTTGCTACCGGAAGCATGGCTGGCCAATTATAATCTCTACATGTTTCACTCAACAAAATTACGGAAGAAAAGAATATGAATCCTGACTGTTTATTTAAAACCTTGTATTGACAGTTTCTGATATAATCAAGAAGAACCCAGCATCAAAAACTGCAGAATGGGTGTCAGTGGCTTCAAATAAAATCCTGGTGATGATAATGGAGCACTCTTTTAAGAACTGTTGCACCACCAATGTTTTTGATGACACATAAAATAACATTATGTGCAAAAACATGGATGATGATGATTTTGAGTTGAAAGCATACATAAAAGTTGGATTCAATGTTAGAAAGGTTTTTTTAGAAATACCATAACCAATTTAGTTTATTTATATGCACAGGAATAATATACAGTAAAATTATTTGGATAAGTATGTCTAAAAGAACTTTTCAATAAGAATAAAATAAAGATTCTAAATGATTAGAAAGCGTTGTGTCATTTTTAACTGGTAGCACATTTTCTTTCTTCTTAGTGGTGCATAAAATAACACATCTTAAGTAAATTAACCCTTCCTTTCTCCCTCCTCCTCAGCCTACTCAACACGAAGACAATGAGGATGAAGAATTTTATGATGATTCACTTCCACTTAATGAATAGTAAATATATTTCTCTTCCTTATGATTTTCTTCAAAACTTTTTCTTTTCTCTAGCTTCCTTTATTGTAAGCATACAGTATATAATACATTTAACATGCAAAATATGTCTTATTCAACCTTTCTTGTTTTCTGTAAGGCTTCCTGTCAACAGTAGTACCTATTAGCAGGTAAGTTTTGGGGGAGTTAAAAGTTATACAGAGATTTTTGACTGTGCAAGGGTGGGGAGCGCTCTGATCTCTGCATTTTTCAAGGGTCAACTGTATTATGTCTCTCCTATTGGAAAAACAAGATCTCCCTTCCAAAAAGATGTGTATAATAGCATTTTTGCAAAGCAAATGATGACCTCCAAACTCGTATATATAACAATAGTTAACATTTATAAAACACATATGGTGCGCCAGAACTCTTCTAAGAAATGTACATGCATTAACTCAATTAGGTAGGTATTACTATGATGCTCAGTTTACAAATGAGGAAACTGAGGTATAGGGAAGTAAAGTCACTTGTCCAGGTTCACACAGCCGGTAAATGGCAGGAATGCAATTTGAACCTAGGCATTTTGGCTCCAGAGTGTCCATGTTCTCTCTTAATGATTCATTCATATTCTCATAGTCTCTTTCTCTCTCTCTGAAACGCACACATTCTCTCTCTCTCTCTCTCTCTCTCTCTCTCTCTCTCACAACACCCCTCCACATTTTGTTTTTCTCTTTATGCCCCTCCCTCATTGGGTTTAATTATGAGCATGAAGAAAACTCTGGAAGGATATATACTAAGTCATTAACACAGGTTATAGGGGTGAAGGTGATATAGGAGAATGTCAAGCAAAAAGAGAAAAAGAATAAAAAAAGAGAAGAACTCCATCAAAACTCCAGCTGTGTATGATATAGTTATGATTATGCCTTATATAAAATTAAATGTATATATGTATAAAACATGATAAATAAAAGTTATCTAAAGATTTTAAAGACAGTCCATAAAATATATACAAATGGTCAACACATTTGAATTTTACTGATCATAAAAATATCAAATTAAAAGAATGATGGCATATGGGCAGGGCCCGTTGGGTCACGTCTGTAATCCCAGCTCTTTGGGAGGCTGAGGCGGGTGGATCAGTTGAGGTCAGGAGTTCGAGACCAACCTGGACAACATGGTGAAATCCTGTCTCTACTAAAAATACAAAACTTAGCTGGGCTTGGTGGAGTGCACCTGTAATCCCAGCTCTTGGGAGGGTGAGGCAGGAGAATCCCTTGAACCTGGGAGGCGGAGGTTGCATTGAGCCGAGATCGCACCACTGCCCCCCAGCCTGGGCAACAGAGCAAGACTCTGTCTCAAAAAAAAAAAAAAAATGATGGCAAATGATTTCTGCCCATGGAATTTGCAAAGATGAAGAAGTGAAATATACAATGTTACCAACATAGCAGGAAAATGGGAGCCCTTATATGCTGTTAGTGAATATTAAATTGGTCCAACCTATCTGACGGGAAATGGAAATGGCAGTATAAAAGTAAGTCTTTTGATTAAGTACTATTACTCCTAGGAATTCTCCTTAAGGTAATATAATAATTAGTGATGATAATGAATATTAGCGTTAAAGATGTTCAATACAGATCTATTATTTCATTTGTTCATATATTCATCTATACTCTGGTACCAGGATGTATATTTAAGTGTTAATTAAAACAGCAAAGAAGAAAAATGAATGGGAGAAGGAAGAGGAGGAGGAGAAGGAAGAAGAAGAGGAAGATGATGCAACCCCAAGGTCTAAAAATATGAATGGCTAAATAAATTGTGATATATTTATTTGATGGAATATTATACAACAATTAAAATTACATTTACAAATAATATTTTCTAACAGGAAAAAATTCCTATTAGACTGTAAAGTAAAAAATGAATATGTCTATTTTTTTTTCTTTTCCGAGACGGAGTCTTGCTCTGTCGTCCAGGCTGGAGTGCAGTGGCATGATCTCAACTCACTACAACGTCTGCCTCTCGGGTTCAAGCAATTCTCCTGCCTCAGCCTCCTGAGGAGCTGGGATTATAGGTGCGCACTACCATGCCTGGCTAATTTTTGTATTTTTAGTAGAGACAGGGTTTTGCCATGTTAACCACGCTGGTCTCAAACTCCTGACCTCAGGTGATCCACCCATCTCAGCCTCCCAAAGTGCTGGGATTACAGTCGTGAGCCACGGCGCCCGGCGCCTATGTCTGTTTTATGATTTAAAAACTGTACAACAGATTTAAGAATTAATAGAACATTTAAATAATTATACTGGTTATTTTGAATATATGTGGTTATTACTTTTATTTTTATTTATACTTTACATTTCAAAATATTTTATAATTTTATATGTAGATATTTAGTTATATTACTATATATTTATATACTTTGTATATTTCATAATTAGGATGCAAGGTTATTATTATAAAAAGAAAACAGAAATTAATCTCTACTGTATTATGCTATATTACTGAAAACAATGGTGCACTGCAGTAACATAGAATGGAATTCAGTAAGGACAGTCTTCCTTAGATAGTCTCTCTTTTACACTTTAATGTCACATTTAACAATCATACAGTGCCTGGCATGAATCTAAACGTGGTATTAACACGTTTAATCCTCACAACAACTCTTCCTTAAAAACTGAGTCACAGAGTTTCAGTAACTTGCCCTAGGTCACACAGCTAGAAAGAGGCAGCACCTGGACTTGAATCTAGGTAGTTTGATTCCAGAGCCTGGCTCTTAATATCTATAGTTAAGCCCATACCACAAGTGAACAAAACAATGAAATAAAGAATATTAGCCGGGCGCGGTGGCTCATGCCTGTAATCCCAGCACTTTGAGATGCCGAGGCGGGCGGATCACCTGAGGTCAGGAGTTCAAGACCAGCTGGCCAACATGGTGAAACCCCCCCCCTACTAAAAATACAAAAATTGGCTGGGTGCGGTGGCTCACGTCTGTAATCCCAGCACTTTGGGAGGCCGAGGCGGGCGGATCACGAGGTCAGGAGATCGAGACCAAGGTGAAACCCTGTCTCTACTAAAAATAGAAAAAAAATTAGCCGGGCGCAGTGGCGGGCGCTTGTAGTCCCAGCTACTCGGGAGGCTGAGGCAGGAGAATGATGTGAACCCGGGAGGAGGAGCTTGCAGAGAGCCGAGATCGCGCCACTGCACTCCAGCCTGGGCGACAGAGCGAGACTCAATCTCAAAAAAAAAAAAAAAAAAAAAAAATTAGCCAGAGATAGTGGCGCGCGCCTGTAATCCCAGCTACTTGGGAGACTGAGGCAGGAGAATCGCTAGAACCCGGGAGGAGGAGCTTGCAGAGAGCCGAGATCGCGCCACTGCACTCCAGCCTGGGCGACAGAGTAAGACACCGTCTCAAAAAAAAAAAAAAAAAAAAAAAAAAAAAAAAATATATATATATATATATATATATATATATATATATATATATTAGGAACAATGATATAATCATATAGTATAATTGGAGATGGAGCTGAAATTTAGGGGCATATTGATTAAATGAATGTGCAATTAAGTAAAATTATTCAAAATATTATCTGTGGCAGCTTATTGGCAGAATGTGAAGTAATAAGCAACAATTTTAGTTTTTCTCCACATCTTATTAGATAGCTAGTAATGATAGCTATCTAATTATCTATCATTAGACAGCTAGCTATCTAATGACAGATAATTCAGATGTGCTGTTGATATCGCAGTAACCCTCCTTCCCTTTCCTTCCTCCCTTCCCCACTCCCTCCCTCCCTTCCTTTCTTCCTTCCTTCCTTATAGAAACAATTCTCATGTTTTTGTCCAGACTGCCTTTTAAAGGTCTCTACTATCCCACAGGCACAGAAGCCAATTCTTCATAAAAGCTCTTTGATGAGTGCAGTTGCTTCAGGCTATCTCACCAAATCTCACCTTCCCAACCTACTCTCATCAGCTTGTGCCTCCCATATAAGACTCAGATTTGATTCTTGCCAATGAACAGCCCTTCTTCTTCCACTTCAGTCCCAAGCCAGGTTCTGATGATTTCTTGCTTTACTACGTTGCCTTGCCTTGGACGTAGATTTGGTTCTTGTATTAGTCTGGGTTCTACAAAGAAAAAGAACCAATAGGAGCTATATGTACACAAATATTAGATACTATGAATATGTATATATCTAATAGATGTATAATATATACATATATACTTACTTATTTATCATAAGAAATTGGCTCATATACAGATTCAATGGTATTCCTATCAAACTACCAATATCATTTTTACAGAATTAGAAAAAACTGTTCTAAAATTCATATGGAACCAAAAAAGAGCACAAATAGCCAAAGCAGTCCTAAGCAAAAAGAACAAAGCTGGAGCCATCACACTACCCAACTTCAAAATACAAGGCTACAGTAACCAAAACAACACGGTACTGGTATAAAAATAGACACAGACCAGTGGAACAGAATAGAGAGCCCAGAAATAAAGCCACACACGTACAGCCATCTGATCTTTAACAAAGTTGACAAAAATATGCAATGGAGAAAGGACACTCTATTCAATAAATAGTGCTGTGATAGCTGGCTAGCCTTATGCAGAGAATGAAACTGTACTCCTATCTTTCACCACATACAAAGATTAACTCAAGGTATATTAAAAATTTAAATGTAAGACCTCAACCTATAAAAATCCTAGAAGAAAACATAGGAACACCATTCTGGATATTGGCCTTGAGAAAGAATTTATCACTAAGTCTTCAAAAGCAATTGCAACAAAACAAAAAATTGACAAGTGGGATCTAATTAAACTAAAGAGCTTCTGTACAGCAAAAGAAACTATCAACAGTGTAAACAGACAACCCACAGAATGGGAGAAAATATTTGCCAACTATGCATCGAACAAAGGTCTCATACCCAGGATCTGTAAGGAACTTAATTCAACAAGCGGAAAACTAATAACCCCATTGAAAAATGGGCAAAGGACTGAACAGACACCTCTCAATAGAAGACATACAAGCGGCCAACAAACATATGAAAAAATGCTCCACAACGCTAATCATCAGAGAAATGCATATAAAAAGCACAATGTGAAACTATCTCACATCAGTCAGAATGGCTATTATTAAAACGTCAAAAAATAACAAATGCTGGTGAGGCTGTGGAGAAAAGGGAATGCTTATAGACTGTTGGTGGGGATGTAAATTAGTTCAGCCATTGTGGAAAGCAGTTTGGAGATTTTTCAAAGAACTGAGTTGAGGCCGGGGGCAGTGGCTCATGCCTAAAAGCCCAGCACTTTGGGAGGCCAAGGTGAGAGGACTGCTTGAGTCCAGGAGTTCAAGACTAGCCTGGGCAACATAGCAAGACCCTGTCTCTACAAAAAAAAATCAGCTGGGGAGAAGAAAAAAGAACTGAGAGTGGAACTACCATTCAACCTAGCAATCCCATTACTGAGTATATACTCAAAGGAAAATAAATCATTCTACCGAGAAGACACATTCACTCACGTTGAGTGCAGCACTATTCACAATAATAAAGACGTGGAATCAATCCAGGTACCCATCCAGGGTGGATTGGACAAAGAAAATATGGTACATATATAACATGGAATACTATGCAGCCATAAAAATGAATGAAATTATATCCTTTGCAGCAACATGGATGTAGCTGGAGGCCATTATCCTAAGTGAAGTCATGCAGAAACAGAAAACCAAATACTGTATATCCTCACTTGTAAGTTGTAGCTAAGCATTGGGTACACATGGACATGAAGATGGCAACAACAGACACTGAGGACCACTAGAGTGGGGAGAGAGGGAATGAGGCAAGGGCTGAAAAACTACGTATTGGGTACTATGTTCACTACCTGGGTGACAGAATCATTCCTATCCCAAACCCCAGCATCATGCAATATACCCATGTAACAAATCTGAACATGTATGCCCTGAATCTAAAATAACAGTTACAATTATTTTTTAAAAAAGAAATTGGTTTACCTGGTTGTGAAAGCTGAGAAGTCCTAAGATTTACAGTCAGCAAGCTGGAGATTCAGGATTGCTGATGGTATAGTTGTATTTTGACCTGAGAACCAGGAAGGCCAATAGTGTAAGATCCAATCTGAGTCTGAGTGTGAAGGCAGGAGAAGATAGATGTCCCAGCTGTAAGAGAGTCAGGCAGAAAGAGTAAATCCTCCCTTATTCCACCTTTTGTTCTATTCAGGTCTCCCACAGATTGGATGATGCCCATCCACACTGGGGAGGGTAATCTCCTTTTTTTCAGTCTACCAATTTAAATATTAATCTCATCCAGATTAATATTTAACCCTCACAGACATACCCAGAATAGTGTTTAACCAAATACATAGGCATCCCATGGCCCAATAAATTTGACACAGGAACTTGACCATCACGAGCTAACCCTTTGTCAGCTTGGCACCCAACATGCATCTCTTTAACCACACTTAATCTCCATATAAAATGACAAGACCACAGTTCCACCCAATATGATACAACTCTCCTACACACAAGGAAAAATGCACTAACCCCTTCTCTAGAAGAAGAGGTAAAGTACTTGAGTGATGTTTACTCTCCTTGAGATGTCATAACTTAAATGCTATTATATAAAATTAACAATACGTTATAATGTTTCTTGAGACAAGGTCTCGCTCTGTGGCCCAGGCTGGAGTGCAGTGGCACAATCATGGCTCACTGCAGCCTCCACCTCCTGGGCTCAAGTGATCCTCCCACCTCAGCCTCCTGAGTAGCTGGGACCACAAGTGCATGCCACCATGCCTGGTTAATTTTTAAATTTTTTGTAGAAGCAGGGTCTCCCTTTGTGGCCTAGGCTGGTCTTGAACTTTGCGGCTCAAGTAATCCTCTTGCCCCAGCCTCCCAAAGTGCTGGGATTACAGACATGAACCATTGTGCCCCAACAAATGAACAATATAGTACTTAAATGCTATGATATATAGTTAATATGTGACATGATAGGGGAATAAGAGAGGGAAGAAAAAGATATTTTGCATACACACACAAATATATTCATAAAATAAAGAGAAATACTCATGACAATTACAGTCTTTGTTTCTGTAACTGGTCATGTGGCTGTAGCTGGTATTTATAACTACTTTCTTCCACTACCCATTCTGTATTCCCTTTGCCTTCAGCAACCACCTCAGCTGGTTATGGTTGTTTGCCTGGTGGAGTGACCCAAACCTTCATTCCTGAAGGGTCTGGGCCACTTTTTGTCCTGCCTGCATTGTGTTGTTGCAGCTTCTCATTTACCTTAATAATGGGGCACAGTAATACTAAAGAGATGCCCTGCGGCAAACTTGTCCAACCCGTGGCCCATGGGCCGCATGCATCTCAGGATGGCTTTGAATGTGGCCCCACACAAATTCATAAAGTTTTGTAAAACATTATGAGATTTTTTGGCGATTTTTTTTTTAGCGCATCAGCTATCATTAGTGTTAGCATATTTTATGTGTGGCCCAAGACAATTCTTCTTCCAGTGTGGCCCTAAAAAGCCAAAAGATTGGACATCCCTGCCTTAAGGGATCTCCTGTATTCCACACATGCTCTTCCTTACCTCCACTGTGGTGTAGTACTCCAATTTCACCTTGGTAATCAGGATCAATCATCCCAGCCAGCATAGTCACTCCTTTCCTTGCCTGTTGAGTGAGAGGCTTGAGGAATACAAAGTGGCTGGGTGGCAGTGTTAACTTGCAGTTCAATGGAATTATTATTTTGTCTCCTGGTGGAAGCATTTCTCTCTTTGGAACTAAGACCTCTAAGCCAGCAAAACATAAGGTCATGGGAACAGGAAGTAAAAATTTTGCTAGTAGGTCACTAGGGATAATAGTGGGTGGTGACATTCCTATTTCCATCACTTGATTCCTGGACTCATGAATCCTAGCTATAAGGAGAAACAGCATCATATATTGAATGCTGGTTCAGAACATATACAGCCGTCTGGAGGAATGCTGCTCTGGCCCTGCTATAGCAACCTTTAAAAGACTATTCCACTGTTTTATCCAACAAGCTGCTTCAGGATGGTGGGGAACATGGTAAGACCAGTGAATTTCATGAGCATAGCTCCATTGCTGTGAAGTGAATTCCTTGATTAGCAGAAGCAATACTGTGTGAATACGGGATTCTATAAATCCATGGATGGTAGTTTTGGCAGAAGCATTGCATGCAGAGAAGGCAAATTTGTACCCAGAGTGTCTGTTCCAGTAAGAGCAATCACTGACCTTTTCATGATGAAAGCACGCCAATGTAATCAACCTGCCATCAGGTAGCTGGCTGATTAGCCTCGGGAATGGTGCCATATTGGGAGCTCAGTGTTGGTCTCTGCTACTGGAATATCGGGCACATAGCAGTGGTCATAGCTAGGTTGACCTTGTTGAGTGGAAGTCCATGTTGCTGAGCCCATTCATAGCCTTCTTTCTTGCCACCCTGGCCACTTTGTTCATGAGCCCATTGGGCAATGATGGGGTGACTGAGGAAAGAGGCTCACTGATCTCTATGGAATAGATCATCCTATGCACTTGATTAAAATCTTCCTCTGCTGAGGTCAACCTTTGGTGAGCATTCACATAGGACACAAACATCTTCACAATTTTTGCCCATTCAGATAGGTCTATCCATGTACTTCTTCCCCACATTCCCTTGCCAACAATTTTCCAATCATGTTCCTTCCAATCCCTTACCATCCAGGCAAACCATTGCCAATAGCCCATATATTGGCATATTATTGCACATCTGGTCATTTCTCCTTCCTAGCAGAGTGAGCAACCATGTGCACTGCTCAAAATTCTGGTCACTGGGAAGATTTCTATTCACCAATGTCCTCCAGGAATGTCTCAGAAAGGGGCTGAAGTGCTATTGCTGTCTACTTTCAAGTATATTGTGCGGAACCAGGCCCAAATCTTCTGTTTCTCTGTCAATTGATTGTAGGGAACTCCCCATAAGGCCACAGGTGAGACTGGGAGAAAGAAGGCAGCGTAGCAGCTGTGGGGACCACAGGCATTTCATGTAGCTTACTTGTGCCTTCAGGGCCTGCTTGGGACAAGTCATGTATATATTGCTTCCATTCAATGATGGAGTGCTGCTATGCATGCCCAACCTTATGGCTTGGTGGGTCAGATAACACCCAGTTCATGATGGGCAGCTCAGGTTACCTGGTAACTTGGTGATCCATGGTTAAACATTCAGTTTCTACTAAGGTTCAGTAACAGGCCAAGAACTATTTCTTAAAAAGAGAGTAGTTATCTGTAGATAATGGCAGGGCTTTGCTCCAAAATCCTATGGACCTGGGCTGTGACTCACCTAGGCCTGTCAAAGGCTCCAAACAGCACCCTAATTGAAAACTGACACCGTAAGCAGCACTGGATCTGCTGAATCCTATGGACCAAGTGACAGAGTAGATGCATGTCAGACTGGATCTCTTGCAGAGCCTTCTCTTATTTTGGGTCACACTCAAAACTAGCAGCTGGGTGGGCACAGTGGCTCACATCTGTAATCCCAGGACTTTGGGAGGCTGAGGTGGGAGGTCTCTTGAGTCCAGGAGTTTGAGACCAGCCTGGGCAACATAGGGAGACCCCATATCTACAGGCAAAAAAAAAAAAAAAAAAATCCAGGCTTGGTGGCACCCACCTGTGGTTCTAGCTACTCAGGAGACTGAGGTAGGAGGATCACTTGAGCCTGGAAGGTTGAGGCTGCAATGAGCCATGATTGCGCTATTGTACTCCAGCATGGGCAACAGAGTGAGACCTTGCCTCAAAACAAAGAAAGAAAAAGAAAAAAAACTAGAAGCTTTTTGGATTAGCTGGTAAGTGGGACGGAGTAATGCCTCCAAATGAAGACTATGTTGCCTCCAAAACTGAAAAAGGCCTACTAGGTATTGTGTCTCTTTTTTTTTGTTGTTGTTGTAAGAAGGGCCAGATGCAAGAACTCATTCATCTTAGAGGAGATAAGTGCAAGTTTCAGTCTGAGTCTGAAGGCCTGAGAACCAGGAGAGCCAATGTTGTAAGTCTCAGTCTGAGTCTGAGTTCAAATGCAGAAGATTGATGTCTCAGCTGAAAGACAGTCAGGAAGAGATGTTAATGTTAATCTTATCCAGAAACACCCACATAGACACACCTAGAATAATGTTTAATCAAATTTATGGGCACCTTGTGACCCAGTTAAGTTGACATATAAAAGTAATCATCACATTTCCCTTTGTTTCCACATCTGCTCCAGTGGGACCACAACCACACTCTGCTACCATTTAAGGCAGAGTATCTTCCCTCCTCTCACTAGAAAATATAAAACCCAAAGAAAACAAATAAGCAAAACATTCCATAAAGCTAAAGCAGGTTTTCTTTTCCTGAAAACAAATGGGTCAATTTGATGATTTGGTCAAACATAAACTATCTAAATATATTAGTCTTCTCAGGCAGCCATACCCAAGTACCATAGACTGAGTGGCTTAAACAACAGAAATGTATTTTCTTACAGTTCTGGAGGCTGGACGTCCAAGATCAAGGTGCCAGCAGGTTTTGTTTCTCCTAAGGTCTCTTGCCTTGCTTGCAGATGGCTGTCTTCTTTATATGTCCTAATATGGCCTTTTCTCTGTGTGCAAGGACTTTTCTTATAAGGACACCAGTCCTATTGGATTAGGGCCCCCCCTTTATGACCTCAATTAGCTTAATTACCTCCTTAAAGGCCCTATCTCCAAATACAGTCACATGGGGGTTAGAGCCTCAACCTATGAATTTTTGGGAAGTGATCGGGGGTGGGGGGGTTGGGGTGGGCCACACAATTCAGTCCATAACAACTAAAATCATTAGCTTTTAAAGAATTGGCAATTTGGGTGCAACATTGAGTTTGAGTTCTTTTAAAACTCTTTTTGCGTCTTGAAGCATTATATTCCATTTTTTCAGAATATTTTCTAGGTATTGAATTTTTATTTCTAATTTGTTTTCATTCAACTATTCCTTTTTTGTGCTTTTTGTGAAAGGGAAAGTTGGATCCAGCTAAGTGTCCAAGAAATATTTTATTTTACTATTTTTATATTTTCTTATTAAAAAACAATACACACACATATAAATAAGCAAAAGATGACCTTAGAGAGTGTTCATAATCTCCCCTACCTAGAAACAATGACTGTTAGCTGTTAACACCTGGATGTAAGACTTTCAGATCCTGTCTGACATAGTTTTTCTACTGTTTTCTATAAAATCGGGTATTACCGTGTTTGCTGTTTAATGACCTGTTATAATGTATTTAAGTAATCATCAACTAGTTGTACATTTAGGTCAAATATTAGTACTACTACTGCTGCTGCTGCTGCTACTGCTACTACTACTGCTCGTAATAATAATAGCAACAATAACTTTGATACCAGTGTCAATACCTCCTAGGGTTGATGTGAGGATTAAGTAAGATATAGATTGCAGAAATATATTCATTGCAATTCCTGGCCCATATTAAGTGACTAATGAATGCTGATGCCAATTTTTTTTTTCTTAGGTTAGCCTGGACCTGTGTTTCTAGCATTTTTCCTTGTTTTTCTCCCATTACTCCTATAGCCTTCACAATAAAGCATAAAAAATTGAGCATGTCTTGAAGGAACTTCCTGATTTTGCTCATCCTAAATATCTCTTCTTTCAAGGAGGCTTCTCTACCTCCTCCAAGACTAAGTCAGGTTGCCCTTTTATGACTTCTCATAGCATCCTTGATTGTCCTATCATAGTACTCACCAGAGTTCATACTTATACCTGTTTAATTGTTTTCCTTGCTAGATTATATGCTCCCTGATTATCTTTTTTAAGAGTCTAAGGCTGTACCTAGTATATAGTTGGCACTTAATCAGCTTGGTTTCTACACATGGGCCTGCCTTCTCTTCCTTTACAATGGGCTTACTAACTGCTCTCTCTCACAAGATTTTTGGCAGGATCAGATGAGGCAATGCATGTGAAAAAGGTAATGTATATAAAGTACTTCCACAAATAAAAAGCATTTGAATAATTTGTATATAACCTTGCACAAGGTTAATAAATCGTAATAGTTTAGAAAATTGTAATTGGATTTTAATGGGCAAATGTTAATGTACATTCTCCACCAATATTTAGTAATTATATGAAAAAAGTAGGAGACATTTATAGCAGTCAAGATCTTTATAGTGTATTTCAATACATGATAAATTAATGAAAATTTCTTATCTCCTCCAACAGTCGTATATCTTAAGAATTCATCATCATAAGCATTCTCTGGATTTTCACCAGAATTAATCCTTAATAATTAATGAATATAAAAGAGTTAGACGAGTACTGCAGCATGCTAATCATTTGTTTCAATGTCAATTAGAAAAAAAATAGTCTCTTTGGCCTGCTATCTTCAAATATGTATTATATACTTAACTTTGAATTTACAAATATAAAATGTCCATATTAAATGAATATATTGAGATACAGATCAATGCCAATGGTGAAAGTTATAGTTTGCATAAAAAAGAACACTGATTTAACCAAAATATTAACTACATTGAGATAATTCTTGCAAACATGTTTAGTTGTAGATCAATATTTACATAATATTTACATATTTCCTCAAAAATGTTATGACATCTTAGCCACTAAAGACTTAAGAATTACGTCAAATGCAAGTCTTAAATAATTTTAGGCAGACTGAATAGAATTGAAGGGGCAGAGAACATTCGTTCATACTTTACAGGTCTCTCAAATGCGTATAAGTCTTGATTATTCTGCTTCTAAGGATCTTGCTCAGTTTTAGCTTGGTCATGATTTATTGGTCTTGCTCAAAGTTTCAGCCATAAGGAAAAGGCGAGAGACGATGTAACACTAAATGAGAATTCTTAAAATATGTAGACTGTCCCTGTGAATTTGCCTAAGAAAAGCAACTTCTACATTGAAGGATGAGAAAAATAATTTTACTATTTATTTAGCATTGAATTGGTTTGGATTTTACCCCATTTGTATGGAGGGAAAAAATCTTGTTAGGTGAAATTTCCTTATTAAACAGTTGAAAGATTATTCATCTAGATTTGGAGAGTATTTTCTAGACATTGCTATGCATTCATCATGGGGTAATGCTTCTGTCTGTAGTTATAGAATTTACTTGTTGATAAGCCTGAACTGAAAGTTCATATATCTTCTCCTTCTTCATTGTTCATCTGCCCATATGGCCTAGACTCATAAGGATTGGTCTTTTTTCTCAGATGACACTAGTAATGATTCTTTAATGATGAAAGCAATCTAAATTGTGAATTTAGTGGAAAAGTACTGGATTGTGAGTGAGATGAGTGAATTTGAGACTTTGCCACTCATTAGCACTATAATCTTAGAAAGTCACGTATTCAAAATGAGTCTTGAATTTGTTTTTAATCTGTAAAATGGTGATAGTGATTACCTTACAAGGCTGTTGAGAGGATTAAATAAAATGTTGGGTGTGTAAGTCATAAGCCATAGAACATTATACAAATACAAATAATTATTTTATAGAAAGATTAGTAATTTGTTTTGCTAATAAATAAAAATCTTTGTTCAACTTGTTCATGGGTAAAGAGACTTTGCTTTGTATTTTAGCTTTTTCATTTCTGAAGGCACCGAAATAACTTTACTTATTTTTAAAAGTCTAGTTTCTTAGATAAAATGTGCTACTTATGTACATGCAAAAACAATGAGTTAATATTCAATGATTTCAGATGACTTCAATTTGAATATGCTAAAAGAGGCATGACCTTGTGATTTTAAGTTTAGTGTTTTTTAGTTTTTAAAATGCATTTCTATACTTCCATTTGGTTAATCTTGAATAATTTTAAGTGTATATTAGGCGATATATTAATTCCCAAATTGCGTCTTTAGTGAATGTGGATTTGTTTTTCCTCTATAACAGCAGTCCCCAAACTTTTTGGCACCAGGGACTGGTTTCGTGGAAGACAATTTTTCCATTGATGGGGTGAGGGGACAGGGATGGTTTCGGGATGAAACTTTTTCACCTCAGATCATCAGGCATTAGTTAGATTCTCACAAGGAGCACACAATCTAGATCCTTTGCAGGTTCACAGTAGGATTCATGCTCCTATGAGAATGTAATGTGGCAGCTGATCTGACAGGAGGCAGAGCTCTGGTGGTAATGTTCGATCTCCTTCTGCTCACCTCCTGCTGTGCAGGCAGGTTCCTAACAGTCTACTGACCAGTACCAGTCTGCGGCTCAGGATGGAGACCCCTGCTCTATAAGATTGGAAATGTCACTTTCAGTATAATACTGCCCTTGAAGCTTTGGTGCTCATTGTTACTGATTAATCCTTTCCAAAATAAAATTGGTTATTTTGGCTAGTTAAGCACTGAGCCATGAATGGAGTTGTTATTAAGAAGTTAATCAGACATAAACAACTTAAATTAATTGGTTATTTCAATTAATACCATGAAAAATCAGATTAATCTATTATGAGTTTCTCGCTCCTAAAATACAAATTGTGTAATGATGCAAATATTGTGATTACCATCTTTACATTTCTCAATATAATACGAAGTCAAAAATAAACTTTCTTTGTTTTATTATTATATTTTAAGTTTTAGGGTACATGTGCACAATGTGCAGGTTTGTTACATATGTATACATGTGCCATGTTGGTGTGCTGCACCCATTAACTCGTCATTTAACATTAGGTATATCTCCTAATGCTATCCCTCCCCCCTCCCCCAACCCCACAACAGGCCCCGGTGTGTGATGTTCCCCTTCCTGTGTCCATGTGTTCTCATTGTTCAATTCCCACCTATGAGTGAGAACATGTGGTGTTTGGTTTTTTGTCCATGCAATAGTTTGCTGAGAATGATGGTTTCCAGCTTCATCCATGTCCCTACAAAGGACATGAACTCATCCTTTTTTTATGGCTGCATAGTATTCCACAGTGTACACGTCCTACATTTTCTTAATCCAGTCTATCATTGTTGGACATTTGGGTTGGTTCCAAGTCTTTGCTATTGTGAATAGTGCCGCAATAAACATACGTGTGCATGTGTCTTTGTAGCAGCATGATTTATAATCCTTTGGGTATATGCCCAGTAATGGGATGGCTGGGTCAAATGGTATTTCTAGTTCTAGATCCCTGAGGAATCGCCACACTGACTTCCACAATGGTTGAACTAGTTTACAGTCCCACCAACAGTGTAAAAGTGTTCCTATTTCTCCACATCCTCTCCAGCACCTGTTGTTTCCTGACTTTTTAGTGATCGCCATTCTAAATGGTGTGAGATGGTATCTCATTGTGGTTTTGATTTGCATTTCTCTGATGGCCAGTGATGATGAGCATTTTTTCATGTGTCTTTTGGCTACATAAATGTCTTCTTTTGAGAAGTGTCTGTTCATATCCTTTGCCCACTTTTTGATGGGGTTGTTTGTTTTTTTTCTTGTAAATTTGTTTGAGTTCATTGTAGATTCTGGATATTAGCCCTTTGTCAGATGAGTAGATTGCAAAAATTTTCTCCCATTCTGTAGGTTGCCTGTTCACTCTGATGGTAGTTTCTTTTGCTGTGCAGAAGCTCTTTAGTTTAATTAGATCCCATTTCTCAATTTTGGCTTTTGTTGCTATTGCTTTTTGTGTTTTAGACATGAAGTCCTTGCCCATGCCTAGGTCCTGAATGGTATTATCTAGGTTTTCTTCTAGGGTTTTTATGGTTTTAGGTCTAACATTTAAATCTTTAATGCATCTTGAATTAATTTTAGTATAAGGTGTAAGGAAGGGATCCACTTTCAGCCTTCTACATATGGCTAGCCAGTTTTCCGAGCACCATTTATTAAATAGGGAATCCTTTCTCCATTTCTTGTTTTTGTCAGGTTTGTCAAAGATCAGATAATTGTAGACATGTGGCATTATTTCTGAGGGCTCTGTTCTGTTCCATTGGTCTATATCTCTGTTTTGGTACCAGTACCATGCTGTTTTGGTTACTGTAGCCTTGTAGTATAGTTTGAAATCAGGTAGCATGATGCCTCCAGCTTTGTTCTTTTGGCTTAGGATTGTCTTGGCAATGCAGGCTCTTTTTTGGTTCCATATGAACTTTAAAGTAATTTTTTCCAATTCTGTGAAGAAAGTCCTTGGTAGCTTGATGGGGATGGCATTGAATCTATAAATTACTTTGGGCAGTATGGCCATTTTCATGATATTGATTCTTCCTACCCATGAGCATGGAATGTTCTTCCATTTGTTTGTGTCCTCTTTTATTTTGTTGAGCAGTGGTTTGTAGTTCTCCTTGAAGAGGTCCTTCACATCCCTTTTAAGTTGGATTCCTAGGTATTTTATTCTCTTTGAAGCAATTGTGAATGGGAGTTCACTCATGATTTGGCTCTCTGTTTGTCTGTTATTGGTGTATAAGAATGCTTGTGAATTTTGCACATTGATTTTGTATCCTGAGACTTTGCTGAAGTTGCTTATCAGCTTAAGGAGATTTTGGGCTGAGACGATGGGGTTTTCTAGATATACAATCATGTCATCTGCAAACAGGGACAATTTGACTTCCTCTTTTCCTAATTGAATACCCTTTATTTCCTTCTCCTGACTCATTGCCCTGGCCAGAACTTCCAACACTATGTTGAATAGGAGTGGTGAGACAGGGCATCCCTGTCTTGTGCCAGTTTTCAAAGGGAATGCTTCCAGTTTTTGCCCATTCAGTATGATATTGGCTGTGGGTATGTCATAAATAGCTCTTATGATTTTGAGATAGGTCCCATCAATACCTAATTTATTGAGAGTTTTTAGCATGAAGGGCTGTTGAATTTTGTCAAAGGTGTTTTCTGCGTGTATTGAGATAATCATGTGGTTTTTGTCTTTGGTTCTGTTTATATGCTGGATTATGTTTATTGATTTTCATATGTTGAACCAGCCTTGCATCCCAGGGATGAAGCCCACTTGATCATGGTGGATAAGCTTTTTGATGTGCTGCTGGATTCGGTTTGCCAGTATTTTATTGAGGATTTTTGCATCAATGTTCATCAAGGATATTGGTCTAAAATTCTCTTTTTTTTGTTGTGTCTCTGCCAGGCTTTGGTATCAGGATGATGCTGGCCTCATAAAATGAGTTAGGGAGGATTCCCTCTTTTTCTATTGATTGGAATAGTTTCATAAGGAATGGTACCAGCTCCTCCTTGTATCTCTGGTAGAATTCGGCTGTGAATCCATCCGGTCCTGGACTTTTTTTGGTTGGTAAGCTATTAATTATTGCCTCAATTTCAGAGCCTGTTATTGGTCTATTCAGAGATTCAACTTCTTCCTGGTTTAGTCTTGGGAGAGTGTATGTGTTGAGGAATTTATCCATTTCTTCCAGATTTTCTAGTTTATTTGCGTAGAGGTGTTTATAGTATTCTCTGATGGTAGTTTGTATTTCTGTGGGATCGGTGGTGATATCCCCTTTGTCATTTTTCATTGCGTCTATTTGATTCTTCTGTCTTTTCTTCTTTATTAGTCTTGCTAGTAGTCTATCAATTTTGTTGATCTTTTAAAAAAACCAGCTCCTGGATTCACTGATTTTTTGAAGGGTTTTTTGTGTCTCTATTTCCTTCAGTTCTGCTCTGATCTTAGTTATTTCTTGCCGTCTGCTAGTTTTTGAATGTGTTTGCTCTTGCTTCTCTAGTTCTTTTAATTGTGATGTTAGGGTGTCAATTTTAGACTTTCCTGCTTTCTCTTGCGGGCATTTAGTGCTATAAATGTCCCTCTATGCACTGCTTTGAATGTGTCCCAGAGATTCTGGTATGTTGTGTCTTTGTTCTCGTTGGTTTCAAAGAACATCTTTATTTCTGCCTTCATTTCGTTATGTAGCCAGTAGTCATTCAGGAGCAGGTTGTTCAGTTTCCATGTAGTTGAGTGGTTTTGAGTGAGTTTCTTAATCCTGAGTTCTAGTTTGATTGCACTGTGGTCTGAGAGACTGTTTGTTATAATTTCTGTTCTTTTAATTTGCTGAGGAGAGCTTTACTTCCAACTATGTGGTCAATTTTGGAATATGTGTGGTGTGGTGCTGAAAAGAATGTATATTCTGTTGATTTGGGGTGGAGAGTTCTGTAGATGTCTATTAGGTCCACTTGGTGCAGAGCTGAGTTCAATTCCTGGATATCCTTGTTAACTTTCTGTCTTGTTGATCTGTCTAATGTTGACAGTGGGGTGTTAAAGTCTCCCATTATTATTGTGTGGGAGTCTAAGTCTCTTTGTAGGTTTCTAAGGGCTTGCTTTATGAATCTGGGTGCTCCTGTATTGGGTGCATATATATTTAGGATAGTTATCTCTTCTTTTTGAATTGATCCCTTTACCATTATGTAATGGCCTTCTTTGTCTCTTTTGATCTTTGTTGGTTTAAAGTCTGTTTTATCAGAGAGTAGGATTGCAACCCCTGCCTGTTTTTGTTTTCCATTTGCTTGGTAGATCTTCCTCCATCCCTTTATTTTGAGCCTATGTGTGTCTTTGCACGTGAGATGGGTGTCCTGAATACAGCACACTGATGGGTCTTGACTCTTTATCCAATTTGCCAGTCTGTGTCTTTTAATTGGAGCATTTAGCCCATTTACATTTAAGGTTAGTATTGTTATGTGTGAATTTGATTCTGTCATTATGATGTTGGCTGATTCTTTTGCTCGTTAGTTGATGCAGTTTCTTCCTAGCCTTGATGGTCTTTACAATTTGGCATGTTTTTGCAGTGGCTGGTACTGGTTGTTCCTTTCCATGTTTAGTGCTTCCTTCAGGAGCTCTTTTAGGGCAGGCCTGGTGGTGACAAAATCTCTCAGCATTTGCTTGTCTGTAAAGGATTTGTTTTCTCCTTCACTTATGAATCTTAGTTTGGCTGGACATGAAATTCTGGGTTAAAAATTCTTTTCTTTAAGAATGTTGAATATTGGCCCCCACTCTCTTCTGGCTTGTAGAGTTTCTGCCAAGAGATCAGCTGTTAGTCTGATGGGCTTCCCTTTGTGGGTAACCTGACCTTTCTCTCTGGCTGCCCTTAACATTTTTCCCTTCATTTCAACTTTGGTGAATCTGATAATTGTGTGTCTTGGAGTTGCTCTTCTCGAGGAGTATCTTTGTGGCATTCTCTTTATTTCTTGAATTTGAATGTTGGCCTGCCTTGCTAGATTGAGGAAGTTCTCCTGGATGATATCCTGCAGAGTGTTTTCCAACTTGGTTCCATTCCCCCCGTCACTTTCAGGTACACCAATCTGACGTGGATTTGGTCTTTTCACATAGTCCCATATTTCTTGGAGGCTTTGTTCATTTCTTTTTATTCTTTTTTCTCTGAACTTCTCCTCTCGCTTCATTTCATTCATTTCGTCTTCCATCGCTCATACCCTTTCTTCCAGTAGATCGCATCGGCTACTGAGACTTGTGCATTCTTCACGTAGTTCTCGTGCCATGGTTTTCAGCTCCATCAGGTCCTTTAAGGACTTCTCTGCATTGGTTATTCTAGTTAGCCATTCGTCTAAGCTTTTTTCAAGGTTTTTAACTTCTTTGCCATGGGTTCGAACTTCCTCCTTTAGCTCGTAGTAGTTTGATCATCTGAAGTCATTCTCTGTCCAGCTTTGTTCCGTTGCTGGTGAGGAGCTGCGTTCCTTTGGAGGAGGAGAGGCACTCTGATTTTTAGAATTTTCAGTTTTTCTGCTCTGTTTTTTCCCCATCTTTGTGGTTTTATCTACCTTTGGTCTTTGATGATGATGACGTACAGATGGGATTTTGGTGTGGATGTCCTTTCTGTTTGCTGGTTTTCCTTCTAACAGTCAGGACCCTCAGCTGCAGGTCTGTTGGAGTTTGCTGGAGGTCCACTCCAGACCCTGTTTGCCTGGGTATCAGCAGCGGAGGCTGCAGATCAGTGGATATTGGTGAACAGCAAATGTTGTTGCCTAATCGTTCCTCTGGAAGTTTTGTCTCAGAGGAGTACCTGGCCATGTGAGGTGTCAGTCTGCCCCTACTGGGGGGTGCCTCCCAGTTAGGCTACTCGGGGGTCTGGGACCCACTTGAGGAGGCAGTCTGTCCGTTCTCAGATCTCAAGCTGCATGCTGGGAGAACCACTACTCTCTTCCAAGCTGTCAGACAGGGACATTTAAGTCTGCAGAGGTTTCTGCTGCCTTTTGTTTGGCTATGCCCTGCCCCCAGAGGTGGAGTCTACAGAGGCAGGCAGGCCTCCTTGAACTGCGGTGGGCTCCACCCAGTTCGAGCTTCCAGGCCGCTTTGTTTACCTACTGAAGCCTCAGCAATGGCGGGCGCCCCGCCCCCAGCCTCACTGCCACCTTGCAGTTCGATCTCAGACTGCTGTGCTAGCAATGAGCGAGGCTCTGTGGGCATAGGACCCTCCTAGCCAGGCACGGACATAATCTCCTGGTGTGCTGCTTGCTCAGTTGGAAATGCAGAAATCATTTGTCTTCTGCGTCGCTCACCCTGGGAGCTGTAGACTGGAGCTGTTCCTATTCGGGCACCTTGGCTCCACCAAAAATAAATTTTCTTTAACAATTAGGTATCGCAGAAGTAGCTGCATATTGTATACCTTTCAGTGGTGTGTTGCAGATTAGTTACTAGCACTCTTACATTTAATTATAGGGAACAATGGTCTGGTTTAAGTACAATGGCTGATATTTTAAAATAGGCAGTGATGATTTGTATATAAACAGATATTTTCAATATAGTCATACAGAATCATTGTCTGAATTGTCTTTCTGTTCTGTAATATTTAGAGAATAGTAAATAAGTCCATTTTCCATTTTTAAAACTCACTTGAAGCTAGAGTAGAAAACAAAACAATTAAAGTGACGATAATGAAGCCTTCACTCAAATAAAAAATGGTTACTATAGTAACAAAATTAGAGCATTACAATAAAAATGGAATGAAAAGATAATTTCAAATGCTATATTAATCTTTTGAAATATGGAAAGAAGAGTTGCTGTTTGATATTTAGAAGACAGTCGGCTGCTGTTGAACCTTCCAAGATGACTGATTTTTCTTTGTCTCTTCTTTTTTAAAAAAAATTTTTTTTTTGAGACAGTGCTCACTATGTTGCCCAGATTGGTCTTGAACTCCTGGCCTCAAGCAATCCTCCCACCTCAGCCTCCCAAAGTTCTGGGAAAAAAGATGTGAGCCACCAAACCCGGCCTCTCTCCTCTCTTACATATAAATGTGAAAGCCTCTGACTGCAGATATTAACTAGAAGAGAAGGGAAATGTTAGTTTTGTTTGTATTAATCTTCCTAAGACTGATTACAATCACTTTATTGAAGCAACTTATGGAATGGAGGGCAGATTGAATGAAGCGATGCATTTACAAATGACCTAAAGAATCTCATTTTCGTGTTTATTTTCTACTTTCTCCATCTCATGGAGATGGCTCATCTCATGCAGTCATAATATAATAGATTTTACTAAAGAGGGAAAAAGGGGAAAATCTAGAGTTTGGGATGAGTACGGAACTGCATATTCAGTAGGTTCCATATTAAAACCACTGAGATTATATTATATTGAGGTCACTTTAAAATTTTATGCTAGTGGTATAGTGATTGTCAGAAAGCGATTGGTATTAGCACATCTTCTTGGATCTGGAAACTGAAGATACAAGTTTTTAGTCATAAAGGGAGTGAATTTTAAAAAAGAAATTAAGACTATATGATATTTAGATATTTTAATTATTTAAGCTTTGCTCCTATTGTGTTATTTTTAATATGATAATTGGAATACATGTGGTTAGATATTTTAATAAAATATGAAAAAATTACAATTGACATAATTAACCATCCCAGGGTTATGAGACAATAACCAATACACTATTGTCTAACAAATAGTATCTCAGCTCTAATTGCAGCTAAACTGTCCAGCATAAAGAAAGCATTTTAGAAATTCTAGCCCTGCAAAGCCATATTATACAGAGGAATCTTGGACCCTCATCTGAATTCCTATAGCTGTTACTGTCTGTTACGTTCATTTGACACAGAGGTACCATCATATGTTGAGCATTTTGTGTGTATATATCTCATCTTGTCCACTAGACCACAAGTCCTTTAAGAGAAAGGCCTTAGACTTTATATCTCTAACAATTCTTTGTGTAGATGGTGCTAATTTAGTCTTATTACAAGGTGCATAACATGCAGATTTCTTTTTTTTTTTGAGATGGAGTCTCACTCTGTTACCAGGCTGGAGTACAGTGGCACAATCTCGGCTCACTGCAACCTCCGCCTCCTGGGTTCAAGCGATTCTCCTGCCTCAGCCTCCCGAGTACCTGGGATTACAGGCATGTGCCACCACGCCCAGTTAATTTTTGTATTTTTAGTAGAGACAGGCTTTCACCATGTTGGCCAGGATGGTCTTGATCTCTTGACATGTTGATCCGCCCACCTCGGCCTCCCAAAGTGCTGGAATTACAGGCGTGAGCCACTGCACCTGGCCAACATGCAGATTTTATATTAAATTTTTTTTGCTTGTAATGCCTAACAATAATGAAGAGTACCTGGGTAATAGTACTCTATGAACCTAAGAATAGTTTAAAATTAAAGCTACTAAAAACGAAATAGAAATGACTATTTTAGCTTTGGCATGGGACATTTTTGGTGTGTAATTTTGATAACAATGTGTTGTTGATAATCTCACACTGGAAAGGCTAAATATAATGCATGTGCCATAATATATAAGTATGCTTAAAGTTCTTGTATCTGTTACCAAGGTTTTTGTTTATAATCCTTGAAATACTGTCATAGTCAAATTGCATTGGAAGAGAAAAGTCATGGAAACATTTTCATTTTAATCTGTTTACTGAATTTTAGAGTTGCTTTTTGTTGGCCCAGGTTTTCAAAGAAATGACATTTGGTACTGTAGTCAGTGCTTGCTATTTGTTTTTTAACTACAGTAATACAAGATCATCTTATTTCTCTATATAAAGGGAATTCTGCTCTGTATAATTCCTGAAGAATTAATTCAGCCATTATTTGAGACAATGTGAAAGAAACAATCACTGTAAAGTGACACAAAAATAATTTCAATTAGATTCACAGTGTTCAGTTTGCAGGCTCTATCATGACATTTAGATGCTAGAGTTAAACTATGTGATCCATTAACAATTAGACATTAACACCCTTTTCTTCTGTCTCTCTTCATGCAAATGGAGTGTCAGGAGTATAAATGCTGTCTGAACCTCAAGGAATTATAGAGGTAACTTTCTGCCCTCATTGTATGTCAAATTACTAGACTATTAGATTAACAAAAGAAATACTTATGACCTGCTGACCAGATTTTTGGCATCCCCTCAGCCTTCCAAATCCTGTGGTGATATTCAGTGCCTCTTAATTTACACGACAAAGCAAATGTTGTATGAAAGCAAGGTGGTTATTGAGCCTTGGAGGTTGCTAATAGCTTTGCAATTATCCCTTGCACTTTCATGGTGGCGGAGTATAGATGGCATCTTTGGTTCCTTCCAATTCTAATATTTGAATAATTTTAACAGTTATGAGAAATAGTTGAGCTGCTCTCAGTGGCTACTGTGGTCAAATGCCAGGATTCCTGCTAAATATGTACACGTGTAGCTATGCACAAAACGAAAAACACTTGGTCCATGCAAATTAATTTTCAAAAATAAGCATAGTGACCCTCTGTGTCTTTGTGCATACCCTCTGCTCTAGTCTGAAATGTCCTTTGGACCCTCTCTCAGGTCATGAGTCAAAGGTCACTTCCACTGTAAGATCATTTTCGGCTGCTCCAGAAGGATTAGGAACTTTGTCCATGATTCCCGTTTCTCCAGGCCTCACCAGCCTTTGAGTTTCACGTAAATAATAATACCTCAAATAAGTTGTACATGCCCCCATCTGTTTGACACATGACTACAGGTTTCTTTAAAGATCCTTCCCCCAAGAGTTTCTGGAACGTTTCAAGGGTTCCCTTATGTGTATTTGTTACAGGTAGTTAGACAGATATGAGTGGGGCAGGAGAGGGCTCTTCCCCCACCCACCAGTTAATGTCAGGTGATGGTTCAACAATTATCACATTGCCTCTCTAAAAATGATAATTCGGCAACCGTGCCAGGGAGAGACAATCTCCTGATGGTCCACAGCTGTTACATTAGAGTGTTAATTGAATGCAGGCACCAGGGAGAAGCAAAAAGAGCTTCCAATAAAATCGCAGGTACTGGGTGAGTGAGCCTGGGCATGTACATTAAGAGACAAAATGGTGGAGTATGACCTTCTGGGGGCACTCCACCGGAAAAGGGAAGAAACCCTCAGATGGGCATGCATGCAACTTCTAAACACACTGCGCGTGCTCACCTCCCAAGCGTAAGGAGGGCACTGCGCATGTGGGCAGCCCACACTAAGGGAAGAAGCATGGGAAAGGGGTGCAATACACCAGAAGTGGGTCAGCCTATAAAGTCCTAAGATCAAAGTTAAATGCCACACTTGACCTTCTTGGTGCCCACCTGGGTCTCTTCCAAGTGTACTTTCCTTTCTTTCCTGCTCTAAAGCTTTTTAATACAATTTCACTCCTGCTCTGAAACTTGCCTTGGTCTTTTTTTCTGCCTTATTCCCCTCAGTTGGATTGTTTCTTCTGAGGAGGCAAGAACTGAGGTTGCTGCAGACCCATGTGATTCTCTGCCAGTAACTCAGATACTTTCTACCAGTAACATATTTATGAACAAATCAGTCCACTGAGTGCAACAGCACCTTTACCAGGCTGCCTACTTCTTTTACTTGCTCTTGTTTGTCTCTAGTATTACCCTCTATTGATGAGGGATCCCATGGAATGATGCCTATAACCCCAAGTACTTTGTAACTGCCCATCGGGTTTACCTCACCTGCTGCCTAGACAAAGCCAATTTATCAAGACAAGGGAATTGCAATGGAGAAAGAGTACTTCATAGAGCTGGCTGTGTGGGAGACTGGAGTTTTATTACTCAAATCCGTCTCATGGAGAATTTGGGGATTGGCGTTTTAAACAGATATTTTGGCGGCTAGGGGCTAGGAAAGTGGGAAGTGCTGATTGGTCAGGTTGGAGGTGGAATCATAGGGGATCGAAGTGAGGTTTTCTTGCTGTCTTCTGTTCCTGGGTGGGAAGGCAGAACTGGTTGAGCCAGATTACCAGTCTGGGTTATGTCAGCTGATCTATCCAGTGCAGGATCTGCAAATATCTCAAGCACTGATCTCAGGTTTTACAATAGTGATGTTATCCCCAAGCAATTTGGGAAGTTCAGACTTTTGCAGACAGAGGCTGCATGACCCCTAAACCATAATTTCTAATCTTGTAGCTAATTTGTCAGTCCTACAAAGGCAGACTGGTCCCCAGGCAAGAAGGGGTCTTTTCAGTAAAGGGCTATTATCAATTTTGTTTCAGAGTGAAACCATAAACTGCACTTCTTCCCAAGGTTACTTCGGCCTATGCTCAGGAATGAACAAGTACAGCTTAAAACTTAGACGCAAGATGGAGTCAATTAGGTCTAATCTCTTTCACTGTCATAATTTCCTCAGTTTAAAATTTTTGCAAAGGCGGTTTCAACTTAAGAGTTTAGGACTTATTTGAGGCTGGATCAAGAGGCTAATACAAATGACATACATCATGTTCTACCCAATATCACTGCACCCCTAGAGGACTGACTGTACTCCTGGACCCCTCTTTTCTCAGGAAGAGTGATTCCAAGATGCTCCTTAGCACATGGACTTTAACTGGGTTTATTCAACCAGTTTGCAAGATATGTCTATTCTTGTCTGATCATGCACAGACTCAAATTGAGACTCCCATAATTTTATTTTAAAATGATAAGCTGCATCTTTAAGATGATTTGATGTAAGACCTGGTAGGTGTAAGATCCACTGAAAGAGAGAAAATCATTTTCTGCAATTAGATAACCCAGTGACTCCCATCCTTAGTTATCTCGGTTGTTTCTCTTAGTTTGTGTACACTGATTCCCCCATCCTCACCTCATCCCACTACTTGTACTAACTCGGTTCATGGCAACTCCCAGAAATCTTTCCATACAAACCTTGATTATTGTCTTCTGTGACCCTGACTCATGGATGAGATAGGAACCCTGAATACCTTTTTCTCAATCTTCCTATCCAGCTTCTATCTTATTGGATACAGCTAGTATAGCCCTTCTCCCACTCTACTGTAATAATTCAATATTGTCAACTCTGTCCCAAGTTCAGATAATTTTGGTAATGGGTATTGCCAGGTGCTCTTTTCATGAGCAGTTTTCCCAGGCCTATATCCAGCTTCTCTGCTTTCTGTATTAGGATGGTAGGCACAAACAGGCTGGCAAGTGTTGTCAGAGAAATGGCTGTCAAATATGCTGATGAAAAGTCTGTTTTGCTTGAGAGATATTAAGAAAATAGAAAAATCTATATAAACCTCATTTTTATATTTTTTAAGAAATTAGATTGTTTTAAATTAACAGCTTAATTAAGATATAATTCACATATAACACATTTCACCCTTTTAAAGTGTACATGTTAATATTGTTTAGCATATTTACACATATGTGCAATCATTATCACAGTCAATTTTAGAACATTTTCATCACCTCAAAAAAAAAACAAAACAAAACAAAACTGTGCACCCTTTAACTATCACCTTCATCCCATAAACCTTCCCAGACCTAAGTAAACACTATCTACTGTCTCTATGGATTTGCTTATTCCGGATATTTCATATAAATAAAATCATCTAGTATGTGATCTGTTGTGACTGTCTTCTTCCAATTAGCATAATGTTTTCAAAGTTCATCTCTCTGGTAGCACGCATCAGTATCTCGTTCTTTTCTATGACTAAATAATGTTTCATTGTACAGTTATGCTATAATTTGTTTATCCAGTCATTCATTGATGGACATAGGACTGTTTCCATTCTTTGGCTATTGTGAATAGTGCTGCAGTGAGTCACATGCGTACACGTACTTCTTTGAATACTTGTTTTCAATCTTTTGGGTATATACCTACGAGTGAACTTGCAGGGTAATAAGGTAATTCTATGCTTTTTATTTTTATTTTTATTTAGGCAGGATCTCACTATATCACCCAGGCTAGAGTGAATTGGCATGATCATGGCTCACTGCAGCCTCGACCTCCCAGGCTCAAGTGATCTTTCCACCTCAGCCTCCAGAGTAGCTGGGACTACAGGCATGTGCCACCATGCCCAGCTAATTTTTAAATTTTTTTTAGAGACGAGGTCTCATTACGTTGCCCAAGCTTGTCTTGAACTTTTGGGCTCAAATGATTCTTCCACCTCAGCCTCCCAAAGTGCTAGCATTACAGGTGTGAGGCACTGTGTCTGGTCTTATGTTTGACTTTTTGAGAAACCCCCAAACTGTTTTCCATAGTGGCTGAACCATTTTCCATTCCCTACCAGCAATGTTTAAGGATTCCAATTTCTCCATGTCTTTACAAACACTTGTTCTTTTCTGTATTTTCAATGATAGCCATCCTAGTGGTTGTGCATTGTTGCAGTTGTGATTTGCATTTCCCTAGTATCTAACGATGTTAAATATCTTTTCCTGTGCTTATTGGCCATTTATATACTTTCTCTGGAGAAATCTCTAAGTGATTTGCTCATTTTAAATTGGGTTATATGTCTCTTTGTTGTTGAGTTGTAAGAGTTCTATATATAGTCTGGATAGTAGGCCATTTTCAGATACATGATTTTTAAATATTTTCTTCCCTTCTGTAGGTCATCATAACTTTCTTGATAATGTTCCTTCATGCAGAAAATATTTTAAAAATTTTTGACGATGTCTAACTTATCCATTTTTTCCATTCTTATCCATTGTTGAACATTCTTATCCATTGTTCATGCTTCGAGTGTCATATCTAAGAATCCACTGCCAAATCCTAGGTCATCAAGATTTACCTTTATGTTTTCTTCTAAGAGTTCTATGGTTTTGGCTCTTATTTTTAGGTTGATCATCCATTTTGAATTAATTTTTGAATATGGTATGAGGTAGGGGTCCAACTTTATTCTTTGCATGTGGATATCCAGTTGTCCTAGCACAATCTGTATAATAGACTATGTTCCCCCATTAAATGGTCTTGGCTCCCCTGTTGAAAATCAGTTGACTATAGACACATAGATGTATTTCTGGACTCTCAATTCCATTCCAGTGATCTATTATGTCTCTCCTTATGCCAGTACAACACTGTTTTGATTACTGTCGTTTTGTAGTAAGTTTTAAAATCAGGAATTGTGAGCCCTCCAACTTTTGTTCTTTTTCAAGATAGTTTTGGCTATTCTGAGTTTCTTGCAATTCCATATGAATTTTAGAATCATCTTGTGAATTTCTACAAATAAGCCAGCTGGAGTTCTGATAGAGATTGTGTTGAATGTGTCAATTAATTTGGGGAATATTGCATCTTAACAATATTAGATCTTCTGATACATAAAAAAAGATATTTTTCCAATTATGTAATCTTCTTTAGTTTCTTTCAACAGTTTTATAGATTTCAAAGTATACGTTTTGAACTTATTTTGTTAAATTAACAAAATTGTCTTGTTTAATTGCCCTGGCTAGAACCTCCAGTACTCTGTTATGAACAAATGGCAAGAATGGAATCCTTGTCTTGCTCTTAATCTCAGGGAAAATGCATCCAGTCTTTCACCATTAAGTATGACATTAGATGTGAGTTTTTCATAGATGTCCATTACCAGTTTAAGAAAATTTCTTTCTATTCCTAGTAAGAAATTATGTCTTTTAAATCAAAACATATGCAATTAAATTTAGGCATTAAAAATTATTATTTTTCCATTACTAAAGGGTTTCATTTTTCTGACAAATATTTCAGAGTTTAGGAATCTCCTGGTCTTTAAAAAGCAATATTTCATTAAACATTACCCTGTAGCTAAACTCTGGCCAAATTTATATTTTTGTCTCCAGATCTTTCAATCTCCCTCTCCCTATGTTACCTACTGGTTTTATTACACAAAAAATGTACTCAAATGTCAAGTGTTGTAATTAGATATTGCAGAGAGTGGGGATTTAAAATACTAAGTGATGTTCTTTACTACTCCCAAACTATAGAATAGATTAGAATGAAACCAATACTCTTGATACAATCTGTCCCTAAAATAGAAGCACACAGGAGCTAATCTTTATTCCTGGGTCTTTTCTCTTTCACCTTCACCTTCACTGTGTCGTGTACCTTGTGTCCAAGGTCTCTGGTGCCATGCCTTTGGCAATGCCTTGGAATTGTTTCTGAGTCAATCCTCTTGAGACAAGCAGCTTCTCTACTTAACCTGATGCAGCAGTAATGCAAAGGAAGACTTTCTAAATACTACACCTATGGAAATGAGTAGAATCACTGCTCAATAACTAGTAATTTAAGATTCGTATTCTAGAAATTAAATCATGGGAAATATTTCAAAACTAGATAGATTTTATGCAGTCTGAGGGTTGCTTAGCATTGCTTCAATACGTGGAGAAGCATAACCCTCATGGATCAGCAAGGGAAAAGCCACAGGACTTTGAAGTATGAATTATCTCTGTCTCCACACAAGAAGAGACTCAACTCAAATAGATAAATAGCTTTTTTTTTTTTTTGCCACAATCATTAAGTGGAAGCATGGATGTTTTGAATACCAAGGAATACTCAAGAATATATTATGCTGCATCTATCAGGAATGCTTTTAGTTGCAAATAACAGAAAATCTGAGTAAGAGTGGATTAAACAAATAAGAATTTATTTTTCTCACTTAAGTCTAAATGTGGTTTTCAAAGTGTGATCCACGGACCCCTGTGGGTCCTCAAGATCTTTTTAACAATAATTATAAGATTTTATTTGCCTTTTTTCCTGTTAACATTTGTATAGATGATGCTAAAGCAACAGAGGCTAAAACTGCTGGCATCTTAGCAAAGGGGTGACACCAAACTGTGCTGGCAGTAGTCATTGGTATCCTTCACTGCCATGAATTTGTGGAAAAAAAAAAAAAGCAAGTTCTACTTTAGAACATTCTTGAAGAAACAGTAAAATGTTAATTTTATTAAATCTCAACCCTCGAGTACACATTTTCTTAACATTCTGTGGGATAAAATGGAAAGTTTTAATAAGGTACTTCTGCTGCACACTGGAGTTTGATGGTTGTCTCAAGGAAAGAACTTGCAGAATTGAGTAACGAGCTGAATTGTCTGCTTTCCTCATGAAACATCATTTTTACTGTGGTGATACAGACTTGGGTATTTGGCAGATATTTTCTTGAAAATGAACAAAATAAGTCTGTCATTTTTAAGGAAAACAATTTAAAGTATTTGTTGCTGATAATAACATTCAAGCTTTCAAGTGAAAATTAGAGTTCTGGAAAAACTTACATCTGCCACCATGAGCTTGTCAGCTTCCCAACTTAAAGACTTGGTGGAATCAATGGTGGTATTAACAAATGTGATTTTTCGATATTTCATTATAAAATGGGTCATTAATTAGAAGTCCTGCATCACTCAGTGGGCCAGTATTTTCCAAATAATAAATTAATACCTCATGGTATGAACTAATAAGTGGATAGAAGACCCATTCAAAATGAAAGATTGAAAAATAGCTTTTAATATAATACAGTATGAAAAGCTCATTGATATGACTTCAGCTTCCATATTGCAATTGATCTTTTAAAAAAAACTATCGCTTGTTAAATTTCAGTGTAGTATCAAGCAGAAATATCTACGTTATCTGAAAAGGCCATTAACATACTCCTTTTTCAAACTAAATACCTGTGTAAGGCTAGAATTTCTTCATATAATTGAACCAGAACAGCATATTACAGCAGATTGAATTCAGAAGGAGATGAGTCCAGCTGTCTTCTATTATTCCAGACTTTGAAGAAATTTGCAGAAATGTCAAACAGTACTACTCCTTTCCCTAAATTTATTTTTTGAAAATATGATTTTCATGAAAATGTTTCTTATGTTAACATGTAATAGATATTCTTTTTATGTTTAAATAAATTAATAAATAAAATTTTAAAAAATCTCTCCATTTTTATTTATACTATGGTAAACATCAGTGGATATGTTCCATATTAGAGAAAGGTTTTAGGCAATCCTCAATAATTTTAAAAAACTCTTTACTTTGAAATAATTTTAGATTTACAGAAGAGTTACAGAGATAACAGCTTCTACATATCCTTTATTCAGCTTCCTCTGTTAACGTTTTATATAAACATTACACATTTATCAAAGCTGAGAAATTAATATTCCTCAATAATAAGTGTGATTATAAAGAGTTCTGAGACCAAAAAGTTTGAGATCTGCTGTTCTACAGGTAAGCAGTTGCTAATATTGGTTCAGCTGCTCAACAGCACCATCAAAGACCCAGAAATTATGTCTTTTATTTCCTTTCTATTGTCTTTTTGTCTTATGATTATCATCTCATGGTTGTAAGATGGCTCAGAGGTCCAAATTTCTCTTCTTAGTCTAAGGCTGAAATAAGAGGGAAGACAGTGTCAGCAAGCTCTCCTTTTATGCCCTGTCCCTTTTACCAGGAAGCAAAATGTTTTCTAGCAAGAGCCCACCATGCTCTCTTTAATATCTTATTGGTCAGAACTCACCAAGCTATAGCTTGGCCTAGAGGCCCAACCCTAGATAAATTGCTAGGGGAAGACAATGGAACTAAAATGACTAGAACAATTAGCTTACCAACTGGGGCTGGGTTAGAGCTCTGTCCACCCTGAGATTAAGGGATATCTACCTACTCCTTGAAAAAAGTCAGGTTCTAGTATTAAGGAAGAAGAGTGGAGACAATTGCTTTTAGGTGGAGAATTGGTATTTTAACTGTCAGGCTGGAATTTCTATAAGAGATTATAGGATTGAAAAGTGAACGGGCTACTGAATACATCCTGATTTTACAAGTGTGGAGGGAGTGGTGGCATTATTTGGGACTACATCTAGCCACTTTAAACACCTGGCACACAAATACTAGCACTAGACCTTGAATTGCTATTTATCAGCAACTCCCTCTACACATTTCATAGTAATGTATAAGAAGATGGCAAATAAGAGAGTAACTCTCAATTCCAATTTATTCCATTGACAATAATTCCAGGAAATCTCAAAATGTGAATGAAAATGACTTTCATCTGAAGGGCTTGCCAGGATGTAGGGTAGAAGGTGAGGTTGAAGAGGAAATTTAGGGCTAGGACTTAGGTGTTTCTCTATTCGCATAACATGTGGAGTGAGCACAAAAGGAGCAGCACATCATAAAATTGAATGACTCAAAGCCATTCTGGGAATAATGTAGGAGGAAAACTGTGCCAGAGACCCATAAAGAAAGAACTCTTAGAGAATAGAATTGTCATTAAACCCCACTGTCAATATGCTTGTAATCATAGTAGTACAAAATCTGGAAAGATTCCAATACATATAGATTAATATGCTTTTAACCTGCACACTAAGAGTATACAGAACCTTAAATATAAAGTGCTTTGCACTGTTTGGTAAGCAGCCAGTATTTTATCATACTAAATTTATAAAAGAATATTATTAAGTTGGTGCAAAAATAATTGCGGTTTTTGCCATTTGGCAAAACCAGACAGGAATAGTAGCAACTATTTGGCAAATGTCACGGGCCAGCAAACAGGAATAGTAGCAATCATTTGGCAAAAACTGCAACTACGTTTGCACAAATCTAATATCGTATATCTGACTCATGAGCATAACAAAGTATGTATGTATACAAGGAAGTAACTCAAGGGAAATTCACTTTATCTTGGTCTATGTCATTTCCTACTGTAGTGACCTGGACATTGGATTTCTTTTACCTAAGTCTCAATGCAAGCAGCTGTTCTATACCTCTTATTCCTTGGAATCTTCTTACAAAGTATGAGGAGTAGTATAAGCCTCTTCTTCTAGCTTAGTATATGTAGTGTTAAATCCAGATGTAAATTTTGTGATTGCTACATATTATAAGCAAGGACAATCCTTTCAACTTGGTCACTGTATAACAGAAAGCATTCATAGCAGCAACTCCCACCCCACCCAGAGACAGAATGCATAAATCTGCCTTTGGGATTCCAGTGTATTAAAACACTGGAACTGATTACTTAACCTACTATCCCAGGTGTATTCTACAGTTGGAATTCATGTGTTTTCTTGAATCATTTTGGGAATCACTTCTATGTATAGGTTACTCTATTCCCTCTAATTAGCAGGGTAGCCCACAGTAGTCTTCTAACAGACCACTTTCAAAATAGTCTATTAGCTTGTATGGTGATAATCCCCAGCTTTGTTTATGTATCTCTCCCAAGATCCCAAGGTATTTTTATCCATAGGACACAAAAGCTACTGATTCCTGTTCTGGAATTCTGCGCTAACAACTGATTTATTTACACTGACTGGTTACTACAGAAATGGGAGAAACGTAAGCACATAGGCTTGGTTTGTCATATTATACAATAACTAAAACACCCCTCCCCTTTAAAAATGTTCCTCATTACCCAATATTCTGTCCAGTAGTTCCTCTGGTGCTGTCCCACAGTGCTATCCATCCAAGATCATAGTAGGCCTGTATTTCTGGGTGCTAGAGAGGACACCCCCAACTCTGGGGTCAGAATGTTCCTAAGGCAACAGTTAAGAGTTAGGGAAGTGCCTATACTTCTGCTATGTTTAGGGGAATGACTGCATTTAATGGTGGAATTTTACAGAATTTTAAATGGGATTTTTTCATCACAATTTCTGCTAAACTCCTAAAGCTGAAGAGAGTAAGTGTGAAGTACCCACCCCTCATTCTAAAATAAGCAACAAGTAGCTGTAAGACACCCACTCTAAGGCTTTCTACCAAATATTTAAACTGGTTCTGTTAACCACACTCCCATATGCTTCCCAGCCAAGCTATATAGGAAGAGAAGTGTGTTGAATTAAATTAATTCATAACGATAAGTAAGTGAGTGGTGGAGAGAATGGGATATTTCCTACAGTCTTGATACTTCCTTTAGATTGGAGAAGGAAGAAATAGAAAGAAATATGTAGATCATAAGAACAAAGAAGACAAGGATCCTTCACCCTGAAGCTTTGCAGTGCAGATGGTGAGATCTCATGACCCCAGACAGGAAATGGCTGTGGTATGTGTTGTCTAAGATGGGACCAAAAGAAACCTAATAAATTATACCCATGTCCCAAATGTGGCACTGAACAATAAAAAGATTACCATGGTCTAAGTAGGCACTGAACAGTAGCTCTCTGCTGGACCCCCTGGGACACCAGACAGCAATAGTAGTAACTACCGCTGGCAACCTACGTGAACTGATAGGCAGGAACTAGAGGCAGGAACTAGATAGCTCCACCTTTTTCCCCCATGCCTTAGCATTGTATAAGACTTACATGAAGGATTGTCAATTTCTCCGTCTTTCTAAGAAGGGCTCATTATAGGATAGCCTTAGACTCTTAAAAAACACAACAAAAGTTGTATTCAGGGGTGATGGAGCTGGAAGGAATATGGCAGGCCTGTCAGGCACATTTTGAGCATTTTCAGGAGAATTGGTGGGATTAGAAAGCAAGGGATCCATGTGTATTGCACTAGAGGCTAATGTTTCTTCTAGAAAAGAATTTAGGGGAAGAATCAAGATGAATGAATTCCACTCTGGAAAAAGACCAGTGCTTAAGGACAGAAGGGAAGTGGACTCTAAGTATAATATGGTGTATATCAGATTGTATTCTAGGCCAGGCTCAACAAACTCAAGTCTGGATCCTTTAGCAAGGAGCCTGCAGCAAAAAGGGTAAATCTAATTGAGACATTCAAAGCCAAATAACCTGCAGCATTGGCACCAACAGTTTTGGCACTAATATGATACGGTATCTGTGGTGCCATATGTGTTTAGCTTCCTAAGTAGGTACTAAATGATAGCTCTCTGCTAGACCCCATGGGCCATCACACATGGATAGTAACAAATTCCTGTGATAATAACAAATTACCAAAATCTTGGTGGCTATTCCAGCTTCTGGTGGCTCTTGGCATTCCTTGGTTTATGGCAGCATAACTCCAATTTCTACTTCTGTCTTCACACGGCCTTCTCCTCTGTGTGACACTGTGTGTTCTTTTTTGTCCCTTATAAAGATACTTCTATCGGATTTAGAGTCTACCCTAATCATAGTATGATCTCATCTCAACTCTTAATTACATCTTTAAAGGCCCTATTTCAAGGAAGGTCACATTTTGAGGTTCCAGGTGGATATGAATTTTGGGGGAGGTATTATTTAACCCATTAAAATCAGCAATCTCAGTGCAGGCATCTGCAGCATTATCACAGGAGGGAGTCAGCATCTGTAATATTGCCTTGGTGCAGCAAAGATATTAGGCATTGATGTTCTTGCTAAAGGTATTCGCATCCTGAAGCCATCTGTGTAGAGCGGCAATGGAACATGTTTTAGCAGTAGATGGGGACAAGAAATGACTGAGATCTTATAGAAGGAGACTGCTGTAAGGGCTGCAAGCTGGGTAAATTAGTCAAAAAGCTCATATTGGCCAGGCTCCATGGCTCATGCTTGTAATCCCAGCACTTTGAAGCGGTGGATCACTTGAGGCCAGGAGTTTGAGATCAGCCTGGCCAACATGGTGAAACACCATCTCTACTAAAAAAAGTTAGCCAGGTGTGGTGGCACTCTCCTGTAGTCCAGCTACTCGGGAGGCTGAGGCACAAGAATTGCTTGAACCTGGGAGGCAGAGGTTGCAGTGAGCTGAGATTGCGCCACTGCACTCCAGCCTGGGTGACAAAGTGAGACTCCATCTCGGGGAAAAAAAAATAAAAAAAAAAAAAAGCTCATATTAAGAACCTGCTTAGCTGAATCCCAGTGCATTACAACTAAATCTCATCATATTAGTCAGGGCAAGCAAAAGTGGAACAAAGATGATAAAACGGTTATTGACTGGACAATTGCAAGGAAGTTTCAAGTACCAAGAGAGAAGGATGGACTTAGCAGTGACAGGAAAAGCAAAGAGGGCTTAGCTAGATGTAATAAACTTTATATGAGATTCTAAAGTTGACTGCAGAATTTCTTCAAATTTATGGATGGGACTGGTTGTGTATGCAGTTTGCTGGGGTTCTGGCCACCAACATGGGGAGATAAACATTAACTCCATATGTTACCCCTGGTTAACAGGAAGGAAGACAGAGAAAAGTAATCAAGAAAGCCAACCAATCAATGAGCATAAATGATGTCAGCTATGACAGTGTCACAGTTAAAGAGCAGGAACACTGGAAAACTTAAAGGACAATAAGAAGGGAGTTGGCCAAGGGATATTTTTACTACTTCTATGAGGAAAGAGAGACCAACAAAATGATATGCTTCCTATCATTACCATGTTGTCTAGTATTACCTTAAGTTGGGTGTAACTGCAGAAAATATTCAGAAACATTGATCAATTTCCACTTCAGAAAGGGAGTCTATGGACAAATAACAACTGTGCTTATTTTCCAGGTTGATGGTACCTTCAGTTCCACAAGCCTAAAATTTATTAGAAATAATACTAGCAAGAATCAGAAACCTACATCGACACTGCTTTACATGAGTGATAAAGTCTCTATTCTTTCCCATCTCTAGTAACCACTTTGATCATAACACATAGTATACATGTGTTGAGATATTACACTGTGCTCCACAAATATGTACAATCCGCATGTGTCAATTGAAAATAATAATTAAAAAAATTAGAAAGTCTCAAAGGGTCTTTTTCTCAGGCACTGTTTTTATTGACATTATTGCAACACAACAAAACAAAAGTGTACTTTTTATGGTCTGGCCAAAGACATAGAGATATTTCCATCCAAATAAAAAATTGGGATAGTCTGTCAACACTATTTTTTTTTATGATTTGCTTGTTTACTTCTACAGAAGAATTAGAATTAAAACACCTTTAGCCGCACATTTTAATTTTTTAGTAGAAAATAAAATAGTATATAATTGGACTGTCCCAGAAATTCTGGGGTGTATTTTTGTCTTATTTGTACAGTTAACATTTTGATAACTATTTCAACTTCATGCCACCTAACGTCTAGAATCTCTCATCCTCTTGACCTTACATTCCACCTACTTTGCTGATATACAGCAATGGATAAACCCAAACATCTGTTTTGTTTGCTTGTGCTGAGTTCTGCTACAGAAAGTTGTAGAAAAGTGCCAATTGGCTCCACTACAAATTTATGCCATTTAATCTCAATTGGGCCTTCAATACTGCTTGGCAATTCTTCATTCATCCCTGTGATGTTGCCCCCAGCAGCTGTTCGAAATCTTTTTTACTTTCTCCAGGCTCTCAATCTCCAAAGAAGAAAATCATAGGAAGGAAACAAAACCGTTTCTAAAAAGTATAATACAATATAAACTTCCCTGAAACAGGATTTGAAACTGCATATTAAAAGAGCACAACCAAATACCTGAGGAAATGGACGTAGGTCAATAGAGAGATATATTCTAGTAAAATACTGGACTTTAAAGGGGACGAAAAATCACTCACAAAGGAGAGGAAATAAGATTATCATTAGACCGACAGCAAAGCTTTATGCTAGCAGAAAAAGAAGTAGCATATTAATACAGCCAAGGAACGAAAATGTGAGCCACAGATTTTATATCTAGCCTGACTTTCAAATAAAAAGCCACAGGACAATTTATCAACAATTTGTTGATTCAAGAACTCAGGGAATATTGTTCCCATGAGGCCTTTCTCTTTTTAGAGAATATGCTTCTGACAACTAAAATGTCTGGAGAGACACCCTCAACCTCAAGCCTGATGGCACTGATTACTAAAAGCAGTTATCATAGGAACAGATGCAGCCAAATATTTTCTACATCCAGACAGAAGAACATACCACCACCTGGGAAGGCAAAAGAAGGCAAATCAACTAAAATCTGATCAAGCCTGTAGAACCAACCCAATTTACAGGAAATGCAAGACAGGAAAATCAAGACTGGGGAAAATTAGAAGACAAAACACACAGTTCTTCAACAAATAAATTGCAAGAAAAAAAAAGGAATGGAGGGGAATCTCTAGATTAAAAGAGACTTAAGAATAATGAGGGGAGACCTAACTAGTGTTCACGAATGAACACTTGGGTAATAAATTTGTAAAGGAAGTAAAGAATTGATCACCATAAAGGTCAGGGTAGAGATTACGTGTGAGGAGATGGAGAGAGCTGTGATTAGGATGGCGCTTTGGGGTGCTGGCAAAATTCTGATTTTTAACTTTGGTGGTTGTTTATAAGGATGTTTGCTTCAAAATAATCGCTTAAGCTATCCATTTGTTTTATTTAGTTTTCTGTTATATTTTACAATAAAAATGTTTAAGCTGGGTGTGGTGGCATGCCCCTGCAGTCCCAACTACTCGGGAGGCTGTGGCAGGAGGATCACTTGAGTCCAGGACTTCAAGGCTGCAATGTGCTATAATCATGCTTATGAATAGCCACTGGACTCCAGTCTGGGCAACATAGTGAGATTCCATTTCTAAAAGAAAAAAAAAAAAAAAAAGTAACTCCCCTCCCCTCTCCTCCCCTCCCCTCCCTTCCTCTTCTTTTCAGACAAGTTCTTGCTCTGTAGCCCAGGCTGGAGTGTAGTGGTGCGATCACAGCTCACCGCAGCTTCAAACTCCTGGGCTCAAGTGATCCTCCTGCCTCAGCCCCCTGAGTAACTGGGACTACAGGCATGAACAACCATGCCTGACTAATTTTTTAAAAAATTATTTTCTAGAGGTGTGGTCTTGCTTTGTTGCCCAGGCTGGTCTTGAATTTCTGGCCTCAAGTGATACTCCTGCTTTAGCCTCCCAAAGTGTTGGGATTACAGGCATGAGCCACCACATCTGGCCTAAAAAGCTTAAATAAAAAGAAAAAACATTATATGTTGTTTTGCAGCAGTGAGGCATTAACACCTCTGCTTTTGTCCACTACAAGTCTCACCACTTCCATTATTTATTTTATCAATGTGGGTTCCTCCCTAGTAATTAAAGTTGTGAATAAAAATGACAGTAAATTTTATACTCATAGATCAATGAGTAAAAGTGGAAACTGGAATTTTCACATAAAATCTGCAATTTCCTCTCACTTTAACTCAGATCAGAAAGGTACTTTTTATATTTATCACTATTTCTTCAATTTCATACACAAGTCACCAAAATAAGTCTAAGTATGTTCACATATACTAAAATAGAAGAAAGACAATGGAGAAGAAGGTAAAACCTACAAGATGCATCACTTGCCCTTAGCTTTGTTACTTCATTATTATCTAGCATCTGTTACCTCTCAGCCTTGTCTGTTATAAGTAATAATTTTATATTTATACTTTTGATAATGGTCAGTTTTAGGGCATATACAGAAGTAGTTATAGTAGTATAATGAACCTCCATGTACTCATCATGCAGCCTCAACAATTATCAACAGATGACCAATCTTGTTTTATCCATACACATATCCAATATCCCTTGTCACTGGATTATTTGAAGCAAATCCTAGACATGTTATTTTCATCCCAAAACATGCTTTCTCAGAAAGTAAGCAACAAGAGAACTCGTTAAGAAAACAGCATGCCCAAAGACTTAGCCAAATACTACCAGTTAACATCAGTGCCTACGAGAGACCGAAGCTAACAAAATCCTGCAGCTCCACCCAGAAAATTTCCAATATTTTGCTAAAGTTTAAGTTTTCAACTTTGTAGTTGTAGTTTTACTACCGGTTATCACCCATGCTTGCAGGATACTAAAGCCAACAAAAGCAACAGTGCTATTCAGAAAATTCTTAGTATTTTGCTTAAGTGTAAGTTTGCAATGTTTTAGTCATAAAGTTCAATCAGCATGGATAATGAAAAGAGAATTAATCTGGAATAGAGATTTGAGTTAGTCTCAGCTCTGCTAATTTACTTTACCACAACCTTAAGCAAACCACTTAAAACTTTTGGTCTGTTCCTTTAGAGGATGAGTGATAGCTCAATTTTCTTCAAGCTCTCTATATATCTCTAAATCTTTAACAAATTGATTTTGAGTAGCATGATCTCTTTTTGGAGTTAGATGATCAGGCTTAAATGCTCTTCACAAGGAGTTAACTGTAGTTGAAAAATCCTCTAAGAATGAGGTTAAAATCATGTAGCCCTCTAAGAAATACTTTAAAATATAAATTTTAAAGCCAGGCATGGTGGCTTACATCTGTAATCCTAGCACTTTGGGAGGCCAAGGCTAGAGGATTGCTTAAGGCCAGGAGTTTGAGACCAGCCTGGGAAACGTAGTGAGACTCTGTCTCTACAAAAAATTTAAAAAAAATTAGCTGGGCATGGTGGTGCGCACTTGTAGTCTCGGCTACTCAGGAGGATGAGGCAGGAGGATGGCTTGAGCCTAGGAGTTCGAGATTACAGTGAACCATGATTGCACCACTGCATTCCAGCCTGAGTGACAGAGCGAGACTGTGTCTCTTAAAAAAAATTACATATATATATATATGTAATATATATATATATATATGCTAAACATACAATCACTGCTATTCCAAGAAATTTCTGTCCATGAGGTATTTTTCTAGCATAGGTGTGTAGACAAAGAAGAGATTGCTCTCTAAAGAACCAGGAAAGCATTAACTTACTGTATAATGAAATGCTCAACTAAGAAGTGGGTTAAACCAGAATTCACTTTCAGATAGATTTCAGGACCAGATTTTCACCCTGGTTTTAACAAGGCACCTTAGGAAATAATAATGTTTACATTCAAAATACGCTTAGCAATGCAATGTCATTTCAAAAAAAAATTATAGAATGCAAAAACGCATCCTAGTAAGAAAAAAATTCTATGGATTGAAGATGCTTACTAACTGTTAGTTTGCATTAGTAATGTTCTAAACTCCAACTTCCTACCACCATGAGAAAAGCCTAGCGAATGGTATGATTGAGCTGTATATTGCAACTGCCATCTTACAGGGAGCATGCTGCTCAGAACAATGAAACGCAATTCTTAATTCCCTCCAACTACTAACTAAGATCACTGGAATAAAAGCAACTTACATTTTGGTGTCTTGTTCATCTGCACAGTCTTCAGCTTTCACTTTGGCTTCCGATCCTGTTGCTGTTTTCACCTGGCTTTTGGAGGTTCCAAAAGTTGAAAGTCCAATAGTCTAAGTCTTTAAGATCTCTGCCTCTATATTGTTGACTGATATGGTTTGGCTGTGTCCCCATTCAAAATTTCATCTTGAATTGTAATCCCCATAATCCCCACGTATCAAGGGAGAGACCAAGTGGAGGAAATTGAATCATGGGGGCAGTTTTCCCCATGCTGTTCTCGTGATAGTGAGTGAGTCTCACGAGATCTGATGGTTTTATAAGGGGCCCTTCCCCCTTCGCTCCGCCACTCTTCTCCTTGCCACCTTGTGAAGAAGGCGCCTTGCTTCTCCTTCACCTTCCGCCGTGATTGCAAGTTTCCTGAGGCCTCCCCAGCCATGCTGAACTGTGAGTCAATTATATGTCTTTCCTTTATAAGTCACTCCATCTCGGGAAGTTCTTTTTTGTTTGTTTGTTTGTTTGTTTTTTTGAGACGGAGTCTCACTCTCTCACGCAGGCTGGAGTGCAGTGGCGTGGGTCTCGGCTCACTACAACCTCCGCCTCTCAGATTCAAGTGATTCTTCTGCCTCAGCCTCCTGAGTAGCTGGGACTACAGGAGCGTGCCACCACACCCAGCTAATTTTTGTATTTTTAGAAGAGACTGGGTTTCACTATGTTGGCCAGGCTGGTCTCGTACTCCTGACTTCGTGATCCGCCCGCCTCGGCCTGCCAAAATGCTAGGATTACAGGCGTGAGCCACCGCACCTGGCCGGGAAGTTCTTTATAGCAACGTGAGAACTGACTAATACACTGACCTTGCAGATTCTGATTGGTTGGCCATTTACTACACGCATTTCAATCCACTTCAATACCTGTTCAATGATTTCTGACTACCTGGAATTCCCTGCCCTTTCCTAGCTGCCCTCATTCCTTTCCACAGTGAAATTTCTGGGTGCTTTTCCATAATCCGGATTCCCTGGCTGTACAGTTGTCCACTTTCCTTTCCACTAAGACAGGGGATTTGCTTTCTATTGTAGTTGAACCTTGGTACCTACTGACCGATTTCTTGTTTGCTAACCACTATATTTTCAGTTTCCTGCCCACTGTAGTTGCCTACTTTCTTTTCCACTCTGACCCAGAGTAACTGCTTTGTCAGCCACCGTTCTGTAGTGTCCTTCCCGCTCTGTGACAAGAGCTGTACCACTTGTTTCTATGATAGCTCGCTTCTATTCTACCCTGGTATTTTCCTCATACTAGGAGACTCTCTCACACTCTTACTCATTTTTCTTCACCAAAATTGCACTTTGGGACAAAACCCAGTGCCAGTGATATCCACATAGTCTTTTCAATAAACATGTGGTCTTTTCTCTGTACTCCTTCAAAGATGCACTTACTTACATGGATCAGACAACACACATACCTAGTCTAGAAACAAACATCTTTGGATTTAATGTTAGGGGTGACTTTCTCCCTCCTTCGGAGAGACGTGATCACTTTTATGGACCAGATCACGTAACTAACTCATCAGGAATTTAATATCTCTGGAATTAATTTGGTGGTAGCACTTTTTGCCTCCTCCCTCAGATAAGCATTTGGTTATGTTGATCAGACCTCATGACTAATTTGTCCAGCATCCAATATCGCTAGAATTAATTTTGCTTGTGCGTTTGCCTTCCTCCTGCTTCAGGTAAATCTTATAAAGATTAGACGGCCAGGCAGGGTGGCTCATGCTTGTAATTCCAGCACTTTGGGAGGCCGAGGTAGGTGATCACCTGAGGTCTGGAGTTCGAGACCAGCCTGGCCAATGTGGTGAAACCACGTCTCTACTAAAAATACAAAAATTAGCTGGGGGTGGTGGCGCATGCCTGTAATCCCAACTACTCAGGAGGCTGAGGCAGGGAGAATTGCTTCAACCTGGGAGGTGGAGGTTGCAGTGAGCCGAGATCACGTCACTACACTCCAGCCTGGGTGACAGAGAGAGACTATGTCTTAAAAAAAAAAAAACAAAAAACTAGACAACACAAATAACTAGTTTGTGTTATTTGAATATAAATTTGGGGTGAATTTTTTCCTCTTCTCCTTCAGAGAAGTGTTCCTGTATTTGGATTACACCCTAAGACTAACTTATTCAGAATCCAATATCACTGTAATTAGTTTGGATTTTTTCTCCCTCTCCTCCTTTGGATAAGCCTATCTTTATATGGTTCAGACCACTAATTCTTTCAGGATCCAATGTTACAGGAATTAATTATAGTGGTGACACTTTTCCTTGTTATCCTTCAGATATATGTTAACTTGTATGCATCAGACCCTCATGAGTATCTTGCCCAGGATCAAATACCAGCAAATACCAGTGCAGTTAATTCTGGTGTTCATCTGGAGCCTAAGCTTTCCCCTAGATTTTGTTTTTTGACAGTTTCTTTGTCCAAACCCAAACTCAAGCTTTCCCCTAATAATAATTCTATTCTCATTTTACTTTTTACCACCACATTTCCCTATTTCCATTTCCATCCCTCCAGAAATACCTTCTTGGATGTGGCCTCCATAAGTCCCTTGGCCCTCTAGTTTATAGTGTCTGAACCCTAGATACTTTATCCTGGAGGTTCAATGTACATAATCCATATGTAAAAGCTATGACGACAGAAAATAGAAGCATAAGGGGAGCAAAAGGTGCATTGGAACTCGTCCCGTAATGTGGCTTAAAATCAGAAGTAGGAGAAGAGTGCCAGCTTTGAAATAATAGGCAAAGAAAACCCACAAAATAAAAGAAGTTAGGCGCAGTGGCTCATGCCTGTAATCCCAGCACTTTGGGAGGCCGAGGCAGGCAGATCACCTGAGGTCGGGAGTTCAAAACCAGCCTGGCCAACATGGTGAAACCCCATCTCCACTAAAAAAATACAAAAATTAGCCGAGTGTGGTGGCGCACTCCTGTAGTCCCAGCTACTCAGGAGGCAGAGGCAGGCGAATCATTTGAACCTGGGAGACGAAGGTTGCAATGAGCCAAGATTGTGCCTCTGTACTCCACCTGGGCAACAGAGTGAGACTCCATCTCAATAAATAAATAAATGAAGTTGGTCTATTTGTGACTTGCTATTTATAAGCTCATTATCATATATAATAAGTCTGTCCCCATGAAGTAACAGCTTCTGATTAGTTCTGTCTTCCATTATATAGCTCTTTTATAGAAAGATCTGTTCTTATCCCCCAACCCTCACATAAATCCCCAAAGCAACTGACTTAGTTCTTCTTTATCCAGTCATGTAGTGAGCCCACTCTTGACTACTTCTTCAAGAAAGTTCTGTTCTTACACCCCTTTCCCCACAGATGCATGAAAACCCTAATAGAAGCCCCCAGGAGAGAGACTTTAGTTCAAGTTCTCCTTCAACTCAACGTGTTCAGATCCACTTCAAGACCTTTATTTTCCCCAGAATATTCTGTCCTTAAACCTACCCTCACAGAAACACCCAGGGCTGGTATGGGCTTATTCAGTTCTTCCTCATCAAACCACATTTTGAGCCAACCCCCTGATTTTCACTTCTTTCAGAAAGTTTTGTCGTCATAGCCTCACTATATCACAAAACCCAGGGGATGTCAACATCATATTTCTGGAATTTAAAGAAACATTTTGCAGAGTATAACTTGAGAGTCTTCAGTTTTCTTCATATAATACTCACATCTCAAACACACAAAGACAGATTAGAACCTGTATAGATGGATGGATTTATTAATTTTATGAGTGTTGTATGTTTGCACTTTATGTTTAGAAAGAGGATTCATTCAGAAAATCACCATGGAAAGTCTTCCATTAATTGTTTTTAAGGACAATATAAATTGAAATTTAAAGGATGTTGAAGAAAAAGAGTTGTCGAATACAAGTGACTTATATTTTCCATTAATTCTAGGGTCCTTGTCATTTTATCACATAACCCTTTATTATCACCAAGAGTAACAGAAATAAGTTTCACTTTTATGACTGAAAAAGCTTAATAAAATGTCACAGAATATGAATAGTTTATTATGTGGTAAAAAGAGAAAAAGCAGTTTAAAAAATCAGTTTCAGATGAGTAATGACCATGATCATAAAAACTTAGCAAAGCAAGTTGTCCTATGGTACTGTGTATTTTTTTTTTTAACAATTACAATGATCTAAGCCTTTTTCTTATAATTAAACAAGTTTTCTCTTATTTTAATATTAGAACATGTTGTACTTTTAAGCATCTATTCTACAATTTTAGTTAATAAATCACTGACGAATTTAGACTGAACAGAACTTAAATCATATTTAGATAGATGCAGCATTAAAAATAAATATTTTCAGATAAGAGAGTGTTTTGGGTTGGAATTTTCCCAAAAATAAAATAATGTGACTAAAGAAGTTTGGGCTGCTTATTACTTAAAAAGTTATTTTCACTGCATTGTCCTTGATTGAATACTGTTTATGGCAAACTAGCTATAAATTACATTTTTCATTCAATTGGGGGAAAATTTTAATGTGGTTTGGGCATCAGATGAGCTGAAATCTTACTTAAAGGCAAAGGTGCAGATCATTGACTTCAAGAAAACAAGTTCTAAACAATATAATCTTATTTTGGTCAAAATATATAAAACCGCATATTATATATAATACATGCATAACAAAGTTAAGAAACATATTTACTATAGAGTTGTCTTAGGGGATCTCTGATGGTGACAATGTGAAGCCTTCATTTTTAAGTTTTTGCTTACTTGTATTTTCTAATTTTCTATGATGCACATATACTCTTCTACTGTAATAAATGGTATTTTAATTGATTGCAAATGGAAATGTTTTCTGGAACATAATATGCCATTTAGCTGTGATTTAGCTTTTAACCAACAATGAAAAAAGAAATGCAAAAATCTCAAATTAAAAGAAGTGTTTTTATGAGTTTAGCAAATGCATTGGTTTTCATGAATTTATCACTTTTATGGCTAACATTTGAACAGCCCATTTTCATGGGCTCATTTGCAGGGTAGACTTTTAGAGGTTCTATTTTATTATGACATTTTTGTGTGCTGGTTTACATTTTATTCTGTCCTTAAACCTGGTGGTGGATTTGCCTTGTGCATACCATAAAGCTTGTTGAATGTAATAGAATATACCGGTACAGTTTGAATATACCTATACTAGCTTTGAACAAATTCTGAGGGTGGTGGAGTGGTGGGCAGGTAGTGGTGGTGGTATTTGCCGACCCGAGCCAGCAGCTAATCATGGACCTGAGTTATCTTGAAGTATTGCTTTAAGTACCACTGGATAGATTGTATTTAACCTGAGGCCAGTTTATCACTGTTCCACATGAGAATCTCCTATCTAGTTCAACAGTCATGTACTGATTGAGTGCTAACTCTGTGCTAGGTATTCTTCTAGCTTCTTCGGATACACCAGCATACAAAACAGACAGACAAAAAGTCCTGCCTTTGTGGAGTTAACATTCTAGTGAAGGGAGACAGACAATAAACATAAAACACATCAGAAAATTGTATGTTCCAAAGCTAAGGGCTTCAGAAAAATAAGTAAAACAGGGAAATGGGATCTGGAGTGTTGGGGGAGGGTGTGATTTAAAAAAGGATGATTGGGATGTACCTCACTGAGGTGACATATAAACAAAGACTTGAAGGAGGTGTAGGAGTGAGCCATACAGGTGTGGGGGAGGAAAAGTGCAGGCAGAACACAGTCCTTAAGTGAGGAGCATTCCTCGTGAGTTATAGGTGCAGCGCAGAGGCCAGGGTGGCTGGAGTGCAGTGAGAGTGAAAGGGACAGAGACTCAGGGGATGTGGTCAGGGAGATAATAGGATTGGCAGGAGGTAGATCCTGTAAACCATTGTAAGGTCTTTGTCTTTTACTCCGAGTGAGATGGGAGACATTGAAGTGAGCAAGGGAATGACATGATTGGACTTAAATTATTAAGGGGATGGCTCTGGCTACTGAAAAGAGGCCAAGGCAGAAACAGGAAAACATGTTCTGGCAGTAATCTACAAGGTTGTTGGCAGCGGCTTGGACTAAGGTGGTGGTAGTGGGAGTAGTGAGAAGTGGTCAGATTCTGCAAAGATTGTCAAGCTAAAGTCATCAGAATTAATCGAGGCCAGAAAGGCTGAAATTGGGGTGTGTTTGGGGAATAAAATAAAGAGTGCTTGTTATGAGTGAACTATCTATTAGGCATTGAATTTAATTCTTATTTCCATCATCAGTACCAATTATCTGTAAGCACTGAATATGGGGGAGATAAATAGTAGGTAAAGAACTATAGAAAACACTTCTTGATAGCCAGTATACTTGCAATCTAAGAGAATCTGGGTATACACGTACAATTACAACCTTTTCTAACATTGAATATTTATTTATTCATTCACTGGGAAAATATTTATTGGTGCACTAATAGATGCTCAATATTAGTGCTAGAGAAATTGGAGACCAACTGCTTAGTTTTGAATCCTGGCTTCACCACATGCTGGTTACTTAGCCTTGAGATGCCTCAGATTACCATCTGGAAAATAAAGATAATAATAATATATACCTCACAGGGATGCTGAGAAGATTAAATAAGGATAATCACATGCAAAGAATTTAGAACAGCACATGATAAACACTATCATGTGTCACTCATTATCCTTATCAAGTCCTCTTTTTTCCTTTCTAGCATATCCTCTCCCTTAGCCAACCTTAATATCAACAGAAAAGAATATCTGTAAAAAGAAAGGCCACTACATGAGATGTTGTGTATGTTCATTTGTTTAACTGTAGTAATCTCTATGTATACGTATTTCAAGATAAGTATATCAAAATGTCATGTTGGACACTTTAACTATATGTTATACAATTAAAATAAGATAAAATCAAGAGCAAGATCAAAATGCAGATAGTCTAGAACCTCACGCCAGTTCCTACTGCTATTCTTGATCAACACACTGGCTAGATATCTGTAAGTTAATTTTTCAGACTCATATACACATAAAAATGGGTAAAGATTTTTTTAGAACTCTTAAGACTCCCTGGGGATCAAGAATCTCTTCTGTAGTCACCAGAACCTGGAGAACATTGCCTCATTCAACAACACTGCATGTTCCTATTAGTCCTTAATCACTCATACTCACAAAGGTGTTTTAGTCCAGAACAGAGAGCAGCCTGTCAGACAGGTACTTTTTGTGTCCTACCCCAGCTATACTTCTGTTCTCCTTTTCCTCTCTCCAGGCCTAAATTCTATTTCCTTATTTAAACCCAGTTTGAACCTCAAAGCTCAAGTGTTGATCTGTGACCATCTGATCAGATTTGCCCCCATTTATGCCTGACCACCTGCTCCCACTAATGTAGAATTCAAAGCTGGGTTGTTACTCAATTCGGCCTGACTCTATAAACTGAGACTTTGACTTCTCTTTCAAGAAAATGAAAATCACATGGGTTTCTTCCCTTTTGAACCAGCTTCCTTACCATGATCACTTTCTCAATTTTGAATTTCTTTTCTTTCTTTTTTTTTTTTTTGAGACAGAGTCTCTCTCTGTCACCCAAACTGGACTGCAGTGGTGCAATCATAGCTCACTGCAGCCTCAAATTCTTGGGCTTAAGCAATCCTTCTGCCTCAGCTTCCAGAGTAGCTGGGACTACAGGTGCAAGCCACTACACCTAGCTATTTGTGTGTGTGTGTGGAGACAGGGTCTCACTGTGTTGCCCAGGCTAGTCTCAAAATCCTAGCCTCAAGTTATCCTCTTGCCTTGGCCTCCCAAGGTGTTGGGATTACAGGCATGAGCCACTTGCTGGGTCTCCATTTTCGTACTGTCTTTAGCTATTCTACAAGACAATTCTGAGGATTTAGGGTGTTAAGATATAGTGCGATTGTGGTTTCAAAAGTGTAAGAGCACTCGTCTCTTGAATAATGTCTAGGTTCTTAGGAATAAGGATAATATTATCAATGATAAAGATAATCAACGTTTATTCAGTGCTTACCATGTGTCATATATTGTGCTGATATGTTAACTCCTTTACATTCATTATTATCTCAATTAATACGGTAAATAACCTATAAGGAAATTTTATTATTTTCTCCATTTTATAGGTGAGGAAACGAACGCTTAAAGAGTTGCATTAGTCAAAGAGTAAGTGGCAGAACTTAGACCAGGCTTTTCTGTGTCAAAGCAAGTACTTTTAACTACTAAAGTATATCACAAGACTACGGTGCTTCCTAGGTCTGTTCTCTCATGCAGTTTTTGTTGTGTGTACAATTTATTACCTCATAGTTATTCTTCAAAACTTGATAAACATGGGAAGACAAAAAAGCCCCTTTAGAAATGTTCAGCAGTCCCTGCCCTTTACTTTTAAGAAGTCCTTGTATTTGTACAGAGTTCTACAACCTGAAAATTCTTTTACACCTTATCACTTTTGATCATCATAACATTTTTTGTGGTGATCAAGACAGGGCTTATTATCCCTTTTTATGTAAATAAACCAAGGTTCAAAGAGGTTAAGTGAGCTGCACAAGGTTATACCAGGTTTCCTATAAGTCGACTCTCTAAAACTTTCAGCTGTAACTAAGTGTTTGAAAATCATCGTTCAAATATATCATTCTTAACACAAATTGTAGAGGCTCATGATGGAAAGCATCAAATACCAAGAACAAGATATTAACAAAGTGTCAAAGATCATCCTCTTTTCTGTTTGTTCTTCAAGGGAGAGGTTGTAACCTTAAAGGGGCTATATTAGTTTGCTAGGGCTATCATAAAAAAGTACCACAAAATGGGTGGCTTAAAACCACAGAATCTTATTCTCTTATAGTCTGGAGGCTGGAAGTCCAAGATCAAGGTGTTGGTAGGGTTGGTTTCTCCTGAGGCCTTCCTCCTTGGCTTACCAATGGCTGCCTTTTTGCCTTTTCTGTGTGTTTGTGGGTCCTGGTGTCTCGTCCTCTTTGTATAAGGGCACCAGTCATATTGTATTAAGGCTCACCCATATGACTTGATTTAATCTTTTTTTTTTTTTTGAGACAAGGTCTCACTCTGTTGCCCAGGCTGGAGTGCAGTGGCACAATCTTGGCTCACTGCAACCTCTGCCCCATGGGCTCAAACAATCCTCCCACCTCAGCCCCCAAGTAGCTGGGACCACAGGTGTGTGCCACCGTGCCTGGCTATTTTTTTGTATTTTCAGTAGAAACAGGGTTTCACCATGGTGCCCAGGCTGGTCTCAAACTCCTGGGCTCAATTAATCCACCCATCTTGGCCTTCCAAAGTGCTGGGATTACAGGCATGAGCCACCATGTCCAGCCAAATCTTAATTACCTCTTTAAAGATTCTATTTCTGAATATAGTCACATGTGAGATACTAGGGGTTAGGACTTAAACATATGAAATTTGAGGGACATGTTTTAGTCCATAACAGGGGATTTCCTGTTAAGCAAGTGCTCCTTCATCTGATGGATATGAGAACTATAATCAATTTTTTAAAAGTTTCCAACATCAGTGTGAAATGCTGTATAAAATCAGAGCCATCTCATAAAGACTTAAGCTTGACACAGTTTTTAAAATGAAGAATCCTAATAAATAGACAAACACAAGCTTTATCTCATAACCATTGCTAGAAGGAGGAAAAAGAAAGAAGGAAATTAATGAGCATCCAGACCAGCTAGGGAGAAATAGTAATTCCAAACCTTCAAAATATGCAATATAAATAACAGTAGACAATTTCATAAGTATCCCTGTTAATCTCTGAATCAAATTAGTATGTGACTACACTTAATATTTCTATGGGGTGCTTATGTTTTGACTGACTACTTATTTAGGTTACCAAGTTTAAGAAATTATTATCCCAAATCATAAACTGGAGTTTAGAATGGATCAGAAGGTGGACTGGAACCCATATGTTACTGATTACCAGAAGGAATGTGGGATATGATATGAGATTTTAGAAGTCTGCCACTAAGACCTGTTAGGCTATTCAGACATGAACAGTAGCCACAGGCACCAGGTGGACCTTCAGTGGGCCTCAGGAAGCCAGCAATAGGAACTAGGATTTAGGATGGATCTGAGGTTCTGTCAAGACTCGGTGATCAGTCATAATGCTAGACTTGGAGGAATGGTGTCAAAACCACGGCAGAGATGTAGGTACTATGGCAGAAGGCCAATATCTAGTTGTAGGAATTAGGTCACATATTAGAATATAATACACAAAAAGCAGTATAGGTCAGCATGGAAACACCAGTAAAGTAGCTTGATTTTGAGCAGGTCACCTACTTACTGGCTTAGGGCTTCCAAGCTTCCTCCTGCCCGGAGGCATAACTGAGCTCAGTAGCATTGAATGAAGATTTGAGAGTTAAAAGGCCCAGAAAGACTTAGGTGCAAAAGACCCTGTACACTATTCCTCCCCATGGGGTAGTAGATGTCATAGACGTGCTCATTTCATTTTGAATTTAAGTTATCAGATCTAACAGCAAAATATACTCAAAGTGTTTCCAGAAAAGTTTTGTTCTGGTGGTGTTGCATTGACTCATTTTCCTTTAAAAGAGTGTATCACTGGCCTGTAATAGAGCTTGTCCTAGCATTGTACTTTCCTTAAGATACCCCTACACAATCCTGTCGCTGTGACTGGTTGTCATTCCACAGTTGGTGCAGTGATATCACTGATCCAACATCAGCATCCACACAAATATTAGAATCTCATCAAATAATAGAAATTATGTACTCACTTTTCCCCAGGACAAATTTAAGGAGAAGAAGGAAAGCAATTAAGAAGTACCTAGATCTCCTGGTGGAAAATTTTTAAAAAGTCGATTTCTGTGATATATGTTACCCTGCGGCTAGATTGAAGCAATGCAGTCTCCTCCCTGAGGCTTCTCTTGTACACCACCTGGAAGTGTCAGTTGGTACAGATTGTAGCAGACTGTCTGCTTAAAGGCATTGACCACATGGAGCCTGTGACATCTGTGGTTTTGGTCTTAAATGACTGTGTACTTGATTCTAGTTCTGAGATATGTATTTATCCAGTGTGGGATCTGGAAGATACTTAAAAAGTGTTACAAAACATTAGCAAAGTAAACTGAATCTCTATGCTTGCATTTATTGAATATTACATTTAGTTAGCGTTTTACAAATAATATATCAAAATTAATAATATAAAACATAATTGGATTTCTTATTCAAAATTTGAATAGGAGAGCTAAGAAAAGACAGAGCCTAAAGGGCCATTCAGACATTATTATGCCCAGTGATATGGGTTGAATTGTGTCACCCAAAAAGATATATTATGTCCCAGTCCCCAGTACCTGTGAATGTGACCTTATTTAGAAATAGGTATTTGCAGATGCAATCAGATTAAGATGAGGTCATATATGTTAAGGGTGGCTCCTAATCTAATATTACTAGTGTCCTCATAAGAAGGGGACAGTTTAAACACAGGCAGACACAGAGGGAAATTGGCGGAGATTCTCTGCCTTGGAGTTATGCTGCCACAAGTCAAGAAAAGCCTGGGGCTACCAGAAGTTGGAAGAAGGTTCCACCCCCATAGGCTTTGGAGGGAGCAAAGTCCTGCCAATGCCTTGACTTCAGACTTCTACTCTCTCTAGAGAATAAGATTCTGTGGTTTTAAGCCACCCAGTTTCTGATATATAGCAGCCCTAGGGAACGGACACACCTAGTTTTGTATCTCTTGTCAGGGTTGTACTTAAATAGGGTCAATTAGATTTTAGAGCATGCCAGGTGATATGATTTGGCTGTGTCCCCACGCAAATCTCATCTTGAATTGTAGCTCCCATAATTTCCATGTGTTGTGGGAGGGACTCTCTGGGAGATAACTGAATCATGGGGTGGTTTCCCCCATACTGTTCTCATGGTAGTGAATAAATCTCATGAGCCCTGATGGTTTTATAAGGGGTTTCACCTTTCACTTGGCTCTCAATCTCTTTTGCCTGGCACCATGTAAGACATGACTTTCACCTTCCACCATGATTATGAGGCCTCCCCAGTCACGTAGAACTATGAGTCCATTAAACCTCTTTTTTTTTGGTAATAAATATGAGTCCATTAAACCTCTTTTTTTTTTTGGTAATAAATTACGCACTCTTGGGTATGTCTTTATCAGCAGGAGACCTCTTTTTCTTTGTAAATTACCCAGTCTTGGGTATGTCTTTTTCTTTATAAATTACCCAGTCATGGTGTATGAAAATGGACTAATAATACACCAGGGAACTTTTAGGATATTTGGCTACTGGTGAGTTCTGGGGTTTGATTTCTGGGAGGGGGGATGCCACAGAGACCTAAGCTACCACTTAAAATTAATCTCTTCTCAGGAAAACTGTATTTGAATAACTTGGGGCAACTACTAATGTTTTCTGGGTGAATGGGTTTTCAGAGCTGCTGGATTGTGTGTGTGTGTGTGTGTATCTCAGAAACATTTAAAGTGTTGAAAGAGGGAAGTCAGACTCTTTCAATCATTCTGGTTATGTTCATTATTAACTGCAATGAACTGAATATTTTTGTCCCACCCCCCAAATTAATATATTAAAACCCTTATACCAATATGGTAGTTTTGGGAATTGGGTCCTTTTGGGGGGAAATTACATCATAAGGATGGAGACCTCATGAATGGGATTAGCACCCTTATAAAAAGAAGAGGAGACACAGGGCCTGTCTGCCTGTCTGCTCTCTCCCATGTGAGAATATAGCAAGAAAATAGCTATTCGTAAACAAGGAAGTGGGCCCTCACCAGAACTGACAGTGCTGGCACCCTGATCTTGTACTCCCCAGCCTCCAGAACTGTGAGAAATAAATGTTTGTTGCTTAACTCATCCAGTCTCTGGTACTAGACTGGGTGAGTTAATTTTTAGCTCAGTGAGTTAATTTTTAGTCCAAATTAAACATTAACGGAACTGAAACATTAGCAGATTCAAAATGTGTGAATAATGGTACGTGTGGAATTAGTCAGATGGTTTGCTTTTTAGACAGGTTTCAAATTATCTTGTGGCAATCTAGGTCATATCTTTCCCCTAGCAAGGTTTTTTAACTATAAGCTGTTACATACTCTAGTATAAATTCTGTTTAAATCTTAGTAGTAGCAAACAAACATCATTATTTTCATCCATGATATATTTATTAGGATGCTGATATCAGTGATAAATTCTTCACCATTCTTTTAGAGAGGTCAGCTATGGTAATATTTATAATAGCAGTAGAGATAAACAGTTGAGGAGCTTGCATTACAAATGTTAAGACCACTTAGGATAGTAGTAGGGAACAAGGTAGTTAATCTCATAATTCCATTTTTTGGCAGACACAAAGAGACAGAAACACAACGCCTTATCCTACAGAAATATTGTCTTCTTGCCATATCCTGACTTTCAGCCTTATGCTCTGAAATAGCAACAGTGTTTTGGCGTAGGACATATACAAGGCTTTAAAAAAATTTCTTTTTGGCCCGGCGTGGTGGCTCACGCCTCTAATCCCAGCACTTTGGGAGGCTGAGGTGGGTGGATCATGAGGTCAGGAGTTCGAGACCAGCCTGACCAACACGGTGAAACCTCGGCCTGGGATTACAGGCATGAGCCACTGCGCCCGGCCCGACTTATTATATTTTTTTTTACATAATTACCGAGAATAATTCCTACATATGAACAAGAATATAATCCTGTGATATAAACTATTGATAAGTGTTAGAGGAATTCAAAGTTGTGGAAAGTTAAGTATAAACTGAGACTAGTCAGAAGTCTTTATTTTTTGAGACAGAGTCTCACTTTCGCCCAGGCTGGAGTGCAGTGATGTGATCTCAGCTCACTGCAGCCTCTGTCTCCCGGGTTCAAGCGATTCTCCTGCCTCACCCTCCTGAGTAGCTGGGATTACAAGCGCCTGCCACCACGCCCAGCTAATTTTTATATATACGTATTTCTAGTAGAGATGAGGTTTCACCATGTTGGCCAGGCTGGTCTTGAACTCCTGACCTCAAGTGATCCACCCACCTCGGCCTCCCAAAGTGCTGGGATTACGTGTGTGAGCCACCGTGCCCAGCCAGAAGTCTTGATAAAGTACATGACAAGTGAGCTGAGGTATAAAGGAACTGGGGGATTTGAGGATTTGTTGAGGAGGCACTGTGAGAATATTTAAAGTAAGGAGACCTCATGTGTGAAGGTACAGGGTTGCGTATGAGAAGCTTAGGTGATAGTAGTCGATTAACCTGGCTGTGGAGGATGGTGGAGTGTGGAGGACCTAATATGATAGAAACTGTTACATAGATATAGGATGAACATCTCTAAGACACATTCCCTATAAACCCGCAGTATAAATGTATAGCACAAAGATTTTTATCTTGTTCTGACTTCTTATTGGATGAATATCTTACTGTTAACATATAACTACCATCCAATTAAGATTATTGCTCAACTCATGTAGTTAGTTAGTAGTCCAGATTTACCCAACATTAAGATGTAGCAAGTAATATGAACTATATTGGAACTTAAAAAATATTTATATGTTTTGTTGACTTCAAGGAGTGTGGCCTTAAGCAAGCTCTCTAATGTCCAGTTATCTGGCATTTTTGACAAGAAAACAATCTTTAACATGCACAGCCGTTATCATCACTGTCTTGTAATACACTAGAAGACAGTGACAGCTATCCAGTGCATCTTAGATTTATAACTCCTCAGAGAATAAATGCATTGAACATTCTATACATTATTTCTACAGTATGTCTAAAGTTACTGCTAAATACTTAATGATGGAAAGATAATCAACATGGATTTACATTTTATTGTGACAATTTTCCACATCAATCTTGGGAAATTTCCACTTAACATATATTTGGCCTACGAATGGCTTAGAAGATTACAAGAAAGAGGAGTGAGAGAGGATAAATCACTTGGCTAATAAAAATTGAGGCAAAGATAACCCATTGATAATAGTTGATGTCTTTTTAAATTCCTGAATGCAGTTTTCTGAATTTATTGTGAACTTGACTCAAATGTATGTCAATTTTTAACAGCATTAATTACTTGGAATTCTCCACATTGCCTGTTTCATTTGTTTGTTTGTTTTGAGATGGAGTCTTGCTTTGTTGCCCAGACTGGAGTGCGATGGTGCAATCTTGGCTCACTGCAACCTCCGCCTCCCGGGTTCAAGTGATTCTCCTGTCTCAGCCTCCTGAGTAGCTGGGATTACAGGCATGCACCACCACACCTGATTAACTTTTGTATTTTTAGTAAAGACGGGGTTTCACCATGTTGGCCAGTCTGGTCTTGAACTCTCGACCTCTGGTGATCTGCCTGCCTCTGCCTCCCAAAGTACTGGGATTACAGGCGTGAGCCACTGGGCCCAGTCCATATTGTCTTTTTTGATTTTCCACTCAGAGTTTCTATTTTGTTTTGAACGTGCTTTTTTTTTTTTTTTTTTTTGAGACAGAGTCTCACTCTGTTGCTCAGGCTGGAGTGCAGTAGCAAGCTCATAACTCAATGTGACCTTGAAGTGGGCTCAAGTGATCCTCCCGGTTCAGCTTCCAGAGTAGCTGGGACCACAGACTCGTGCCACCATGCCCAGCTAATTTTTGTATTGTTATTCTTTGTAGAGATGAAGTCTCCATGTGTTGTGCAAGCTGGTCTTGAACTCCTGGCCTCAAGCGATCCTCCCGCTTTGGTTTCCCAAAGTGCTGGGATTACAGGTGTGAGACACAATGCCCAGCCTGAGCATGCACTTTTTAACCTTTCCGCTCAGCTCCTGATTTATTAGCATGTGTTGAAATTCAGTTTTATGCCATCTAAAGTTGCTACTTTGAAGTTACTCTTTGGGAATCACTGTAATGAGCCCTTTGCACAATATGGAATATATCTTCTTGTTTGTGTACAGACTGTGCTATCATGTATGGCACTACCCATCCCATTTCTTCATATATTCCTCTGCTTAGGAGGTTACTGCCTAGCTATACCCCAGTGTATTTCCTTACTCTCAGTCTATGAGATAGAGATAGAAATCCCTTAGATCCTTCCACCCTTTATTTGATTCCTTTAACTCTTGGTAGCTCCAATTCTGTCTCTGGCAGCTGTAGGGGAAACCTCTTGTTTAACCTTCCCTGACAGGCCCTGGGATAATTCTGGGAAGCTTTACTAACTTTCCCTTCTACCCCCCTAGTGTTTTCTTTCCTTTGCAGATGTTTTTCTGTGCTTTTCATAACCATAAATTTATTTCAGATGAACCACTGTAGTTTACAGTTGTTGCAGTTTTTCTCATGCTAAGGTTCCAAACAAATTTTAACAGCTGCTAAGGAGGCTGGCAAAAAGCCTTGATTGCTAATTCTGTGTTAAACTACTTTTCACAATGGGACATTCTATAATATTTGGTATAGTCTCTAAAGCAAATGATTTCTATCTTATATTATTACTGTTTGTATCATACTCATTCGTAGTTTAAAAAAGATTCCAAGTCCATGCTTTCCAAAATGGGCTTGATTTTATTTAAAACTTTATAGAAAAGTTAGGGGTTCCCAATGTAATAGGGTTGTTATGATGGAGAAACAGGTAAGAGTGGTGTCAGTAAAGTCAAGTGAGTTAACACACAAATATAGTAAACTGTACCTTCTGGAAACATTACTCTATAAAGGTGAACATTTGTTCTCTTGGCTATAATTTGTAAATAGGTGGAAGGGAAGCTGCTTGTTAAAATTGGAGCCGAGAGATTCGCATGTCCTTAGTGTGTTTCCAAGTATGCTGGGGTCAGGGAAGCTGGTTGGCAGTCTGGTGTGAAGTGAAGATGTGCTCAGAATCTCACAAATAAATCCATACTGCAGTAAATCCCCTGCCAGATAATAAAGCGCGCATCGTATGTGTAACAGGGAGATGGCGTATTAATGAGGAAGTCATTGAAAACAGAATTTGATCTGTAACTGCTGAAAGTTGCTTCAAAAGCCACATCTGATCTGCTAGTACCTCCAAATTATTTCACAACTAGTTATGAAACAATTTTTTTAAAACAATCTAACAGAAATACTGTGCTGTGCTGTATTTTCATCTGGTTTTTTTTGTTTGTTTGTTTGTTTTTTTTTTTGAGACAGGGTCTCGCTCTGTCACCCAGGCTGGAGTGCAATAGCACGATCTCGGCTCACTGCAACCTCCGCCTCCTGGGTTCAAGTGATTCTCCTGCCTCAGCCTCCCGAGCAGCTGGGATTACAGGTGCCCATCACAACACCCAGCTAATTTTTGTATTTTTGGTAGAGACGAGGTTTCACCATGTTGGCCAGGCTGGTCTCAAACTCCTGACCTCAAGCAATCCGCCCACCTTGGCCTCTCAAAGTGCTGGGATTACAGGCGTGAGCCACTGCACCTGGCCTTTTCCTCTGTTTTATGACTCAATTTGTCAACTAAGTATTGATGGTGGATTTCTTATTATAAAGATATTTGATAATAAATAATAACATTTCAATCTGGGCAACATGGCAAAACCCTGTCTCTACAAAAAATACAAAAATTAGCCCAGCGTGGTGATGTGCACCTGTAGTCCCAGCTACCCAAGAGGCTGAGGTGGGAGGATCACCTGAGCCCGGGAAGGTCGAGGCTGCAGTGAACTGTAATCATATCACTACACTCCAGCCTGGGCGACAGAGTGAGACCTTGTCTCAAAAAAAAAAAAAATAGTTAATTAATAATAGCATTAATAAACTGAACAGTTTCTTGAAAAACACCCACATGGAATCTACACGTATTTTTGTTGGTTCTCAGTTTTTTTTTTTTTTACTCTTTATCACAATCAGTTGTTCTGTTGCATATATTTCTGATTTGTAAAAAAAAAAAAAATAATAAAATAGAAATGGAAAAATAATTCAATAATCTGATAAATAAATGCCAACTCCATATTTAATAGTGAAACATTAGAGCCCAGATTTCCATTACTGCTACTAATGTACTCATTTCATATGAATACATGAATAGGGTCATTAAAATAAAGGGTTTCATACTCAAGTAAGTTTGAGAAATGCTGAGTTAAACAAGATTTTTTAGGCCGGGCGCAGTGGCTCACGCCTGTAATCCCAGCACTTTGGGAGGCTGAGGCGGGCAGATCACGAGGTCAGGAGATCGAGACTATCCTGGCTAACACGGTGAAACCTCATCTCTACTAAAAATACAAAAAATTAGCCGGGTGTGGTGGCAGGCGCCTGTAGTCCCAGCTACTCGGGAGGCTGAGGCAGGAGAACGGCATGAACCCAGGAGGCGGCGGAGCTTGCAGTGAGCTGAGATTGCGCCACTGCACTCCAGCCTGGGCGACAGAGCGAGACTCCGTCTAAAAAAAAATGATTTTTTATTTTTTTTTTGAGACAACTTTTTCATCGCGGTGGTACAATCAAAGCTCACTGCAATCTCAACCTCCTGGACTCAAATGATTCTCTTGCCCCAGCTTCCTGAGTAGCTGGGACCACAGGCATGCACCACCATGCTTAGATAATTTTTTTTAATTTTTAATTTTTTTTTTTTTTTTTTTTTGTAGAGATGGGGTTTTGCTATGTTGCCCAGGCTGGTCTTGAGCTCCTGGCCTCAAGCAATCCTCCCGCACCAGCCTCCCAAAGTAGAGACTACAGGCATGAGCCACTGCACTTGGTGAAGTTTTCCTTTTAATGCAGGACTTTGCAGCACCTTTAATATGTTAATACTCACTGGGACTCTCTAAGAGGAATATATAACTTGGTGGTATCACAGAAGTATTTGACCAGAGAAATATTTTTTTAGAGCATCCCCAGCAAGCAGGGCTCTGAGGAATATGCCTTGGCAAACACTGACACAGCACTTAGCCAGGTGTGAGACACTATGCACTAAACTTCTGCCAGCAGTTACTCTTGTGTAACTCACCACAGACAGGTGTCATGTTAGTGAAATGGCTAGACTTCACTGTGGATGTGAATCAGCTGGAGGTGTCTGTCAAAATGCAGATTCTTAGGCTCTACTCTAATTCAGTGATATGACTTGAATTCCAAGAATCTACGTTTAAATGCATCAAGTGAGATTTCTGATATGTGTCTATAGTTTATGGTTTGAAAAACACCATGTTAGAAAGTTTGGGTCATTAATCATAAAAGATGAATGTAATTAATTCATATAAATTTGAACGTACAGGTTTAATAAAACTGATGTTACATGTTGAAACTGGGACATTCTGAAAGTTTATAGGCTAGGCACAGTGGCTCATGCATGTAATCCCAGCACTTTGGGAGGCTGAGGTGGGAGAATCACTTGAGCCCAGGAGTTCAAGGCTGCAGTGAGCTTTGATGGCGCCATTGCACTCCAGTCTGGGTGACAGAGTGAGACGCTGTCTCTAAAATAAAAATTTAAAAAAGGAAAGTTTATTGATGAAAGGGCAATTAGGTATGGATAAAACTTCACATTCATTTAACTTATACATCAGTCATCTTTAATACTCATGTGCCGAGGTGCCAAGCTTGGACTTATTGACTCACTGTTACCATAAAATATTCATGTAATCTGCATATTTGCTCATGTGGCATGTAACTGAAATCAATAAAGATGCCCCCTCCCTTGACGAACCTCAATTTGCACTTCTGGCAATGATTGTAGCTCTCTGCACATAGCTTGATATTTTCTGCTTCATGACTTTGCTCTTGCTAGTCCCCTTGTCTGAAATGTCCCTTTTCTTGTTTTCTTCTCTGGCTAGTTTGTTCTCTGCTGAGTGTGAATATGTATAGGTGGTTTGAAATGGGCATAACATATTCATTTAGTTAAACGAGTGATGATTGAAGCTGGTGAAATATGCGTGGGTGTGTAGTTGTTGGAGCAGGAATAATATCTGTTAGCTTGAAACAGGTACCAGGTAGCCTAAAATTCCAAGGCAGGCTCACAAGGACTCAGGTGATCCAAAAAGCTATAGAAATATAGAAATTCAGGAAGGCATTATTATGAGGAAGAGAAGCAGTTTAAATTGTACTCAGTTTGCAAAAGATAATTTTCACCTCATTGAATTTTGCTGATAATTGAATCAGGTTCGATTTTTTGTTAATAATAATTTCATTCCTTTTTGACTAATTTTCTCACCTACATGGATCTGTCTCAGCAATAGCAATTTACTGTGCATTAATAATGATTACTGGTTACTGATTGAGTAGAATGGTTCTTCCTACCAGGTAGTTATACATCTTCAGATAGCATTCAAAGCACTTATTTTTAATTATTCTGAAAATAAAAACAAATACTAATACGCTCATATCTAGTTTTTTAAAATCTTCAGCTAAAAGAAGCAGTATATCTTGCCGTGTTCCTCGTTCACATTTGACGCCTCACTTTTTGTCAAAATGCCAAGTATCTGCCATGGTAGACATATACTGGTAGATGTATTGTGATTGTAATGTTTGATAAGGGAGAAGAATTCTATTCAAGTCTTTTAGAGTGTTAGACTTCTCTACCTTCTAGTATGAGACGTGCTTCCAGCGAAAAGAAAAGAAAGGATATTGCATTTAGTTATGATTCATGAATGTCAGGATTTAAGTGTTGCAGGACTTTGTGGAAGTGGAAGAAGTAGTGGGAAACAGGAAGCCGGGCTGCCATAAGCACATACATAACAAGTAATTAATTGACTACAGACGTGAGGGAACCTACAGAGAACATTAGAAAACACTATTGTACATGAAATGCATTAACGCTAATTTTGTGAACAGCTGGATGGCTGAATGTTTGATAATGAAGCAAGCCATTTTAATTTGATCTAAGCTTCAGCTTTTAATTGAATTTATAAGAACATGGGAAAAATTAACAGGCAGCTTCTGGCAATTCAAAAACATTATTTTGCTTTAGAGTCTAAGCTTCTTTCTAAATTTGGGAAATCTGGCCCTGGATAAAGATGGAGCAAAGAAAAATCGTTCTGTAATACCAAGAACAGCAGATTTATGTCTCCGATTTCAAATAAATGCAGATTGTCATTGTTTGTCAGAAAGGCAACTACTCCTTTGGACATAATCATATCTTATAGTGACTAACAGGTCAGCTCTAATTATTAGATGGTTGGTTGAATCAGATAGGTGACTTTTTCCTCTGTGAAAAGGCAAGAATATCATATAGAATAATTTTTCAAATGCTTTCAAAGTAGAGCAGTGTGTGAGGCCAGAGATGAATCTTCTTTGTTAATAGACCCCAGAAGAGCTGGGCAAGAAACAAGGAACTTTTTTTAAAATAATAGGACCCCGTGTCTTTTGACTAGGGCTGGCTAAGACTTATGTGCTCAAAACTGCTGCTTCCTACAAGAAACATAAAGGATCATCAGTTTTCTATTCCTAAAAAGGGTGCCTTGAGCCATCACATTTGTATCCCAATAACCTTAACGTATAATCTAACCTGTCACTGTTTTGCATCCTCAGATGAAATGCTTTATCATCTTACTCTATCATTTGGTAGAACAATGCAAGGCAAAACAGACTATTCCATGGTAAAAGATATGAATCATATTCTGGAGCAGGGTGTGTCTAAAGATGAAGTATAATTTTTCTTCCCCCTGCAGAGGTGATGAATGTCTTTTGTCCCTCTTTTTTCTTATAAACAAAGAGATTCAATTGTTTTCATCTAGTTCCCAAATCCCATCAAGCTGAAAGTTTACTTTTTCAAAAACTGTTGGGGCAGATTTTCTCAAATAAGTAAAACTCTAGTTCAAAAGTCATCTACTTCAAGGAATTTTCCCTAATTATGTTTATCTCAGTTGATTTCTCCCTTTGTACTCTGGCATTTTATATACAATTTGGAATGTATTATCAGACAGTTTTATTCTTCTCTTTTACATGTGTCTATCTTAGATCTCATTCTAAATAATAAGCTCATGTAGAGCAGGAATTCTCTGTCTTATTTTTATGTTTTGCATCTTCCATAGTGTCTGAAAAACTGCTATGTGCATAATAGGTGCTTAGTAGAAGTGATTAGTACAACATGTTCATAAATATTCTTGGGTAGCCCCTGTATTGGCTAAGTGGATTTGAACAACTATTTATTTTATGTTTAATAAAAAGCGTTAAAGTCTTTTTTGCTGCTTTTCCTTGGTAGAGACATTGTATAGGAACTCTGGGACTTGCACAACTTGGTATTTTTATTATGTAAATCATAGTTTGGAATTGATGGATTGACACATGGAGATAATAATTCATTTTTAAGCAACTTTGAAAATGCAGCAGTGAAGGCGTCAAGCCTTAGAAGTATTATTATTTTTAAAAGATCAAGTCCAAAATGTGGTAAATAATCTGTAACTAAGAGGTTATGACCAAGCTTGGTGCAGATATTTCAGATAATTGGTGATGGTATCTCCTGAAGCAAGTGAAGGGCTATGATAATTGCTTTGGTTGACTGGGGTTGGCAGTACAGAGCAGAGAAGGATATAGAAATACACAGCTGCTGTGTAAGCCCAGGAATGAAAGGAATTTTGGAAGATACAGTCAGCTTCTGATTATCTATGTATAGATAATTCACACCCCGTGATGTATTTTAAATTTCATCACTGACTAGCTTTCCCTTGTTACCTAGTCTCACCTTTCCCTCTATCTATTTTGTGGTCTTTGGAAACTTCCACTTAGTTGACTATCTAGATTAGACAAAATGTAACCAGAAAGGTAAATTTTTAGAGGAAATAACTACATAGAATCAAAAACAAAACACAGAGCTATACTATAGTAGATGCTAGGATGTGGGTGAATGTGGTCATGTAGGACTGTTAAAGCATTGTGAAAATTGCTCTCCCAACAAAGATTTTTAAAACAATCCTATTTGCATCAGTCTTCAGTTCTCAGTTGGGTGGACCAATTGGTAATTCTTTGTGAAGAATATTGAATGTTGTTCACTGTTACTACAGATATTCTTAAGACAGAATTTGGACCTCCTGGGACATTATATGTTTTCAATGTATTTAATCTGTTGCTGAGCAATGTGTAGAAAAAAGGTCTTGAAAATTAATGCAGCAATACTGAGAGATTAAAAATTCCTGAAAGTGTGTGTTACTAAATTTTCTTCTCTGCTGTGGGCTCTGTGCAGAATTCACACAAAGTAGAGGGAAAGATAACCTCATGGGAATTTGACATGCAATAGCTGAGGAGATCGATGCTGACTGTAACCCCCTCCACAAATGCATGTATCCATCTTTTTCTAAAGTACAGTTTTAATGGAGTATCTTTAAAACATGGGTTATCTGACTAAACGTTTGTTTAGAGCTAGACAACTTAGATTTGTGCCTTATTAGAACTATTTTTTTCTTACATTTGTCAATCCTTGTTGTGTGTTTGTCTTGTCTCTATAATTAGAGTATAGGCACATTAAGGACTGAGACTATAGCTCACTTATCTTTTGCATTCCCCTTAGGCTGTGCAGAGTGGTTGGCACACAGTAGGTACTTGATACATGTTGTTTGCCTGAATGTATTAGTTTTCTTCATGTGCATCTGCGTGTATTTCATTCAAGACAGATAGATGTCTAAGTGAAATCAGGAGACAGAGGCTTCCATGGTCCACTCTAAGATTTGTCACTCTCAATATTGAAGGAATTCCTCTAATACGTGACTTCAATACCATTTCTCTTTTTCTCTCATTCTCATGTTATATGTATATGGATGTATATATGTATGTTATTTTAATCTTCTTTTTCTAGGACTTATTTTCTATCTTTTATTATGTTTGTACTTCATCATAAAATTAAAAAAATTAGGTCTCTAAGGGACATCCTCCAATTTCTCCTTATATTTCCAAACTGGGTTACCAATACTGCATACTTTGCTATCATACAGTAGCAATTTTATTTTAAAATATATATATATTGGAGACAGGGTCTTGCTATGTTGCCCAGGCTGCAGTACTATGGTGTGATAATAGCTCACTGCGGCTTTGATCTCCTGGGCTCAAGCGATCCTTCCACCTCAGCTGGGACTATAGATGTGTACCGCCATGCATGGCTAATTTTAAAAATATATACAGAGACATGGTCTTGCTATGTTGCCAAGGCTGTATGTTTTGTTTTTTTTTTTTTGGTAAGTGTCTTTAAACATTTTAGTAGCCTGTGACTGTTGAATGTGTAATTTAATGAATGAGTGGAACTTGAATTTGACTTGTAAACATTGGAACAAGGTTCATGGAAGTATCTGGCTTTCCTACCTTCTAGAAATCCAAATGCTAAGTATACTTTTTCCTCTTTTCTAATTTAAGTAGAAGAAAGGATATCTTTACTGTTTCTGCTAGCTCCATGAAGGCAGAGACTATGGTTGTCATCTCAGTTCTCCAGAACAGTGCCTGAAACATAATAGACGATAAATGAATATTTTTAGAAGGATTGAACGTAAATAAAGTCAATAGGATCAAATAGCCCCACTGACCTTCTAGCTGTTCCTCCAACCTGCCAAGTAACTTCCCACCTCAAGGCCTTTACACTTGCTGTTTCCTCTGTTCTGAATGTTCTAAATACCCATATGATTAATTCCATCATTTTATTCAAATCTGTGTTAAAATGTTACTTCTTTAGATACATTTCCATTCTACTATCTGTTAAAATAGTTTATCTCCACCTCTCCCACCCCAATTACTCTTATCCATCTTCACTGTTTCTTCTTAGCACATATTGCTATAATATTTCATTATACATTGTATACTTGACGTTATCTCTTTCTTCCCCCTAGAAGGAGGGGAGAATAAAATTTGAGATATGTAAATTCAGAGACTGTATAATGTCAGGGTTTTTGGAGGAAACAGAAATCATTTTAGATAGTTCAAATAAAGAGATTTTAAAGAATTACTTACAGTAGTAAGTTTGGGCAGGGTTAAGGAAATAAGGTATATTGAAACTAGACTTGATAGGGAGAGAGGAAGAAAGAATGTTACTGAAGCCCAGTGAGAGCTGGAGCTGGGAAGGACGGATTGCCTGAAAGAAGATGTCTTGCTAAAGGGACTCTACTGCTGACAGAGAAAGACATGGCGCTGGCAGTAAGGAGAAGCGGGAGAAGAAATGGCCGACTCTTCTCATTTATGCCATTCTCCTACCGATGCCTCCTGTTATGAAAACCCAGGGAGAAACCAGCTGGCAAGGAGCCCAGGTGAACCAGTTCTTAGGGGTCAGCCTCTTAGGCAACAGTGGACAGAGGAGTGAGAATGAATCTTGCCAAGAAAACAGAATAAAAAGCACAGTGTATTGTTTGGCTCACGACTGAATCTTTCATGCTCAGAACAGTACCTAACACAGTGCAAGTGCTCAATAAATACTTGTTAAATAAAATAACCAATGATGATAATTTGTTAGAGCAAAGCAACATTGATCCAGGATATTATCATACAGGGTCTCTGATCTTATATTGGGGGGGATGGTAGTTGTCCAAGGCATATATTTGGAGAAATTCGCAGATTACAACTACCCTAAAGAGGAGAATCAGTGCCTTTTATTATTTCAATCCACTATCACTTATTTGTAATTTATGAGTTATATCTTAGTATTCAAAGATCTTGGAAGAAATTTTCCAGTAAGAAATTTTGGTAACTATATGGTTTTTTTCAGGGAAAACGGTACTAGAAGATAGCTACTGGATTGCTTTATTATTACACAGGTAAGTAAAAAGTATGTAATGACATCACTGATTAATTAGCTTTAACTCCCACCTTGATTATGGGGATTCATGAGGATTAACAGCAAAGATAAGGGATAGAAATATATCTATGATCTCAACTCTGAGTCAGCTGCGTACCTGTAATTCCTTCACTCTGCTTTATTCCAAAAAAACACTCTGGCATCAATGTGGATAATGGACTAGAAAAGGGTGTTATTCACTGATACAGGAAAATCAGGAGATTTATTCGGAGACTACATTAAAGAAGATGATGGTGGGTACAGCAATGAACAGGTTGTTTGGTATTGAGATGGGAAGTTGAGGGAGCTGACATTTCAAGTCTCTCTAAAGAGAAAAGCAAGACTGAGATCAAAGAGTTTTGGTGGTGGTGGTGGGATATAGATTGCTTTGAGAAAGGTAGTAAAGGTTTATAATAGTAAGAGACTTTAGAGCTAGAAGGGCCCTTACAAATCTCTTAATTCCATGTTTTACAAACTTTGATTTTTCAATCAGTGGAATTATTTCTCCAAATGAATTCTTTTGCAGTAGTCTAGAATATGTAAATCAGATAAAAGTTCAATGGCTCAGATAGAAGGGGAGAGAAGCCCTGAGCCTCAAATGTTATGTGTCCTTTATGCCTCCCACCTGCTCATCCTCCGATTGCCCAGCGTGGTTCCAGATGTATCTCTGAAGAATGCCTAGTCTCCTTTGAAGACAGTTTCAAAGCCATCAATCTCCTCATTTTGTAGATGAAGAAACAGACCCAGAGAAATGAATTGACTTTTCCACAGTAAGGTCAGGACTAGGATCCACCTCTCCTAATTCCTAGCCAGAACTTTTTTTTTTTTAACTGTATTATCCTATCCCACTGCTTGTAGACATAAAACTAATTGGCATCAACAAAAGTCTCCAAGAATCTTGGATTTTAGGCTTTATTTTTCCAACGACATTTACCCTCAGATAATTTCTTTCTGTACTTCACAGTTCTATTTTATTATAAAAATTAGGAAATGTCTTTTCTTACCAACCTCCCAACTTTAGATTAAATAAGAAGGTGTGTTGTGCTTAGAGATCCTTGGAAGGAAGTTGTGAAGCACATTCAATTTCCTACCTGTGAAAAGCATAAAGGCTTTCTGGGGAAGTCATCAAGCAGAACTGGGAATGAAAAGCATTGAAACATTAAAAAATGCTCATGTACTACGTGTAGTCTTCAGTAACTTGTTTTTTTTTTTTTACCTGAAATTATGTTTCTGAGATTCATCATGTTATTGTGTGTAGCTGTAGTTCATTCCTTTTCGCTGCGGTCTGAATATACCTCCATTTATTTATCATAGTTTAGGGAGACATACACATGACAAAATTAGGGTTTTTGAAAAAGCAAGGAAATGATCTTTAAAATAAGCATAGTAATGGCCTCTCAAGGGGAGAAAGAAACATGGGATTGGGAAGAAACCCCCAGTAGTTTTAACATTTTTAGTAATACTTTAGTACAGTGATATTCTAAGTGTGGTCCCAAGGCCACCGGCATCAGCATCACCTGAGATCTTGTTCAAAATGCACATTTTGGGGTTCCCCTGAGACCTACTGAATCAGAAACTTTGGGGATGAGCTCAGTAGTCTTTGTTGTAACATGTTTTCCAGATGATTCTGATGTATGCTGAAATTTGAGAACCACTGTTGTACTGTTATGCTTTATAATTTATAATTTACTTCTCTCTCTCTCTCTCTTGCTCTCTGTGTGTCATTCTCTCTCTGTCTCTCTCTGTGACATTCTCTTTCTTTCTGTCTCATATTACACAACAAAAAAATAAAAGCATCTGATCAGTGGCTAACCAGAAATAAAGAGCTGTAGGGATATTAGAGCCATTTGAAAGCTATTCCTTTTGCAGGCTATTTGGTCAGAAGGATAAGTGGTGGGAAGAAAGGAAAGAAGAAGAATGGAACCATGGAGTAATTCAGGAGGAAGGTGAAGATTAAATAAGAGAGGGTCCTTCTGGCAGTATATGATGACAAAAGTGTAGCTGAAAATATAGAATATACTTTGAAACACATGTATATATGTTTGAATCTGTGTGTGTGTGTGTGTGTGTGTGTGTGTGTGTGTGTGTGTGTGTGTATGCTTTGAATGATACCTTGCTTGGAAAGCTTAACATGCCCCCATCAGTAGAGATAATGACTCCGCCTCTCTACTTACCCCTGCTTCTGAATAATTTAGACTCAGCAGGGAGTAACGTACTTTCACCACAGGATACAACTGCTGTTGTTAAAGTAGATCTTGCTGCCTTGGCCAGGCGTTCTAAAATGAAATGAATGTGTATCATTACTACTTTGACTTCCTTTTTTGTGATTTTGGAGCTGCAGTTGCCTTTGCAAGCTATCTCTTTTTCCTGCTGCTAGCATCACATATCATCATACTGAAAGTGAACACTACAAAAGGGGTAAAAAAGCTTAGTCTTTATTTATTTTGAAAGAAACTGGTTATTAACTGAACATTTATTCTTAAATGGCTAACCAGTGTTCAGACTGCAAAAGAGTAGTCCACTCTGAAAGGTACCACACAGTCTAACTGTTCAAGATGTCATTGTTGCACACAGAGGACACAAAGGACTTTAACCTGCCAACTGCCTGGGGACAGTCAGGGAAGAATCTCTTAAAAGATATTAATTGTGCAACATACGCACCCTAGGGAAAACATCTGTAGCAGACAGAAAATAGCACCAATGAGTTTTATACCTCTTTCGGGTTTGTCATTTGCAACATGCTTTGGACCAATAAGATATGAGTTTATCCTCTTTGCTAGACTTCTGTTAAGATAAACTAAATGCTGTAAGAAAGTTTCCTGTCATCACCCTTGTTAAGGTTCTTGCTATTGTAATAACTTTCTGAACAGTCTACCCTTCTCTTACCTTGTCCACACTCCAGTTCCTCCTCCCTGCCACTGCCAGATTGACTTTCATGAAGTACAGTTTTGATTGTGTCATTAGTCCACATACTACATCTCCGTCTCTGCTTTGGTGAATTAGAAACTCAGAGCTGACTCTATCCTTTACTGTTAATAATTGTGCAGGATCTTCTTTAAAAATTTTTGTACACAACCTACTCCTGATGTCATTTGACTATCTTATTATTATTTTAACCATTCATCTTGGACTCTTTACATATTTTTATTCTATTACATTGTATTTTTGTTAGTTGCCTCAAATTCCTTTTGAAATGTGGAGAGGTGAAAATAAACAGATGCAGAAATAAATACAGTCAGTAAGTCATTCTCCTTCTTGGAGGCTTTTATTACCTCCCCATTGTGCGCTAAATAAACCCTGAACTTCTCAGTCTAGCTGAGGTCCTCCATGATATGGCCTCAACCCACTCTTACAGTTTTATATTGTCTACCACCAAAGCATGTACATTCTATGGTCCATCAGACTGAATCCCTTGCCTTTCTCCAATCTTGCCATGTGTTTTCTTGCCTCCATGCCTATGTGTATGCTATTTCCTTTACCTAGATCATTTCGTCTCTTATCTCTGCCTGTTGAGATGCTCTCCATTAAACTCCATAGTTCCACTGCTACTTCTTCCTGAATCCTTTTCTGATCTAGCCACCATTTATGATCTGCCCTCCTCTAGAACATTTTCTTAATTGTCCTCATCATATTCTACCTTGTGTTATAGTTACTTGTACGCTCACCTTATACTATCACCCACTTCATGCTCTAAAAATTAGAAGTTTCTTGAGAGCAGGGGCCGTGCCCCATGCATCATTGTATCCTCTCTACAGTATGCCTATCAATCTGTTGTATTCAGTAGGTGCTCAGCAAATGTTTGTTGAATAAATTTATATGACTAAAAATAATAAATGCAATTGTATTTCTGTTTGGATAAGAGATCGCATGTTTTAGCATTTGGACATATGTGCAAAATTTCTTGAGGCATACGGGACCACCAAGTACAACCCGTTCCCACTACTGGAAAACCCAACAAAAAGGGTAGGCCTTGTTGTCACAGAGGCAGTGCCCTTGATCTGTTATGAAGGATATCTGGCTTCTTTTTATATAAAAAGAGCATTAACCCTGGGAATTTAATAATTTGGGGGAACAGTTCTAATGAACATTGAAAATATAGTTAAACATCCACAGAAGAAAATATGGACATAGTAATATGGCAATGCTAACCTCCAGACAGAAAATAAGGATATAACTTGTTTTTTGTTCTATAGCACGGTTAATGGAATGATTGTGTCCTATTGAGTCGCTCAAACTGTCTGAGAAATCACCAGACACCCTGAGTCAGTTTGAAGAATTTGATAATATGCCCTTAGAGATGGAGAACAGGATACATATGCCAAAAATAGATCTGATGAGTGAGTGCAGCAGAATTCCTAGTATGACAAAATCAGGAAGCTGGAATTTGTTGAGCTGAAAACCATAACAGGAAAGCAAAAGACAATGATAATGTTTGATTCTTAAAGTGGATGCCATTAAATAAACATACTAAGATGCCAGAAGTTTAAAACGATGCTATTTTCCTCTCCTTACTCTTTATTTTTATATACCATGTTGCCTGTTAAATGATCACTTCTAAGAACTACATTCTGAAAATATATTCTGTTGACTAATCATATACTTCATATTTACCTAATTGGTAAGGACAAAAAAAATGAAAATGAAAAAAAGACATCAGCTGAGGAGCAAAAGGGAAAAGGGAAAAAGACAACTTCAAAGTAATTATTTGTGATATTTTTGTTTAGGCCTGAAAAAAATGGCATCCAGCATGCTGCTACTGACATATGGTTCCCTCTGTGACCCTCAGAGCCAAACAGTATGAATAATCCAAAGCTTGCCGGAATCCAAGACTTTTATATTAAAGTCATTCTTTTTTTTTCCTTCAGCATTGTGTAGCTGCTTTGCTGAACAACAATGGAAATACATTTCCTGCCTCTCTTTTTTCTTTTTCATTTCATTTTTTTTTAATTCAAGAGCAAGCTTTAGAGTTTAGCTAAAATGCCTCCATCAAATAAAGTGGGACAGCAGTACTTAGGACTATTTTTCTGTTTTTATTCATGACCTGAGTCATAGAAGAATGCTAGCTTTGAAGTCTGAAATTTTTTTTTTTTATGTTTGGAAGATACCACATGTGTCTTTTACATAGTCTAGTAAAGATGCTTGATTTTGTTTTTTTATATGCCCTCTGTTATTGACGATCCAAGCAGTAAAACATATACAATAAAATTGTGCTTTTTATGAATTTGATTGATCTCTTTTGTATTCTAAAGAATAACCTGGCAAAGCATTATGTTTTTGATTTAGGTCTTCATAAGTCATCTACATAGAGGATACTAAATAGGAAGAGGTGATAGTGACATTTGCATGTTAGGAGTTCAGGTTCTACTTTAATTGCTGTGGGATTACATTTCAATTTTTTTTCCATGATATTTTCTCTGCAACGACAACCAGGTAGTAGTCTTCCTGCCTTAGTCTTCATTAAACTCCCATCACCCTCCACATCACTACCAGATACATCTTCTAATTCATTAAACGAATATCACTCTCCTCCTCAAAAGCCTTTGGTGTCTCCCCATTGTCTGCCAACTCTCTCTTTAATCTAGCATTCAAAGCCCTCCATGATTTGGCTGCAGTTCATCATTTGAGTTTCACCTGTCCCTAACAACTCCCTTGCTAGTACTTATGTTTCAGCTAAACACACACACATTTAATATACCCCTCATCCCATCCCCTCCTCACCCCCACACAGGTGCTCCTATCTGTCCTTTTCCACTGCCATTGCTTTTATAATACTCTCTACCAGGACCATCCAACCTCTTATTTTTACCTATGTTTTGAGGCAGAACTCCTACACGTATTTTGAGGCCCAGTTTAAATGCAACAAGTTTCAAGTCTTACTCGTCCCATTTATAATAGTTTTTGTATCTTATTTCCCCTCATCATTATCTTTCCTCTGGTTATTTTCCCTCACAACTCCTTAATTGCGGGAACTTACCATAGCACAGCAGCAGCCTTCCTTGTGCATGACAGTTGCCAATAATCCTTTGTTGAACAATGGGAATGAGACCTAATGTCCACCCCCATATCTCTGAACTTTTCTATCTTAATTATATTTAAATGTGCACGCTATTCTGGTTATTGGAACTAGCATCCTAGCAACCTTTCTTTCCATAAACGAGGGAACTTTGTGATTTATAGAGATGCTGTTGTTCATAATCAGATATGTAACGTTTATTATGTATGGAAATAACACAAATTCATTAATGGAAAACAATAGTTTGGAAGAGTTAAGTATCTGAATCAATATTTAAAGCTGCCATAGCACAGCAGGACTTAGTCCCCTCAGACATTTGAATGAATGACCGAGCCATCAATTTAACCTGTTGAGTATGTGACTGAACAGACAAAACCTTAGATGTGTCAATATAACCACACTGGCTGACCTGAAATAAGAGTCTCTTTAGCTTCAAGCAGAATTTGCAAAACTCCCAGAATTCAAGCCTCAGGTGCCAACAACACTCAAAATAATCTTTACAATTTTCTGAGACTTTAGCTATGTTCCGCTAATAAAAGGTATTATTTAGTATTTCTTGTCTCATCATTTAAAAGCCAATGTCCTGGCTACATGTATAAAGGCTTGAGAGATTCCCTTCCTGTTTATTTGGTGAGTTAAGTTGGCAGGCAACCACTAGAGAGACACTGATGTCTGTTAGTGCCACAGGTGTGAGTTTTGTAATCTCTCTTTCTGGAAAATGTCCAGGATGTTACTGTTTTGAAGGCTGGCTTCCCCTTAAAAAAAAAAAAGTAAATGTATCCTGTGCACTATTGTCACTTAGAGCTGTGGAGCAGCAATGACTAAAAGCCTCTTGAGAAATAAACACAAGTGACAAAAGATTAATTCTTTTGGCATTCTTATGGAAAAACCATGATCCTTTCCAAAGAGAAAACTCCTTGAAGTCCGTGTGGGTTCATTAGAAGTCCCTCTCTGGGAAAACTAAAGAGCAGGCAAATGATCAGTTTGTGTGTCTGACAGTGACATCTGTCACCCATTGACCTCAGATGTGACACTATTGATTTGGCTGCCTTCCTTCTTCATGGCTCCATGCATGTCCCTCTAAAACTGTGCTAAATCATTGGAAATTTTAAAAACCACTCCTTGTCTCCAATGACTTTGATTGAAGAGCTGCAAACTAGGTATGAAGAAATTCAAACACATTAGGTTTCTAGGCAGTTTGGTTGGGGGCGGGGGTGGTGGCTAAAGAGCTAGAATATTGTTCTAGAAATCTGGATAATGGTAAGTACCTTGTAAAATGAATGACCCATTGTTCCTTCACTGAAGGTTCACATTCTTGTACAGTCTTACTGAACTTGTGCACTAGTTAGCTGTCCCACTAAGAGTTTGTCACTAAACAAAACAAGCATACAAGTCAATGCTGTGGACCATGAACTTGCTTTTCCTACAGTATTTTGCTCACATGGATGGGTCAAAATTGGGAAACATGGCTTAACCAAATTCAAAGCCTTTTTGATATAGGACTTCTCAAAACCTTCATTCTGTTCCCATGTGTTTTGTGCATCTCTAAGAGGAAACTGGAATGTAAGGTTGACCATGAGACCTGTTCCTCCTGCTCACCCAGAGGAATTAACTCTTCCCTTTCATGAATGGGTATAGACTGAATACCTGTTAACAACAAAATCTGTCAGCAGCATCACTATTGAAGAAGACATAGTGAACCGGCTTTGTTTTCTTCAGTGGATGGAACTCATTCCACTCTGTAACATTTTGTTCTTGGCTTAACAAGCAACAGTGCAAGTGGCATAACCCTGCATATTTTTTGTTTTAGGTCACTCTGAGAAGTTGGTTTACTTATATTTAGATAATTAGTACAAAGCAACACTGCATTTATGGAACATTCTTTAGTTTCCTTTTAGAGTCTTCACACAACTAGGATTAAAGAGGACTAAAATTATATTACTTCTGGAAGGAAAGCTGGATCTCTACTAGTTTGGTAGGCATGAAAACTAGAGAGACTTTCACTCTCCATGGAGCAGTGATATGAAGTCTGATGCAAATGGCTCCTTTCTGGATTATTCATTCATTTGATAAATATTTATTGAATGCTTACTATATTCCTAGTGGTCTTTTAGGTGTTTGGATTAGAGTTACTTAAAAAAGAACTTCCAACCTTGTGGAGCTTACATTCTATGGGGGAAGAAAACAAGCAAGCAAATACATTTATGAAAAAAATTATATATTTACAGATCAGATAATTGATATGAGGGAACTAAAACAAGGTGATAAGCTGGAATGGGGGGTTCTTTTTATAAAAAGTGTGATTTATAATTAAAGTTTCTAATCTCAAATATGTTTTCGCCATAATGAATTTCTGTGGTAATAAAATGTAATACCTCTTCTTGTTTTTCTTCATAAATATACATACTTATAAAGAAGAGGTGATTGTTGAAAGAGGAGGTGAGCCAGCCATGTGAAGATCTAAGAGAGCAGATTTCCAAGTGTAAATTTTAGAAATTATAGGAACTGTGAGGTAGAGTCTTTAGCTGGTTTTAAGAACAGAAAAAAGCCATTGTGGCTGGAACATAGTGAGGAAGGGAACAAATAGTGCGATTTACTAGATCGGTGGTTCTCGAAGTGTGGTCAGGTATGTTGGTAGTCATACACAGGCTAGCAAGCTGTACTGTTGAGTCAAGGAATAAGAGATGGTGTCGTCCTCGGGCACCCAATTTATGCAGGTCCTGATAGTTCTCTGACTATGAGAAATCAGGGAGATTTTATTTAGCGCAGTAGTTCTCAAAGTATGATTCCTGGGCCACCAATATCAACAACACTTGGAAACTTGTTGGAAATGCAAATTTTCTACCCCATCCCAGACCTACTAAATCAGTAGGACTGAGACCAGCAACCTTTGTTGTAACAAGCCATTCGGGTGATTCTGGTGTTAGATAGAGTTAGTGATTCATCTTGCTGGAAAATAACTGGGGGTGTGAGTGTGGAGTAAAATAGTGTCACTTTAGGAGGAAGTGTCTTCTTTGTTTAAAAGCCTTATTATTCTATTTGTGTTCTTGAACCCATCTGCTACTGGAAAGTACCTAGCTTCATTAATTCATTAACTCTTCCTGCATGTATTAGGAATAAACAGATGATGCTCTTAGGGTTGTACATAGATAATTTCAGTTAATCCTTATAATAACCCTGTGGGATAGGTACTGTTATTATTCCCATTTTATAGAAAAGGAAATGAGGGTACAGAAAAGAAATTTGACCCTGGTCACAAAGGTAATAAGAGGAAGTCTGGTTCCAGAAGCACATTAATAAGTACTTTTCTACAGTGCCTCTCACATATCTGGGATCAGCTGGGGTGATTTGATCTAAGATAACATTGTTCAAACAATTGCCTTTGCTTTTGACTTTGACTTCAAGTCTCTGAATGGTGCTCATAGAGGTCACCTAGTGACTATTCTAGTCTAAAACCCTGAGAGGTAAAACAGCTTGCCTAAGATTATAGAGCCAGTTAGTGTCAGAGCCATGACTTAAAACCCAGGTCCCTAACTTTCAACTCAGTGTTAACACGTTTCCATTGAAAACAAAACTGTGGATGTGACATACTGAAAACAACAAAGCCAGGCCACATATCCAGCAGCTCATGTATTTACCAGTCTTCCTTTATCTTGCTATTGTTAGCACAATGAGTTCTTTTCCTGATTCTGGTGCCCATGAAGGGCCAGAGGACAGGGCCCCCTAGGGAGAATACTGCCATAGCTGGCAATAAGAGCAAACACTAGTCTTGCACATGGAATTTGAGTCTAGGGTGCCAGAAGGGAACATTAGGTTCTATTAGTAGTATCTTTCATTGTCAAACGCATGAAGACAACAATGCATCAAAAAAAAGTAACTTTTCACCGGGTTCTTTTTTATGTTTCCTAGATTTTCTCTTTGTTTGCTTGCATGGTTTTGTTTTTAACTGCTTTTCTCATTTTATCTGCAGTGAAATTTTACCAAGGGAATGTACAGAAGTTGACATTCTGATCACTTCTTGGCCTTTTGGCTAACATCAAGTGCAGAAGTTAACATTCTGTAGAGCCTTAAAATAGCCACCCCTGTACGTTTAAGGCTTAATCACAAAACCTCAGCAATATTAAACATAAAATCTCCATTTCGGCATATGAATCTGAAATGAACTAGCTTTTCTGTCTCTATCTTCTGTTTTACATTTACAAAAGTGTGATGTATAATTTAAGTTTTAATCTCAAATGTGTTTGCTCTAGAATAAAATTCTGTAATAATAAAATGTTCTATCTCAGCTTGATTTCCTCTAGAAATATACTAACTATTCTTGTCATTTTCCCATTAATACAGTCAGCAAATAAAATAAAGTATTAATTCTGATTTAAAATCTAGTTCTGACTAGCATAATATTGTTTCATTAGAGTCATTCAAGATGCTTTTTGGGGACCCTATTAGGGGATTAATAAGAAGTTGTGATGAAAAGTCACATATTGTATATTAGATGTAATTATACAATGCATCTCTATTTATTATCAGTCTCCCAAACAACTTCTATTTAAAGAAAAGGGAAGTGTTGATTATTCCTGGGCAAGATGGCTGAATAGGAGCAGCTCCAGTCTGCAGCTTCCAACGAGACCAACGCAAAAGGTCAGTGATTTGTGCATTTCCAACTAAGGTACCCGGTTCATCTCACTGAGACTGGTTAGATAGTGGGTGCAGCCCCCAGAGGGTGAGCAGAAGCAGGGTGGAGTGTCGCCTCACCTGGGAAGCGCAAGGGGTCGGGGAACTTCCTTTCCTAGCCAAGGGAAGCCATGAGGGACCATGCTGTGAGGGATGGTGCTATCCAGCTCAGACACTGTGCTTTTCCCATGGTCTTCGCAATCCGCAGACCAGGAGATTCCCTCAGGTGCCTACACCACCAAGGCCCTGGGTTTCAAGCACAAAACTGGGCGGCCATTTGGGCAGACACTGAGCTAACTGGAGGAGCTTTTTTCTTGTCCTAGTGGCACCTGGAACGCCAGTGAGACAGAACCGTTCACTCCCCTGGAAGGGGGGCTGAAGCCAGGGAGCCAAGTGGTCTTGCTCAGCAGATCCCACCCCCAAAGAGCCCAGCAAGCTAAGATCCACTGGCTTGAAATTCTTGCTGCCAGCACAGTCAGACTTCACAGTCTGAAGTCAACCTGAGATGCTCGAGCTTGGTGGGGGGAGGGGTGCCCGAGCTTGGTGGGGGAAGGGGCGCCCGCCATTACTGAGGCTTGAGTAGTCGGTTTTCCTCACACAGTGTAAACAAAGCCGCCTGGAAGTTCGGACCCACCGCAGCTCAGCAAAGCCGCTATAGCCAGACTGCCTCTCTAGATTCCTCCTCTCTGGGCAGGACATCTCTGAAAGAAAGGCAGCAGCCCCAGTCAGGGGCTTATAGCTAAAAGTCCCATCTCTCTGGGACGGAGCACCTGGGGGAATGGGGAGCTGTGGGCGCCCTTAAGCGTTCCTGCCTGCTGGCTCTGAAGAGAGCAGTGGATCTCCCAGCACAGTGCTAGAGCTCTGCTAAGGGTCAGACTGCCTCCTCAAGTGGGTCCCTGAACCCCGTGCCTCCCGAAAAGGAGACACCTCCCAGCAGGGGTGGACAGACACGTCATACAGGAAAGCACTGGCTGGCATCTGGCAGGTGCCCCTCTGGGACGAAGCTTCCAGAGGAAGGAACAGACAGCAATCTTTGCTGTTCTGCAGCCTCCACTGGTGATACCCAGGCAAACAGGGTCTGGAGTGGAACCCCAGCAAACTCCAGCAGACCTACAGAAGAGGGGCCTGACAGAAGGAAAACTAACAAAAAGAAAGCAATAGCATCAACATTAACAAAAAGGATGACCATGCAAAAACTCCATCCAAAGGTCACCAACAGCAAAGACCAAAGGTAGATAAATCCATGGAGATGAGGAAAAACCAGCACAAAAAGGCTGAAAATTCCAAAAACCAGAATGCCTCTTCTCCTCCAGAGGATCACAACACCTGGCCAGCAAGGGAACAAAACTGGATGGAGAATAAGTTTGATGAATTGACAGAAGTAGGCTTCAGAAGGTGGGAAATAACAAACTTCTCCAAGCTAAAGGAGCATGTTATAACCCAATGCAAGGAAGCTAAGAACCTTGATAAAAGGTTAGAGGAATTGCTAACTAGAATAACTAGTTTAGAAAAGAACATAAATGACCTGATGGAACTGAAAAACACAGCACGAGAACTTCGTGAAGCATACGCAAGTATCAATAGCCGAATCAATCAAGCAGAACAAAGGATATCAGAGATTGAAGATCAACTTAATGAAATAAAGCATGAAGACAAGATTAGAGAAAAAAGAATAAAAAGGAACGAACCAAGCCTCCAAGAAATATGGGACTATATGAAAAGACCAAACCTACGTTTGATTGGTGTACCTGAAAGTGATGGGGAGAAAGGAACCAAGTTGGAAAACACACTTCAGGATGTAATCCAGGAGAACTTCCCGAACCTAGCAAGAGAGGCCAACATTCAAATTCAGGAAATACAGAGAACACCACAAAGATACTCCTTAGAAGAGCAACCCCAAGGCACATAATTGTCAGATTCACCAAGGTTGAAATGAAGGAAAAACTGTTAAGGGCAGCCAGAGAGAAAGGTCGGGTTACCCACAAAGGGAAGCCCATCAGACTAACAGCTGATCTCTCTGCAGAAACCCTACAAGCCAGAAGAGAGTGATGGTCAATATTCAACATTCTTAAAGAAAAGAATTTTCAACCCAAATTTCATATCCAGCCAAACTAAGCTTCATAAGTGAAGGAGAAATAAAATCCTTTACAGACAAGCAAATGCTGAGGGATTTTGTCACCACCAGGCCTGCCTTACAAGAATTCCTGAAGGAAGCATTAAATATGGAAAGGAAAAACCGGTACCAGCCACTGCAAAAACAACCCAAAATGTAAAGACCATCGACTATGGTCAATGAAGAAACTGCATCAACTAATGGGAAACAAGAAGAGCTAACTATCCTAAATATTTTTCCTAAATATATACCCAGGTTCATAAAGCAAGTTCTTAGAGACCTACGAAGAGACTCCTACACAATAAAAGTGGGAGACTTTCACACCCCACTGTCAATATTAGACAGATTAATGAGACAGAAAATTAACAAGTATATTCAGGACTTGAACTCAGCTCTGGACCAAGTGTACCTAATAGACATCTATGCAACTCTCCACTTCAAATCAACAGAATATACATTCTTCTCAGCACTACATAGCACATATTCTAAAATCGACCACGTAATTGGAAATAAAACACTCCTCAGCAAATGCAAAAGAACGGAAATCAGTGGTACAAAACGCGGCTCAAGGAAATAAGAGCACCCAAACAAATGGAAAAACATTCCATGCTCATGAATGGGAAGAATCAATATCGTGAAAATGACCATACTGCCCAAAGTAATTTATGGATTCAATGCCATCCCCATCAAGGTACCATTGCCTTTCTTCACAGAATTGGAAAAAACTACTTTAAATTTTGTATGGAACCAAAAAAGAGCCAGTATAGCCAAGACGATCCTAAGCCAAAGGAACAAAGCTGGAGGCATCATGCTACCTGACTTCAAACTATGCTACAAGGCTACAGTAACCTAAACAGCATGGTACTGGTACCAAAACAGATATATAGACCAATGGAACAGAACAGAGGCCTCAGAAATAACACCACACATCTACAACCATCTGATCTTTGACAAACCTGACAAAAACAAGCAATGGGGAAAAGATTCCCTATTTAATAAATGGTATTGGGAAAACTGGCTAACCATATGCAGAAAACTGAAACTGGACCCCTTCCTTACACCTTATACAAAAATTAACTCAAGATGGATTAAAGACTTAAATGTAAGACCTAAAACCATAAAAACCCTAGAAGAAAACCTAGGCAATACCATTCAGGACATAGGCATGGACAAAGACTTCATGACTCAAATACCTAAAGCAATGGCAACAAAAGCCGAAATTGACAAATGAGATCTAATTAAACTAAAGAGCTTCTGCACAGCAAAAGAAACTATCATCAGAGTGAACAGGCAACCTACAGAATGGGAGAAAACTTTTGCAATCTATCCATCTGACAAAGGGCTAATGCCCAGAATCTACAAGGAACTTAAACAAATTTACAAGAAAAAAACAACCCCATCAAAAAGTGGGCAAAGGATATGAACAGACACTTTTCCAAAGAAGACATTTATGTGGCCCACAAACATATGAAAAAAAGTTCATCATCACTGCTCATTAGAGAAATGCAAATCAAAACCACAATGAGATACCATGTCATTCCAGTTAGAATGGAGATCATTAAAAAGTCAGGAAACAACAGATGCTGGAGAGGATGTGGAGGAATAGTTATGCTTTTACACTGTTGGTGGGAGTGTAAATTAGTTCAACTATTGTGGAAGACAGCGTGGTGATTCCTCAAGGATCTAGAACTAGAAATACCATTTGATTCAGCAATCCCATTACTGGGTACATACCCAAAGGATTATAAATCATTCTGCTGTACAGACACATGCACACGTATGTTTTTTGCAGCACTATTCACAATAGCAAAGACTTGGAACCAACCCAAATGCCCATCAGTGTTAGACTGGATAAAAAAAATGTGGCACATATATACCATGGAATACTATGCAGCCATAAAAATAATAAGCTCATGTCCTTTGCAGGGACATGGATGAAGCTAGACACCATCATTCTCAGCAAACTAACACAGGAACAGAAAACCAAATACCACATGTTCTCACTCATAAGTGGGAGTTGAACAATGAGAACATATGGGCCTAGGGAGGGGAACATCATTCACTGGGGCCTGTTGGGGGGTGGGGGGCAAAGGGGAGGGATAGCATTAGGAGAAATATCTAATGTGGATGACGGGTTGATGGATGCAGCAAAGCACCATGGCACATGTATACCTACGTGACAAACCTGCACATTCTGCACCTGTATCCCAGAACTTAAAGTATAATAATAATAAATAAATAAAAATGGAAGTGTGTTCAAAATACTTTTTGATGTTTTTAACTTAAAATTTATTTTGTCCCTGGCTGTTCCTAAAATATAGGGCCTAAGAGAGGGAAGAAAGTTTTCTCAAAGTTTTCTGAAGAGGAACTCTTGCTTTTAGATTCTTGCTCAAGTGTTTTTGAGACTACAGTGTGTGTTGAGCAATAATGCCCACCCTCTTAGCAAGGATCTTAAGAGAAGGTATTTTATTAAAATACCAGCTTCCCCTTTTTTCACTTCCTTGCTTTCAAGTAAAATTATGGCTTTTGCAAAGAATACCTCAACAGTTAATGTGACTCATTTTTCTTTAATACTAATACTGGGGTTTCTGCTGCTTTAAAATAAAAAATTTCTAAACTATTGTAGCTCCTAAAAACTGTGTCACAGGCCAGTGCACTACAATATAGAAATTCCATGTGTGCAATTAGTTTTAATTAAGAGTGGGTTAGATTTTCAGATAAATTGGTAACCTAAGTTCCCAACACAGTGTGTTAGCAGCATTACTGCAACTTGAGGAGTTACTAGGAAGTGTTTTTACTTTTATCCTTGTATATTAACAAGGTTAAGGGCAAAGGCTCACTTCTGTTCTAAGTGGAAGGAGTAGTTCTCATTCTGAGATTAAATATCTCTTCAGGAGGCTGGCCAAGAGTTCTGCTTTTTATTCAGGTCTTAATCTTTTTGGTCACTTACACATATTTAGTGTTTTGGTGTGTAGGCACACAAACAGTTATGTAGAGACAGGCACACAGGTTTTTCTCTAACAGTTTAGAAGCTGTACTAGACACTAGGGTGACCATCTCCCCTTGTTTGCCCAGAACTGAGGTCTTTTCCTGGAATGCAGTACTTTCAGTGCCTAAACCAGGAAAGTTTTGGGCAAACCAACATGGTTTGTCATCTGAGTTCAAGAAAGTAGTTCTGGTATGACAATACAAATGTTTTGTACTCCCCCATAGTTAATTCTGGCCTTAAAGGGGAGATATTTGGGAAGCTAACTTAATACTTCTAGTATATAACAAAAGTAGTGAAAATAATCAAATTTAGTCAGCAACAGGCCTAAGAACTAGTCAGATGGGAAGGTTAGAGGTAATAGCAAAAGTATGAAAAGAGGAGACCATGAATAATTACAATCTTAGATTCTAGAACTTTATTCTGGGTTTTAAGATTTAATCTAAGAGTTGGATAAACAGTGGGGTTTGTATATTGAGCTGAACAATAATGGAAAGGATTATTAAAAATACCTGCACTATTTATTTTTATCTGCTTGAAGTGCAATAAAACACAACAGGCTGTGAATTATTGCGTAATAGTTACCACATTGTGTCATTAGATGTGAGACAGACGGCTGAGATCCAGTTAAATGCACTGCCGTTTTCAGCCTCTAGAATTATATTATAGTTCTGAGAGAAGAAGTGTGCACTGGTTTGTGAAGTCTAGGATTGAAACCAAGAATTTTTTGATTTTCAGTTCTCTGATGCAACACAAAGTTATGTGTTTCCAGCCAAGTTGCTTAAACATAGTGCCACAGTTTTCTGATTCTTTGACTTAAGAGAGCAAAAGTTAGCTCTCAGCTTCTAGACTGTACAATTTTGGACAGTCCGTAAAGGTAGTGGTCATTTGAAGTGAAGATGAGAATGAAGTCCACTTTAGTATCAGAGACTGCATTTCACGCCATGTTATCTGTCTGTCAAGAAAACAATATGGTTAGTCAGTATCAAGTAGAAAGTCCTGTCTGACTTTCATCATCTGCTCTCAAACTACCTATCAAGTCCCACTGGGTAGGCAGTATAGCATGGAAATCAGCACATGTGTTCTAGATCTAGACTGTCTGGGTTCAAAGCCTTGCTCTACCATTATTAACTCTGTGATCTTTGTCAAGTTACTTAACCTCACCATGCTTTAGTTTCTTCATTTGCAATGTTGGGTTGTCACTAATAACATATAACTCTTAAGGATAAATATATAGAGAACAGTTAGAATAGTGTTTGGTGCAGAGTAAGGGTTTGCTATTATTATTACTGTTGTCCTTATTATTCCTTAATGTGTGCCTTTGCTCTGGGCTCAATTCTCTCTTTAGTATATACATGCCATGCAAACTCATGTTTCTTTATATCTTTGTTTGCACTGAACTCTCTGCATGAAACATGGTATTTTTTCCAGCTTGCCCAAAGTTTATCCATTTTTAAAAGACCATTTCTATTCCCATCTCTTATGTGAGACTTTCAGAAAACTCTCACTTTGATAAATTCCTTTATAATTACTGCCAGAAACATGCAGTTCAGCTTTCAGCCATTTGTTTGTTGTTTGCTGTTTGCTATGTGCTAATGTTATCTCGTCTGCTGATCTGTTAACTTTTTGACAGTTGGGCCAATGTCTTGTCTATTTTATTGTTTTCTACAGCCCCTAGTATGTTTCTTGAATAAAAACAAGTTGAGTATCCCTTATCCAAAATGCTTGAGATCAGAAGTGTTTCTGTTTCCAGATCTTTCCAGATTTTGGAATGTTTGCATATACATAGATGTGTATATCTGTTTGCAGATACATAACGATAGCTTGTGGATGAGACCCAAGAGAGTGTAAAATTTCCATTTCATATACACCTTATACACATAGCCTGAAGGTAATTTGATACAATGTTTTAAATAATTTTGTAAAAGAAACAAAGTTTTGACTCTGTTTTGACTTTGACCTGTCACATGAGGTCAGGTATGGAATTTTCCACTTGTCGTGTCATGTTGGTGCTCAAAAGTTTTGGATTTTGAAGCATTTTGAATTTCAGATGTTTGGATTAAGGATTCTCGTTGATTCATATAAGGGAAATAATGACTAAATTTGTTCCTTAAATTTTTCTACCACTTTTGAGACAATAAAGCCACTAGTTACATCACTTCAAGAATAGATCTCCCAAAAATCTTGCTGAGTTTAAACTATTTTTAAGCAGCTATGTGTACGTGTATTCTATTTCAGTAGAATAATCATTTACAGGTAAATTTTCTTTCATGTTTGGATTCAGAAAAGAAAAAAATTTCATATACATCATTGAATCACATTTACTGAAGTGAATCCTGTGAAGATAGGATGAATTGAGATTAAAAATTTTTTTAGTTTAGTACTTTGGTGCTATGGTTGAACGTTTTTCCCCTCCAAAATTCATGTTGAAACTTAATCTTTGGCTGGGCATGGTGGCTCACATCTGTAATCCCAGCACTTTGGAAGGCCTAGGAGGGTGGATCACTTGAGGTTAGGAGTTCAAGACCAGCCTGGCCAACATGGTGAATCCCCATCTCTACTAAAAATACAAAAATTAGCTGGGCTCGGTGGCGCATTCCTGTAGTCCCAGCTACTTGGGAGGCTGAGGCAGGAGAATCGCTTGAACCCGGGAGGTGGAGGTTGCAGTGAGCTGAGATCGTGCCACTGCACTCCAGCCTGGGCCACAGAGCAAGACTCCATCTCAAACAAGCAAACAAACAAAAAAGAAACTTAATTCCCAATGAAACGGTATAAGGAAGTGGGGCCTTTAATTGGTGATTGGGTTATAAGGGCTTTGCCCTCCAGAATAGATTAAGAGATTCATGGATGAATGGATGAATGGGTTAACTAATTACCAGGTTGTTATGAGAATGGGTTAGTTATCACGAGAGTGAGTGCTGTAAAAGCCAGTTTGGTTCTCTCTTGTGCTGCCTTGTGCTGTCTTGGATCTCTGCAGAGAATCCCACCAGCAAGAAAACTTTCAGCAGACGTGGCTCCTAGACCTTGGAATTCTCAGCCTCCAGAACTGTAAGAAATACATTTCTTTGCTTTAAAAATTACCCAGTCTCAGGGATTCAGTTATAGCAACAGAAAACAGACTAAGTCCTATGGTTTGAATTTATGTGTCCCTCCAAAATTCATATGTTGAAACTTAAATACCAATGTGATCATATTAAGAGTGAGTAGGTCCTGAGGGCTGTGTCCTCTTGAGTGGGAATAATGTGTTTTAAAAGAGGCGTCACACAACATTGGTCCCTGTTGTCCTTCTGCCTTCCCCGCATGTAAGGATGTAGCAACAAGGTGCCATCTTGGAAGTAGAGAATGAGCGTTCACTAGACACTGATTCTGCTGATGCTTTTATCTTGGACTTCTAAGCCTCCAGAACTGTGAGAAATAAATATCTGTTCTATAAAAATTACTCAATCTGTGGTATTTTGATATAGCAGCAGGAATGGAATAAGGCATGGAAATTTTCACATACACGCAAAAGCAGAGAGAATAATATAATCAACTCCATGTAACTATCACCCAGTTTCCACAATTAGGAACACTTTTCCCATCTTGATTTATCTATTCCACCATTCTTTTTGGCCGGAATATTTTAAAGCAGAATCATCATATTTCATCTGTAATAGTTTAGTATGCATCATTAACAGTTAAGAGATATAAAAACAATGCTAAAGAGAGCCAAGAAATAATTCTTAGTATTGTGCTAAAATTGCCAAACCTTGTCTTAAAATTTTACAACTTTAATAATACCACTTTGCTCTCTTCTACTCCAAACATATAGGTAAACCTAAAAAAAATTGATGTTCTTAGTGGATGACAGGAAATATATGTGAAACATGAAGGGTCTTTTATTGTCTCAGCTGTGGTCTTTGAATTATTGCAAGAACCATGCTTTGATAAAAAACACTACATTATGATTTTGATATGATAGATTACTATAATAATCAAATGGAAATTATATATTTATTTTATTTTAATGTATTTTTCAGCTGTATGATTTTTTTGGATATCTTAAATTAAATGTTGAATGGAGCTATCTAGACATGACACAATATAGCTCATCAATCTATTTTAATAAGGCAATTTTTCTAGGGATGTTAGAATTTAATAGCTTTAATGATTTGATGACACTGCTTCACAAGTGATTGTGATATCATTCCCTCTGAAACTGATCATAAAATATAACAATGGTGTTGAGGTATATGTTTAAATAGCTATTTATCTTATTCAGTTTATCAAAGGCTGTCTATGCAAGTGGCAATCACTGGTTTATAAATTAGAGTAAGTCATGTTTTGTTGTTGTACTTTTAGAGTTACAGGATAATAGGACACCGGTTTGAGCTACCTACTTTGCAAATCCTAATGCAACAATGTTATATAAAGAGGCACATGATGAGAATTTTTAGAGAAATTCTTGTGTCCAACAAAAGTTGGATAGTTCTGTTATGTAAACCTGAGCCAGACATGTATAAGAAATAAAACTTAGAGTTTAAGCTTGTTAGTAATGTATACATTATAACCGTAGATTCAAAATCTATAGTCTTGAAACTTGTTTTCTCTAGTGCTGGGGGGAGCATGTATAGATAGACAGATATACACATCGCCCGTAGTACCATAAATCCATGAAGGCTCTAACCATCAGCTCTAACCAGCTGGAGTGAAATGTACCTGACTTGCTGTCAGTTCTCTTTGTAAGTTGGGGTTCAGTGAACTCCCGTTTTGGAATAGTCTAGGATGAACCGAATTCAAACAAAAACTTGCTTACAGGCATTTAAAGCTGAACTATAAATCTTTCAGTGATCTTTGTTCTGTTTCTTTGTTCTGTTATTTTTTCCTCACATTTGTAACGGTTGCCTCTGTGTATATTTTGACTTTGCAGATATTCTGCCCAATAAACTGCTTGAGTTTGTAACTTGATACCATTAATTTGTACCAATGCTTGCATGTATTCATATATTCCTACAGAATTAGCTTTAGGCTTTTATTTTCCCTTCATTATGTGAATTTGACTAAAGCAGAGCTATCCTTCAAAGTGAAAATATTTTATTAGGAAAATTTCTTTGAAATGACTTCTTTATTTTAGCATTCTAGAATTGCCAGACTACAGCCATTTCTAGAATATAATTCCCAAGAAATTTCTTCCACTAAAGTGAATTATGGGTTGTGGGCACAGATTTTTTTTTTTAAATTCTTGCATGGCAAATAGAAAAAAGTAAAGAGGACTTCAACTTCTATTTTGAAGAAAAGTAGTTTGGTCTGGTGCCCTGAAATTCAACCTTCTATCATGGGTACTTTAAGTTAAAAAACAAAATCAGAACTGCCCTTTTTCCCCCCTCAACTCTCGGGCTTTTGAATATAGCTTTCTTTTGAAATATTATGAAGAATCTCCTTTCTCAGTAATGCTTACCATGAAAATTTAAAACACAAACAGCATATCCAATAGAAAAATAAAGGAAAGCAACTCAATAGCAGTCTGAGAGTTGGATTTTATGATCTCATCAGAGTAATTAGAAAAGTCAATCATGAAGCTATCTGAGACACACATAAGACAGACCTGAAAAAATGCTTTTTCAGTAGATCTTTTGATCTACAAATTTTAGGTCACATTTCTTCTGTGTCCACGGACATTAGACCTATTTAATAGGCTGGAAAGTGGAGAGTTATTATTAATATGGAAATTCAAGGCCATCATAGACAGTAGGTTTATCCGGTGACTAGTTCTACAACCTGTGCTAGTCAATTGATTTCACTTAGCCTCTATTTTTTCATCAGGAAAATGGGAACGACAGTTGTTACTGTGATGGCAAGATAAATGTAATGAATGTGTAAGTGTCATGATATAGCAAAATCCCAGCTATTTCCGTCCAATAGTAACATCATGATGCTAGGAACTATCAAGGAATACAAATCTGTGAGTTACTTTTAATAACTGTAGAATCACTTGAGCTCAGAAGTTCAAGACCAGCCTGGGCAACATGGCGAAACCCCATCTCTACAAAAAATACAAAAATTAGCCAGGCATGGTGGCATGCGCCTGTAGTCACAGTTACTTGGGAGGCCAAAGTGGAAGGATCGCTTGACCTGGGAGGTCGAGGCTGCAGCAATCCAGCCTGGGTGACAGAGTGAGACCCTGTCTCAAAACAAAAACAAAACCAAAACCCATGATTAAAATAGTTCACAGAGTGTCTTTATGGTGATACTTCCAAAGGAAACCAGTATCTTCTCAGTCAAAATAGCAAGCACAATAATAAGAAAACTAGAGAATACAAAATGTTGGCTTTCTGAAGAAAATGGTAGCGCTAGTAGGAGACAATATTGTAATAAGAGAGGAAATTATCAGTGATTTCAAGTTTACTGGTAAAAGTACATTCCAGCAGAAAGCACACTAGAGGTTTTGATTTTCTTGACAGTAGTTTCATTCACTCTATTCGGATGGCCAGCCATTCTGGTGTGCTGGGCACTTCCTTGATTTTAACACTGAAGGTCCCATTTCCTACCTAAGCCCTCACTCCTGGGCAGCTCACTCCTGCTTATTTGGTCTCCATGACATTGGCTATTTATTTGTCAAGTATGCAGTGGAAAATGAGATTTCACAAGGCTCTTAGCATTCATATTTAGAACTGTGATTTTATTCCTTGACATACATACTCTCTGTCAATTAAATATCATTTTTATAATTTTGTATTAAAAGTGGTTGCTGGCCCGGCACAGTGGCTGACACCTGTAATCCCAACACTTTGGGAGGCCAAGGCAGGTGGGTCACTTGACGTCAGGAGTTCGACCAGCCTGGCCAACATGGTGAAACCCTGTCTCTACTAAAAATACAAAAATTATCTGGGTGTGGTTACTCATGCCTGTAGCCCCAGCTACTCAGGAAGCTGAGGGTTGCTTGAATGCAGGAGGCAGAGGTTGCAGTGAGCCAGGATCGCGCAACTGCACTCCAGCCTGGGCAACAGAGTGAGACTCTGTCTCAAAAAAAAGAAAAAGTGTTTGCTGAGTAGGCACACATAGCACACTCTGTGCTAAATAGTGGATGTTTCTGGAAGTGCTGGAAGGGGTGTATTAATCAAGGTTCCCTAGAGAAACAGAAGCAGTAGGATATATATGCAGAAAGAGATTTATTAAGAGGAATTGACTTGTGATTGTGGAAGCTGAGAAGTCCCATGATCTGCCATCTACAGTCTGGACACCAGGAAAGCCTAATTCCGCACTGACTCTGAAAGTCTAAGAATCAGAAGAGCTGATGGTATAAATCCCAGTCTAAGGGCAGGGAAAGACTTATGTTTTAGCTCAAGTAGGTAGGCAGGCCATACCAAGGGGAGACTTCCTCCTTCTTCTGCCTTTGTGTTCTATTCAGGCCCTCAATGGATTTGATGACACCCACCTACATTGGAGAGAGTAATATGCCTTACTGAGTCTATGATCCAAATGCTAATTTCATCCAGAAAACCCTCACAAAGACACTCAGAAATAATTTTTAATCTGAGTACCTTTTGGTGCAGTCATATTGACACATAAAATTAGCCATCAAAAGGGGATTATGCCATAAAAAAGTGACATACAATCAGTCACCTGGAGATGGTGGAGAAGAATGTTAATAATAAGGTGGCTCTAAGAAAGGAAAGAATACTTTGGTATTCCATAAATATTAAAACTAAACGCAAGATATTTCTATGCTATTTAGTTTTGAGTATGCAAGAGTCCCTTTGGGGGATGCAGTCTCTCCTTCTCTAGGCTAATAGTAGCTGAGAAGTTCATAGTACAGTTTATCTCTTGGAGGAGCTGATGACATTTTGTTGAGATAAAAACTGTCTATTTACCGAGAAGCTAAAGCATTAATTAGTGCTAAAGTAGTTGGTCATAGGCAAGTATACCTGAGGCCAGAGGTTGAAATTGGACAAAAATGGTCTTTCTCTCACTATTCTCTTCCTTTAATTGAGTCTTTCACTTGCTATAAGAAGAAAGGTAGAGGGCAAAAAATGGAAAGGAGAAGAAGGAAAACCAAAAAAGAGGAAGCAGGCAAAAATTGTTCTGGAATGCTTTTCATTCACACAAAATTGGTTGCATGAAATTAAAACCCACCAAAGAATAATTAAGCTCCTATTTGCCTGGATTCCAAATATCTAAAACCTATTTGAGTAGCATGTGTTATATAGTGTTCATACAAGCCCTGTTATAAAGGTGGAAATAATGCTACTTGATAAAGGTGAAAGACCTTTAAAATAATTTTCCAGAGGACAGGCCCATTCGTGATCTTAAGTGTGTCTTAGGCACCAGAAAGCTAAATGCAGAATGTCGTGGCAATGTGCTTGCTCACGAATATAGCTCTGTTATGTAAATACCCTATATTAAATTCTGACTCACTTTTTGTTTTATCTGAAATCTGTATAATAATACCAAATGCATTAATAATGTAACATTTATTTCTAGATTCTCTGAGCGTCTTATTGGCTTTAATCATGGCGTATTTTTTAAAAAGGGAGGTGGAAGATACCCTAGTGCTGAGGCTTGGAGATTTGCTACATAGGAACAGGCTCTCTAACCCTAGCTAGTGTTGCAAATCAACGTGCCTCCCATCCTCCAGTGCCTACTAGGTGATCTGCCAAATCAGATCCTGAAATTTTCTTTTTATAGTTCATCTACAAGTTTTCTGGCATACATTTTGTCCACTGCCTCATCAGATCTTGGCTTTCCTTATGGAAACGATGGAAAGATCTATATTTCTTGACTGAGATGTAGTCATAACCTTATATAGATTTAGTAGTTTGTGTAATAGCAAAGAATATGAGCTATAACCATTTTCCCTACAAAGTACTAGCAATTTTCCTTGGAATGTGGAAGAGGAAAGCTCCTTGATTAATTCAACAAATAAGTATCCAAAATATGATTACCACACGCTATTGGGTTTACAACTCAAAAATGCATTTTATAATTTTTTTTAGTAATTCTAGACATTATAAGACGATGTTTTTTTAAAGTTTAGATGTTAAAATGTTATTAAGTCAGAAGCTAACACCCATTCAAAATTCAGTTAGTCAACTTTGTCAACAAAGGCAATTCCGTTTTATAATATAGTATTAAACAAAATGAAAATAGAAATTATACATAAATAACATATATGCTTATGGGGTTGTGTTTAGATGTTTTTTCTTATATTTTTAGGAAACATAAACATTTTCCTAAGTTTTCCCTTTTGTAAAAATAGCTGAAACTAAATGGCAGGCTTCAAAGTTGCCTCAGTTTTGCTGGACTAAAATGACATCTAATAAGTGTAAAGTCAGCTAGTTCATGTACTTATTTATCAACAATATTTATTTATTGTCCATTGTATGTATGTTAAGCTTAAGAGACAGTCCTTTTGAAAAATTTTCAATAAAAAAATGGACAAAAATGCTTAAATTCCACTATGGATGCCCAATCATTATTGGTTAAAAAAAATACAAAATGCTGTACTTTCTATAAGCTCACAAAATAAAATCTTTGCTACCTTTAGTTAGATTGCTAGGGTAGAAGAAAATAAGTGAGAACTCAGATTTGGGATACTCTAGCCATTTGTGTGACCTGATTAATCTCTTTCTTATGCGGCATTCGTTTAAATAATTTGCTCACACTAATTTTAGATCTCTAAATTGCCCACACTTTGTGTGCAGAAACTGATTATGATTGTCATATCCATGAAGTAATACAGAACTAAGAAACTTCAACTCAAATCTCAGAATTAGTAGGCATGAATTAAATTGAAATATGCTTATCTGAAAGGATCCTCAGTATTCCTTTGAAGAAAAGCTTGAAAATTAGAATCACTGAATATATGTGAATTTATAATATTGTATGAGTAGTGAAAGGATCCATTGGTAACCACCTCAGGTGTTGAAATAACTGAAAAGAGAAAACAAAATCCATTCTGTTTATTTATTTATTTATTTATTTTGAGACAGGGTCTCACTCTGTCACCCAGGCTGGAGTGCAATGGTGCAATCTTGGCTCACTGCAACCTCCGCCTCCTGGGTCCAAGTGATTCTCCTGCCTCAGCCTCCTGAGTAGCTGGGATTACAGGCATGCACCACCATGCCCGGCTAATTTTGTATTTTTAATAGAGATGGGGTTTCTCCATTGGTCAGGCTGGTCTCGAACTCCCGACCTCAGATGATCCGCCCGCCTCGGCCTCCCAGGGATTACAGGCGTGAGCCACCATTCCCAGCCCCATTTTGTTTTATTACAGAAGTTTTGGGATACCACTGGAGGCAGAGATTATGGAACTGACCATTCAAGAATGTAAAAAAGATTTCTGAGCCGAAATCATACAAATCATTCCAGTCAGCAGAGGTTCAGTGGCTTCTTAAACACAAACAAAAAATATGTATTTAGATGACCAAAATCCCAAATCATGTGAATTACAGTTAGAATTAAGAAAATCAGATCTCTAATGATACTATCTTAAAGTTGGATTTTGCTCTTTGAAATTAGAGATTTGTGGAGTATTACTTAAATAAATTATGTGTCCAGTCTTTCTGAGAGTTAGTAGCTTCTGAAAGTGAGAAAATGGGTGCACTGGGATGATGAACAAGGATAGAAATTGTGCCTTAGGTTGCCGTTTCCACAATATATTGCTGAACCCCAACCTTTGGTTAATTTGAGGACGTCACATTCCCACCTGGGTAGAGTAGTACATACCCGGTGACAAAAGAGGCCTCTTGAACACTGTGTTTTCTTTTTCTGAGTGGAGGTCTTTGTACACTGAAGCCAACTTGGAAAAAATATTTTCTTAGTCAAGTTGTATTTCACTATGGAAATAATTGCCATGTGATTGCATAAATTGACAAGGTGAATTAAATAATTGGGGCATTTAAATAGACAGTTCAGGCAAACAACAAGGCTGTTGCTACAGGGTTGGAATGGGGTAGTCCTTTTTGTTATCACAAGTAGAAAGGAATTACTTAGATTGAATACTTATATGGTTCAATTCTTATGTTTTGCATTCAATGTATAGCAATCTATGGCCTTTAAACCTGTGTCTCTCAGTAAAGATGCCAAAAGTTTGTGGTGGCAGGCAACATGATTGTTATGGACTGAATGTTTGTGTCTCTTCCCCAATGCATATGTTAAAATCCTAACCACACCCACACCCCCCTCCGTCCCCTTTGATGGTATTTGGGTAGGTAATTTAAGGTAACATGAGGTCATAAGGATGGGCTCTCATGATGGGATTAGTGCTTGCTATGATCTGAATGTTTGTGTTTTCCATTCATGCTAAAACCTAATCATCAAGGTGATGGTATTACAAGGTGGGCCCTTTAGTAGGTGATTAGGTCATGAGAGCTCCAGGCTCCTGAATATGATTAATGCCCTTATAAAAAGAGGCACCGGAGGCCGGGTGCAGTGGCTCACGCCTGTAATCCCAGCACTTTGGGAGGCTGAAGCAGGTAGATAGAGGGAAACTCTGTCTCAAAAAAAAATGGGGGGGGGGTGGGGGGCGCGCCAGAGAGCTGCCTTGCCTTCTGCCACGTGAGGACACATATAAAGTGCTCTGTATGAGGAATGGGCCCTCACTTGACATGAAATCTTCTGGGGACTTGATCTTGGACTTCCTAGCCTCCAGAACTGGGAGAAATAAATTTCCGTCTTTCATAAATTACCCACTGTAAGGTGTTTTGTTGTAATAGCCTAGATGGACTAAGACAGTGCCCTATTAAGAAGAGACACCAGGTAGCTTACTCCCTCTCCCTTTAGCTCACAAAGAGAGGTCATGTGAGCACACGGCAAGATGGTGGCTGATGACAAGTCAAGGGAAGAGTCCTCAGAATGAAATCTACCTTGCCAGCACCTTGATATTGGATTTCCCAACCTCCAGAACCGTGAGAAATAAATTTCTGCTGTTTGAGCCATTCAGTGTATGATATTTTGTTATGGTAGCCTGAGTAGACTAACACAATGGTAGTTCTAAGTAACAGTTTTTGGAATTACAGAGATATTGATGGCATAAACATTTTTACTGGTTTTGGTGAGTTTCTCCTTCTGTAATTATCCTGCCTTATAGTTAGTCCTTTTCGTTGTTAGAAAATAACTATCTTTCGAGTCTATACAATTGAAAGTACCTTATAATAAATTTTGCTTCATAAGAAACAGCTTTATAGTTTGGTGCCAGTGCACCTGAAAGATCTGCATTCAAATGAGAGGTACTTCTTCTCAGCCTGCATTTTCCTTCTAATCTATGTGGGCAGTTAAGCTGTTCTCTAATGGGTGTGCAACAATCATAGACTCATAGGAAGAACCATAAAGGTAAGATTTTCCAGCCTCTTCATTTTAATCTTCCAAGGAAATAAGAATGAAAGAATAACTATAGCTTCATTACCAAAGGACATTTTAAAACGATGATGCAAGTGGACCTTTACCAAATAATCATACAGAAAGACAAAAATTATATAAAGAATACTAGGTAGATTTAGGAGTTTTTTTTTTTTTTTTTTTTTTTTTTTTTTGAGATGGAGTCTCGCTCTGTCCCCCAGGCTGGAGTGCAGTGGTGCAATCTCGGCTCACTGCAAGCTCCACCTCCCGGGTTCATGCCATTCTCCGGCCTCAGCCTCCCGAGTAGCTGGGACTACAGGTGCCTGCCACCACACCCGGCTAATTTTTTTTTTTTTTGTATTTTTAGTAGAGACGGGATTTCACCGTGGTCTCGATCTCCTGACCTCGTGATCCACCCACCTCGGCCTCCCAAAGTGCTGGGATTACAGGAGTGAGCCACCGTGCCCGGCCCAGTAGATTTAGGTTTTATATTTATTTTATTAAAAAGAAATTTAATTCAACTTGGGGTCCAAATACAATTGGAATTTCAGAAAATACATTTGGTCACCATATTAATGAAATGAAAGCTACTGTCTTCACTTTTGAAGCTGGTAAGGGTATGATAATACATTAGCAAATTTGGTAATTGGTGGAGCTACTTTTTTGGGTATATTTCTTTTATTGACTTAGAGGTTTAAGGAGGTATATTTTGCAAAACTTACTGGAGAACTATGAGGTTATTTTCCTTCTTTATTAAGCAAAGCCAGCTGCTACATATATACCCTTTGGGAATTATTTTGATATGTTATGGAAAATAGAAAGCTAAGTCTTATACAGTAGAGCATGTAACTTTGTAGAAAATCTGTAGTTGTCTTGTAGTTGTTTATTAAAGATGTTTTGAGCCTCTTTTTAATTCAAGGATGTCTTTAGGATCTAGTTTCTGAAAAAAATCTCCAGTTACCATCAAAATGTAATTAGGCCTTTGGAATATTCTACCCTATGTTTTCACTGTCAAGGAAATGACATTACGTTAGCCCTATTTAATTTTCCAGCTATCTTAATAGAATGTGTTGAGTAAGCATTGAGGATTATTATTATTATTATCACCGTCATCGTCATCATCATTAATTGTGTTAAAAGGCAACCTCCGGAGGCACAAGCGACCTGCTGGCAGGGATTATCCACTTTGGAGTGTGCACTGGATCAGTTTTGCTCTCAGCAGTAGGCAGCATTATAATCAATAGAAATTGCCCATATGGGGTTTAAAAGACACTGTGATAATCAAGTTCACCAGAAAGACACGGAAAGTTTTGGAGCTTATTGTAAACCACTACTTTGTGAACTTTCTGCAATTGACTGCAATGTCTAAATCAGAAGACATAGCAGTTTTTTTACACGCTCAGCAAAAATTGCTAACTGGTTTGGTGTGTGTTGTTTAAATAAACATTCACTGAGAGTTTCTTGCATTCTACTGAGTAAATATTAAACTGCACTTTTCTGTTTTTGCTAATGGTCATCATCATTAAAAAGTTCTTTTTAAAAAAATTCCCACATGTTCCTGGTTCAGGTAAACACTCTTTGCCCTGTAGGAAGTTGTGGCTTAAAACATTAATACTTTACCAATTTATGTTTTGATAAAACTTTTGGATTAAAATATCCAAAAGCCTTCGACTTGTCCTTTACATAAATAAATGTGGGCAGGGGAGATTGGGATTTGCAGAAAACTCAAAGCCCCTTTCCAGAAAGTAGGGGTGGATGTAAGAGCTATCTGGCTGCGACATCTCTCACCCCATTGATCACCAGGGTGCCTTTGGCTGATTTGGCTGGCTAGGCAGGTGTCTGCTTCCTCCCTCACTTCTCCATGTACATCCCACCTGAAGCTGCACATTCAGTCAGAGAATCTTCCCTGGTAGAAAAGGACCATTCTTCGGTCAAGGATATATGAGTAGCTGTGCTCCTCTGCTAGAACCTCCAAGCAAGCTCCCAGAAAGTGGGGCTATTTCTTAACCCTATTAAAACTTTGTATCTTGGTGTCATTTGGGAATAGGGCAATGCATAAATTTAGCATAGTAGTAACCTTTCACATAGAGGTTAGAAAGATTTGTTAGAGCATCAAAGGAATAAGCAAGAATAACCCGGAATAAATACCTAAATTAGCATTTCTCAACTGTTAATGACCATAGAATAATCTGGGGAGGGGAGCGTGTTATAAGGAGAGATTTCAGATATACTCTGGAATATCTGAAGTGGTAAAACTTGGAATCATTCTTTGTATTACATATTTTGAGTGATTCTGATGGTGCATGGTCCAGCTACTGCACTTTGAATAATATTGCTCTAAACCTTATGTTCCTTAACTTCTACTTTCTTGGTCTGACAGCAAGTGCCTTTCTTTATTGGATTTCAGAAATTTCAAGAATCAAATAGATAAAATGTGCAACCTTCAGATCTTTAAATGTATTATTTCACATGGCTCCAAAAAAAGTCTGAGTTTGATGGATTTCAATCTGCTTATTAATATAATTAACTTTGTAACATACAAGTGTAACCCATTCTTCCACAACATTTCTCTCTGAGAGGGTGTTTGTATGTGTCTCTTCTCTCCCCAAATGGTCCTGACATCAATTTATTCAAGTGGCTCATACCATTCCTGACTCATTATTATTCATTGGGCTTAACATCTTATCAGCTACAATTTCAATTTATTGGCTTTAAAGAGGATTTTCTAAGTTATATACAAAAAGTAACTTTTCTACCACACAGAGGAAGATATTGTAGGTAAATAAGGCAATATTTATAGCATGACAATAAAAAATACCTCAAGGATTGGGGTATTAGATTGTGTATTTAGTTGTCAGTTATAGATTGCAGGAGTTTATTATGTTAAACTATCATATACCTAGAGTTGAAGTAAAATATGCCAGAATTTTTTAAAAAAGAAATCCCAATTCATCCATTGTATGGAAAACGGAATACTTGGCAGCCTACTTGCATAAAGTGATTTCATTAGTAAGGGGAATTTGTGTGTGTGTGTGTTTTGTTTTGTTTTGAGACAGAGTGTCGCTCAGTCATCTGGGCTGGAGTGCAGTGGCACAATCTCAGCTCACTGCAAGCTCCACCTCCTGGGTTCAAGGGATTCTTGTGCCTCAGCCTCCCCAGTATCTGGGATTACAGGTGTGCGCCACCGTGTCTGGCTAATTTTTTTTTTTTTTTTGTAACCACCCAATGGGTTTACCTTGCCCGCTGCCTAGACAGAGCCGATTTATCAAGACGGGAATGGCAATGGAGAAAGAGTAATTCACACAGAGCCGGCTGTGCGGGAGAAAGGAGTTTTATTATTACTCAAATCTGTCTCCCCAAACATTTGGAGATCAGAGTTTTTAAATATAATTTGGTGGGTAGGGGATAGAGAAGTGGGAAGTGCTGATTGGTCAGGTTGGAGATGGAATCACAGGGGGTCGAAGTGAGGTTTTCTTGCTGTCTTCTGTTCCTGGGTGGGATGGCAGAGCTGGTTCAGCCAGATTACCTGTCTGGGTGGTGTTGGCTGATCTGTCCAGTGCAGGGTCTGCAAAATATCTCAAGCACTGATCTTAGGTTTTACAACAGTGATGTTATCCCTAGGAGCAATTTGGGGAGGTTCAGACTCTTGCAGTCAGAGGCTGCATGACTCCTTAACCTTAATTTCTAATCTTATAGCTAATTTGTTAGTCCTGCAAAGGCAGACTGGTCCCCAGGTGAGAAGGGGGTCTTTTTGGGAAAGGGCTACTATCAATTTTGTTTCAGAGTCAAACCGTAAACTGAATTCTTTCCCAAAGTTAATTCAGCCTTTGCACAGGGATGAACAAGGACAGCTGAAAGGTTAGAAGCAAGATGGAGTTGATTAGGTATGATCTCTTTCAGTGTCATAATTTCCTCAGTTATAATTTTTGCAAAGGTGGTTTCATTCTTAGTAGAGAAGGGGTTTCGCTGTGTTGGCCAGGCTGGTCTCAAACTCCTGGACTCAAGTGATCCACCCCACTTGGCCTCCCAAAGTGCTGGGATTACAGGCATGAACTACCACACCGGGCCTGGGAATTTTATTTTAAAACCTAAAAGACAGACCTTTTCAAATGCTGCTGTTCTTTACTGGACTGTTAACAGTTCCTTATTTGATGGTTTTGCTGGTGTATTAAGGACCTGGTGCAATCAAGAATATTCTGTGTGTTTGCTGGCTGATAGCATAATTATACTAAGTCATCAAGAGACTGTTCTGATTCTAAGGGTAAAAATCCCTTTCTTTAGCTACCACAGGATTGACATGCTTCATTGTCCATTATTCATCATTCTTTTGCTTCCTCTTATTTACAGTCTGGATCAGGAAATGTCCGCCTGGAGATGCTACTGCACATACTTAGGCATCTTGGTGGTTTTGTCTTGATTTTTATTTTTTATTTGCCAAAGAGTTACCTAACTAGAGTTTGATGGTTATTCGAGGTTGTCTTCAGAGGCTAAGTCACTTGTCCAATTCCTGGTGTTTAATTTTTGGGTTTCTTTTGTTGTTGGTGTTGTTTTTTGCCTATGGCTAAGGAGGTCTTTCCACAGTAAATAGATATACAATTCACCAAACACAAAAACAGTCAAACCTGCTGGTTTTCCTCAAGAGGGTCGATGTTTAATTTATTCCTTAAGAAACTTTGCCTTATATTTCTCTCCCTCCTCCTCAGCCTTTTCTTCCTCTTCCTTATGTTTATGGAAAAGCTCAAGCAGTCTTATGTGTTAATAGGCAAGGCTGAGGGCAGAGTTCTGCCTCTGAGAAATGTTTACTCTGGAAATACACAGGAGACATTTGTTTGGTCTGACTCATCCAGACTGGGCCATAAGCCATTTTGGGCAAAAATGAGATGTCTTAAATATTGATGCTTGTCCAGACTAAATTTTATGTTTAAAAAACAAATAAACATGGCCATTGCAACCTCTTAATTAACCACTATTTACCAGTCCACTAATATTTTGATAGTTATCTATCCTTCTAGAGATACACATAAAATTCGTAAACGTAATCGGTTTTCATTATTTTCTCCACAAATGGTTACTCTTGAGAAGTAGCTATTTTCAAGACTTCCATGGTCTCCTCAAATAATAATGCTAGGGAAAATCAATTTATGCATTTACCCATCCCAAAGCTGTTCATGTCTGCGTTGGGGGAGTTGAAGGTATGGAGGGAGGAGAATGCAAATAATACCCTGACCCTGCTTTGTCAGCTTGATCTAATCTTTGCTCTTAAACCTCCCTGCAAATCTGCCAGAAATCGTGAGGGAAAGACTCTGATCTCCTGTTCCTCCCTCTGGCCAGTAGCCCAGGGCTGCTATCATACCCCGCCTCTCTGATTAACCATTGTTCCACTTGAAACACAGAAAGGGAAAAACTAGTTGGACTACTTTGATGCTATTTTTTTAAACTTACACTAAACCTAGTGGAACTCTTCTTTTAATCCATTTATTTATTTGTGTAGTCAGTTATTCTTCACTCATTGTTATATAGAATATACTCCCTACATGTTCAGCAACAGGTTAAATGTAAAGGAGCAGTAATGGGGGACCACAGGGTAGAGGGGTATTGTTGACAAGAGAAAGGACAAGGAATAGAAACAGAAGTCTTCACTATCTTAAAATCTAGCTTGGGGAAAAATTACATACCCAAGTCAAATAAATTAAAGCAATTAAGAAGCAAGGGGAAAAATGTAATATAATAGAACCAGCATACATGAGTGGTGAAAGGGATGTGAGAGCCCACAAACGTTTAGTTCAGTTCAATATTTGAGTAAACATTATGTGCTAGATCCTGTATTTTAAAAAAACATGACAGAAAATAAGATAACAGTGGTAACAATCTGGAGGCAGAGACAGTTAACTTTCTTGCGAGGCACATTGTAGTGAATGTTTTAAGATCTACACAGTACCATGGGGGGGAATTATAGAGGGAGAAATTAATTATGTCTGAGGGGGTTGTAACTGCCCAAGGGGTTCTTCCTGCCTGCTGCCTAAAGACTATGGCACTATAGTAGAGAAAGAGTTTAATAGACATGAGGCCGGCCACCTCAGATGAGAGATGGAGTTCCTACTCAAATCATCTGGTTGGAACCTCCTAGTTTGGGAGTTTTGCAAAGGCAGTTTGGGGGAAGGGGTGGGGATGGACGGGTAACAGGTGCTTGCTGCTGATTGGGTAGGGCTGAGATGAAATCTTAGGGGGTTGAAGCTGTCCTCTAGTGGACTGAATCCCTTCTGGATGGGGCCACAGGAGTGCGGTTGGTGGGTCCATGTGGAGCGATGGATGTCAGACATGCAAAAAAACTGAAGAGATATCCCAAAAGGTCAATCTACAATAGTAGTATTATTTGTAGGAAGAATTGGGGAAGTTGCAGATCTTATAACTTCCAAAATAATGGCTGACAGTCCTTTGTGTCTGCACCTTAGCAGGACTCAGGGGCCCCTCCTCCCCTCAGCCTGATGGCCTCCTGTTAGCTTTACAAAGGTGATTGAGTTTTGGGCAAGGCCTATTATCATTTAAATAATAGCCTAAAGGTCTTCCAAAGTGAGCTTGGCCCAATAGCCCAGGAATAACTAAGGGAAAGGCAAGATAGGGAAGGCAGGGTAGCTCAGCTTATTGTTAGAATTTTTCTCACTGATAATAATTTTTGCAAAGGCAGTTTCAGGGTTAGGAAAGTTCTGGATAAGAAGTGCGGTTTGACCTTGGCTGTGAAGGATGTATGTCATATTTTATAGGTAGAAATGGTTAGTCAGGGGAGGTGGCAGTGTGGGGAAGTGCAGAGTGTGAAGTATGGGGAGTATTCAGATCCTTTGCTGTGTTTCAGTCATAACACATGAGGTGAGGTGCAGGTGGAGGTCAGATGGAAAGACAGGCTAGATGTGAAGGCCCCTGAAAGCAACACTGAGCAGCTGGAACTTTATTTTCTAGAAAATGGCAATAGTGGTGATTTTTGAAGAAAGAAGTAAGGTGAACAAATCTATCGTTTAAGAAGTTAACATTGTGGGCCGGGCGTGGTGGCTCACACCTGTAATCCTAGCACTTTTGGAAGCAGAGGCGGGTGGATCACCTCAGGTCAGGAGTTCGAGACCAGCCTGGACAACATATGGAAATCCCATCTCTACTAAAAATACAAAAATTAGCCAGGTGTGGTGGCGCATGCCTGTAATCCCAGCTACTTGGGAGGCTGAGGCAGGAGAATCGCTTGAACCCAAGAGGTGGAGATTGCAGAGATCGCGCCATTGCACTCCAGCCTGGGTGACAAGAGTGAAACTCCATCTCCAAAAAAAAAAAAAAAAAAAAAAAAGAAGTTAGCATTGTGGTTAAGAGCTAAGTGCTCTGAAGTCTGACAAAATTGGATTTGATAAGTTAATATCTATTGAGCTCCTACATTCCAGGCACTGTTCTAGTCACCTGGGCCATAGTAGTGATGAGTGTTGGCAAGTCCTCTGCTCTCATGGTGCTTACTCTTTAGCAGGGTACAGGAGAGACAGAGGACAGTAACGACAACAACAAAATACATTTTACAGATAGCTTTAGATGGTGGTAAGTGCTATGCAGAAGATGGAATTAGTGAGGTGAATATCTGAGGCAAAGACTTCCAATAAAAGGGAATAGCTGATTTAAAGGCCTTATGTGGGAATGAACTTGATGCGTTTTAGAAACAGACAGAAGGCTGATGTGGCTGGATTGAAGTGACTAAAGGGCTGACATGCAAGAGATTAGGATCTAGAGGAAGGTAGGGGTCTGATTATCATGTCTTTGTAGACCAGGGTAAGGATTTTGTTTTTTACTCTAATCATATCAGGAAGCCGTTAGAGGAAATTTTAAGTAGGGTTTGACATGACATGATTTAGATTTTTAAAAAGTTAGTTCTGCCTGATAGGTGCTGAATTTGTAGGGGATGTAGACAGAAGTGGAGGACTATGTGTATGTTTTAAAGTTAGAACAGGCAAAACTTAATTGAGATCTATTGTTTTCTAGTTATTTCACCTTGAATAAATTACTTAACCTCAGCTCAGCCTCAGTGTTCTCATCTGTAAAAAGGGGATGACATTAGTGATAGATGCAGGAGGAAGATAAGGGGGAGGATCCCCGGAGAATCTCCCATCTATCTGCCTGGGCACTGGGAGAACATGGTGGAGTCATGGGAAGTTCGTGCCGTTTGCAGGGGTGCAGGAGTCTGGCCTCTCCTCTTCCTTTGTGGTACCTGGGATTCAATCGGTGAGCTGGGGGCCTCTTAACAGGAAACCCTCTTGCTTTGCCGAGCGTTTTCTTCCTTTTCACCTAGTAAATTCCGTTTCCCCTCACACTTTAAAGTGTCTGCGTGCCTAACTTTTCCTGGTCGTGTGACAAGAACCTGTTTTTTTCTACAACATTAGTACTGACCTTATAGAGTTGCTGTGAGCATTAAATTAAAATGCCCCGCTATACACTGGCACATCATATGTACTCATTCAATGATAGCAGTTGCTATTATCAATATCATGATGGTGATGATGACTCTGGGTTGGATATATGACAAACTAGAAGCATGGAGATCAGTCAGGAGGCTACTGTAACTATCCAGGGGAGTTAAAATGAGAGGCTGGAGCAGAGCAGTGGGAAAGGAAAGCATCATGTTAATAACATTTAATTAATGAATACCAAACATTTAATTTAAGTAGGAATGTTTAATGACTTATATTCAAATGACTAATAAAGTTTAACATTAGTAAGTGCAGAGAGTAAAAACTCACTTCCATAGTGAGACTGAAAATAAAATTGCTAATGGTTTATTTTCGCTCCTTTAATTCCTGGTAACTAATTACCTTCCTGTATTATCATTTCCTGTCACATAAAACCATGATTCATTTCAAGTGTACTGTTGGGACGTGGTCAAAATACATCAACTTGGCCTTCAAATGAAATGATTGTGCATGAGGTGCACTCTCTTTCGGCTCTGCACCATAACTAAAGTCTTCCTTTGCTATATTTGAACTTAACCTGATTCTTTTGCATTCATGAATAAAAAGAAAGGTAGACTTTCCATTTGTTGTTTCATGCTTTGGGTGAACCTTGTTACCCTAGCAGTGAGAATGAGTTGCTGACTGTATTGGTAATTTTCTTCCAACATCATATGAGTTACCAAGTAAGTCATCATTCTTGGAGTACCAAAGGGCAGTTTTCAGTTACTCATTTCTATTTTCTGATGTTGATCACTCATGATAGACCTGAGAGAAACTGAGCTTCAAAAGGTTGGTCTAATATTTATGAAGTTTAATGCATAGTTACCTAGGTGACATGACATTAGCCATGAAGGTTAAGGCTTATGAATATTAAAAGATTAAAGAGCTCTTTGGCAGGTGTGGATTTTAATTAGTTATTTCCTTACAGAAAAGTGTTGAGAGGCCAGAATTTAAACTACACAAATCATCAGAAAAAGACATATACAATTCAGAAAATCTTGGCTAACTCAGCATTGCAGTTGTTATTTTTCACTGAGTCTCAGGTTTTTGGAAAAACCATTAGGAAGTGGAGTGAGAGAAAAAAAAAACAGTGAATTTGTTGTCTAAGTGTTTTATAAAACACACAAAAGACATTAATTGCTAATGTAATAAGATGAGCATATCAATGCTGATTCAATTACTATTAGAAAATAAAAGATTTTAATAAAAATCACATAGCTATAATCAAATGAAATATTAGCTATGAGTAAGATTTTAAACAAATAGCAACATATGCCCCTTAAATTGCTTTTGTCACCTAAATGTGCATATTCACAATAATTATTACTCTTCATCAAGTACTAGTGTATTCTCAGAAGTCACACTGAACCTTACAACTCCTCTGCCCCGGTCACCACTACTTGCTTAATTAAACTTGGTAGTATAGCTTTTTACTGTCTTGGCTGTTGGTATTTAGGCTTTATCTATCTCTGTGTTCAGTCTGGGAAGAGAGGCTGTGCTAAGCTTTGCTATATCTTTCAGATGAAAACCTAGGAAGCAAATGATGAATATCTTAACTCTGTAGGGTTAGGCCATTTTATATATGAAGGTAGGGGATTGAACATGAAAGACAATTTGGGGTTCCATTTGTTCTTCTTTTATATTTGCTTCTCTCCAGCCTGTTGTAATCTGTGGAGCTCGAGGCTGCCTCAAACGCAACTAATATTCAGTAAAGATAAATTGCCAAAGCTTCAGCTTCTAGGAAAGTTGTCAGGTAAGTAAACTGTCAACAGCAATTATTTTTCTTAGGCAGATAACTAGCTCCAAACATTCCTTCCTTAATATTTTCCAAAGTATATTCCTCGCATTCAAATCTGCCCTCAAATTTATCTAATTAAGGTGAACTGAAAAGATAATTTCCATACCCTGTTTCTAGTATTACTGTAAATTCCTTTAAATAGAGATATAATATAATATATGCTGTTTTAGCTATGAAGATTTTACAAAATACACTTAAAATATTACTGGCTAGACATTTATGCTAGAAACTTTATACATTACCTTATTAATTCTCATAACCTTTTGAGAGGATAATTATTAATCTTATTTTACAGATGAGAAAACAAAATCAGAGTGATTAAATTATTTGCCTAAATCACAGACCTTATATGTGGTAAACTCTAGATTCGAATCCAGATTTGCCTAATTTGAAAGCTTGTTATTTTCTCACTCTAAGACTATAGATCTTCACACTGCTTACGATCATATGATACAATTATCTTGATTTCTATCTCTCCCCATCCCAGCAAGTAAGCTTCATAAAAACAGGGGCCCTGTCTGTCTTGTTCATTTCTGTAAACCCAGGGTCCAGAAAAGTTTCTGGTATATTATAGGCACTCAGTAAATAATGTCAAATAAAAGTAATCATTAAAGTTTTTTGTTAATTTCAAATTAGATAGTTGTATAAGAACTACCAAAAATGCCAATTAAGTGCCATAAGGGTCTATCCGAGGGTGAGATTACTGTGTGTTGGAAGTTATTACAATAGTATAGAATAGACCACACGCCTCCGAAAAGGAGTGTAGCTGGCTTGGTGGCACGTGCTTATAGTCCCAGGTACTTGGGAGGCTGAAGGGGGAGGATTGCTTGAACCCAAGAGTTTGAGGCTGCAGTGAGCCATGATCATACTACTGCACTCTCCAGCCTGGGTGACAGAGTAAGACCCCGTCTCTTAAAAAACAAAACAAAACAAACAAACAACAACAACAACAACAAAAAAGAATGGGAACACCTCAAAGCCTCAAAGGTGTGTTCAAAAAAATATAGTGGGAGGGAAAGAGGATTAGAACTTCAATTACTATTCATCTTTGTTTCAATTCATCCTTTTGCAATTATACTTTTCATAATTTATAATGTATATATTATAGGAATATAAATACAGTGTAATAAATATAATCTAGTAGGATATAACATACAGTAATATGATACACACAGTAATACAATCATATGTTTATGTGGGGGGTGAATACTCAAACATTTTTACTGCTAGTTGTCTGTGTTTGGAGACTTTTGGTCCAGAGGGAGAAATAAACATAAGCAGATATGTATAATTTGGTGTTCTACTTGCTTATAGATGTCTATACAAATAGACAAATATACTTCAAGGTGGTGGTGGTGCTGCTGGTGCTTGTGGTGGTACTGGTATGTATGTGACGGGAGCTCAGAAAAAGTTTCATAGAGAAGGTGATACTTTAAACAGAATCCTATAGAATAGAGAGGTAAAATGGGGATTTTCAGGGATGAAGAACACTTGCAAAGGTACATTCTTGATACATTTGAGGAACTATAAAATACATCAGGATTACTAAAGTAGAGGGAGTAGAATGAGGAATGGCAGCATATTATCATTGGATTACATGTATCTAATATATAAATACAAATATTGAGGATGAGTGTTCATTTATTAAAATCTGGGTGGGGTACAGGATAAAAAACTTTGGAGATCACTCACTGAATTAGACTATAGGTAATAACAGGCTGAACTAGAGTGGTGACCATGGATGTAAAGAAAAGGATATCATCAAATGATACCCCAGCAGAGAGATTAAAGGTTTTTGTGGGGCCGGGTGCGGTGGCTCATGCTTATAATCCCAGCACTTTGGGAGGCCAAGGTGAGCAGATCACTTAAGGTCAAGAGTTCGGGACCAGCCTGGCCAACATGGTGAAACCCCATCTCTACTGAAAATGCAAAAAAAAAAAAAAAAAAAAATTAGCCAAACGTGGTGGTGCATGCCTGTAGTCCCAGCTACTTAGGAGGCTGAAGCAGGAGAATCTCTTGAACCCAGGAAGTGGAGGTTGCAGTGAGCCGAGATTGTGCCATTGCACTCCAGCCTGGGCGATAGAGAGAGAATCTGTCCTAAAAAAGAAAAAAAAAAAAAAGAAAAAAAAGGAGTGGGAGAGGGATGGAGAGGAAGGAGTTAAAGAGTTAAAGATAACTTCTGAATTTCAAGCCTCGGTGAGGTTATTAAAACATAAACATATAAAATTATCATTAGGAGAGGAGGGCAGTTTTGTGAGATAAGATAATTTTGGGATATAGCATGTTAGGGAAGGGACATCCAAATGTAAAGGACCAATAGGGAACTAGGATATGAGACAGGAACTCAGGTCAAAGTTGGACAATTCCAACTTTGAATTATCCATTCATCAAATATATAATGAGCACCTATTCTGTCAGGCACTATGCTAGACACTGGGGCTAGTTAGAATGCAAATAAGACAGACATGGCACCTTCCCTCAAGATGCTTACAGTCAAGAGGGAGAGACAGACAATAAACTAGGAAAATGTTTATGTATAATCATAGAATCATATAATAATAGAATCATGGTCAGTTCTATGAAGGGAGGGCTACTTTACATTAGGTAAAATGGTCAAAGAAAGCCTGGGAGAAAGTGCTATTTATATTAGATGGTCAAAGAAAGCCTGGGATAAAGTGCTGTTTCACCTGAGAACTGATAGATGAGAAGGGAACAGCCAGGAAAAGTAGAAACAAGAGCATTCCAGGAAGAGGGAACAAAAAGGATTGGATGTGAAAGAGATCTTGTTGTGCTATAGAACAGAAAGAAGGCCAAGGTGACTGGAGCTTACAGAGCAAGGGACATGGTGGCACAGAATGAAGCTAGAGAGGAAGGCAGAAGCCAGATCATGGACGGCTTTGAAAAGCATCTAAAGAACATTAAATTTTGTTTATTTCTTTTTTCTTTTCCTTTTTTTTTTTTTTTTTTTTTTTGAGATGGAGGCTCACTCTGTCACCCAGGCTGGAGTGCAGTGGCGCCATCTTGGCTCACTGCAACCTCCATCTCCTGGGTTGAAGCGATTCTCCTGCCTCAGCCTCCTGAGTAGCTGGGACTATAGGTGTGCACTGCCACACCTGGCTAATTTTTGTATTTTTAGTAGAGACAGGGTTGGCCAGGCTGGTCACAAACTTATGGCCTCAAGTGATCCACCCGCCTCGGCCTCCCAAAGTGCTGGGATTACAGGCATGAGCCACAGCGCCCGGCCTCAATTTTATTTTTTTGTAACAGAAAGTTATTGAAAGATATTATCTGGGGCAATAAAATGATCTAATTTACCTTTTAGGTTTCTTTGTGTTAGCAGATAGTTAAAGCTTTGAGAACAGATGCATTCTTAGATGGAGAGCGTATAAACACAGAAATAAAAAGCCGAGGACTGAGTCTTAGAGAATGCTCATTATTAGGATATGATGGGAGAAGGAGCCAGCAAGGAGGAGTGAGGGGTGTTTAGAGAAGTAGGAAAGGCGTTCTGGAAGTCCACGTAAGGAAGTTTTTCACAAAAGAGAGCATGGACAACACGGTTACATGTTACATGCAAATATCTTAGGGAGGAATGAGGTCTGAGAAAAAGCCTATATACTTGGGAGCAGGAAACCATTCTGAACGTGTAGCTTCCATAACTAATAATGAAGGTATAGGCCCACACTGCTGAAAATTTGTTAGTCAACGTGGGGATAAACTAGAATGATGGATAGAAGTAGCAAGTTCAAGCAAAGGTCTTTTCAGACTAGTTGAGATCTGTGGGAGTTTGGATTTGGGTTCGGGGTAAGAGAATTGAAGGGAGTGGCAGGAGAGGTAAGAGGAGAGGAGGCAACTGAAAACGTTTGGAAAATGCTTGAAAGATGGGATAATTTGAAGTCCAAGGGCCTGGACAGTATTGAAAGATGTGTTCAAGATCACAAGTGCTAGTGTGAAATTTTAAAGGAAGAAGATCCTTTTTCCTCTGAGGCTGGAGAGAAGGGTGAGAGAGTAGATGCAGCAACAGAGAAACTCTGAATTGAAGTGGTGGAAAGGTTAGGAAGTTCATGGAAATTGACACTGATTTTCAATCAATCAAAATGAACAACATGCACTAATGTGCTATGTAGGCTTAATAAAGTAAAACCTCTTTAAATAAGGGCAGGAACCATGGGGTTATCTTGTTTGTTTTGTTTGTTTTTGATATTCCCAGTAGTATCTAATAGCATCTTGTACAAGGTAGGTGCTCAATTAACATAGGTTTGTTGTTTGATATGATCACTATCCTCAAGAAACTTATAGTTGGAAACAACCAAATAACATATGCAGCATATGGTAATTTCTGAAAATGTGATATTGCTAATAATTGCTGTAGGACTTGAAAAGAAGCAAGTGTGTCTGTGGATTGAGCAGATGGGGCAATGCTTCATATAAGAAATGAGTTTTTATTTGGGCCTTAATGCTTGCCTAGGATTGAAATGCTGATTTTGCAATTAACTAGAAGTGGGCTTCTTCTATATCTTGGAGTTGGTTAGTTACCTTAAGACAAATTGGAAAGACCTGATCATTGTAGGAATCATGCTAGAAAATCAGCAAGGCGTTATTTAAGAATAAACGCTATACATGTATATATATAGTATATGGACACCGTAATTATATATGCATACTCATATAATACACACATTATATATACTATACAGAGGAGAAATAATAAGTAATGTATGTATATATGTTTATGTTTGTGTACGCACACATATGCAAACACACATATATATTTTAGTGTCTGCTTTACAAAACTAGAGTAATAGAGGTGAAACTAATTTCAAGATGTTATATGCATCCATTTTATTATTTCAGATGGTTAAAAATCTTAATTCATGAAGATTGATCTATTTTCTTCTTTGCTATATCAAGAGAAAGCTATTACATAGAAATAAACAATTTTAATAACCACATAATTTCTCATAAACTAAATAAATTTAATTTTCTAAAAAAAAAAGAATTGGCTAAGGTGTAGAAACAAAAAGATCAAAGTGAGAAAGGGACTCTAACTTGTGTTCAAGAGGCTGGAAGTTTAGTAGAATTCTTTGCTTTTGGACTGTATCTTCACAAACTAAAACTGAAATTCACCACTTCAGTCTAATTTAGAATAAAAGTCAAGAAATTCCATTCTGCCACAATTTCCAGATTAATGTTTCTATTTCCTCTATCTCCACTCAACTCTGTATCAAAATCTTACCCTCTCTTTTAAGATTTATCTCAAATGCCACTACATCCTTATAAAATCTTTCTTGTCCCTCTCCTCCCAAATTGGATTTTCTTTCCTCTATTACTTTCCATGCTATTTGGGAACTCTTATACAAATTTATAATGTATAGTTACACGTTGCTTAACAGGGATATGTTCTGAGAAGTGTGTCACTAGGCGATTTTGTTGTGTGAATGTCATAGAGTGTACTTACACAAATCTAGATGGTATAGCCTACTACTCACCTAGGTTATATGGTTTAGCCTATTGCTCCTAGGCTACAAACCTGTATAGCATGTGACTGTACTTAATACTGTGGACAAGCCGGGCTTGGTGGCTCATGCCTGTAATCCCAGCACTTTGGGAGGCCGAGGCGGGCAGATCATCTGAGGTCGGGGGTTCGAGACCAGCCTGACAAACATGGAGAAACCCCGTCTCTACTGAAAATACAAAATTAGCTGGGCTTGGTGGCACATGCCTGTAATCCCAGCTACTAGGGAGGCTGAGGCAGGAGAATCGCTTGAACCTGGGAGGCGGAGGTTTTGGTGAGCCGAGATCGCGCCATTGCACTCCAGCTTGGGCAACAAGAGCGAAACTCCATCTCAAAAAAAAAAAAAATACTGTGGGCAATTGTAACACAACGGTCAGTATTGTGTATGTAAGCATCGAAAAGGTACACTAAAAATATAGTATAAAAGATTAAAAATGGTAGACCTGTACATTGTACAGCGTACAAAAATATTTCTTTATATCCTTATACTATGAGCTTTTTAATTTTAATTTTTTACAGTTTTAACTTTTTTATTAAAAATTAAGACACAAACACACACATTAGCCTAGGCCAACACAGGGTCGGGACCATCAATATCACTTTCTCCCACCTCCACATCTCGTCCCACTGGAAGGTCTTCAGGGGCAATAAAACTCATGGATCTGTCATCTCCTATGATAACAATGCCATCTTCTGAAATACCTCATGAAGAAAATGCCTGAGGCTGTTTTACTGTTAAAATTTTTTAATAAGTAAGAGTACACTCTAAAGTGATAAAAAGTATAGTTTAGTAAATACATAAACCAGTAGCATAGTTGTTTATTATCATTGTAAAGTATTATGTACTTTACATAATTGTACGTGCTCTACTTATATATGAATGGCAGTGCATTAGGTTTGTTTACACCAGCATTACCACAAATACATGAGTAATGCATTGTGCTATGACATTAGGACAGCTACAATGTCACCAAGTGATAGGAATTTTTCAGGACCATTATTGTCTTGTAGGACCACCACTGTGTGCGTGGTGCATGGTTGACCGCAACATCGTTATGCAGTGCATAACTGTAGCTATTTGTAAGGACACCTAATTCTCACTCTCATCTTCTAGCCCCCAATAAATTTCAAATTACTCAGTGACAGGATCTGGGTACTGCTCATGTTTTATCCCCTTCAGAAATTAGCATAAGCAATTTTTGACATGGACTGATGTAGAATTAGAATGAGGTAAGGAGTTGATATAGTTGGGAAGCCATCACTGAAAGGTTTGGCTAATAAGAGATAGCTCAGCCTTTGTCTTGGCAGTCTCTGTGAAAACATTGAATTATTTAATCTTTAATGTTAATTTGTTTACACATGCCAGTAATTTTCTTTGTCACTATTTATATGCAGTGTAGAGATTTCCTAAGGTAGTACTAATAGATTTTGTGATTATTTTTGAGTTATAAGTGTACTGAGCAAAACAGTATAATATTTACAAAATAACATATGGAGGTAGCATAATATAGTGTAAAGAGGGAACACGTTGAAGTCAAGCTGACCTGGGTTTGAATCCTTGTCCTCCTACTTAGAAGCTAGAAGGTATGGGTAATTTTTTTGCCTGCCCAGCATCTATTCCCTCTTCTTTTGTTAACCGAAGACTGACTTACCTTTAAGAGAATTATTTCCTTTCTGTGATTAATTCACAGGGCTTAACATGGGATTAACACACCCCTGTCCTCAGTTCCAAGGGAAGGCACATGACCTAGGCCTGGCCAATCAGCATATTCCATATTTATGGCCAAAGCCAGGTTGATGTGTATCAACTGGGAAAATGAAGCACTCTGTTAAGAGGATGTAATATAAGAGTAGAGCTGATGGCTGTGATCTTTCTCCAGTCAGGATTGAGCCTGTCCAAGAACACAAGCAATGCAGAGAAAAGCAGAGATGAGTGACCAAGATAAGGGAAAGAGAGACATGATGACATCATTCAGCCTCTGGATCTAGCCATGGGTGAAGACAGTTCATCTTTTCTTTCCCCTCCCACGCCACCCCTGCAGGCTTCTAGTTACATGAGCCAATGAGCAACTTGTTTATTCCTTAAGTCAGTGTGAGTTGGGCTTATTTTGCTTGTAATCAAATAACATTAAATAGATACACAACCTGACCTTGGGCAAGTCATAGTCTCTCTGAAGGTCAGTTCAGCTGTAAAACAGGATGATTCCTTTTTTACTCATCACACAGGGACATTAAGAGGCTCACATTTATGTGAAATGTACATGAATACATTTTGACAACTGTAAGTGTTTGGGAAAAAAAGGATAAGTATTAGTGTGTATCCCTGAAGAATAAAGAGATATTGTTTACTATGATTTTGTTTTCTTTAGAAAACAAAGAAACACTATTCAGTCAATTATTATAGACACTGGAAAAGCATAAGCCCATGCCCAAACCATTATAGTTAAATCTCTTACCACAGGATTTCTCTTTCATGACCAAAAATCACAGATTTTTTTCTTTCTTTTCTTTTTCAAAGAACATGAAAACCTACTTATTATTCCACCTAGAATATGCAAGAGCTAGCATTTAACTTTAACGTTTGTTCTTAAAGCCTGCACAAAAATTTTGAAATAAAGATTTGTTGCTGTCTCACATACTCCTCATATTCAACTTTTCATTCTGAGTACAGGTTGTAAATATGTTTTTAGAGCAAAGCATTTAAGAAACCGCAAAATTCAACCTTGGAACATTACATTAGTCATTCAAAGGAGACATATTTTTAAATCAGTTCAAATACATGTCTCTACCACATTTCCCTCCTACTCCTTTCCTTATATATCATATTATATTTGATGATCCAGACACTTAAATGATAATCTGTGTAACTCGAAAAAGTTACTGCAATTGCCAAAGGAGCCTAATTTCTGTCTTGGCACCTTCGGGACTTAGAATCATCTGCATTATTTACAGATGTCTCAAATTATAGGGAAAATTTGCATGTGAGTGTGGCTGTTTAGGGATGGGATGGGTGAAGAACCCGTTAATGTATCCTAATGTATGTTAACCTAAGGAGATGACCTCTTGGCCTTAGAAATCTGCCTTGAAGTTTCTGAATCCAGGGACTGTATGTTTAATTTTCACCTATTTTGTAGTAAGGGACTGACATAAGGATGTAAATGGTACTTGCAAAATTCTATTTTAAGACCAAGAGGCAAGCTAGCACAGCAGAATAATGCTTAGAAAGTAAACATAGGGAATTTAAACAATTGTCTGCTTTGGTCAGAAAGATGGTCTTGCTCTTAATTTTTTCCCAGCCATTTTCACTGGCTAGAAATGCTAAGAAATGTGCCACAGTATTCTATGCAGATTAATCCCGTAATGGGAAAAAACATCACTCATGCATCTGTGAATGTACTATAGTTTCTTATATTCAGTATAGGTCCTGATGTACTCATCCTTATTTTTTCCTTGACATCTGTGGAGTATATCCCAGCACCTTAAAAAATTCCTTAAGATGCTTTTTTCCTTAATGCAGGTATGAGGAAAGCAAGCAGATTTAAGTCGGTATTCACCAGGATATATGCTTTTAGTATATGTAATTTGATGAAATCCAGGAACATTTCATTCTTTCCAAATGAATCCACCAATGAGCAGCCATTCCTCATTACTAGAAAAATATCAAATGACTAAAAATAATAGCATCTATCTGTGGGTTCTGTTCTTTTTAATCCAGGTAAGGGGCTGAAACATTTCTTTCTACATGGAGATATGGCAGTACAACCTTTTAAAGTGGTTTCAGTAAACAGATCAAGCTCCTAATGCTTCAGGTAGTTGTCCCTCCTACTGCTTCATACTCAGAAACCCTAGACCTCTATTTTACAAAACAGGATAATAATTTTAATGATTATGAAAGTAAGAATTGGAAAGGTCAGTTGTTTTACCTAGCATCCCAGAGCTAACAGGTGGTAGATACAGGATTTAAAGCTACCTCTGAAAAAAATAAAACAAACCAAGTCTTTTTGACATCCAAGACGGTGTTCTTAACCGCTGCATTGTCCTGTCTCTCAAGCAAAAAGTGACTTAAAATTTCAACAGAGATGCCAACTTGGACTCTTAAAAGTAGTCACACAAGCTTCCCCCATGCTCTACCCCTCTATTGCCAATTGCCATCCTCACCCCTATTTCTCTACCTCTTGCCACAATCAACAGTACTCTCTAGGGTGACCATCAAAGTATAATCAATTTACTCATTTTACGAACATGAAAACTAATCCTGAGAAAAGAAAGAAATGACTTGTTCAACGTCACACAACCAATTATCGGCAGTGCAAATATTAGCGCAAATCAGCTTGTTCAGTCCAATGTTGTTTCACTACAGGGAAAACAACCCAGAACATTCAAGCTTCCTTATGATAGGCTACTTTAATATTATTCATATGTATATAGTTTAATATTATATATAGTTCAATATTATGTATAGAGTTTAACAGTATATGTATTTTAATATTTTATGTATACACATAATACATACATACATATACATATATATATATATAATGTGTGTGTGTTTTTGAATAAATGATGGATAAAAAGTGCCTGAAGTCTTGTAGTCACTATATTAATCACAAAGATGTCTTTAACTTCTCCAACACAGAATACTGGAGTTTTCTTCTCCAAACCTGTTCTTTGCCTATTACTATTCCCTGTCTCAGGAAATCACTACCACCTCTAGGACTAGGGGGACAAAAGGAAGAGATTGGGGTTATCAGAACCAGGAAGCTTGGAGGAGGGTCCATGTAGAGCTGGAACACGCATTCCTGAGGAGAGGGTGCTGGCAGCCTGATGCAGTTGTCCCTTGAGGAACACAATAAGCCTGAATCTGGGAACAATGGGACCAAAAGCTGCAGACTGGAACCAAAACCTTGGCCTTGGTGAAGGGCCATTATTGTGGTAACATTTAAGAAACCAGAAAGCAAACGGGAAGGAGTAACGCCTTCTGCCCTTCCTTCAGGCTTGCATTCTCCCTCCTGTGCTCCCTAGCTTCAGCACCTATCAGGGAACCCACGGCAAATGAGCCAGCTGGAAATGTGATTTGCAGAGTTGCAGCCCCGGCACCACAGGGCCTCACAAAGTAGAACACAGAAGGTAAGTCTGAGAGACACCAAGTTAATAACTGGCACAGAGGATCATAGTCAAAAAGTAGGGGTTTTACCTCTCCTTCACCCCTCCTTCCATTAATATATTTGTAACCATCTATGGGGCTCATGGCAGAAGGAACAATGATTTCCATGGGAGCTGGGTAGTATCGTTGTATCTTTTAAATCCCCTTTCCTGATCTTCAGAGAACATCCTTTATGTCTTTTAGCTTAATGGATTCTTGGTTTCTTCTCTACTACTCCTGAGATTGCTCTAAGATCACTTAATAACACCCTGTTTGCCAAATTCAGTGGCCTCTTTTCTGTGCTCATTCTAACTTTCTTTGGCACATAATATTTTTGACAACTTCCTCCTTCTTAAAACTTTTTCCAAAGCACATTTCTCTATTCGTTTGTCTGCCTAATGCCTTCTTTTTCTCAGCTTTCCCCACTCTTCTTCTGCCCACTCTCCAAGGCTTAGTGTTCCTTGGAATTCTGGCCTGGACCCCTTTCTGTTTTCACATTTCTTGGGTGATGTCATTCAGTTCCACATTTTTAGCTACAACCTATACGTAGTGAATCTCAATCTTTATTGGTAACCAAGACTTTTTCTTGAAATCTGATTACAATATGTCTCTCTGTGGAACAGCTCTACTTAAAAGGACCCACTGACATCTCAAGCTTAACATGTCCAAAACAAAACTCATCTCTTGAAACCTATTTTTTCTTCTGCAAGCCTCTTTCCTTGATTAATAATGCCAATGTCTGTTAAATTACTCAAGCTAGAAAACTTGGAGTCATTTTTTATTAATTTATCTCTTCCTCACCTCTTGAATCCAGTCAGTCACCATATCCTATTGATTGTCCTGTTGCTTAAATATCACTTAAATCTATTTCAGTCTCTTTATTCCTACAGTCACTGTTTGGTTCAGGCTCTCACCATTTCTTACCTTGACTCTCATAATAACCTTCTAACTGGAATTCCAGCTTCCGGTTTCCCTCCTCTCCCAGGCATCCTCTATATAATCATCAAGGTTAGCTTTCTCTCAAATATTGCATGTCCTCACACATATGTGGGAACTATCAAAGTTCATCTCATGGAGGTAGAGAATAGAATGGTGGTTACCAGAGGCTGGGAAGGGTGTGTGTGGGAGGGGGATGAAGATAAGTTGGTTAATGGGTATAAAAATACAGTCAGATAGAAGGAATACATTCTGGTGTTCAACAGCACAGTAGGGTGACAACAGGTAACAGTAATTTATTGGATATTTCAAAAATAGCTAGAAGTTTAAAATTTTCCCAACACAAAGTAATGATAAATGTTTGAGGTGAAGGATAACCTAATTACCCAGATTTGATTGTTATACACTGTATGTGTATATCAAAATATATGTACTCTATAAATGTATGCAATTATTATGTATCGATAAAAATTCACTTTCTGAGAGACAAGTCTAGTCATGCTGCTTCCCTACTTTTAAAAAAGTCATAAACAACAAAAAGAGCAACTCCAATGTTTTCCCTCTTTCTAGAGAATAAATTACAAAGTCCCTGCCTGTTTTCCTGTCTGAGTAAATTCTCAGTAATTGTGTAAGGCCTATCTCAACTAACCTAATTGTGTGGAATCTTTCTTGACTTATACAGAAAAAGCTATTTTCTTTCCAGTATTTCCTTATCACTTAGCATTTACTTGTATTAGCACTCATCGCTTTGGATTTCACTTACGTTTTTTACATGTCTGCCTCCCATACTGGTTATATGGGTTCTCCAAAGGGTACGGACCGTGCTTTAATCATCTTTGCATTTACAGTACCTGGCATAGTGCCTGGAACATTCTAGAAACTTAAAAAGCATTTGTTAAATCGATGAATAAATGGATTCATTCATGTGTACAAGGGAAGAATATCTGGGAACAAGTTGTAACCTCACTCAACTTCTCTCTTCTACTCAAAAAGCATACAGGAATGCAAGTAAGTGAGGATCACTATGAATTGGCTTTAAATTATTTTCTTCAAAATAAATAAATCAGTTACAAACTTTCCTTTTAAAATATTATTATAAACATATTCCTTGCAGCACAGCTCAAAATTTGTCTGTGACACAGTTATTTGTCATAACCTCATGGTTGGGAACTGCTCTAAAAAACCAGGGGAGTGTTCTTTCTGTTTCTCTGAAGACATAGATCTGGTGGTTTTAGGGAATTAAGCCTTACATATTCATTTTAAAGTTTTTTTCATGCTTTAGTGTCTTGCACATACATATACCCTGAAGCCTTTGAAGATGGACTCATTTTTACAAATTTAGTACATATATCATGGCCCTTTCTCATAAATGCAGCCCTCCAGGTCAGCACTAAAGCACACTGCAAGAATGTTTGTATTATTTTATCTCTTGTGATACTTGTTCTATGTGTAAACAGCATTTTTGCACTCCTGGGGTTGTCATAGCAAGTCCTTCAGAACGTCATGTAATTTTACAAAGAAACCATGAAAATAACAAATTATTTTTCAAATAGAATTTAGGGAGTTTACAAAGTTATATCTGTATTTAGAGGCTTCAATGACTCTTCTCACTTTAAATTCTGTGATTTTATGATTAAAATATTGCTCTAGGCTAAAGGGAAAGAATAATTTCCTCTTCTGAAAAAAGAAACTGAGTCAACTAGAAATGTCATCTAGAGTACAGTTTTGGATTACAGTAGTCCCCCCTTACCCACAAGGGATATGATCTAAGACGCCCGCAGTGGATGCCTGAAGCCCTGCGTCGTACCAGACCCTATATATACTATTTTTTTTCTTATACATACATACCTATGACAAAGTTTAATTTATAAATTAGGCACAGCAAGAGATTGACAACAGTAACTAATAATAAATAGAATAATTATAACAGTATAGTGTAACAAAAGTTATGTGAATGTGGTGTCTCTCAAAATAAATTAATATTTTTGTTTGACCTTGGATAACTGAAACTGTGGAAAGTGACAGGGGGTAAGGAAGGGGACTTCTGTACTTTCAGTTACTCCTCTAGATGGTGAGAATATGACAGTACAACTTTCCATAATTGCTTCTCTTATAATATTCACACATAATGTGAATTTAAAACTTTGCATTCTCACTAAAGTATGTTCATGCAGCAAATTTTGAGTCTTGAATACTTTTTGTTTGAAGGAAGTGCCTCCTTTCCGGAAAAGAAACCTATTTTTTATATGCTAGTTTATATTATGTAGGAGAAGATTTGACACAAGCAAACTGTCTGTAGATTTTGTGGATTTTTCCAGTATTTTTCAGAAGGCCCTTAGAAAACGTGCCTTGTTTTTTAAGAAAAAAAGTGAGAGGTGCAAGAATGTCTATTGAAATAAACAACCTGTAAAGAAAGTACACAGAATACTTTACTGAAGGGGAGGGGCAGCACACACTGTCAAAGCAATTATTCTTTCCAGGAGGAAAACCAGAAAATGCCACTGAGTTTAAGTATCTGTATAAGTCACCTCATTGTCCTCAAAACATGGAGTTCTTAGACTAGGTGCAGTTTCCCTTTAATAGGATCCATGCATAAATGATTGAGATTAGAAAGAGCATTGCTCTGAGAAGTCTGAAAAACATCTGACCCAAGACAAATAAACAGTGGTCAGTGTAAGTACTGTCTATAGCACCTGGCACTGGAGCTTCTATTCACATTCGGCACACAAGGAAAGGTCAAGAAAGGTGGGAAAACTACAGGTTGCCTGCCACGTGATTACCAGAATTCCACCAAAGGAAGCTGAGAATTTCACCCTTAGCAGTTTAATAGGGCATGGCATTTGTGTTATATGATTTTATTTGGTAGTGTGAAGTAATTTAATAGACTCATTGTACTGAGAAAATCAAGGCAAGTAACCTGAATTTCTCTATCCCAAAAAATGTACAATTTTTCCTAGTTTATTTTGGAAACAGTGCACTCTCTATATTATGGGTACTAGGCAGTTATTGCAGCAAGGAAATCTAACTGTGTTGGAGTCAGTACGTTGACATCATTAAGGTACACATGCGTATATAGAGGTGGGTATTTACCTTTGACAGAGTTCAGTTCTAAACTTCTGTAAATGCTCTGCCCTTGACAAAGCTGATCTTCTAAGCCCCGTCTTCATGGCTATATGGATCAGTGCTTGTGACAATCACATTTTGAAGACAAAGGGAAATATTTCTTACCAACCAGTGCCTCTTTTGACTTCTTAGACTTACATATGGAATTACTATATTTCTCAGTATAGAATAACTGATAAAATTGGAAATGACTTTCTTCTCTAGTTGTGTCTTACAAGGGTGTATTGTTTACTTAACACATTAACATTAGATATTGCCCAAGAAAAGAAAAGCAGAAGGTAAGTTGAAATTAGGTGCCTTCTAGCTCTGTAGTGCCTTACTGGGTTAGTATGAGGAGGCGGTAAGATGAAAGAGCTGTCTTGGTATGTTACGGTTCATAGGTTACCTGCCAGTGAATCAGACTCCTTTTCCTTAGAACTATTTCTTTGGTGTTTCATGGCTCACAGGACAGGAAGAAGTAGGGATTAGTTCATTATATATATTTTTGTTATTTCAATTTTCTCATTTTTCCTTTTCTCTTTTAGCTCTCTCTTCTACCACTCTCAATTTTTAGCTTCCCTCTTACCATCTCCAGCTGTGTTCACATGGGAATGGCTGGTTCATAAATTGAAATGAATAGTGCTGGGTGGATAAGCAAGTAGATTCTCTGTCATGTGACCTTCACTCCAAGCAACAATATTTTCAGTGCTTACCCATAGATTTTTGCAACATATCTGAACTTTTCTGGCCTGCCCAAATCTATCAGACTAGAAATCCCTGAAGACCAGGCTATTCTGTAAGATTTATGATTCTTCTAGTTTTTAGACAAGTAGAGACTGCATCTATCTTCTGATAGATAAGGTTTTTTTCAGTTCCACGGTTGTCTGAAACAAGGTGGTGCATTTTTAAAAGAGACAATGTAGTATAGAGGAAGGGGTATAGACCTGGGAACCAGAGACCTGGTTTCAAGTGCTGACTCAGCAACTAACTACTAGTGTGACTTTGATAACCTTGGACTAGTCATTTACTCTCAGTGGTTTGGTTTCCTCGTGTGAAAAAAAAAAACTCACAAAACTACATCAGTCTGTGGTTTTTAGATTTACATTCAATAAATAATTTACAATGTCAGCAATTTTTCTTTCCTATACACAGAATGAATCTGAATAGTGAAATTAGGTACACATCGTACAGAATAGAGTATGTACTGGACAACAGCAACTATTTATTCAGGCAGGAAATAAGCCATATGTATGTATGTATATGTGTCTGTATATGCAAAAGTACAGACATGTGTTATAATATCTTTAAAAATAATATTGTTTTTCCATATTATATGAAAAATGCATGTTCTGTTTTGGTTATTTATTGCTGCTAAACAAACCTCCAAAACTTAGCATCTTAAACAGCAACATTTTATTATCTATCATCTCTTTTTGGATGACTTGGCCTCAGATGAATGGGTCTTCTCCTCCATGTAGTGTTGGCTGGGATTGCAGTCATCTAAGGGTTTGATTGGTTTAGAGAATCCAAGATGTCTTCACTTACGTGCCATGGTGGGCACTGCTGAAAGGTTGGGCCCAGCGAGGATGCTGAAAAGGCTGGGCCTTCCTTCTATCCATATAATATTAAGGCCTCTTTCCACCTACATGACCTCTTCACATAGTTTCTCCATTAGGGTAGCTGCCAACATCCACAGGCATAGTTTATTGGGGACTGTCTTTGGAGAGAACCTATTTTATGGTCATTATTTTTAAAATTGGATATATGAAAATAAGGTAAAAATTTTCCATGGGGATTTCAAAACTTATATGAAAAAAATAGTTACAAAATAATATGCACCTTATAATGCCATTTTGGTTGAAAATGTGTGTGTGTGTGTGTGTATGTGTGTGTGTATGAGCACACAAGATAAGAAATCTGCAAGGATAAACAACAAAAGCTAAAACAGTTATATTTGTGTTGTGGAATTATGGATGATTGTTATTTTCTTATTTTTATTTATCTCTATTTTTATGACATTTCAATAATGCATATGCATTACTTGTGTAAAACATGGAATCAATTTAAGTCCAACCATGCAGTGATAACCACCATTAATATTTGGTGAATTTCTTCTTAGTCATTAAACATTCTTTGAAACGTGATTTTACTCATTGTATTGTATTCTATTATATAGATGTATTATGACTTAATCATTTTCCTACGTTGAACATTTAGGTTATGTATGTATGTATGTATTGTTATTTTAAACAATATAATGAACATATTTATACATATTGGACTACATCAATTATGATTTTCTTAACATAAAGTAATAGAAGTGAAGTTTCTGGGTGAAGAGGTATGGACTTTCAAATTTCTCAATAAATGTTGTCAAACTACTTTCCAAAAGGTTGTACAAATTTGTTCTACTTTTTTAGTATCTCTGGGGGAAGCCCTCATCTGAATCAGGACCAATAGTTGTAGATTAATTGAAAATATTAAAGTAGAGGACATTAAAAATATATACATATCTTAAGGCACTTTTATTTTAACTCAAGACTTCCAAATACATGTGTGCATTTGCCAGCCTTCTGCTGTAGGGTTAAGAATTTTTCTTTGAGTATGGTCTCATTTACTTGATTTCACTGTTGTTTAGTGATCTGCTGATAAATGTCTAACAACCAACTTTCTGGAAAAAAATGGCCCTGTTTATTGTGTTTCATGATTCCAGTGGTGTAAATACTCTCACCATGGCCACTTTTAAGCTACCAACATAGCACTTAATGTAGAGTTGAAGTGTGTAGCAGCACACCATTATACAGTATTTCCACTTATACAGACAGAATAAAGGTAAATAACCTCAAGAACATAGATAACTGTAAAATGCAGTAAAATATTTAGGAAGTGATGAATCTTCTGTATTTAGTACTTTTATTTTTAATATAACAAGTTTGTATCATTTAATTATTAATAATGGCAATATTTAATAACAGACTCACACAATTCCTGAAAATTTAATAATTGGCTCTTGTAACCGGTATACCACTGGTATTTTTTCTTTCAGAAACCACAATATAATGCATCCTCTATGATTTCCAGTTTTGGTTTCTTTGAAGTAGACCACCAATTTAACAGGACTTGTTATACAATTTGGGTATGGAGTCCTTCTGAATGTTTGTGATTCCCACCCTTAACCAATCATTTATAGTTGTTTCATCCACAATTTGATAGCTTTTTTATTTTTTTTTTCAGTAGCTGTCCTTTAATCAGTTGCAATTTTTTTTTTCCTGGAAATGAGTCTGTTTTTCCCTTTGCACTTGTCCTTCACCATTACCATGTTATGTAATATACAAGGTATAACTAGCATCAATAGACTTGTGAATAATCACACTGATCTTTGGTAGACATACAATTCAACTGGTGTGAGCAGAGTTGCCCAGATATCCGTGGCTATGAGAGTATCCTGGTTATGTGCATTCAACATCCCATGGGCCTGGAGATGAGTTAGTGAGTACTGTTATTTTGTATTCTGTTTCTTTAATCTGAAGGACAGTCAGGTCTTTAGTAAACATGCCCCATAATGATCTGGATAATGCAGATTTCTGCCCTATTTCTTATTGTGGGGATTTATTATACTGATTCATCGATGCTGTTCCCCCATGACCACTAGGAAGGATCTGTGCGAGTGCTAGGCAGAGGTATAAGGAAGGTATGTGGCAGCCAACTAGCCCAGGAAACAATCACATCCGTGACCTTATGCTCTAGGGTCATTAGCACTTGTTTCTAGCCAACTGAGCTAATGAGGCTCTTGACATTTTATTTTTCTTGACATTTGTTTCTTTTTCTGCTTTATATCCCATTGAAGTAGTTATTAAGTCAAATAATGTGAGAGCCAGAATGGTCCTTGCAGAGCAACTCCAGTGCCCTCATTTAACAGAATTTCTCTCAAACTGTTCCAGGTCCATGCCTCTCATGTTCTATTGATGTGTGCACCTCAGGAACTTGGAGTTGCAATGCTAACAGAATTTTCTGCAGGAGATTGACATTTTGTGTTATGTATCTCGCCATCTCACTCAACTGTGTGAATGGATAACTGAGGTTTAAGGATACTAATAGTTAAACAACTTGGGAAGAATCGTCAGTGCTACATATTAGAAACCTTGCAATCTTATTAGAAAGGTAAACAAGACTCCACTAAGTAAAAATGTCAAGAGATATTTGTGAAACTTTCAAATTTCCCCTGAGCCTCAAGGTATCCAAATGATCAAAGGCAATCCAAGAGGTTAGTGACTGTTCCTATGTTTTGAGTAATTGTTGCCAGAAATGCCAATTCCCTTCTGCTTTCTGGCTGGAGGCTTCTTCAAAACCTTCTGTAAAAAAGGTTTTAAAATTCTAAGAACTTGAAACGTACTCTTTGCCTGTGTGTTATTCACTTCTGTGATTATTGCTACCTCCTTTCCTTCTCCTCCTTCTTCCTTTTGTTAATTCAGTCAGAGAACTAATTTACATCTAATCAAAAAGAGCTTTATAGGCTGGGTGTGGTGGCTCATGCCTGTAATCCCAGCACTTTGCTGAGGTGGGTCGATCCCCTGAGGTCAGGAGTTCGAGACCAGCCTGGCCAACATGGTGAAACCCCATTTCTACTGAAAATACAAACATTAGTTGGGCGTGGTGGTGGGCATCTGTGATCCCAGCTACTCAGGAGGCTGAGGCAGGAGAATCATTTGAACCCGGCAGGCGGAGGTTGCAGTGAGTCGAGACTGTGCCATTGCACTCCAGCCTGGGTGACAAGAGTGAAACTCTGTCACAAGAAAAAAAAAAAAAAGCTTTATAGGTCATAGAAATTTTGAAGTGTTGACTTTAATGATAAATATCATGTTTCATTTGTCAATGCTATTAAATTTCACTTTATTCTTGATCAGTATTTTTAGAATAAGCTAAGTAAGCTTGAATATCTTACCTTCAACTTTCCCATACATAATTGCCAATTCTGGTCTTATCTGTTCATACCATTCTCCCCACCTATAAACTTTTTCTATTAATCAATCATTCTTTTAATTGTGTCAGTTGGAATTATGTCAGTGTGAACCTGAAGCAAAGATAAACTGTTACTATGTCTAAAAAGGTTAATCCAACTACTTGATGTTAGAAGTCAAGATAGGACATTAAGTAATCAAGGCCCATGAAGTGCTTGTAGGTAAATGCTCCCTGGTTATAGGAAGGCTTGTAGAAGGAAATGTTTCTTAGGACTAAAAACTGAGAAAGAGACAACAGTTTGAGATGGCATGATTGTGAGTCTCTTGAGACAAATTATATTATCTTATTCAATCCTTGTGGCTTTGAGAGTGTCAGAGTGACATATCTATCAAGTCTCATAGTTATCAAGAAACAGTGTCAGGATTCAAACTTCCAGGTGTCAAATTCATTTTGCTTTCCAATTTACAGTTATTATGGTATGAGTAGATAGTAAGTGCTGATTTGTGCTGTTTTGATCTGGTTGTTTGATTTTGTAAAAGAGGATTTCCAATCTTTCTTTACAGTGACTTAGGCATTCCATTTGAGGGCTAGGCAAAATTGGCACTGAGGAATCAGATCTGTTCATCTGCCCCATCCACTGAATACACATTGAAAAATCTTTAAAACGTAGCCCATGATATCCAGGAGCTGGTCTGATGCTCACAACTAGGTCTTATTTATATTACTGCAGGCTGGACTGTTACATACAACTAGGCTAACAGGAGAACATCACAGAACATCAACACCAGACAAGATCACTCTGAAACTATGATGGAGTGAGACAAAAACAAGGTCACTGTACAAACCATTCAACACCAATGCCTCCTTCAATCTCAACTAAAATAAGTGATTGTTACTTGTTTACCAATTGTAGCTTTAACTTCATCGAATCTTCCCTCCCTATAGATACAATTCACTGAGATACCTGATATAGTTGGGCTGTGTCCCCACCCAAATCTCATCTTGAATTCCCATGTGTTGTGGGAGGGACTCGGTGGGAGAAAATTGAGTCATGGGGGCAAGTCTTTCTCGTGCTGTTCTCGTGATAGTGAATAAGTCTCACAAGATCCGATGGTTTTATAAAGAGGAGTTCCTCTGCACAGTTTCTCTCTTTTTTGCCTGATACCATCCATTTAAGATGTGACTTGCTCCTCCTTGCCTTCCGCCATGATTGTGAGGCCTCCCCAGCCACGTGGAACTGTAAGTCCATTAAACTTCTTTCTTTTGTTAATTGCCAAGTCTTGGGTAGGTCTTTATCAGCAGCGTGAAAATGGACTAATACAATACGCAATCATAGACTCGACCCCACTTTCTGATAGCATCCCATCTAGAGAGAACTTCTTTTTCCTTAGACCCTGCCCAAAATTATGCAGCCTAATCCCAAGTTCTTTAATAGATTCTTTCTAATGCCTTCTTTCTGAGATGCCCATGGTTCCCTTGATGTATGTTCTTTCTCACTGCAACAAATAATGGGCTCAATTTATTCAGCTACAGGTATGTTCTTGGTAGTCTTTGGCTGAAGAGAAATGACACCAGATTCTCATGATAGACAGGGTCTATTCTGTAGTGTACTTCTTGCTTAGAATATCTGGTGAGCAGTCACCTCTGATCAGGCCCTCTCTCAATATGCCAGTGCTATGCAAGTTAGAATCTTGAATTTCTTAAGGAACTTTCAATCCTGATTTAAATTTCTGGGCATTATTTGCTGTAGTTCCACAGTTGTGTCTCTCTAGAGAGAAAGGGCTCTCAGTGGGAGGATGGGGTTAATGCAAATAATACTGGATATGTCAGAAAACTTCTCTTTTAGTTTTATCTCTGTTGGCAAATAGCCTTGTGACTATGGTCAAGTTGTTTAACCTCTTTGGACCATAGAATTTTAGCTTTAAAACAAGAGTTAGACAGTAGAGGTCTCTGAGGGTCCTTCTAACTCTAACATTTGGTGATTTTATTACTTGAAATCCACTCTGGGTATGTCATCTTCTTTCTCTCATAGGTAATATCATATAACTCTGAAGAGTTTTGTGATGTGAATCACCCAACATATTCTATTTTTTAAAGCTATCCAAAGTGCATAAAGGTAAAGTTCATCATTTACTTCACAAATATTTGCAAACAGATGGCTAGCATAATTGTTTCTGCAGTAAAAGCAGACATTGTTAAAATATAATAAGAACCAGATAAATCTGCGGGAACTCTCTTAGCTCTGTCTCCAGAGAATCAGTGCTAATAAGTCAAATTAGTCATTTTTATTTAGGAGATATAAAAAGGCATATGGTTTCATGCTGTACCAGCTGTCATAAAATTTTGGAGAAAAGTGTTGCTTACAAAGCTTCTAGGGGAAATGTTTCATAGAAGCATTTTAACCTTTATAGCTTACAAAACCAGTTGGCTTCCTTTTTTTTTCACAAACTATTTTTTGGCCTGAATTCTCTTTAACAATAAAGGTTCAGCAGGAAGGAAAACACGTAGCTAGAAGAAAAATAACTGGATTGCCTTCTAGTGGAGTACCTGTTATAGATTGCTTTCATATAGAGCTAAGATTTTCATGTGAGTCTAAAGTGTGTTTTGATGAAATATATTAGGAAACTTGTTTTCAAGTAAGATACATTTCAGAAAGCTACACTCCACTATTTAACCTTCACGTATCATATGAATTACAATGGTGGCCACAATATATGCATACTTTATATGCATACTTAAAAGTCCTTACTCATATACAAGTTCCTTTTGTTTTTTGGCCTCTCCTCCCTTATACTGAAGTACGTGTGCTTTTGTGTATGTGTGTGGTGTGTGTGTTTGTGTGTGTATGAAACCGTAGAGTCCAAAGGTCTTCCACATATTCCACATATTGTGATTTATTCTTCTGACAGTTTCTCTATTCCTTTGCAGTTTTTCACTTCTATCTTTTTAAAATTTCCTTGTTTATTCACTTTGTAGATTCAAGCTTTCCCCCATTTCTCTTTAGTTTTTCATTAAAAGAAGCCAGACCTAGGAAAGACAGAGTTTGAAATAGAAATCTAGAATCAGATATTTATAAGTTTCTATATAAGTTAACCATTGCAATTGTGGTTGGCCTCATGCCAAGAAAGAAATGTATAATAAATCATAAGAGACAAGATTAATGAGAAAGTCTTTGGAATAATCAGAAAATATAGTGGAGTTCTCAAAAACTAAGAATGGAAATTGAGTAGTTCCATATGAATGACATTTATACGGATAAATAGTATTTGGAAGGTATTAATTAGAAAATGTATCGATTTTACTTGCCTAAATTACAAACGTAGCATTTGGGTTGTCATAGTAATTTGAATACATTTGTTCTTTGAAATGATTTTTGATTATGCAATTGCAGAAGGCTTTTAACAATTTTTACCATGCATTTCCTAGGGGCCTTATGTCCACAGTTTCTTTAAAACAAAATTGTATTTTGCTTCTTATCTTTTTTATTACACTAAGACTAAAGTGCATTTTGTCACATTTTGTATAATATATTGTCTACAAATCTATCAGATAATGCATTTGTTAAATAGTTGACTTTTGCCATTATCTCAATAGATTAGAGTAGCTGTTCCCAACATTTTCAAGGATGAAGATTTCTTGTATGTATCAAAATACTTCTTGGAACAACTCCCCATTTACCCTTGCCACCAAGAAAATAGCTTTCCTTTTCTGTTTTTCTGTTATGATGTCATATATCTTCTATTAATTCAGTGTTATTTTAATGAATTTACATTTCATTAATAACCATAAAAGCACCTGCATATATTCAACAATAGTAGCACATATTATTATTCAGCTAGCAGATTCCTATATATATGGATTGGCAAAATCTTTGTAAGAACTGATTAGTCTCTCAGGCATCTATGGTACAGAGATTGGGAGCTCTTGGGTTAGAGCTTGATACCACTTAATTGCCACTTGATTGCTTTTGCTGATTTAATTCCCAAAGTGGTTCATGGGATTCTGCTCTCCAAATCTGACCCTGTCATTTTAGGTGGGCTATTACCAAAATGGTAGTAGTATGGTATAATGTTTTTGGCCACCCTCCTTTTGTTTCTCCTTTGAAGTTTGTTATGGGAGAGGGCTGGCCCAGATGGCCACTGATTAATGGGAAATGTGAGGGTTGGGTACTGTGTGTTTTGAGATGAAGCAGGGCATTTCCTGTCCAACTCATTAAAATGAGTTTAAAAAAGCAGGGATGGAGAGCCGAGTAAAATTCCGTAGAGAATAAGTTGGAGTTAAAACATTTAGAAAAGCACACACAAACACCAAGTCAAAGGATAGAATCAATATCAGGACTATTGAGCCAACTGTTCAAGAGTTGAGTTTGAAAAAGTCTAAAGTAACAACAGGAGTAAGTATGATACTGCTTTTTATTCATCTACTTTTGAAATTAATCCAGAACTGGCTGTTTGTTTTTAATAAATGGTGAAGGGCTAATTGGCTTACCATGCAGTGTTTTCCATTTGGTCTCCCACAGTATACTTCTCAGCTCTGTTTAGAAACTGGAAGGTTAGTTTGTTCAGTTTTTTATAACATAAAGCCATAATGTTGGTTTGGTTCTATCATAGGAAGCACGATAATGGGTGTTTAAACTACCAAATCCATCACCTGATCTGTCCATAAATCTCAAACCTGCATTTTATATAGTTTTTATAACACAAATTAAACAGTTTACCTTTTCTTACACTGTCTCCTATGGGTTTTCTTTCCCACAGAGAAACAATCTGTTTTCTATCTACAGGCTGTTTAAACAACTGCATCCAGCTGTCATGTGGCTATGTGAGGTTGGGCATAGGGAGATTCTATGTAAATGAGTGATCAGTTCTCTGATCCTTCTTCCCTGGCGTGGAAGCTGGGGAAAGCTCAGATGAGCTCCATAAGGCTGGAGTAGGACTTAGGAGCACAGCTCTACCATGGCTGTATATGTTGTGCCAAGGCATGAATACCAAACCATCCAAATGCCGAGGGGCAAACCTGGAGAAGTTAGTAAATGGGACTTTAGAGCAAGAAGGCCTATGTTACGTGAAGTTAAATAGATTTCTTTGCTACAAAAGTTATCATAGTATTTCATGTGCTAATATGAAATGTGACTCTCCTAGATGGAGATAGATTATGCTCTCTTTTCCAAATTTATTTGATCATTGACTCTTTGAATGTTTGTAAATATGTGGTAGAGTGGTTTTCTATTAATAATATCTTGCCAGGCCAGGCGTGAGCCATCACGTCTGTAATCCCAAGGCTTTGGGAGGCCGAGGCAGGAGGGTTGCTTAAGGCCAGGAGTCCCAGACAAGCCTGGGCGACATAGTGAGACCCTTTCTCTCCCCTCCCCCGCCAAAAAAAAAGGTCAGGCATGGTGGCGCATGCCTGTAGTCCCAACTACTCAGGAGGCTAATTTGGGAAGATCGCTTAAGCCCATGAGTTGGAGGCTGCAGTGAGCTATGACCACTTCTTTGCACTCCAGCCTGGGTAACAGAGCAAGACCCTGTCTCTAAAGAAAAAGAAAATAACAATATCATGCCAGACACTTGATCCATGGAACACAGTTTGAATGGAGAATGCTGCCGTAATAGAAATAAAATTTAAAACAAAAGTTCTGTTAACTGTGCAGTCATATTATTTTTGAATATGGAAAAGTGGATGTGTTTTGTAACACACAAAGCAAAAATAATGTAACTTAATTTGTTAAGGTCTGCGAAGTGATTAAGATGCATCAATAATCATATTAAAATGGAGATGGTTGGATTTGAGCCATTTTAGCAAATCTTAGATATTAGGGTGCTAAGATGGTGGCCAGAGTGGAAAGGACACCTTTTTGTCACCCTGGTCACCATGGTATGCTGTCAGTGCAAATAGAAACCCAAATCTAATTTCAAACAAAACCTAAGTAATAGCAGTGAGTTTCCATACAATTCTCTTTTTAAAGTCAAATTAAATCATTTCCTTGAAGTACCACAAATGTTATTTTCAATCCCCAAATTTTCCTTTTGTATTCAGTTCTCTCTCAGTAATAGCATTTTTTTCAGTACAAAGAAAATCTTATGTTTACATAAATGCACTGTCTAACGGTCCTGTTTACATCACTCACACCAATAGGTCTGGAGGTCCTTTTCCCGATGAGAGTTTACAAATGTCACAGCCTTCTTCTCTTCCCTCTGTTAACCTTTCAAGGACAAAATTCCTCTTAATTAAGAGTTTAACTTGTGAGGTGGTATGTTTCAGTTGTCTGAGTTAATGTCAGCCTTGGTAAGCTGAGACATCTGTTCAGAACACAGGTCACCCTCTCATCCAGCTAATTTATACTGCTAGAGATGGCTTCTACTTTTCTTTTCTAAGAAAGTCATAGTTGGCTGCAGGCAGACTTACCAGTTGAGAATATAATTTCATTAAGCCTGTCTCCACATTGCTTCCTTAGTATTTTGCAGGATGGAAGAAGGGGTAGCAGGCACAAATAGCTTCATATTAATGAACTGCCTTGAATAGGTTCTGGATTTGAGGGTCTATTTCCAGCCTCTAAAGAAGGCAAAAGGTCTGCTGCAACCCCAGTTTGATTTGAGGTGTGCTAGTAAGGGCCTCTACTCTTTCCAATGCTGGGCATAGTACCAGAATTTCCTCTGTTGGGGAATTTATTATACCTTTGAATCTTGTAGATTTCAGTTTCTCAAAAGATGTTTGCTAAAATGCAAATGCCCCAAGGAGAGGGGCATAATAAGGTTTTTTATCATCTAATAATTTAACTAATTTGAGTTTGACTTGCTTTGCAAATATGGCCCAAAGCAGGGGTGCATCCAGGTATTGTGGTACCTAATACTTAAACACTTTAGAGAAGGGATCTTTAAAAAAAGAATAAACATTGGCCAGGCGCGGTGGCTCACGCCTGTAATCCCAGCACTTTGGGAGGCTGAGGCAGGTGGATCATGAGGTCAGGAGAGCGAGACCATCCTGGCTAACACGGTGAAACCCCGCCTCTACCAAAAATACAAAAAATTATCCAGGCATGGTAGCAGGGGCCTGTAGTCCCAGCTACTCGGGAGGGTGAGGCAGGAGAATGGTGTGAACCCGGGAGGCGGAGCTTGCAGTGAGCCGAGATCGGGCCACTGTACCCCAGGCTGGGCGACGGAGCGAGACTCCGTCTCAAAAAAAATAAAAATAAAAAAAATAAACATTTACCAATAAAAAATTAGTGAAGATTCTTAGAAGGGACCTGGGCAAGTTGGGGGACCTAAAGCTTCATTAGTTTCATGGTAAGTCTGCCTGTGGGCTAGGGTAGTGATGAACAACCTTTAGGGTGCAGGGTGCATTAAATGTATGTGAGTGGTATGTTAAAAAATGTAGATTCTTGGGGCCCATGCTTCAAGATTCAGATTCAGTAGATCTGAGTTTGAGCCCTGGAACCTTGGAGCTTTTGTGGTCTGAGGTATCTACCTATATTTCACACTTTGAGAAACATGGTACAGCACAGAGAAGGCACCTGAGGGAAGGAGCAGGACCTTATTCTCCAGTGGATGGTTAAAGGTTTCAGTTATGCAAGATAAATAAATTCTGGAGATCTACTATACGGCATAGTGCCTGTAGCTGACAGTACTATATTGTATATTTAAAATTTGCTAAGAGGATAGATCTTAGTGATCTTACCAGAAGAAAACCTCCCCAAACAAATGAAAAACTCCACAGCACAATAATAATAAAGGAGCAGGGAGGAAACTTGGAGATAATGAATATTTTTATGGTCTTGATGGTGGTGATAGTTCCATGGGTATATATTTGTCCCCAAATTCATTGAGATGTAGACATTAAATATGTACAGCTTTTTATATGTCAATTCTACCTTGACAAAATGGTTAGAAAAATAGGAAGAAGAAGCCAGAGATAACTTTTAAAGAAGGCAATGGTCCTCATGGCTATGCGACTCTAGAGCCACATCCACAATCGCCATTCCTACTGCTTCTTCATGTCTTGTTCTTCTCTGCATGAAATATACACATTCTTTCACATGCCCACAAAATGAATATGTCACAAAATGCCTAAATTTAGTGAATTGACTTATTGCATCTATTTATTTTGCATATCCAGGACAATGCAAGAGAAAATGCAGGCTTTTTTCATAAAGAAGCATTTTCATTATTGAAAAGAGGACCTATATGTTATATGGTAGCCACATTTCTTGGAAAATTGCAAGAAGGACAGATGAGATCTTTGACATTAACCCTCTGCAAGGGTAGTCCTTTGCCCATATATAAAGGGGAGATGAATGTTTGGGCAGGAAGAGGGACAGAGGGGCAATGTGGCTGACTTGTGGTCCAAGATATACTCTTCCACTCTTGGGGGACTAAGATCAACAGAGAAATATTTCTGTTTAGCTGGTTTCATAGTAAGAACCACATATGATGAGAGACTGTAGTTACTATACTTTATTATCATATAATACTCTTATACACAAATATGAGCTGCATGCCAGAAAGTCTTTGTATTAGTCAAGATTCTCCAGAGAAACAGAGACAATAAGATTCTTTTCCTTAGGATATGTATGCATATAGAAAAATTTTTTTCTATATGCATACACATCCTATTAGGAAAAGAATTAACTCACATGATTATGGAGGATGGCAAGCCTAAAATTTAGAGTGTGGGCCAGCTGGATTGAGACCTAGGAGAGCTGATATTCCAGTTCCAGTAGGAAGGCTGGCAGCCTAGAGACCCAGGAAAGCTGATGGTGCACATAAAATCTGAAAGCAGTGTGCTGGATAATTCATTCTTGTTTGGGCAGGCCAGTCTTTTTGTTCTATTGAGGCCTTCAACGGATTGGAAGAGGCCCACCCACATTACAAGGATCAGTCTGCTTTATGCACAGTTCACTGATTTAAATGTTAACTTGATTCAGAAACACCTTCCAAGATGACACATACAATTAAACATCATAGTCATATAAGTCATGGTTTTCTCTATTTCATTGTGGAGGACACAATGTGTGGGGCAATGGGCCTCCTCTCAAGGCATCCACTGGAGCCAAGCACCTGCCATATGGAAACTTTCTATCATTGGCAGAGACCATCTGTTTTATTTTTGGGCATTCGGAAACCACCTAGCAAAAGAAGGTCCTAAACTCTTGAATGGTTTCTATTTCTGAGATTATATAATAAGCACTTGCATGCTTCCCATCACTCACAGTGCTGAGGGTGTCCATGAGACTATTTCCTAATTCCTACTTTTCCCCCAACCCAAGTATGATTTATCCTCCTTATCAATACAATGTCGCTTTATTTTCAGATTCGTCATTGTGCAGTTTATCACACTCCATGCTGTAATACAGGTAGTTCTGAATATGTTGTAGCCACCTGTCCTTCCTTCCCCCTCTCCCCACCACTAATTTATGAGCTACTTGAGAGCAGGTATTGTGGGTCACTTATCTTCATGTCCCTCATTACATCTAGCAATGAGCCTTGCTCACAGTAGGTGCTTAAACGGTATTGGTTGAAATTAGTTGGATTGCATTTGTGGGGCTCTAAAATAGTTCTGACCAGCGCTTACTTGAAGTAAATTGGAAAATAGTTTTCTCATAAACTATAGCCTGACAACCAGAGCCCTAGCATTTCAAATCTTGATCCTTGTGTTCCTGTAGCTCCTCCTAGTGGGAAGGTTGCAAAATTTCTTGGCTGCAGGATTACTGCAGCCGAGTTATTACTGCTAGAAACAACAGGAACCACCACCAAACGAAACATAAACCCTTTGTAGGAAATATATATAGTTTAAATTTTTACCTTTTTTAAGGTTTATAGCTGGGCCCAAAGTTTCTAAAAGGTCTATTCAGCCTCTGTGAGAAGCAACTGGGGTTATTTTCGGAGATGTAACCCATGGGTATTGATATACACCACGGCATTCCTTGGTAGCCAAGCATAGGGCTAAGATGAGAACTATTTGGCTACTTCTTAATATTTAAGTGGATGAGCAGCAAACATCTTTCTCCGTCTTCCTGAGCTCCATTCTGCAATTGCAGTGCAGCAGGACGACAGTGCATTTACTGTGGCATGCTGTTGGCCCCATGCACTTCCCCCTTTCCCCCATAGATCTCGGCAGTGCCTTCTGCTTTGGTCCTGACAGGTAGGTCAGTTGGTTTCAGTCTGCCTGGCTGATTTATGCTGCTTTAGGATCCCTTAAGCCTATGCTTCTGGTAGCCTGTACTTCAGATAAAAGTGTTTTTGATTTTTGCATTTCTCTATAGAAACCATAGCCTCTTTTCTTTAATCCCAATGTTTTCAGGGGATGTCTGGGCATTATGTATGCATGTTTAATGATTCATACTCCTAGGATTTTGAGTTTGTTTTTAACTGAACTGTATCTGTTCTCTTATAGAATTTTAGAAGTATTAAAAATAATGTAATAAGCCTTTGCAATGTCTGTTTTTAGGAGGTTGATTGCAGTAATTTTTTTAAACCAACTGATGCACAGTATACAGTACATTCCCCAAATCTGTTGTATATAGGGTAAAAAAATCTTCAAATGGAAAAATCTTCCTTCTTTGCTGTGAGCAAAATAATTAACTATTTGACCACTGATCCATACCAGTGAATGTGATGCCCCTTAGCTTTTCTGAGGTTATGCATAACTCTTGTCTATCCAGCTTCATAAACTGTGGAGTAGGCTTTCTGGAGACAAAGATCTGAGAGTGAACATTATAACATGAATCAGCCCTAGCTACAAATTTGATGTAGTGTTTGCTGGAATTGACAGCAAAAGACAACATTAATCCACATACTAGTGCAGCAGTGGTTTCATTTCATCCCTCTGCAACTACGTGACTTGGAATATATTTGTGTTTTCATTTTATTTCAGTGCCTTTGAGCATACAGTATGGTACCTTTTTTGAGCCATGACATAGGTTTGAAGCAATACAGTTTATACCTGTGCAGTACTCCTCATTAGAGAAGTGTTTCTCGGTTAAGATTGTTGTCTCTCTACCTGGAAACATAAAACATAAAGTCATACTGTAAGGATAAAGACTATCAATGTATGGTTGGCTCAGTTAACTGGAACCTCATGTTCACTCTTCTAGGTATATTCTGCTTTGTCAGAATCTCTTATGTGATCTTGGACAAGGTATATGATTTCATTTTCTACTCTTAGATTAATTATGTGGGATTTGATTGTATGTTGCTATATTTACCCTGGAGTTAAATATGTGTTCTCCTCTTCATTTAATCTAGTGATTTCACATTTGATTACCAAGAGATAATTAGAGATGGAAGTTCTGTGGTTGCTGGGAAACCAATCAACGATTTAAAAAATTTTGTTACAGATTATTATACCCACATATTTATTGGCAGAAGATAATAATTTAATAATTTAATTGGCAGAAGAAAAACTAGAAGTGGCATTTTTTTCAGGGAAAAAATCCTCAAATTGGCTAAATCTCTTCTATCACAAAGCTTTTTTAAGAATAATGGGGGAGTGAGGGAAACTTATAAACCACTGATTTCTTTACTCTTCTCTAGACACATATTTTTAACCCCAAGGCTCATCTGCAATTGATACCTGATATTTTTCTTATATACACACTTTTCAGTGTGTTGACAACAGTTTTAACAAAAAGTACATGTAAGTATATGTGCTATTATTAGTTTGTGTTAATGACTAAGCTACAATCACGCCCTGAACATTTTGTCAAGTTGTGTTTGAGGGGTCACTGGGTTCTCTCGTATGTTGAGAAGCTTTCTGGCCCAACTTAATTAGTACTTTTCAGAGAAAACAAGCCTGTTGGCCTGGATACTTACTCCATCTTTGGACAAGTGGAAGATTAGGGTCTTTGTCTAATTAACAGTTATCTACAGCACATAGCCTATAGGTGATAGCGTAAATTGCATGCTGAAAAATGCTACCTGAAAACAATGATCTAATATGGAATGACAGAGAGAGGGTCTTGGTACTTATCTCTATGAGTGTCTTTGGGGGCAAGGACAACTCCCTTTAATGCAGACTTTAAGGAGTTATGATTTCTCTGGGAGGAGTTGGGACAGGCCTAGGTTACTGCAGGTGATGGGGAGTATCTTACTACTTGCTGGATAAATACTTCTGTTTATCTCAGTCACAACCCTCAAATTTCCGTGGAGCAAGGAATTATCTTTAGAAAAGTATCCTAACTAGATCTTGCCTCTTTCTGGAAATCTCTTCCCAAAATAATTGCTTGACTTTCTCCTCACCTCCATCAGATGTTTCTTCACATGTCACCTTTACATTGAGGCCTTGTATACCATCCTATTTGAAATTTCAACCTGCCCCCCCCGCCCTCCCCCACACAAACAGACACACACACACACACACACACACACTTCATATCTCCTTCCCTGCTTTATTTTTTCTTTTTAGCATGCATTACTATGTAAAATATAAAATATTTTATTTTTTCTAAACTTGGTTATTGCTTGTATCCCCAACTAGAATGTAAGTTCCATGAAGGCAGGAATTTTTGTCTGTCATGTTCATTGTTGTAGTCCTGGTGCCTTGAATAGTCCCCTGGCATATTTAACAATGAAAAAATTGTTGAATGTATGAGTGAGGAAAAGGAAGGACAAAAAGGAAGGAAGAGGCACTCGGAAAGGCATTGATTCCAGACTCCAGAAGCTCTTTTCACTTTCAAAGTTAGGGCCAAAATGCTTCAGCCTTTTTTTCATTAAGGTAGAAATAATTTAGGGAATGCTATGCCTTCTCATTAATGGAGAGGACTGCAATCAAATAGAGCTATCTACTGTTAAATAGAGGGGGCTTCAATCAGTTGGGTTAGTGAAGAAGGAGAAAAGATATAATAAATCAGGCAGTGATGCCAAAGAGCATATTGGTCAGGGATGTTTTATATCTTGTTAAGTGAGGTAGAAGTGGGGATGTGGAGAAGAGATAGCATGACAATGAGGAAGGAGAGGGTGACAGAAGAGGAAGAGGTATAAAATATACAACTAAATCAATTTGGTTATAAGAACAAGTTTTTTCAGAGAAATTTATTTTCTTGCTTTTGACCATGTGTCATTTAATGATGGAGTTATGTATGCCCTGAGAAGTGCATTGTTAGGTGATTTTGTTGTGGTGCAAACAGTGTACTTACACAAACTTAGATGGTATAGTCTACTACACACTTAGGCTAGATATAGCCTAGTGTGCATAGTTGTATAGTGTGTATATCTATACCTAGATATAGGTGTAGTTTATTGCTCCTAGGCTGCAAACCTGTACAGCATGTTACTATACTGAACAATGAAGACAATTGTAAGATAATAGGATTTGTATATATAAACATAGAAAAAGTATAGTAAAAATATTGTGTAAAAGATAAAAAATGGTACATCTGTATAGGGTACTTACCAAGAATGGAGCTTGCAGGACTGGAAGTTGCTCTGAGTGAGTCAGTGAGTGAGTGGTGAGTGAATGTGATGACATCAGGACATTACCGTACACTACCGTAGACTTTAGGACATTACCGTACACTACCGTAGACTTTAGGACATTACTGTACACTACCGTAGACTTTAGGACATTACAGTACACTACCGTAGACTTTATAAATGCTTAGGCTATACACTAAATTTCCAAAAAATTTTTCTTTCTTCAATAATAAATTAACCTCAGCTTACTGCAGCTATTTTACTTTATAACCTTTAAATATTTGTAAACTTTTTTACTCTCTCTCTCTTTTTTTTTTCTTTTAGACGGAGTTTCACTCTTTTTGCCCAGGCTAGAGTGCAATGGCACCATCTCGGCTCACCACAAGCTCCACCTCCTGGGTTCAAGCGATTCTCCTGTCTCAGCCTCCCAAGTAGCTGGGATTACAGGCACCCGCCACCACGCCTGGCCAATTTTTGTATTTTTAGTAGAGATGGGGTTTCTCCATATTGGTCAGGCTGGTCTTGAACTCCTGACCTCAGGTGATTCGCCTGCCTTGGCCTCCCAAAGGGCTGGGATTACAGGCATAAGCCACCACCCTTGGCCAACTTTTTTACTCTTTTGTAATAAAACCTAGCCTAAAACACAAATACATCATACACCTTTACAAAAAAACCTTTCTTTATATCCTTATTCCAACAGCTTTTTTCCTATTTTTAATATTTTAATTTTTTTAAACTTTTAAAACTCTTTGTTAAAAATGAAGACACAAACACAGTAGCCGAGGCCTGCACAGGGTCAGGATCACCAATATCACTGTCTTCCCTCCATGTCATGTCCCACTGGAAGGTCTTCATGGGCAATATCATATCTCCTATGATAACAATGCCTTCTTCTGAAATACCTCCTGAAGGATCTGTGGCTGTTTTACAGTTAACTTTTTATTTTAATAAGTCAAAGGAATTCACTCTAAAATAATGATAAAAGTATAGTATAGTAAATACATAAACCAGTAACATAGTTGTTTATCGTTATCAAGTATTATGTACTATACATAATTGTATGTGCCACACTTATATGTGCCTGACAGTACATTAGGTTTGTTTACACCAGCACTACCATAAACATGTGAGTAATGCATTGCTCTTTGACATTAGGACAGCTACAATGTCACCAGGTGATAGGAATTTTCCAGCTCCATTATGATCTTACGGGACCAGTGTCCCATAAGATTATTCAATGTTGACAAAACATCATTATGCAGTGCATGACTACATAAGTTTTAGATATTAAAAGACTTATTTTTAACTTCAAAACATGAAACAGAAACTGCCGGGCATATGTTAGATTTTATTCTAGAAATGATGCTGTAAGCGAAAATATTTAAGTTAAAACTGACGTTTCCAATCAAATAATGTGGCCTTCCTAACCAAGAATCTGTTCCCACTCTTTTTGGAAATTACCATAGACACCATACTTCGTTAACTAAAATTATAAACTTGTATATTATAAAGACTTTTTAAAAAAGTGCATGTAAATTGATTAATCAACAATTTTAAAATTCATATGGAACCCAAAAAGAGCCTGCATAGCCAAAGCAAGACTAGGCAAAAAGAACAAATCTGGAGGCATTACACTACCTGATTTCAATCTGTACTATAAGGCCATAGTCACTAAAACAGCATGGTAACCTGGTATAAAAATAGGCACATAGACCAATGGAACAGAATAGAGAACCCAGAAATAAATCCAAATACTTACAGCCAACTGATCTTTGACAAAGTAAGCAAAACCATAAAGTGGGGAAAGGACACCCTTTTCAACAAATGGTGCTGGGAAAATTGGCTAGCCACATGTAGGAGAATAAAACTGGGTCCTCATCTCTCACCTTACGCAAAAATCAATTCAAATGGATAAGAACTTAAATCTAAGACCTGAAACGATAAAAATTCTAGGAGATAACACTGGAAAAACCTTCTAGACATGGGCTTAGGTAAGGATTTTATTACCAAGAACTCAAAAGCAAATGCAATGAAAACGAAGATAAACAGTTGTGACTTAATGAAACTAAAGAGCTTTTGCACGGGAAAAGGAACAGTCAGCAGAGTAAATGGACAACCCACAAAGAGGGAGGAAATCTTCACAATCTATACATCTGACCAAGGACTAATATCCAGAATCTACAACAAACTCAAACAAATCAGTAAAAAAACCCAAACAATCCCATCAAAAAGTGGGCTAAGGACATGAGTAGACAATTCTCAAAAGAAGATATACAAATGGCGAACAAACATATTAAAAAATGCTCAACATCACCAATGATCGGGGAAATGCAAATCAAAACTACAACGCAATGCCACCTTACTCCTGCAAGAATGACCATAATCAAAAAATCAAAAAGCAGTAGATGTTGGCATGGATGTGGTGATTAGGGAACACTTCTACGCTGCTGGTGGGAATGTAAACTAGTACAACCACTATGGAAAACAATGTGGAGATTCCTTAAAGAACTAAAAGTAGAACTACTATTTGATCCAGCAATCCCACTACTGGGTATCTACCCAGAGGAAAAGAAATTGTTATACGAAAAATATACTTGCACACGTATGTTTATAGCAGCTCAATTCGCAGTTGCAAAAACGTGGAACCAACCCACATGCCCATCAATCAATGAGTGGATAAAGAAACTACGGTATATATACCTGATGGAATACTACTCAGCCATAAAAAGGAATGAATTAACGGTATTCACAGCAACCTGGATGAGATTGGAGACTATTCTAAGTGTAGGAACTCAGGAATGGAAAATCAAACATTGTATGTTCTCACTGATATGTGGGAGCTAAGCTATGAGGGCACAAAGGCATAGGAATGATACAATGGACTTTGGGGACTTGATGGAAAGGATGGGAGGGGGACGAGGGATAAAAGACTACAAATAGGGTTCACTGTATACTACTCAGGTGATGGGTGCACCAAAATCTCACAAATCACCACTAAAGAACTTACTCATGTAACCAAATACCACCTGTACTCCAATAACTTATGGAAAAATAAAAAAGAATAATATAGAAAATTGTGTTTAGTAATACAATTATAGTTCTCAGCTTACTCTTTATAATTTCCACTTTATTTTGATGACAAAATAAATCAGAATTGGAAGTAATATCTTCATTAGAATAGATTCATTCAGATATTCTGCCTAGGGGAGATTTTCATAGGCATTTTTAAAGAAGTGTTTTGGGGGTTACCTAGGGACATTTGATAATTTCTTAGGAGACAATCATAGAAGCCGCTGCTTTTTTGCTAATGCAAATTGCCATGTAGCAAATAATTTCTTTTCTCCTCTGCTGCCTTCAAACAGAAAGGCTAAGTTGAGCTCCCATCTCATCAGTACTAGCCGTTTCATTCACATCCTGATGTTATGCAAGGGCAGACCTTATGAACAAACCTTGATTTGCACTGAAATTTTCATCCTTTGATACCTTACCATGTTCCTGCTTCTCACTGTCAGAAAACCTCAAAGCCTTGGCTTGGCCATACTTAAAGTTACACAGGGCTGAACTTGATCCCAAATCCACAGAAAAAAACCCTTTCCATCTTATGTACAAGTTCTGCATGTGGTCATTTAGTGGTAGATTGCAACTGTCACTAGGATACTAGTTTTTCTTTTTAGAAGCAATCTTAAGGTTTGAGTACAATCATGTAACAATACTTCTTTTGTGACAAATGTGCCATAACTTCTATATTTAAATGAGTATTTTCCTTAAAAGTAATCACACTGGGACAAGATAATCACTTAAATAATATTGCCATAGTTCAAATGTTTTTTAAACCTCTATTAAACTGCTTTTGGAGATAGTTTATGAGCAACACAAAACACAATAAAACCAGTCTTATTACTTTATAGTAACAGAAGTCTCTTGGTCCCTTATTCTCACCACTCACCTTATTATTTCTTTGTATTTCTCATCCTTTCAACAATCAATGTATATCAACCATGCATTAGGTTCTGGGGATGCCATGGTGGATCAGCCTCTTTCATATTGTCTAGCAAGGAGAGTGAAGATATGGGCCCCTCTGCAAGCAGATTGAGACGTATGAGGAAAAGAAATGTACCTTGTTTACTTCTCTATCTTTAGCACCTAACATGGTGACTGGCATATAGGCACTGAATTGATAATTGATTAATAATTTAGTTAGTGGGTTATTAGCTTTAAATGCCTTAAGTTGATAATATGGGAACAGTGGCTGGATCATTGGAAATTGATATACTGTGATTTGAAAACTGCCAACATAATAACAAGGAAGAAGTGTTCTAATTACACACTTTGTTGTCAGAAACTTTGTTGTTACAGGTAGAAATAAAATAGGGGATAATGCTATGTGCTTCAGAAACTCACAAAATATATCCACTGATCTTCTTCTTGCTTTCAAGTATGGTGTGATGTAGTTCATGTCTAATTCCATTGCTGTAAAGGAATACCTGAGGCTGGGTAATTTATAAAGAAAAGAATTTATTTATCTTAGGGTTCTGCAGGATATACACGAAGTATGGCACCAACATCTGCTTCTGGTGAAGGCTTCATGAAGCTTCCACCCATGACAGAAGGCGAAGGTGAGCAGGCATCACATGGCGAAAGAGGAGGAGGAGAGAGGGGAGGTGCCAGGATCTTTTTAACAATGTGATCTCCTGGGAACTAATAGAGCTAGAACTCACTCATTATCATGAGGATAGCACTAAGACATTCATGGGGGATCCACCTCCATAACCCAAACAACTCCCACCTGCCCCCACCTCCAACATTGGGGATCACATTTCAGTGTGAGATATGGAGGGGACAAGTATCCAAATTGCATCAGCTCTTGGAACAGATACTGTGATGGCTCACCGAATATGTGCTCCCTACTATCCTTCCACTTTCTAACAGAGCCCAGATTTTGTCCAGGTATCAATTCTTCTTGATGGGGCTGACCCCATTTCAGACCATAGGGGATGGGTCCTAACTGATGTAAGAGAGGTCCTGGTAGTCCTGTTCTCCTTGCCAAAGATTGATTGGTTTAGGCACAAGTACATGACCCAACTCCAGAAAGGTTTCTGGGAAATGTTTCTTCATTTTCCTCAGAACTGTTGCCAGCATCATGCTACAAGCCTGAAGGGAAGGTCTACTGACAGAGAAGGACAGAGACCAGGGAAACACAGAAAAGGAGAGACAAAGCCTTGACATACCAAACCAGTGCCTGGCCTACCTATGGACTTCTCAGTATGTGAGATTTAAAACACTGTATTTTATTTTATTTATTTATTTATTGTTATTATTATTATTATACTTAAAGTTTTAGGGTACATGTGCACAACATGCAGGTTTGTTACATATGTATACATGTGCCATGTTAGTGTGCTGCACCCATTAACTTGTCATTTAGCATTAGGTATATCTCCTAATGCTATCCCTCCCCCCTCCCCCCACCCCACAACAGTCCCTGGTGTGTGATGTTCCCCTTCCTGTGTCCATGTGTTCTCATTGTTCAATTCCCACCTACGAGTGAGAACATGCGGTGTTTGGTTTTTTGTCCTTGCGCTAGTTTGCTGAGAATGATGGTTTCCAGCTTCATCCATGTCCCTACAAAGGACATGAACTCTTCCTTTTTAATGGCTGCATAGTATTCCATGGTGTATATGTGCCACATTTTCTTAATCCAGTTTATCATTGTTGGACATTTGGGTTAGTTCCAAGTCTTTGCTATTGTGAATAGTGCCGCAATAAACATACATGTGCATGTGTCTTTATAGCAGCATGATTTATAATCCTTTGGGTATATACCCAGTAATGGGATGGCTGGGTCAAATGGTATTTCTAGTTCTAGATCCCTGAGGAATCGCCACACCGACTTCCACAATGGTTGAACGGATGTGGAGAAATAGAAAACACTTTATTTTAAAGTTCTGTTTTATTCAGGGTTTTCTGTTACTTGTGGCCAAAAGCAACCTAACTTGGGTCTCTTGACTTGAATTGTGGTGTCTGTCCTTCCTTCTCTGACAGATAGCACGTGCACAGTGATAAGGAGGCTATAAACAATGACTAGGTGGTTACTGACCTGTGTCTAGGTGTGTTTGTTGGTAACTTCACATTGCAAGGAACAGCAGCAACTCAGTTTTCCTCAGGCAATGTGGCTGTTATAAAGATATGTCAGAAAGTAAGGAAGCAGAAGAAACTATTTCAGTACTCGGGCAATTCATCCTTACAGATGGCCAAAAAGACCATATTTAGGATACTATATAACCCTCTTGCACCAAAAGCAGCTCTAGTAGTAAATAATTCTCATGATTTGGGTTCTGCCTTCTGCTTTTACTTCTTCCTACCATAATTCTGTCTGTTTCTATTGCTGCCAAATGCTCTCAGCTCTCAACTTCATCGCTTTCCCCTGCCGTGTGAATTCTCCTTCCTGCCTTTTCTTGACACATCTTTCAGCTTCTGTCTGTACTCTACTATCTCTTGACCTTTTCCGTGGTGTTTGGAGTTTCAAATCTCCAGGTGATATAATGGCTTCATCTCAAGGATGAGCCTGTCTTCATACTTGAGATGGTACTATCATCCAACACAAAACTACCTGGATGGGCCAAGCTCCCTTGTCTCTTTACCATAAGCTGCTGATCTCCCCTCAAGTCCAGCTGCCTCTGGGTCAGGTATGTAACCTGTTCAATCCGTGTGGCAAGATTGCAGTGTCTCATAACAAAACATGGAGGCTTATTCAGAGGAAACCTCTTCTGCATGTTTTGTGAAGAAGATGATGGCATGTGGCAGATGCTTTAGAATATCAGTGTCAGGGATTATTTAGTTAGTATAAATTATTATTCAGTATATTATGAGACCAGGAAATGTGACTGAGGAATGTGCCCTTCCCCTAGCCCTTGACCTTCCTTAGATGTACTAATACTTGATATGGTGTCATAATTTCTTCTTTGTCCTCTGCAACTTCTTTCTCTTTCATGTTCCCTTTTCAGTTGCCCAACTAGCCCTCCACAAGTCTAGTGGTCTGCTTACAGAGATCATACTTTCTACTCATATACCATGATTAGCTACCACACCATGCTTTCCATTTTCTCTCCCCTGATCATGACCAACGTGTATTCTCTTGATCAAAACATGCCAAGGCAAGAAGTGTGGCCAACCACCGGAAGTTCTTAGAGGTATGCTAGTATGCAGAGAAAGAACAAACACTTATTCAGTAACTATAATGTAGTAGGCACTGTATCTGATGCTTTATGTGGTAGGAAAATAGCACCATTGTAGGCAACTATCGTGTCTATCCAGTTTGTTGTGAAAAGGTGACCATACTGGTTATTTGAATGTGATTTTTGGTGATTATGATGATGAACTGTTTTGTTGCTGAAGCTTCTGTTTATAGTGCTAAATTGTCAATGGGATTCATTTTCCTTAAGAGCAGCCAGAAAATATTCAGTGTAATACTGTTACCTTTATATTGTTGTTAGCCCTTTTCCCAGTCACTTTGGACAGTAGATTTTTCATTCCTGTTTATAAAAACTGAGGAAGAGAAAAAATATAACAAGGCAAATATCCTCAGCATGGTTATTTCTGATTGTTTAGTTTCTGTTGTTAGCAACCTGGATATACCAGGTGCTGAAATGAACATACAATTTCAAGAGAAGTTATATTTTGAAGTAATTAAAACATCCAATCTTTTATTTTTTTTATTTTACTTTAAGTTCCAGGATACAAGTGCAGAACGTGTAGGTTTGTTACATAGGTATACATGTGCCATGGTGGTTTGCTGCACCTATCGACCTGTCATCTAGGTTTTAAGCCCTGCATGCATCTGCTATTTGTCCTAATGCTCTCCGTCCCCTCTCCTCCCAACCCCTCAACTGGCCCTGGTGTGTGTTGTTCCCCTCCCTGTGTCCATGTGTTCTCATTGTTCAGCTCCCACTTATGAGGGGTGTTTGGTTTTCTGTTCCTATGTTAGTTTGCTGAGCATGATGGCTTCCAGCTTCATCCATGCCCCTGCAAAGGACGTGATCTCATTCCTTTTTATGGCTGCATAATATTCCATGGTGTATATGTGCCACATTTTCTTTAGCCAGTCTATCATTGATGGGCATTTGGATTGGTCCCATGTCTTTGCTATTGTAAATAGTGCTGCAGTAAACATATGTGTGCATGTGTCTTTACAGTAGAATGATTTATATTCCTTTGGGTATATACCCAGTAATGCGGTTGCTGGGTCAAATGGAATTTCTGGTTCTAGATCCTTGAGAAATTGCCACACTGTCTTCCACAATGGTTGAACTAATTTACATTCCCACTAACAGTGCCAAAGCGTTCCTATTTCTCCACAGCCTTGACAGCATCTATTGTTTCTTGACTTTTTAATAATTGCCATTCTGACCGGCATGAGATGGTATGGTATCTCATTGTGGTTTTGATTTGCATTTCTCTAATGATCAGTGATAAAACATCCAATCTTTTTTTTTTTTTTTTTGAGATGGAGTCTCGTTCTGTCACCCAGGCTGGAGTGCAGTGGTGTGATCTTGGCTCACTGCAAGCTCTGCCTCCCGGATTCATGCCATTCTCCTGCCTCAGCCTCCCAAGTAGCTGGGACTACAGATGCCTGCCACCAGGCCTGGCTATTTTTTTTGTATTTTTAGTAGAGACGGGGTTTCACCATGTTAGCCAGGATGGTCTCGATCTCCTGACCTCGTGATCCACCCGCCTCAGCCTCCCAAAGTGCTGGAATTACAGGCATGAGTCACTGCGCCCGGCCAAAACATCCAATCTTAAAAAAATCGTTTATTGTTTACAGTTCTATAAGGGCTGATTTGCAGACATAGAAATTGGTTGAAGGAAATTTATTTTTAGAAAATAGGAAGGAAGCTCCAACCCAGGGAGCAGGTAAATATTTTCATACTGACTTATAAGACAAAGAAAAGGGGATGGAGATAAGACCACTTGGAAGTAAAGGAATATCTGACTCAAGGTTATTCTTAAATAACTACACAATTCATTTATAGGTTTATTTTTGTTCATCTATTTTTCTTTCTACTGTATTATGGTGTCTGTCACTAAGACATAGGTATAACCTGGAATTGCATTATTGAAATTGTTTTTTTCAATTACCTTTCTAAGATAATTACCTTTGTACTAGACAGTTTTAAAAATCAATAAAATATTCTTGGCAATAGTCAGTAACAATTAATAATACAACTCATGTTAACAAACAGTTATTCAACTTAGCAAAAATAACTATTTTATAATGCCCTCAAATACTAAGAAAAGCATTTGGACTAAGAAAAGCAAATATAAAGTATATTTCTTGAAGGATATAGTTTAAAATAACTGCTCCTTCTTGGTAAAGTTGAGAATAGACTCTATCAATACCAATGACTTCAGCTGAAGGTAACAATGAATGAAGCTGTCATCAATTATTTTAAAATCACAGGGTCTCTAAGTATTCTCATGTGTCATTGGTTTGTATAGAGGCTTGATTGATTTATCTTGTCCATTGTCACATTCTTTTTAAAAATTTTTAATTTTTAATTTTTGTGGGTACATTGTAGGTGTACGTATTTATGGAGTACATGAGATGTTCAGATACAGGCATGCAATGCATAGTAATCACATCCAGGTAAGTGGAGTATCCATCACCTCAAGCAATACACTCGTTTCTCTTCAGATTTTACAAATCTTTTGCCTTTCACTATCATATTCTTGGGGTACCAAGAATCCTGTCAAATATTACTTGATGGAATGACAAGTGCTGTGATATACCAATTCTAATGATATAAATAACTATTTCAATTCTTTTGATTCTGATCCATACTTGTTAATGATTGCCCACTAATAAATGGTCGAAGAAAGTCTGGCTATTTTGTTGTTGTTGTTGAGATGGAGTCACATTTTGTCACCTAGGCTGGATTGCAGTGGCACGATCTCAGCTCACTGCAACCTCCGCCTCCTGGGTTCAAACGATTCTCATGCCTCAGTCTCCTGAGTAGCTGGGATTGCAGGCTTGTGCCAGCATGCCCAGATAATTTTTGTATTTTTAGTAGAGACAGGGTTTCACCATGTTGGCGGGTTGGTCTCGAACTCCTGACCTCAAGTGATCCGCCCGCCTCTGCCTCCCAAAGTGTTAGGATTACAGACGTGAGCCACCGCACCCGGCCAAGTTGGGCTATTTGTAATTGGTCTAAAGTTTTTGATCCATAAAATGAGAATAGTCACTGAAGGTGTTGGTTGGATAGACATGTGGAATAACCAATACAAATGAATTATTAAGACATTTGCAAATATGAAAATTCTATAATAGATATTAATAATAATTTTAGATAGACACTCATAATTATAACTTTGGGTGAATATCTTATGGGTTACTCCTCCTTTGCATTAGAGTTTGCTCAAATCTTTTCCAAGCAGCTCCCTGTTCATTGGCATCTTTAATGCTATTTGACAGAAAGAGTCAAAACCTTTCCTTCAACAGAATGTTCAGTAAACTTCACCAAATAACCATTAATTAAGCAATTAAAGTAAATTTAAGGAAAAAAGAATTTTGAAAAGAGAGTAGAATTAACTCAAAAGATAGTTTAAAAATAGTTTTCTAGCACTTCAGTCATTATTGACCAAAAAGTTCCTAGGGGATATTAACAATGCATTTGATAGTTGCCAAGGAAACCTTAACCTTTCCTGAGAATGTCTGCCCTTCTGCATTGTACCTGATTGTCAGAATAACTTCAGCAACTGATTATAACTGAGCCATTTTCAACATCAAGCTTTTTCTTGTCAACCTCTTTTCAAAGTACAAGCACGAGTATTCAGGGTATCTTGCTTTGTATCTGTATTTATATTTCTGAGAATTAGTACTTCAAATATGAATGTTCTTTATACCAATTTCCCCAATCAGTCCTCACCACCATGTAAGATAAATCAGTCCTAGTTTAGAGACAAGGAAACTGAGGTACCACAACGTGTTTATTGTGTAAGAATGATTCCATCATAAATCTTGCTAGCTTCCTTTATTCAGAGCACAACTGAACAAATATCTAGCACTACTTAAAAAACCTGTGTTTTCATGTATGTCGATAAAGTATAAATCGTTGAGGTGATGGAAAAAGCATCAGATAGGGAGTCAGGAGACCTGGTAAGCCAAGTGTGTGACATTGGCTGAGCTAACAGGTCTCTCAATTTCTTCATCTCTTAAATGGCAATGATACCATCCATCTCATAGGGATGTTAGGAGAATTAAATGACAGTGCAGAACACATTACATAATTAACATAGTAAGCACTCAAAATCTAGTGAGTACTCTTATTGTTTAAGGGCTATGTGTCATATCAATAAATACTCTGTTTTCTAAATACTGACTTGAGGATTGTGATCTATAGAAATATATGATGGGGTTAGGAGAACAACATATCTGATATTAGAATCATGCTGGAAATTCCAAGACATATGGCCATCATACACATGGCATAATACTGCATGGGCAGGGTGGGAAGGGAATACTACTTATTTATTATAATAGTAATAAATATAATATAATAATAGTAATATAATATAATATATATATTATATAATATATTATATTATATAATATAATAGTAGTATAAATAAATACTACTTATTTATTATAATGCCGGACACTGTGCTAAATACTTTGTATTCTGTTCTTGCATTAAATCCTCACAATTTAATGAATGGGTGGTGTTATTATCTCCACATGTGTAACATTATTAGGCTTTAAAATAAGAAAGGGAGCACAAATGTACTCTTTGGGAGAAACCTGCAGAATTAGTTTCCTCTGTACTAGAGCAAATTAAAAGTTTATATCCATGCAAATTATACCTGTGCAAGTCCATACACAAGTTGGTTAATAACAATGGGAAAAGAAAGATAGGAAGCAGTGATGTAGTAAGTAGAACATTGCTTTGTATGTTTATGAAGATTCAAGATAAAATGAAAACAACAATCTAGATTGAAAACTGAGTGTTTCTATTTTTTAAATCTACCATTGTTAAAACAAGTATTGAATTATTTGTGTGTGTGAAAATTCAAGCAAAAGCCAAACATAACAAAACAGAAACCACCCACTCCTAACATTTGTCCCTAGTTTATCCAAGTCCCTAGGTTGTCTTTATTTGTGGCTAAGCATGCTATAAAGGAGGACGCTTGCATGCATTTATAGGCATCATGTAAATGTAAAGATGCTAAGAAAATATGACTAACATTATGTTGAGAACCAACAAAATGAGCACTTTCTCAAGCTTCTTTCATGTTATGTCTTGTATAGATATAGAAGTTTTTTTTCTGGGATCTATGAGTGAGTCTAAGATGATTTTTTATTGTGGTAAAATATACATAAAATTAACCATTTTAATTGTTTATAAGTGTACAACTCAGTGGCATTAAATACCTTGACATGTTGGGCAGCCATTACAACTATTTATCTCCAGAACTTTTTCATCACCCTAAATGGATACTCCACACCCATTGAACAATAACTGCCGGTATCTACCTCCTTCCAATCTCTGATATCCATCATTCTACTTTCTACTCCTATTAATCTTACTATTCTTGATAACTCATATAAGTGAAATCATACATTAATTGTCCTTTTGTGTCTGGCTTATTTCATTTCACTTAGCATAATGTTTTCAAGCTTCATCCAGGTTTTAGAATGTATTAAATTCTATTCATTTTTAAAGCTGAATAATATTCCATTGTATATAAATAACATGTTTTGTTTATCCATTCATCTATTGATGGACATTTGGATTCTTTTCACTTTTTGGCTTTTGTAAATAATGCTGCTTTGAATATTGGTGTACAAATATCTGTTCGAGTCCCTGCTTTCAATTCTTTCAGGTGTGTACCCAAAAGAATTGCTAGATTATATAGTAATTACTTGTTTAAATTTTTAAGGAACTGCTATGCTGTTTTTCACAGTGGTTGCACCATTTTACATTCCACTAGCAATGCACAAGGCTTCCAGGTTCTCCACATTCTCAACACTTGTTATTTTCTGTTTTTTAAAAATAATAGTCATGCTAATAGGTGTGAAATATAATAGTATCTTACTGTGCTTTTGATTTGTATTTTCCTAACAGTTAGTGCTGTTCAACATCTTTCATGTTCTTAGTGACCATTTGCATATCTTCCTTGGAGAAATGTCTATTTGAGTCCTTTGCCCATTTTTGAATTTTTGTTGTTGTTGTTGAGTTGTAGGAGTTCTTTATATATTCTGGATCTTAACCCTTATCAGATATGTGATTTGAAAATTTTTTCTCCCATTCTGTCATTGCCATTTCATTTCAGAGTATCTGTTGGTACACAAAAGTTTTAAATTTTGGTGAACTCCATTTATCATTTTTTTATTTAGTTGCCTGTGTTTATGGTGTCATATCCAAGAAATCATTGTCAAATCTGATGTCTTGAAGTTTTTGCTCTCTGTTTTCTTCTAAGAATTTTATAGTATTAGCTCTTATATTTAGGTGCATTATATTGGTGTATTATATGTGTTTACATTGATTCTCATGTGTTGAAACACCCTTGCATTCCAGTAATAAATCCCACTTGTTCTTGTTGTAGAATCCTTTTAATATGCTGCTGAATTTGGTTTGATAGTATTTATTAATATTGGAAGACTTGTACACCAACATTCGTAAGGGATTTTGGTTTGTGGTTTTCTTTTCTTGTGGTGTCTTTGTCTGGTTTTGGTATCAGGGTAATGCTGGACTCATAGAATGAATTAAGAAGTGTTATCTCTTCAGTATTTTGGAAGGGTGTGAGTAGGATTGGTATTCATTTTGGTTTTTTTTACATGTTTGATAGAATTAATCAAGTAAGCTGTTTGGTCTAGGGCTTTTCTATGTTGGGAGGTTTTTGATTCAATCTTCTTAATAGTTATAAGTTATGAAGATTTTTTATTTCTTCATGATTCAATCTTGGTAGGTTGTATATTTTTAAGAATTTGTCCATTTCATGTAGGTTATTCAATTCGTTGGCATGCAATTCTTTATAGTACTCTTTTATAATCTGGTTTAAAAAATTTATTTAAAACCAGTAAGGAATACCTTCACTTTCATTTTTGATTTTAATAATTTGAGTTTTCTCTCTTTTTTTCATAGTCAAACTAGGTGAAGAGTGGTATATTTTATCAAAGAACTGACTTTTGGTTTTCTTGATTTTTTTCTGTTGTTCCCCTATTCTCTATTTTATGTTTCTCCACTTTAATCTATTATTTCCATCTTTCTGCTAGTTTTGGGTATAGTTCGTTGTTTTACTGGTTCCTAATGGTGTAAATTTAGGTCGCTGATTTGAAATTTTTCTTCTTTTTTAAAGGTAAGTGTTTACAGGTATAAATTTCCTCTTCACACTGCTTTCATTGTCTCTTGTATACACTTTGGTATGTCATATTTTTGTTTTCCCTTGTTTCAAAATATTTTCTAATTTCCCTGTGATTTCTTTTTTGACCTATTGGTTATTTAAAAGTACGTTGTTTAATTTCCACATACTGGTGAATTTTCCAATTTTCCTTCTGCTATTGATCGCTAGTTTCATTCCATCATGATTGGAAAAACTTTATATGATTTCAATCTTTTAAAATTTATTAAGACATTTTTTATGGTCTAAATATGGCCTACCCTGGAGAATGTTCCTTGTGCACTTGAGAAAAATGTGTATTCTGCTGCTATTGGATGGAGTGCTCTGTACATGTCTGTTAGGCCCAATTGATTTATAATGTTCAAATTCTCTGTTTCCTTGTTGATCTTATGTCTGGGTTTTTGATCCATTATTGAAAGTGGAGTGACAAAGTATCCAGTAATTATGTATCTGTCTGTTTCTCCCTTTAATTCTGTAAATGTTTGCTTCATATATTTTGGAGGTTTGATGTTTGATTTGTATATGTTTATAATTATTATATCTTCTTGGTGAATTGACTCCTTCATCAATATACCATATGCTTATTTGTCTCTTATAACAGTTTTTGATTTTAAGTCCTTTTTTTTCCCTGATATTAAGATAGCCACCTGGCTTTCTTTGGATACTATTTGTATGGAGTATCTTTCCACATCTTTTCACTTTCACCATGTTTGTGTCCTTAGGTATAAAGTTAGTCTCTTGTATATGACATTTAGTTGACTAATATTTTTAAAATCTATTCTGCTAGTCTATGCCTTTTTATTGGGGAATTTAATTCATTTACTTTTGAAGCGATTGCTGATAAGGAAGGACCTATATTTACCATTTTGTTATTTTATTTTCTGTATGTCTTAAAGCTTTTCATCCCTCATTTCTTCTATTACCATTTTCCTTTGTGTTTAGTTGACTTTTTGTAGTGACATGTTTTGATTCCTTTTTCATTTCCTTTGTATATATTCTATAGGTATTTTCTTTGTGGTTACCATGGGAATTACATATCACATCCTGAAGCTACAGCAATTTATTTTGAATTGATACCAGCTTACCTTCAATTACATACAAAAACTCTATTCCTTAATAGCCTCTTCCCTGCCTCCACCATTTTGTTTTCAAAGTTACAAATTCCATCTTCATACATTGTGTGCCCATTAACATAGATTTATAATTATAATTATATTTATGCATTTGTCTTTTAATTTCTATAGAAAACAAAAGTGGAGTTACAAACCAAAAATACAATGATACTGGTTCTTATGTTTGCCCATGTACTTACCTTTACCAGAGATGTGTATAGCTTCATATGACTTTGCATTGCTGTTTAGGGCCTTTCATTTCAACCCAAAGGACAGGGCAGTTATGGTAATAATGAATACCCTCAGCTTTTGTTTAACTGGAAATGTCTTAATGTTTTATTCATTTTTGAAGGGCTGGTTTGCCAATTATAGATTTATTCATTGACAATTTTTCTCTTCCAGCACTTTAAATATATCATCTCACTGCCTTCTGGCCTCCAAATTTTCTGTTGAGAAAGCAGCTGATACTATTATTGATGATGTCTTATGTATGATAAGCTGCTTCTCTCTTGTAGCTTTCAGGGTTATCTTTGTATTTGGCTTTTGACAGTTTGATTTTAATGTATCTCAGTGTGGGTGTCTTCAGGTTTTTCCTACTTGGAATTTATTGAACTTCTCGGATTGTAAATTCATGTTGTTTATCAACTTTAGGAAGTTTTTGCCGTTATTTCTTTAACTATGCTATCTGCCCTTCTATGTCTTCTACTTCTGAGACTCCCATAATATGTATATTGATACTCTTGATGGTGTTTCATAAGTCCTGTTGACTCTGTTCATTTTTATTCATTCTTTTTTCTTTATACTCCATAGACTTGTTAATTTCTAATATCCTATGTTCCAGTTCATCAATTTTTTTCTTCTGTCTGCCCAAACCTGCTGTTTAAGCCCTTTAGTAAATTTTTAAATTCGGTTATTATATTTTTCCACTCCAGAATTTTTGTTTGGTTCCTTTTTAAATTTCTCTTTTTGTTGATATTCTCATTTTGTTTATATATTAATATTTTAAAATTTCCTTTAGTTCTTTTCCTGTGTTTTCCTTTAGTTATTTGAGCATATAAAAGACAGTTGATGTAAAGTCTTTGTCTAGTAAGTCCAATACTTGTTTTTCTTCAGGGGTGGTTTCTCCCAGTTTATTTTCTTTCTTTGAATGAACATGTTTTTCAGTTTCTTTATATGCCTTGTGATTATTATTTGTGTGTTGATAATTGAGCATTTGAAAAAACAACCACCTCTTTCAGTCTTTACAGATTTGCTCTGTGCTTGAACAGTCCTGCACAATTAGTCAGGTATGCATGCCCTGAGTCTTGGGATCAGCCTGAGGTGATAGCTGAAGGTCTTCTTAAGTCTTTTCTGTGTATATGTCTTGCTTGGGCCCTGGTGTGGCTTTTTAAATCCCCTGTATAGATAGCTGAAATTTGAATATCTTAGTTTCCAAAAATGTCTCATTCCAGTTTCTCCTTGGGACATTAGATGGTCCATTGTATGTCTCCACCTATATTTTCTTGTCCCACACAACTACAGGTCTGTTGCTCTCTTGCAGCTTTCAAAAGCAATGCCTGCTGCTTTCCTGCATGAGCTCTGAGTTAGGCAAAACTGAAATCAGTCCTTCAGGCAGCCCTCACACATGTTAGAAGATTGCAAATAAAGTATTCTCTATGGGAGATAATTGAGAACTGAGCTACCACTTTGCCAGACCAAGATTGTGCTGTGCAGAGGAGGAAGTGGGGCAAAGGTGAGCAGAAATGCCATGGAATTTTCCACAATTTTGAATCTGGCTTTTCCTTAAGTGAGTATTCAGTTGATTGCTCCTCTAAGGTTATGCTAGTCAGTTTCTGGTAGTTTTTGATGTTTCCATAGGGGAACAAGAGATTGGAGCTTCCTAGTATGCAATTTTGCTGATGTTATTCCAGATTTAGATATTTTAAATTAGAAGAACATGACCTATACTGTAGTTAACAAACATCTCAAATTTTTCCTTAAGGGGAAGAACAAGCTAAAAATATAAAGAGAGTACAGAAAGATCAAAGATAAGTTTTCTAAACCATGATTGATGGATCTTTAGAGACTCTGTGCACATATTTTAAGGCTTCTATGAGCTACCTGGAATTGAACACCCAAGTTTGTATTTATTTATGATTGGTCTTGGTAGTAGAAAAGCATCCATAGCTTTTATTAGATTCTTAAAGGGAATATATTTGATTTTTTCCTATTTATAAAAGTAATACATACATCTCAAATGATCTACTGCCCACAAAATACCAGAGAAGTTCTATTTAACCATAAATGGTAAGATCATTATGTTACATATATTGGTGGTTAGTGGACTAGTGATTTAAACTACTCCAGAACATGCATGAAAAGGTAAAACTTCCACATTCACTTTAAGAGATTAACACAACCTTTAAATCAAACTTGAAAAAAACTTTAAGAAAAAAGGGTAAATTACAGACTAATCTGACATGTATATATGAGTGCAAACAGCATACAAACTTCTGTCTTTCCACATATGTTCATTGCAGCACTATTCTCAATAGTGAAGACATGGAATCAACCTAAATGCCCACCAATGATAGACTTAATAAAGTAAATGTGGTACATATACACCATGGAATACTACACAGTGATAAAAATGACAGGATCATGTCTTTGCAGGGACAAGGATGGAGCTGGAGGCCATTTTCCATAGCAAACAACACAGGAACAGAAGACCAAATACCGGAGGGTTCCAAGATGACCAAATAGGAACAGCTCCAGTCTACAGCTCCCAGTGTGAGCGACGCAGAAGACGGGTGATTTCTGCATTTCCAACTGAGCTTTGAAGAGAGTAGTGGTTCTCCCAGCACAGAGTTTGAGATCTGAGAACGGACAGACTGCCTCCTCAAGTGGGTCCCTGACCCCTGAGTAGCCTAACTGGGAAGCACCCCCCAGTAGGGGCAGACTGACACCTCACACGGCCGGGTACCCCTCTGAGATGAAGCTTCCAGAGGAATGATCACGCAGCAACATTTGCTGTTCAGCAATATTCGCTGTTCTGCAGCCTATGCTGCTGATACCCAAGCAAACAAGGTCTGGAATGGACCTCCAGCAAACTCCAACAGACCTGCAGCTGAGGGTCTTGACTGTTAGAAGGAAAACTAACAAACAGAAAGGATATCCACACCAAAACCCCATCTATACATCACCATCATCAAAGACCAAAGGTAGATAAAACCACAAAGATGGGGAAAAAACAGAGCAGAAAAGCTGAAAATTCTAAAAATCAGAGCACCTCACCCCCTCCAAAGGAATGCAGCTCCTTGCCAGCAATGGAACAAAGCTGGATGGAGAGTGACTTTGACGAGTTGAGAGAAGAAGGCTTCAGAGGATCAAACTTCTCCGAGCTAAAGGAGGAAGTTCGAACCCAATGAAAATAAGCTAAAAACCTTGAAAAAAGATTAGACGAATGGCTAACTAGAATGACCAGCATAGAGAAGTCCTTAAATGACTTGATGGAGCTGAAAACCATGGCAGGAGAACTACACGACGAATGCACAAGCTTCAGTAGCTGATTCGATCAACTGGAAGAAAGGGTATCAGTGATTGAAGGTCAAATTAATGAAATGAAACAAGAAGAGAAGTTTAGAGAAAAAAGAGTAAAAAGAAATGAACAAAGCTTCCAAGAAATATGAGACTGTATGAAAAGACCGAATCTACGTCTGATTGGTGTACCTGAAAGTGAGGGGGAGAATGGAACCAAGTTGGAAAACACTCTGCAGGATATTATCCAGGAGAACTTCCCCAAACTAGCAAGGCAGGCCAACATTCAAATTCAGGAAATACAGGGAATGCCACAAAGATACTCCTCGAGAAGAGCAACTCCAAGACACTTAATTGTCAGATTCACCAAAGTTGAAATGAAGGAAAAAATGTTAAGGGCAGCCAGAGAGAAAGGTCGGGTTACCCACAAAGGGAAACCCATCAGACTAACAGCTGATATCTCTGCAGAAACTCTACAAGCCACAAGAGAGTGGGGGCCAATATTCAACATTCTTCAAGAAAAGAATTTTCAACCCAGAATCTCATATCCAGTCAAACTAAGCTTCATAAGTGTAGGAGAAATAAAATACTTTACAGACAAGCAAATGCTGAGAGATTTTGTCACCACCAGGCCTGCCCTAAAAGAGCTCCTGAAGGAAGCACTAAACATGGAAAGGAACAACCAGTACCAGTCACTGCAAAAACATGACAAATTATAAAGACCATCGAGGCTAGGAAGAAACTGCATCAACTAATGGGCAAAATAACCAGCTAACATCATAATGACAGGATCAAATTCACACATAACAATATTAAACTTAAATGTAAATGGGCTAAATGCTCCAATTAAAAGACACAGACTGTCAAATTGGATAGAGTCAAGACCCATCAGTGTGCTGTATTCAGGAGACCTATCTTACATGCAGAGACACACATAAGCTCAAAATAAAGGGATGGAGGAAGATCTACCAAGCAAATAGAAAACAAAAAAAGGCAGGAGTTGCAATCCTAGTCTCTGATAAAACGACTGTAAACCAACAAAGATCAAAAGAGACAAAGAAGGCCATTACATAATGGTAAAGGGATCAATTCAACAAGAACAGCTAACTATCCTAAATATATATGCACCCAATACAGGAGCACCTAGATTCATAAAGCAAGTCTTTAGAGATCTACAAAGAGACTTAGACTCCCACACAATAATAATGGGATATTTTAACACCCCCCGTCAACATTAGACAGATCAATGAGACAGAAAGTTAACAAGGATATCCAGGAATTGAACTCAGCTCTGCACCAAGCGGACTTAATAGACAGCTACAGAACTCTCCACCCCAAATCAACAGAATATACATTCTTCTCAGCACCACATCACACTTATTACAAAATTCACCACATGGTTGGAAGTAAAGCACTCCTCAGCAAATGTAAAAGATGAGAAATTATAACAAAGTGTCTCTCAGACCACAGTGCAATCAAACTAGAACTCAGGATTAAGAAACTCACTCAAAACCGCACAACTACATGGAAACTGAACAACCTGCTCCTGAATGACTACTGGGTACATAATGAAATGAAGGCAGAAATAAAGAGGTTCTTTGAAACCAATGAGAACAAAGACACAACATACCAGAATCTCTGGGACACATTCAAAGCAGTGTGTAGAGTGAAATTTATAGAACTAAATGCCCACAAGAGAAAGCAGGAAAGATCTAAAATTGATACCATAACATCACAATTAAAAGAACTAGAGAAGCAAGAGCAAACACATTCAAAAGCTAGCAGAAGGCAAGAAATAACTAAGATCAGAGCAGAACTGAAGGAGTTAGAGACACAAAGAACCCTTCAAAAAAATCAATGAATCCAGGAGCTGGTTTTTTGAAACAATCAACAGAATTGATAGACCACTAAGCAAGACGAATAAAGAAGAAAAGAGAGAAGAATCAAATATACTCAATAAAAAATGATAAAGGGGATATCAGCACCAATCCCACAGAAATACAAGCTACCATCAGAGAATACTATAAACACCTCTATGCAAATAAATGAGAAAATCTAGAAGAAATGGATAAATTCCTGGATGCATACACCCTCCCAAGACTAAACCAGGAAGAAGTTGAATCCCTGAATAGACCAATAACAGGCTCTGAAATTGAGGCAATAATTAATAGCCTACCAACAAAAAAAGTCCAGGACCAGACGGATTCACAGCAGAATTCTACCAGAGGTACAAGGAGGATCCAGTACCATTCCTTCTGAAACTATTCCAATCAATAGAAAAAGAGGGAATCCTCCCTAACTCATTTCATGAGACCAGCATCATCCTGATATCAAAGCCTGGTAGAGACACAACCAAAAAAGAGAATTTTAAACCAATATCCCTGATGAACATGAATGCAAAATCCTCAGTAAAATACTGGCAAACCGAATCCAGCAGAACATGAAAAAGCTTTTCCACCATGATCCAGTGGGCTTCATCCCTGAAATGCAAGGCTGGTTCAACATATGCAAATCAATAAATGTAATCCAGCATGTAAACAGAACCAAAGACAAAAACCACATGATTATCTCAATAGATGCAGAAAAGGCCTTTGACAAAATTCAACAACCCTTCATACTAAAAACTCTCAATAAATTAGGTATTGATGGGACCTATCTCAAAATAATAAGAGCTATTTATGACAAACCCACAGCCAATATCATACTGAATGGGCAAAAACTGGAAGCATTCCCTTTGAAAACTGGCACAAGACAGGGATGCCCTCTCTCCCCATTCCTATTCAACATAGTCTTGGAAGTTCTGGCCAGGGCAATCAGGCAGGAGAAAGAAATAAAGGGTATTCAGTTAGGAAAAGAGGAAGTCAAATTGTCCCTGTTTGCAGATGACATGATTGTATATCTAGAAAGCCCCATCGTCTCAGCCCAAAATCTCCTTAAGCTGATAAGCAACTTCAGGAAAGTCTCAGGATACAAAATCAATGTGCAAAAATTACAAGCATTCTTATACACCAATAACAGACAAACAGAGAGCCAAATCATGAGTGAACTCCCATTCACAATTGCTTCAAAGAGAATAAAATACCTAGGAATCCAACTTACAAGGGATGTGAAGGACCTCTTCAAGGAGAACTATAAACCACTGCTCAACGAAACAAAAGAGGACACAAACAAATGGAAGAACATTCCATGCTCATGGATAGGAAGAATCAATATCATGAAAATGGCCATACTGCCCAAGGTAATTTATAGATTCAATGCCGTCCCCATCAAGCTACCCCTGACTTTCTTCACAGAATTGGAAAAAACTACTTTAAAGTTCATATGGAACCAAAAAAGAGCCCGCATTGCCAAGAGAATCCCAAGCCAAAAGAACAAAGCTGGAGGCATCACGCTACCTGACTTCAAACTATACTACAAGGCTAAAGTAACCAAAACAGCATGGTACTGGCACCAAAACAGAGATATAGACCAATGGAACAGAACAGAGCCCTCAGAAATAATACCACACATCTACAACCATCTGATCTTTGACAAAGCTGACAAAAACAAGAAATGGGGAAAGGATTCCCCTTTTAATAAATGGTGCTGGGAGAACTGGCTAGCCATATGTAGAAAGCCGAAACTGGATCCCTTCCTTACACCTTATACAAAAATTAATTCAAGATGGATTAAAGACTTAAATGTTAGACCTAAAACCATAAAAACCCTAGAAGAAAACCTGGGCAATACCATTCAGGACATAGGCATGGGCAAGGACTTCATGTCTAAAACACCAAAAGCAATGGCAACAAAAGCCAAAATTGACAAATGGGATCTAATTAAACTCAAGAGCTTCTGCACGGCAAAAGAAACTACCATCAGAGTGAACAGGCAATCTACAGAATGGGAAAAAATTTTTGCAATCTACTCATCTGACAAAGGGCTAATATCCAGAATCTACAAAGAACTCAAACAAATTTACAATAAAAAAAAACCCCATCACAAAGTGGGCAAAGGATATGAACAGACACTTCTCAAAAGAAGACATTTATGCAGCCAACAGACATATGAAAAAATGCTCATCATCACTGGCCATCAGAGAAACGCAAATCAAAACCACAATGAGATATCATCTCACTCCAGTAAGAATGGCAATCATTAAAAAGTCAGGAAACAACAGGTGCTGGAGAGGATGTGGAGAAATAGGAACATTTTACACGTTGGTGGAACTGTAAACTAGTTCACCCATTGTGGGAGACAGTGTGGTTATTCCTCAAGGATCTAGAACTACAAATACCATTTGACCCAGCCATCCCATTACTGGGTATATACCCAAAGGATTATAAATCATGCTTCTATAAAGGCACATGGACACGTATGTTTATTGCAGCACTATTCACAGGAGCAAAGACTTGCAACCAACCCAAATGTCCATCAATGATAGACTGGATTAAGAAAATGTGGCACATACACACCATGGTATACTATGCAGCCATAAAAAAAGATGAGTTCACGTCCTTTATAGGGACATTGATGAAGCTGGAAACCATCATTCTCAGCAAACTATCACAAGAACAAAAAACCAAACACCGTATGTTCTCACTCAGAGGTGGGAATTGAACAATGAGAACACTTGGACACAGGAAGGTGAACACACACCGGGGCCTGTTGTGGGGCGGTGGGTGGGGGGAGGGAAAGGATTAGGAGATATACCTAATGTAAATGACGAGTTAATGGGTGCAGCACACCAACATGGCACATGTATATATATGTAACAAACCTGCATGTTGTGCGCATGTACCCTAGAACTTAAAGTATAATAATAATAAAAAAAGAAGACCAAATACCGCATGTTTTCACTTATAAGTGGGAGCTAAATGATGAGAACATATGTACACATAGAAGGGAACAAAACACACTGGGGCCTTTTGAAGGGTGGAGGGTGGGAGGAGGGAGAGGATCAGGAAAAAGAACTAAGTATTAGGCTTAATACCTGGGTGATGAAATAATCTGTACAACAAACCCCAATGACACAAGTTTACCTATGTAACAAACCTGCACTTGTCCCTCTGAACTTAAAAGTTAAAAAAGAAGATACACCACAGTTTATTTATTCATTCATCTACTGAAGGGCATCTTGTTTGCTTTCAAGTTTTGGAAATTTTAAATAAAGATGCTATTGTAATACAAAAAAACTTGTGTGTTTCCCTTGTCAAAGTAGATTTACACCTTCTCAGACAGTGATTTAAACCATATTGTAGGCTAGCCCAAACTAGATTATTTCCCCTATCTCCATCCTTATTTATTATTATATAAATCCATTCCCATTTACCTGGACTGCACCCAGGTATCCTATCTCTAAATTGCATGTTTTTTTTTTGTTTGTTTTTTTTCATTATACATTGTTGCTGAAAAGCTTGAATTAAAAGTGAGGGAAGGCCGGGTGCGGTGACTCACGCCTGTAATCCCAGCACTTTGGGAGGCTGAGGCGGGTGGATCATGACATCAGGAGATCGAGACCATCCTGGCCAGCATGGTGAAACACTGTCTCTACTAAATAAAAAAATTAGCTGGGCATGGTGGTGCACGCCTGTAGTCCCAGCTACTCAGGAGTCTGAGGCAGGAGAAATGCTTGAACCCGGGAGGCGAAGGTTGCGGTGAGCTGAGATCGCACCACTGCACTCCAGCCTGGAGACAGAGTGAAACTCCATCTCAAAAAAAAAAAAAAGCGGGTGGAAATATAGCTTTCCCTAAAAATATAGTTACTCCTACATGAATGTGAAAACTAATGAATACCTATTATTTTGGTATCTGTAAATTTGGTGAGATATAGAATCATTTCTTCATTGTTTAATATTTATCAAAAGCTACAATGATCTGATCAACCTAATAAAATGATGAGAAAAACAAGAAAGTTGAAAATGAATCCTAAAGATTTTACAGAGTCTGTAAACTGTATAATAGTTTAGCCAAGACCATAAAAACCTCTTTTTTTGGGAAAAGTCTTCTGGTCCTCAAATCCATGGTTACAGTATAAGCATGAATTTTGAAACTTCTGAATGGTAAATTGTTCATTTATATGTCTGATAGTAAACAGGACTATATCTGATAAAATATAAAATCAATGATGCATTATAAAATCAAGTAGATCAATAAACCATGAGACAATAGTTTTTTTTTCCTTGATTCTAGTGGTTAAATTATATTAAAACATTCCTTTGGCAGTCGTTATACTATAGCTTTTCCAGTAAGGAAGAAAATGCTGTATAATAAACAAATAAGGTTTTATTAATAAATATAACTATATCATGGCAATTTTGCATATTTTGAGGTCAGATATTTTTAGAAGAAATTTAGAAAAATTTTGACATATTTAGAAGTCAGAATTTTATTTTAGAAGAAAAGTTTTTATAGTGATGTTATTGGAGAAGTGTCCAAGATAGCTGACCAGAAGCAGGTTAGGTGTGGGGCTCTCACAAAGAGGAATGGATAGGGTGAGTAAATACAGCACCTTCAACTGAAACATCTAGCTACTTGCCTTGGGACTAATCAAGAAAACAACTTGACCCCTGGAGAACAGAGAAAAGCAAGGCAGGACGATGGCCCACCTGGGAGTGACATGGACCCAAGGGAAGTTCCCCACTCAGGGAAGTGGTGAGTGAATGTGTGATCCCAAGAAACCAGACTTCTCCCATGGATCTTTGCAACTCTTGGGTCTGGAGATCCCCTCATGAACCCACTCCATCAGGGCCTTCAGTCTGACACACAGAACTATGTTGAGTCTCTGCAGAGCAACTGCTCGGGCACGTGCAGAGACCCAGGAGCTTTAGGTACTCCAGCTCTGGGCTTCCCAGCAAAAGTAATTGAAATTCCAGCAAAGTGGGAGGTTAGACTCCCCATAAATACTCCTAAGAAAGAGGCTGAATCCAGGGGGCCAAGCAGCAATGGTCTGCGGACCCCACTTCCATGGCACCTCACAGGATAAAACCCACTGGCTTGGAATTCCAGCCAGGCACTGGTAGCAATGTTGTGCCTCCTTGGGACAGAGCTCCTGGGGAAGGGTGGGCCACCATCTTTGCTGTTTGGGTGATTTAGCCATTTCAGCCTGTGGGCTTTGGAGAGTCTGAACTGACCTGGGGTGGAAGGGATCCCCCCCTTCCACAGCACAGCACAGCTACTCTACCAAAGTGTGGCCAGACTGCTTCTTTGAGTGGGTCCCGGATCCATTCCTCCTCACTAGGCAGGACCTCCCAACCGGAGTCTTCAGCCACCCCTGCTGGTGTTCTCTAACAGAGATTTGAGAACTCCCAGGGACAGGGCTTCCAAAGGGAGTGGCAGGCTGCCATCTTTGCTGTTTGGGTGACTTAGCCATTCCAGTCTGTGGGATTTGGAAAGTGCAAGCTGACAGGGGCAGAAATGGTACTCCAGCACAGCACAGCACAGCTGCTCTATGAAAGCATGGCCAAACTTATTCTTTAAGTGGGCCCTCCTTCCTGTTCCTCCTCACTGGGTGGGACCTCCCAACTGGGGCCTCCAGCCATCCCTGCTGGTGTTTTCTGGCGACAGCGATTTGAAAAGTCCTGGAGACAGAGCTCCCAGAGTGAGGGGTGGGTCACCATCTTTGCTTTTTGGGCGACTTAGCTGTTACAGCCTGCAGGCTTTGAAAAGCCCAAGCTGAACAGCGGTGGAAGTGGCACCCCAGCACAACACAGCAGCCCCATGAAGACATGGCCAGACTGCTTTTTTAAGCAGGTCCCCGACCCTGTTCCTCATTACTGCGTGGAGTCTCCCAACCGGGATCTCTGGATACCGCCACTAGTATTGTCTGGCTGACAGAAGTTTCAGGCCTCCTTGGGACAGAGCTCTCAGGAGGAGGGGCAGGCCACCATCTTTGCTGTTTGGGCAACTTAGCCATTCCAGCCTTCAGGCTTCAGAGTGTCTGAGGCGACCAGGGCCTGAACTGGAGCCCAAGCACAGCAGAGTTGCTCTACAAAAATGTGGCCAGACTACTTTTTTAAGTGGGTCCCTGATCCCATTCCCCCTGTCTGGGTGAGATCTCCCATCCGGGGTCTCCATCCACAGTGCATTTGAGCCAGAAACATGTATGTACCTCCTTGATGCAAAGCTCCCAGAGGGAGGGGCAGGTTGTCATCTTTGTTATTTTGCAGCCTTCACTGGTGATACCTCCAGGTACTGGTAAATTTGAGGTGACTAGGGACTGGAGTGGACCCCCAGCATACCACAGCAGCCGTCTGGAAAGGTGGCCAGATTGTTAAAAGAAAAAAAATCATTCTAAGGTCATCTACCTCAAAGACTGAAGATAGATAAGCCCACAAAGATGAGAAAGATCAGCACAAGAACACAGAAAACTCAAAAACTGAGAGTGCCCTCTTGCCTCCGATTGACCATGTCACCTCTCCAGCAAGGGCTTGGAACCAGGCTGAGGCTAAGATGGCTGAAATGACAGAAGTAGAATTCAAAATATGGATAGGAACAAAGTTCACTGAGCTAAATGAATACATTGTAATCCAATGCAAGGAAGCTAAAAATCGTGATAAAACATTGCAGGAGCTGACAGTGAAAATAGCCAGTACAGAGAAGAACTTAACCAACCTAACAGAGCTGAAAAACAAAATAAAAGAATTTCATAATGCAATCACAAGTATTAATAGAATAGAACAAGTGGAGGAAAGAATCTCAGAGCTTGAAGACTGGCTGTCTGAAATAAGGCAGACAAAAATAGAGAAAAAGGAATGAAAAATGAACAAAAGTTACAAGAAATATGAGATTATGTAAACAAACAGAATCTATGACTTATTGGTGTACCTGAAAGAGATAGGGAGAACGGAACCAATTTGAAAAACATATTTCAGGATATCATTCATGAGAACTTGCCCAACCTAGCTAGAGAGGCCAACATTGAAACTCAGGAAATGCAGAGAACTCCAGTATGATACTCCACAATAAGATCCTCCCCAACACATATAATCATTGGATTCTTCAAGACTGAAATGAAGGAAAAAATGTTAACGGCAGCTAGAGAGAAAGGCCAGGTCACATACAAAGGGAAGCCCATCAGAATAACAGTGAATCTCCCAGCAGAAACCCTACAAGCCAGAAGAGAGTGGGGGCCAATATACAACATTTTCAAAGAAAATGAATTGCAACCCATAATTTCATGTCTGGCCAACTAAGCTCCGTAGGCAAAGGAGAAATAAGATCCTTTTCAGACAAGCAAATGCTGAGGAAATTGTTACCAACAGATCTGCCTTATAATATCTTCTGAAGGAAGCAGTAAATATGGAAAGGAAAGACCATTACCAGCCAATACAAAAAAAGCACTGAAGTACACAGACCAGTGAAACTATAAAGCAACCACATAAACAAGTTTGCAAAATAATCAGCTAACCTCATGATGACAGGATCAAATCCACACATAGCAATACTAACCATAAGTGTAAATGGGCTAAATGCCCCAATTAAAATATACAAAGTGGAAAGCTGGAAAAAGAACCAAGACTCATTGGTATGCTGTCTTTAATAGACCCATCTTACATGCAATGACACACAGAGTCTCAAAATAAAGGAGGAAAATCTACCAAGTAAATGTAAAACAGAAAAAAGCAGGGGTTGCAATCCTAGTTTCTGACACAACAGTATTTAAACCAACAAAGATCATAAAAGAAGAGCATTACATAATGGTAAAGGGTTCAATTCAACAAGAAGATCTAAACTATCCTAAATATATATGCAACCAACACAGGAGCACCCAGAATTCATAAAGCAAGTTCTTGGAGTACCTTTGAAGAGACTTAGACTCCCACATGGTAATAGTAGGAGACTTTAACAGCCTATTGACAATATTAAATATATCACCGAGACAGAAAATTAACAAAGATATTTAGGATCTGGGCTTAGCAGTGGATCAAATGGACCTGATAGATATCTACAGAACTTTCTACCTCAGAACAACAGAATATACACTCTTCTCATTGCCACATGGCAGTTATTCTAAAAGCGATCACATAATCAGAAGTAATTGCAAAAGAACTGAAATCATAAGAAATAATCTCTCAGACTACAGTGCAATCAAATTAGAAAAGATTAAGAAATTCACTCAAAACCTTGCAATCACATGGAGACTTATTAACCTGCTCCTGAATGACTTCTGGGTAAATAATAAAATTAAGGCAGAAATCAAGAAGTTCTTTGAAACTAAAGAGAACAAAAATACAACGTACCAGAATCTCTGGAACACAGCTAAGGTAACGTTAAGAGGGAAATTTATAACACTAAATATCCACATGAAAAAGTTAGAAAGATCTCAAGTAAACAACCTAATAACACAACTAAAAGAACTAGAGAACCAAGAGCAAACAAATCTCAAAGCTAGCAGAAGACAAGAAATAAAGTCAGAGCTGAACTGAAGGAGATAGAGACACGAAAAACCATTTAATAGATCAATGACTCCAGGAGTTGGTTTTCTGATAAACCATAATAACATAGATAGAATACTAGCTAGACTAATAAAGAAGAAAAGAGAAAATTCAAATAAACACAATCAGAAATGACAAGGGAAATACTACCACTGACCCCACAAAAATGCAAACAACTGTCAGAGAATATTAGGAACACCTCTATGCACATATACTAGAAGATCTAGAAGAAATGGATAAATTCCCAAATGCATACACCCTCCCAAGACTGAACCAGGAAGAAATTGAATCCCTGAACAGACCAACCATGAGTTCTGAAGTTGAGGCAGTAATAAATAGCATACCAACCAAAAAAGGCCCAGGACCAGATGGATTCACAGATGAATTCTACCAGATGTACAAAGAGGAGCTGGTACCATTCATTCAAATTGAAACTATTCCAAAAATCGAGGCAGAGGGACTCCTCCTTAACTCATTCTGTGAGGTCAGCATAATCCTGATACCAAAACCTGGCAGACATACAAAACAAAACAAAACAAAACAAAACAAGACAAAAAAGAAAACTTCAGACCAATATCCTTGATGAACATCAAGGCAAAAATCCTCAACAAAATATTGGCAAGTTGAATCCAGCAGCACATCAAAAAGCTTATCTGCCATGATCAAGTAGGTTTCATCCCCAGGATGCAAGGTTGGTTCAAAATATGCAAATTAATAAATGTGATTCATCACATAAACAGAACTAAGGACAAAAACCACATGATTATCTTCATAGATGCAGAAAAGGCTTTTAATAGCCATTCATTTAAAAACTCTCAATAAAGTAGGTATTGAAGGAACATATCTCAAAATAATAGGAGCCATGTATGACAAACCCACAGTCAATATCATACTGAATGGGCAAAAGATAGAAGCATTCCTCTTGAAAGCCAGCACAAGACAAGGATGCCCTCTATGACCACTCCTATTCAATGTAGAATTTGAAGTTCTGGCCAGGGCAAACAGGCAAGAGAAAGAAATAAAGGGCATCCAAATAGGAAGAGAGAAAGTCAAACTATCTCTGTTTTCAAATGATATGATCCTATATCTGGAAAACACTAGTCTCAGCCCAAAAGCTTCTTAAGCTGATAAGCAACTTCTGCAAAGTCTCAGGATACAAAATCAATGTGCAGAAATTACTAGCATTCCTATACAACAACAACAGTCAAGCTGAGAGCCAAATCACAAATGAACTCTCATTCAGAATTGCCCCAAAATAATAAAATACCTAGGAAGACAGCTAACTAGGGGGGTGAAAGATCTCTACAACGAGAACTACAAACCACTGCTCAAAGAAATTAGAGATGACAAAGAAATGGAAAGACATTCCATGCCCATGGATAGGAAGAATCAGTAATGTTAAAATGGCCATATGGCACAAAGCAATTTATAGATTGAATGCTACTTCTATTAAATTACCATTGACAGTCTTCACAGAAACAGAGAAAACTATTTTAAAATTTATATGGAACCAAAAAAGAGCTGAATAGCCAAGGAAAATCTGCAGCAAAAAGAACAAAGCTGGAGACACCATGCTACCTGACTTCAAACTATACTACAGGGCTGCACTAACCAAAATAGCATGGTACTGATAGAAAAAGAGACACATAGACTAATGAAACAGAATAGAAAAACCAGAAATAAGACCACACACTTACAACTATCTGATCTTCAACAAACCTGACAAAAACAAGCAATGGAAAAAAGGATTCCCTATTCAATAAATGGTGCTGGTACAACTGGCTAGCCATATACAGAAGATCAAACCCGAAGAGCTTCCTTACACCACATACAAAAATTATCTCAAGATGGATTAAAGACTTAACTGTACACACCTTCCTGTGGAAAGCCACAAAATCAGCACCAATTAGCATTTAATTATCAAGAATTAGAACATTTACAGACTGTGAAAAACATTTCATCTTTACAAATTCTGCCTCCCTCAGGTGATTCTGAGCAGCTTTCGAATGGCATAACTGTGATGCATCCACCTGGTGATAATGACACAACTATGTTAGAATTTGAATGTCAAGATCCTGTGCAGAAGGATGTAAAGATTAAGAATGCAGATTCATGGAAAAGTTTAGGCAAACCAGTGAAACCATCAGGTATACTGAAGTCCTCAGGTGAGCTCTTCAACCAATTTAGAAAAGCAGCCATAGAAAAGGAAGTAAAAGCTCAGACCCAGGAACTGTACGGAGACATTTGGAACAAAAGACAAAGGAACCAAAAGCATCTCAAGAAAATCAGAGGGATCTGGGAAATTAATTGACTGTAGAATCTTTTTCAGATAAAATGCAAAACAAGTGCTATGGAGAAGAGCAGAAAGAACATATGCAGTCATTGGAAGCTCAAGATAAATGCAAACTCTGGTTTCTCAAAGACCGTAATTTAACACGGGAGAAAGCACAAGAGTGGAGAAGGAGAGAAGCAATGGCAGGTACCATTGGTATGACTTCAAAGAGACATTATGACAATGTTTGAAAACAACTTTGATTAAAACTCAGTTTTTAAATTAACCGTCAACTTAAAATGAATGGTAAAAGATCAAAATGCATATGGTAAAATGATTGCTTTCAGATAACAAGATACCAATCTTATATTGTAGTTTGACCACTCTAAAATGATTAAATGGTTTTCACTTACAAAAAAATAGAAAGAAAAGACAACTGTAAAACCCAAAACAATGAAAACCCTGAAAGACAACCTAGGCAATACTATTTAGGACATAGGAATGGGCAAAGGTTTCATGATGAAGATGCCAAAAGCAATTACAACAAAAGCAAAAATTGACAGATGGTATCTAGTTAAACCTAAGAGCTTCTGCGTAGCAAAAGAAACTATCAATAGAGTAAACAGACAAACTACAGACTGGGGGAAAATTTTTGCAAACTATACATTTGACAAAGGTCTAATATCCAGCATCTATAAGAAATTAAACAAATTCACAAGAAAAAAAAACAACCCTGTAAAAAAGTGGGCAAAAGACAGGAATAGACACTTTGCAAAAGGCATACATGTGGCCAACAATCATATGAAATAAAGCTCAACATCACTAATCATTATTGGAATGTAGATCAAAGCCACAGTGAGATACCATCTCACACCCGTCAGAATGTCTCTCTCTCCACACACATACCATCTTATTTTTCCTGAACTGTTTGAGAATGTCTTGTTGATGCGATTCCTCTTCTCTCTAAATACTTTATTGGATATTTTCTAAGAATAAGAATTCGCTTACTTGATCATATAACACTTATCAAAATTAACAACTTGACATTGATATAATACTATTATCTAGTGTATAGATGTTATTGAGTTTTTGCCAATTGTCCTAATACAGTCCTTATAGCAAAAGAAAACTCAGAATTATGTATTGTGTTCAGTTGTGTTTTGTATTGTGTTCAGTGTCTTATTTTATTGGGAAAATTTCAAGGCTTTATTTGTATTTTACAACATTGGCAGTTTTGAAATGTATAGGTCTGTAATTATGTAGAATGTCTCTCCATTTGAGTTTATTTTTTGTTTCTTATGATTAGTTTTAGCTTAAGCACTTTTGGCAGGATCACCACAGAAGCAATTCTGAATTCTTAGTGCATCATATCAATAGGGCACGTGAAATTGATTGGTCCCATTACTGGCAATGTTCACTGGCATCATTTTGTTGCAATGGTGCCTGCAAGATTTCTCTACTATAAAGTAGTTAACAAGTATCTTGTGGGGATATACTCTGAGACTATGTAAATATCATGTTTAGAACCAAAAAATTGGAAACATGTCAATATTGGAGATTGTTTAAATTATGACATATACAATGGAATACAATACAATCACTGTAAATAATGTCTTATGAGAATGTTTAAACTGTGAAAATATATTTATTGTGCTATGTTAAGTGAAAATAAAAGCTGGTTACAATGCAGTAGGTACACTATTGTCTCATAATTTGCACATACATACTCCAAGCCTGGACAGATATATGCTGCTGTAGGTTGGGTTTCCTAGAAAGCAGACTCAGGAATGGATATGAGCAAGAAGGATATTTACTAGGGAATACCCTCAGGTTCAATTCCTGTATGGGGGAAAGGAACAAAATGTGACTGGGTAGAGGGAGAAGTTTTGCTGTGGCTTTGGCCACAGCAAGTAGTCATCTGATTACACAGGCATGGCTATTTCTAAATTGAGGAAGAGTTCCAGAATTGAGGAAGGGGGAAAAGTGGAGAAAAGAGGGAAAGGGAAACCATGGGGCAATTGGGGAGTCTTTGTAACGACACAGAAATTAGTCATTGTATGTAGACTGCCCCCTTGGAAGGGGCTGTGACTTTAGGCTAGGTGTCACTCCTCAGCCAATGAAATTTCCAAAGAAGGCTGAAAGTGGAAAGCTGGCAGTCATAACCTTTCTAATAGTTTGAAGGATAAATCCCTGAAGGGGAGATTGGGTGGCACATCACAGCATCCATGGCATGTGCCATAATATTACTGATGCAATTACTAATTATTCTATTTTCTATTTTGCCTGTATGTGTTACAAATGTTCTAAAATAAACAATTATAATACTTACAATTAGAAAAACATCAATAAAACTTTTGTTTTCCAAAGAGAAAATTGCTGCACTGTTTTAGAAAGGAAATACTATGTATGCTTGTGGTCCTGGGACTTGAATATTTCTTTAGAGTTAGGATGGCATAATGAGCTTTGGTGCTGTGTGAAACTGGTTTCAAATCCACTCTACTTTATGGCCTTCAGCCTTAATATCTTACTTAATATCTCAGAATTTCATATTTCTCATTTGTAGTGGGAGAAAGCTGAGTGTGTGGTGGAGGGCTAGGTTTTGGAAGAGGGATAGCTGATACCTATCTTGTGAATGTGACAATTAGAGATAATATTGATAAAGTGCCTGTTACATAGACCTCAATAGACATTATTTGTTCATTTGTTTAGATTGTATATTTTGTTAAGGCCTCTGGATTTTGCTATTTGTTTTAAAATATCTATACACATATCTTCCCAAACATTATCTCTCTATAAAAGCCTAGAATAACTAAAAATGAACGTTTTTTTCAAAAACGTTCAATTTTAGAATCTATCAGGAACAGAGGCAAGGCATTCTCTAGGTATTTTCTTAACCCTTTATTTTCTACTAAATGCTCATATATCAAACAAATGAACCGAGAGCAAGGGAAAAGCAATAGATTGTGTTCTGTCATGTATAGGACAACTTTCTAGATTTAAGGGTATATAATTTTTCTTGGTATTGTTCAATACTACATTGATTTAAAAATGTTCCTTTAATATAATGTTTTAAGCATCATAGTATAATCTTCTGTACAAAATTTAAATCCTCATGACTACTTGTTGAAAAATTTGTAAGAAAGCACAATGTGGTCAATTAAAACAAAATGACTTAAATGCAGCTTTGGTATGCTGAGCAATATTAATTTCAATTAAAGCTTAGAAAATTTTGTTGTGATTTTTATGTCATGCATTTCTTGCCACTCTCACTACCTCTGTGAAAATTCTAGTCTAATTTTCATTCTATAAATTATATTTTCTCTTTAATGCATTTAATTCTCACTCTAAATCATTGACTTGAGCTGATGAATAATAAAACTAAAATTTCATATTGGTATCAGTTTATATCTCTATTTGTCAGATATGTTCAGCAATGCTCCTTGAGCCAATCTGAGAAGTAATGGTGGCAAAGATTGTTCATGGGCTTTCAAACCTAGTACTGTATAGTGAGGACTTTCTGTGTTTGGGAGCTTTGCCCCTTTTCAAAAATTACTAGGTTAGAAAAATTCCACTCAATTTAACCATAGGCACAACTTGCTATTTGGAAAGGATTGGACAATTAATTTGTCAAATAACTGGGCACTTTGTTAAAAAAGCAAAATGTTGCTAATTTACAAAATCGTCAGTCAAATCAGTTGCTTAATATTGTGTAGAAACATAACATTTGAATGCATTTTGCAGGTTTAATACATTATGGTAGCATCATATATGTATAGTATAATAATTTACAATAATTTACTAATATCTATTTGTAATGGATAATTTTGCATGCCAACTTGAGTGAGTCATGGAGTGCCCAGATACTTGGTCAAACATTATTCTGAGTGTTTCTATGAGGGTGTTTTAAAATGAGATTGATATTTTAATTGGTAGACTGAGTAAAGTAGATTGCTTTCCCCAGTGTAGATGTGCTTCATCCAATCAGCTGAAAGCCTGAATAGAACAAAAGTCTGACCCTTCTCCAAGTAAGAATTTTTTCTGCCTGACAGCCTTCAAACTAGGGAATCAGCTTTTTTCCTGCCTTCAGACTTGAACTGAAACACTGGCTCTCCCTGGGTCTAGAGCCTGCTGGCCTTCAGACTGGGACTATACCATCAGCTCTCCTGGTTCTCAGGCCTCTGGACTCAGACTAGAACTAAATCATCTGCTCTCCTGGGTCTCCAGTTTGTTGTCTCACCCCACAGACCTTGGGACTTGTCAGCCTCCATAATCACAAGTCAATTTCTTATAATAAATCTCTTTCTATAGATATCCTAATGGTTCTGCTTCTCTGGAGAACTCTGACTAATACACCATTATAATAACATAATTAGTCGTATGTTTAGTGTTTATAATATGCCATTCACCAATGCTCAAATAATCAAAACAATCCTCAGAACATTTTGAATGAAGTATGTTTTTTTCTTGTGTCCATTTTTAGAGCAGGAAATGAGGCTTGGAAAGGATGAACAACTATAAAATTCCACACTGTTAATAAGCATTGAGGCCGGTATTCAAGCCCAGGATGCCCCATTCTAGAGGTACTATGTGTAACAATATGCTATATGATAGCTCCTTCTCCTTTAAAAATTACAGCAGGTAACCTTAGGAAGAAGTGACAAAGTGTATTTATCAAATATTTTCTTGGGTCCTCCCTTTAATGGATATAAGGTATTGAACAGGTGGGTTTGTGTTTACTGTCTTATTTGAATTTGACTTGCACTTTCAGGCCAAAAGTTTAACCATTTCCTGACTTAACTGTCTTTACAACAGCCCTGGGAGTAAAATATGCACAGGTGTTATCCCTTTTATGAAACTGGCCCATACATAAAAGGCAACACAAATCAAGCTGAGACTAAGCCTCAATGTGCCTGATTCTTTGGAAAAAATATCTATTCAAATTATTTACCCATTTTTAAATTAGGTTATTTGGTTTCTCTCTCTCTCTCTCTCTCTCTCTCTGTCTGTGTGTGTGTTTGTTGTTTTTGTTTTTAGCTATTGAGTTGTTGTAGAAATTCCTTATATATTTTGGATATTAACCCCTTAACAGATAAATGGTTTGCAAATAATTTCTCCCATTTCATAGACTGTGTTTCTACTCTGTTGTTTCTGTTGCTGTGTAGAAGGTTTTTAGTTTCATGTAGTCCCACTTGCTTGTTGCTTGTTTTTGCCTTTGTTGCCTGTGCTTTTGGTGTCATATAGGATTAATTGTTGCCAAGACCAATGCTGTAAATCTTTTCCCCTATGTTTTCTTTTAGGAGTTTTACAGTTTCAGGTCTTAGGTTTAAGTCTTTAATCCATTTTAAATTGATTTTTGTGTATGGTGTAAGAAAAGAGTCCAATTTTATTCTTTTGTATGTGGATATCCAGTTTTCCCAGCAGCATATGTCAAAGAGACTGTCCTTTCTCTGTGGTGTGTTTTTGGCACCCTTGTCAAAAATTAGCACATATAAATGACCAACACATATATGGAAAGGTGCTTGACATTACTAATAGTTAGAGAAATGCAAATCAAAATCACAATGAGATATCACCTCACACTTGTAAGGATTACTATTAAAAAAAACAACAAAAGATCACAAGTATTGGTAAGTATGTGGAGAAATTGGAACCCTTATACACTGTTGGTGGGAATGTAAAATTGTACAGAAGTTATGGAAAACAGTATAGAGGTTCCTCTATAAATTAAAAATAGGAATACCATATGATTTAACAATCCTACTTTTTGTGTGTTTATCTAAAAGAATTGAAATCAGGATCTTGAAGAGATTTGCACTCCCATATTTATTGTAGCATTATTCACAATAGCCAAGATGTGGAAAAAGCCTAAATATCCACCAATGAATGAAAATATAAAGAAAATGTGGTATGTACATATAGTGGCATATTATTCAGCCTTACAAAAGAAGCAATTGTGCCATATACAACAACATGGATAAACCTAGAGCAGATTGTGGTAACTGAAATAAGCCAGTGACAGAGGGACAAATACTGCATGATTTCATTTCTATGAGGTATCTAAAATAGTCAAACTCATGGAAACAGAGAGTAGAATGGTGGTTGCTGGTGGCTGCGGGCAAGGGAAAATGGGAAGTTGCTATTCAATAGGTGCAAAGTTTTAGTTTTGCTATATGAATAAGTTCTAAAGATCTGCTATACAACATGGTGCCTATAGTTAACAATACTGTAATGTACACTTAAAAATTTAAGATGGTAGATCTCATGTTAAATGTTCTTAGCACAATAAAAAAAGAAGTGCTTGATACTTACTATAATTTTCTACTGTGTGTAGGCATAGCGCATTTCATTTAGCTCAAATAAATGCAAACACTGGGTAATTTAGGCTAAATCTAGAAATTTGAAGCCAAATATATTGCTAAGTATTATTGGACTTATTATTATTCTTTGAATGGTTCCTCAATGACCCTTCAAGTAAATCAGCCATTATTCCTTTCCAAAGCTGTCTAGAGGATTGATTTTGTTGGTGTAGAAGTAGCTAATCAGTCCATCATTGAATGTCCACACTTCCTATTACAAACACTCCATATTGGTTTTATCACTGTGATTTGGCAAGAATATAAAATTCTGGATAGTTTTCATTGTGATGAGGGCAGGCCACCTGCATTTCAGCTTTGAAAAGTTACAACTTTGTGAATAATTTAATGGTTGCTATAGTTTGTGTCCAATAAAAGCTTAAAATAACATAGATTTATTTCTTCCTGACTCCTTCTATGCATAGATGATACTCATATGTAATTTGAAACTTTTTCAGTATATTTGTTTTCTACTTTCAAAATTTTTCATATTGTCTACTGAATTGCCTGCATTTTTGAATTACAGGGAAGCAAGCCACAACTTCACTTGTGTTTGAAACTGCCTTTCGATAAATGGGCATAAATGCATTTTATGATGACCAGTTTATTTTAGAAATGCACCCAGATTTCCTGTTTTTAAATTGCACAGTGATTTCTTGATGGCAGTGTTTGCCTGAATGGACTGAAAATACATGGGCAATTCAGAAGACATAACCACCTTGAACATGTTTCTTGAAAGCCTCATGGCTTCTAATTTCTCTTAGGTTAAATAAGAGTTGACTGCCTCATTTACTACAGCAGCCAGACTCAGCCTGAAGGGCAGCTGGTCATCCAGGTATCTTAGACGGTAACAAATGTAGTCGAAATATAGTGCCTTAAGTTTCACTATTACCTATTAAAATCCCTTTAGAAAACTTTTCAATGTTAATTAAAACACAAATATTCCTGGACAATGTAATGCTACTATTACTTTAGATATTTAAATTTTCAGAAGTGAAGAGGATTTTTTTCATAATTGACATTTAGCTTGCCTTTAGTGTATATAATCACCAGAGAAGTGAAGAGAGTATTAACATATATTGGTGCCTAATAAATCCCACGTGTTCTACCAAACATTTTAATTTGATATATGATAAATGCATTCAATTTATATAACAATTGTACAGTTAAAACCACTCATAGAAGAGTCTCTGTCTCTCCCAACATCCATATTAGCAGTTCTTAGGGAACAAAGTAGCTTTGCCTGAGCTATGTGCCCATTCCTCAACTATCTTTGAGAGTAAGGAAGTAGAATACTCTGCTTGACCATACCTTGTTGTGATTCCACTCATGTGGCTGAAGTTATAGCAATATTAGGTTCACCAGAACCACAAAACTTGGGGACCTCACAGGAAAACAGAGCAATTATGTGAAGAGAGAAGGAAAGTATGATTAGAAAATAAACTTTAGAAAATCTTGGTGACAAATTCTAACATTTGATTTGATAGACATATATAAAAGTAAGTTGAAGGAAGAGAAAATAAATATAGAAGCAGAAATTAATGAATAGAAAAAAAAGCCAATCAATAAAAGTTAATTTGTAGAAAATACTGATAAACAAGAAAAACACCTGGGAAGAAGGAATAAGGAGAAAATGAACAAATAATATTGGGAATAAAAGGATAACATAAGAATAGATAGAAGATATCATAAAAGACTAAACGATTTTGAAAACTAAAATCATATATATAGTTTGTGCCCTATAGAAGCTTAAAATAATGTAGATCTCTTCCTGACTCCTCCATGAAATGATGTATTGGACACCTTTCTCCATCTTCCATGCAGTCAACCCACATTTTACTGTAGTCATTGTTGTGCCAAACAGCTTTGCATGGGTGTGACCTAATAGCTGTGGTCACCTCATTTTTCTTTCCAATGTGCAGGAAGCCATAGCACTCATATGCATATGCCATCTGGAAGTAAGAGGGATTTAATAGCCCATGGGGTCATCCTTGTCTGATGAGGTAAAGGAGCTATTGGGTGAATGGTAAACCATTCTAAAGTGTATTCTATATGGCTTTCCATCAGATCCCTAGTGGAATCTAGACCCACTTGGCCACAGTCATGATCAACTCAATAATGCAACCTTGGAAAGGCTATTTTTCCTTCCTTCTTTCACTCCTCTCCAATCTCACACACCCATTCCCTGGGATAATACCACTCAAATATATTATCTGCCTAGAAGTCCTTGTCTCAGGCTTTTACCATATAGGAAATAATTTCATGCTTAAACAAATGGTCAGTTTTCCAGACAAATATACATGATCAGAGTGATACCGGAAGAAGTAGAAAATCTAAGTAGACTGATTATCATTAAAGAAATTGAACTGAAATTTAAAAATATTGCCCTAATTCCTACTCCATTCTAAAGTATCAGGCCCAAGTGGATGTGATTTTTATTACACTTTTGAGGAATAATCTCTATTACATAAATCTCTTTCAGTCTAGAAAATAAGGGTATGCTCCCAGCTTACTTTATGAAACTATTAATGAATAGTTTCTGAAAAATAGACAAAGAAAGCATAACAAAAGAAAGTTATAGTAAGTCTCTTTTCTGGACATAAATACAAAATTTCTAAATAAAGCATTAGAAAATTGAGAGAAATTTGACAATATATAATAAGGTTGAAAGTGCTGATATCATGTGACTCAATACTTCATGTTTAGGTATATAACATAGAGAAATTCATGCACATCTACACATGGTTGGTTGCCTAATCAAGCTTTACAATACTAAGAATAGGAAGAAATTTAAATGTTTATCATAGTGAATTGATAAATGATGATATGTTGACGAGATGGAGTATTATATAGCAATTAAAATGATATAAACTAGATCTTTATATAATTAACATGGATAGATTGGTATAAATTAATGAGTTACCTTTATATATTAACATAGATTTCAAAAACATAATGTTGAGCCAAAATGTAAGTCAAAGGATGATGCCTATGCTATTTAACTTTTTGTATACATTTAGGAGGAGCAAGTGCAGTTTTGGCACATGGATGAATTGTGTAGTGGCGAAGTCTGGGCTTTTAGTGTAATCATCACCCGAATAGTGTACATGGTATCCATTAGGCATTTTCTCATCCCTCACTTCTCTCCCACCCCACTACTCTTCCATGTATCCAGTGTCTATTATTCCACACTTTATGTCTATATGTACACATTATTTAGTTTCTGTTTATAATGAGAATGTGCAGCATTTGACTTTCTGAATTATTTCACTTAAGATAATGGCCTCCAGCTCCATTCATGTTGCTGCAAAAGAGACATTTCATTCTTTTTTTGGCTTAATAGTATTCAGTGGTATACATGTATATCTATACCACATTTTCTTTATCCAATCATCCGTTGATGGGCATTTAACTTATTTTTAAGGCAGCCTAAACAATACTGAATGAATACTTGTAATGTATAAGAACATGATGGGGAGTATACACACCAATTTCATGATCATTGATGGCTCTGGGTAGGGATGGAGGGGAATTGGTTTGAGGAAGACTACAAAGGAACTTGAACTCTACCTGTAATATTTTATTTATTTTAAAGAAAAGAGACAAATTGTAAAGTATGATAGTGTTGATATTTATTAGTTCTGGACAGTGGATAAAAGTACTTGTGGTTTATAGTTCTTTCTAGTTTTCTATATATTTTAATAGTTTTTTTTTGAGACAGAGTCTTGTTCTGTCACCAGGCTGGAGTGCAATAGAGCGATCTCAGCTCACTGCAACCTCCGCCTCCTGAGTTCAAACGATTCTCTTGCCTCAGCCCCCTGAGTAGCTGGGGCTACAGGCGCGCGCCACCATGCCCAGCTAATTTTTGTATTTTTAGTAGAGACACGGTTTCACCATGTTGGCCAGGATGGTCTCAGTCTCTTGACCTCGTGATCCATCCGCCTCCCAAAGTGCTGGGATTACAGGTGTGAGCTACCGCTCCCAGCCTTATTTTGATAATTTTCATAATAAAATTGCAACCCTGATTGGTAGATAGTGTTCTAATATTTTTATATTCAGGCAGCACGTACAGTTCATTAAGAAAATGAGAAGGTGCTGTAATCAGTAGAAAAAGGGCAAATATTTAAGAAAAAATATAAAAAATCAGAGTATATAATTACTATTTATGTAAATGAATACCATCGACCAAGAAATACAAATTAATAATGAGATTCCCCTCGGCTTCTTTAACATAAGCCATTGAAATACGTGTGTGTGTCTGTATGTATATGTGTATGTATATATCTATATATCTATGTATGCATTTATATACATCCTTATCAGTCTTTCTGTCCATTGAGCCATTGATCCTTCTATCCATCCATTCATCCATCCAATGCAGTGTTAGTGAGGGAAACACATAGAATATACTGATGATAGTGTAAAACCTTTCCTGTAAGCAATTTAGTGATATTTATTAATATTTTTACCATTTTGCTAATTCTTCTCTAGTAATTTATCCTAGGAAAATAATTGATCTATGAAAAGACATATTTATTATACAGCTACTTTTCATAATGAAACATTGGAAATAGCTTAAAGATTTATAGTAAGTCACTGGTTAAATACCTTATGGTCCATTTATAGTATGAAATTCTATGTAACCATTCAAAATTAGATTTATATCTACGGATAGGAGTTAATTTCTACATCATAGTCTGAGGTATATATATATATGTTATATATACATATATATGTATATATAACATATATATATGTATATATAACATATATATATATATACGCCATGAACATGAAGTCCTTCTATATACCATATAAAGCATACACACACACAAAGACATACATACTGGAAGGAAATACACCAAAATATTGAAAATCATTAATTCTGAGTTTTGGGACAATGATGGTGGTTGTTATGACATTATTTGTTCTTTTTAGGTATTACAAACTTTCTATAATGAATGTATTGTTTTTTATAAGCAGAGAAAAAAATCTGTTCCTAAGATGCTGAAATAATCCTTGTCTAGTACATCTATATATAGTGGAGTGAACCCTGCTTTGAGAGATACAAAGATGAGCAGCATATGGAACTTTCCCACAAGGAACTTATAAAGTTTCCTTTTTAGTTGATGCAGTTGAAAATATAAGAAGTGTATAAAAATACACATAATAAAAGCATGTGCTAAGTGTCAGACACTAGTGAAAAACTGGACAAATCAAATAGCCTTTTCCTAGTCCTCATTACCCTGACCTTTCTGCAACCTTCATGGGGCATTAAAGGATGGCAAACTGATTCTCTATAAAACATAAATGAAGAAACTGGCATTGTGGAGAATAACTTAGACATGGATCCTGCCGGTAAAGATCTTCTATGTTGGTAAAGAACATAACACATTAACATAAATAACTAGAAGAATAAGGAGAAATTTTCAGTGCTATGCGAAAAATACAGACAATAAGTGATTGGGACTCAGGGAAAGGAGAGATCATTTTGGGTTTTCTTCATATGAAATAAGTATGTGGTTTTTGACAACTGTATTCTCAGAAGACTTTTTCTCTTTCGTAAAGTTTATGGCATGTTTTTCCTGATGGTTGAAGTTACTAGAAATCTGTTCTTTGGATAAGTGACATGTTACTCTGTATGCTTTTCGATACATTTATTTACAAAGGCAGAGAAATAGAAGAAAGAAGGAAATTTAAGAGCAGAGGATATGTATTTGTTAGAAATAGGATTTCTTCATGAATGCATTTCCAATTGGGAGGAGATGGATCATTGGAGGTATATACAATTACTTCTTTCCTGTGTATGAAAAGAGAAAAAAAAATCCATATAGATGTAGGTGATACAAAAAATCAATGTGATTGACTTCTTAAGTTTCACATGGAAAATCTGTTTCATTGCCTTATAATTAAAATTAATATTTATATTCTCTATATGAGATATTAATACTCTGTAGTAAAAGAAACATAATAAGACAAAAACAATAAATGGAGGGTATTTTAGACTAGCCAGGATAAAACGGTTACCATTTGGAGTACAAAAGATCACATCTTTTTGGTAAAATAGCAACATATAAGTTGATTGAAAGGTTAGTTTGCTTAATTGTCAGAAATTATCCCCTGAATTTACCACTTTTCTGAGGGAGGGTGGTTCTTTTAGTGGAAGAATTGGTTAGGCTGGCTATTATCTGTGCAGAAGGATTGAGCTTTGCAAAAACAACATCTGGGACGATTAAACCGGACTGCCAAGGTAGAGCCAATAGTGAAGGATAAGAGTGTAATAAAATTTTACTCATGTAGGCAGAACCACTCTACCAGAAATAGCAAAGTGAACCAGAAAAAAGGTAATGTGAATATAATTCAGTCTAAAAAGTTTATGAGACTGGCATGGTACATTATTTTGGGAAATTTCAAAAACCAATGTGACATAGCCTTTTCCTCAACAAATCCACATTGTTAGAGGTTCAAGGTGTTATTGCAAGGAATGATAATGATATATATGAATGCACAAGAAAATGTGAGTTTGTTAAATAAAGCACGATTTTTATATATTTCAGCTTCTAAAGGTAGAATAAAAATGGCCACAGCCTGGGGATTGTATATTTCTATGCACTGCAGTTTCCATTGTCTACTTCCTTGCATTGAGCACATAAAAACTTAGCAGTTGGCGTGGTGATGTCTGTTCATTGAGAGATGCCAGCAGTGATTGTTAAAATAATGTGATTTATTCATTCTGCCTTTTGAATTTTTTAAATTAATTTTTTATTTCAATAGGTTTTTGGGAAACAAGTGGTGTTTGGTTACATGAATAAGTTATTTAGCGGTGATTTCTGAGATTTCAGTGCACCCATCACCCAAGCAGTGTACACTGTACCCAGTGTGTAGTCTTTTATCCTTCACTCCCCTCCCACTCTTTCCCCGAGTCCCTAAAGTCTACTGTATCATTCTTATGCATTTGCATCCTCATAGATTAGCTCCCAATGATGAGAGAGAACATAAGATGTTTAGTTTTACATTCCTGAGTTCCTTCACTTAGAATAATGGTCTCCAATTCCATCCAGGTTGCTGCAAATGCCATTAGTTCATTCCTTTTTATGGCTGAGTAGTATTCCATGGTATGTGTGTGTGTATATATATGTGTATATATGTATACACACACGAGTATATATATGTGTATATATAACATTTTCTTTATCCACTCGTTGATTGATGGGCATTTGGGCTGGTTTCGTATTTTTGCAATTGCAAATTGTGCTGCTATAAAGATGCATGTGCAAGTATCTTTTTGGTATAATGACTTCTTTTTTTCTGGGTAGATACCGAGTACTGAGATTGCTGGATCAAGTGGTAGATCTACTTTTAGTTCTTTAAGGAGTCTCCACGCTGTTTTCCATAGTGATTGTACTAGTTTATATTCCAACCAACAGTGTAAAAGTGTTCCGTTTTCACCACATTTACGCCAACATCCATTTTTTTTTATTATTATGGCCATTTTTGCAGGAGTGAGGTGGTATCCCATTGTGGTTTTGATTTGAATTTCCTTGATAATTAGTGATGTTGAGCATTTTTCCATATGCTTGATGTCCATTTGTATGTCTTCTTTTTCCTCTTTTGAGAGTTGTCTGTTCATATCCTTAGCCCACATTTTGATGGGATTGTTTTGTTCTTGCTGATTTATTTGAGTTCTTTGTAGATTCTGGATATTAGTCCGTTGTGGGATGTATAAACTGTGAAGATTTTCTCCCACTCTGTGGGTTGTCTGATAACTCCGATGATTATTTCTTTTGCTGTGTTCCTTGTTCCCCCCTTGTTCGCCACTGCCAACATATGCGGGGCCTCTCCCATAGGAACTCAGCATGAGTGCACCTATAGACAACCTTCCTGGACCAATTCAGGGTGATTGCATCCTCAGAGGAGGAACACTCCCCAGGTTCAGGCTTGCATGAGAGGCAGAATCACAATTCCTTTCTATTCAGAACATCAATATTTCTACAGATGTAAAGAGGTGCCTGTCTGATCTGAATAGCCAGAACACTAGGACAGGAGTGAAGCTTGGATGTAGATAGCTTTCCTGCTGGCCTGGCAAGGGAACTGAGGTAACTCCCACTCTTGACCCTGATAAAACCTCAGTGCGTCTAACTGACAGCCTTCCCAGCCACCCTCTTCAAGGTGGGGGCCTCCACCCACCACTGGATATTGCTTCTACCCATCTGCTTTAGCTACAGCTGGTTCCTACCCAGGGATACCTCCCCTACTGGTTTGACTCCTGAAGCATCAAGTCAGCAAACAAAATACTGGGGAAAACTACTAGACGTAAGAAATGAGACAGACAGCAGCACCGTAATAGTGGGACATCAATACTCCACTGACAGCACTAGATAGATCATTAAGACAGAAAGTCAACAGTCAAAAAAGGAAAAATGGGCTTAAACTATACCCAAGAACCAATGGAATTAACAAATATTTACAGAATATTTTTCCCAATTAATGCAGAATATATATTCTTCTCATCAGCACATGGAATATTCTCCAAGATAGACCATATAATAGGTCACAAAACAAGTTTCAATAAATTTAAGAAAATTGAAATCATATCAAGTATTTTCTCAGACCATAGCACAATAAAACTGGAAATCAACTGTAAAGGGAAACCTCAAACTATATAAATACATGAAAATTAAACAATCTACTCTTGAATAATTTGGGGGTTAATAATGAAATCAAGTTAGACATTTAAAAACTATTTCAAATGAATGATAATAGTGACAAAACTTATCAAAACCTCTGGGGTACAACGAAAGCAGTGTTAAGAGGAAAGATCATAGCACTAAATTCCTACATCAAAAAGTCTGAAATAGCACAAATTGACAACCTAATATCACACCTCAAGGAACTAGAGAAATAAGAAGGAATAAAACCCAAAGCCAGTGAAAGAAAATAACCAAACACCTCATGTTCTCACTCATAGGTGGGAATTGAACAATGAGAACACTTGGACACAGGAAGGGGAACATCATACACCGGGGCCTGTTGTGGGGTGGGGGGACGGGGGAGGGATTGCATTAGGAGATACACCTAACGTAAATGACAAGTTAATGGGTGCAGCACACCAACATGGCACATGTATACATATGTAACAAACCTGCACGTTGTGCACATGTACCCTAGAACTTAAAGTATAATAATAATAATAAAATAAAATAACAAAGACAGAGCAGAACTAAATAAAATTGAAACAACAATAACCAATACAAAAGATAAATGAAACAAAAAGCTGGTTCTCTGAAAGATAAAAGTGATAGACCACTAGTGAGACTAACCAAGAAAAGAAGAGAGAAGATCCAAACAAACTCAATTAGAAATGAAACTGGAGTTATTACAACTGATATCTCAGAAATACAAAAGATCACTCAAGGCTACTATGAACACCTTTAGGCACACATACTAGGAAACCTAGAGGGAATGAATAAATTCCTGGAAACATGCAACCCTCCTAGATTAAATCAGGAAGAAATAGAAACCCTGAACAGACCAATAACAAACAGTATGATTGAATCAGTAGTAAAAAAATTGCCAATAAATGCAAATCAAAGCCACAATGAGATACCATCTCACGCAAGTTAGAATGGCGATCATCAAAAAGTCAAGAAAAAACACATGCTGGAGAGGATGTGGAGAAATAGGAACGCTTTTACACTGTTGGTGGAAGCGTAAATTAGTTCAAGCATTGTGGAAGACAGTGTGGCAATTCCTCAAGGATCTAGAACCAGAAATACCATTTGACCCAGCAATCCTATTACTGGGTATATACCCAAAGGATTAGAAATTATTCTACTATAAAGACACATGCACACGTATGTTTATTGTGGCACTATTCACAATAGCAAAGACTTGGAACCAACCCAAATGCCCATCAATGATAGACTGGATAAAGAAAACATGGCACATATACACCATGGAATACTATGCAGCCATAAAAAAGGATGACTTCATGTCTTTTGCATGGACATGGATGAAGCTGGAAACCATCATTCTCAGCAAACTAACACAAGAACAGAAAACCAAACATCACATGTTCTCACTCATAAGTGGGAGTTGATCAATGAGAACACATGGACAGAGGGAGGGGAACATCACACACTGGTGCCTGTTGGAGGGTGGGGGGCTAGGGGAGGGATTGCCTTACTAGAAATACCTAATGTAGATGATGGGTTGATGGGTGCAGCAAACCACCATGGCACATGTATACCTATGTAGCAAATCTGCACATTCTGCACATGTACCCCAGAACTTAAAGTATAATAAAAAAAACTTTAAAAAATTGCCAATAAAAAAGTCTAGGACCAGATGGATTCACAGCTGAATTCTATCAGACATTCAAAGAAGAATTGGTACCAATACTACTGAAATGATTCCAAAAGACAGAGAAAGGAAGGAATCCTCCCTAAATCATTCTATGAAGCCAGTGTCACCTTAATACCAATACCAGGAAAAGACATTTCAAAAAAAGAAAACTACAGACCAATATCCCTGATGAACATAGATGCAAAAATCCTCAACAAAATAGTAGCTAACCAAATCTAACAGCACATCTAAAAGATAATACATTATGACCAAGTGGGTTTCATCCCAGGAATGGAGGGATGGTTTAATATATGTACCATGTCAATACATGTGATACATCACACAAACAGAATTACAAACAAAAACCATGTGATCATCTCAGTAGATGCAGAAAAAGCATTTGATAAAATCCATTATCGCTTTATGATAAAAACCCTCAACAAAATACAACAAATGCCAAAAAGGAACTTACCTTAAAGTAATAAAAACCATATATGACAAACCCACAGAAAATATTATATTGCATGGGGAAAAGTTGAAAGTATTCCCCCTGAGAACTGGAACCAGACAAGGCTATCCATTTTCACCACTTCTATTCAACAAAGTACTGGAAGTCCTAGTCAGAGCATTTGGGCAAGAGAAAGAAAGAAAGAAAGGGCATCCGAATTGGAAAAGAGGAAGTCAGACTGTCAGTGTTTGCCAATGATGTGATTGTATACTTTAAAAACCCTAAAGGCTTGGCCGGGCGCGGTGGCTCAAGCCTGTAATCCCAGCACTTTGGGAGGCCAAGGCGGGCGGATCACGAGGTCAGGAGATCGAGACCATCCTGGCTAACATGGTGAAACCCCGTCGCTACTAAAAAAATACAAAAAATTTAGCCAGGCATGGTGGCGGGCGTCTGTAGTCCCAGCTACTCAGGAGGCTGAGGCGGAGAATGGCATGAACTCGGGAGATGGAGCTTGCAGTGAGCCGAGATTGCACCACTGCACTCCAGCCTGGGCGACAGAGTGAGACTCCGTTAAAAAAAAAAAAAAAAAAAAACACCCAAAAGACTCATCCAAAAGGCTCCTAGATCTGATAAACAAATTCAGTAAAGTCTCAAGTTACAAAATCAGTGTGCATAAATCAGTAGCACTGCTATACAGCAACAATGACCAAGTTGATAATCAAATCAGAAGCTCAATCTCTTTTACAACAGCGGCAAATAAAATAAAAGACCTAGGAATACACTTAGCCAAAGATGTGAAAGATCGCTACAAGGAAAACTACAAAACAACACTGAAAGAAATAGATGACACAAACAAATGGAAACACATCCTATGCTAATAGATGAGAAGAATCAATATTGTGAAGATGACCAAAGCAATCTACAGATTCAGTGCAATTCCCATAAAAAAATACCATTATTATTCTTTAATGAACTAGAAAAAAAAATCCTAAAATGTATGTAGAACCAAAAAAGAGCCTGCATAGCCAAAGCAATACTAAGCAAAAGGACCAAACTTGGAGGTGTCACATTACCAGACTTCAAATTACACTATAAGTTTATAGTTACCAAAACAGCATGGTACTGGTATGAAAACAGGCACTTAGACCAACGGAACAGAATGGAGAACCCAGAATCCAGAAATAAAACCAAATAATTACAGCCAACTAAACTGCTACAAAGCATACAAAAACATAAATTGGAGAAGTGAAACTCCGTTCAGTAAATGGTGCTGGAAAATCTGGCTAGCCACATGTAGAAGAATGAAACTGGATCCCTATCCCTCACCTTATACAAAAATCAACTCAAGATGGATGAATGACTTCAACCTAAGACCTGAATCCATAAAAATTCTAGAAGAAAACTTAGGAAAAACTCTTCTGGACATTGGCTTTGGGAAAGAATTTATGACTAAGACCCCCATAAGCAAATGTAACAAAAACAAAAATAAATAAATGGGACCTAATTAAACTAAAAAGCTTCTACACAGCAAAAGATATAATCAGCAGAGTAAACTGACAACCCACAAAGTGGCAGAGAATATTTGCAAACTATGCATCCGACAAAGGACTAGTATCCAGAATCTACAAGGAACTCAAATCAATCAGCAGGAAAAAAACAAATAATCCCATCAAAAAGTGGGCAAAGGAAATGAATAGACATTTCTCAAAAGAAGATATACAAACAGCCAACAAATATGAAAAAATGCTCAACAGCACGAATCATCAGCAATATTCAAATTAAAACCACAATGAGGTACCACCTCATTCCTGCAAGAATGGCCATAATTAAAGTCAAACAACAACAGATGTTGGCATGGACGTGGTGAAAAAGGAAGGCTTATACACTGCTAGTGGGAATGTAAATTAGTAGAACCACTTTGGAAAACAGTGTGGAGATTCCTTGAAAGACTGAAAGTAGATTTACCATTCAATCCAGCCATCCCACTACTGGGTATCTACCCAAAGGAAAACAAGTTATTATATCAAAAAGACACATGCGCAGGCATATTTATAGCAGCACAATTCACAATTGCAAAGATATGGAACCAAGCTAAATGCCCATCAACCAATGCGTGAATAATGAAAATGTGATATCTCTACACCATGGAATACTTCTCAGCCATAAAAATTAATGAAATAATGTCTTTTGCAGCAACTTGGATGGAGCTGGAGGCCATTATTTTAAGTGAAGTAACTCAGGAATGAAAAACCAAATACCGTAGGTTCTCATTTGCAAGTGGGAACTAAGCTATGAGGATGTAAAACATACAGAGTGATATAATGGACTTTAGGGACTTGGTGGGGGCAGGTTGGGAGGTGAGTAAGGGATAAAAGACTACATATTGGATACAGTGTACACTGCTTGGGTGATGAGTGCACTAAAATATCAGAATTCACCCTGAAAGAACTCATCCATATAACCAAAAATCATCTGTACCCTAACAGCTCTTGAAATTAAAAAAACGATCCTTAGGGATAATTTCCAGATAGCTTTAGGAATGTTAGAAATGGAAATTTCTAACATTGTGAATAGGAGAAGTCACTTTATAAAAATTAAAAAGAAATTACCTTTTTTTCTCATGGAATTTTTAATATAAAACCATTTCATTCTACTTGTCAACATGCTTCTCTAGAAACTGTGCAATAATTAGTCTTTCCCCAAAATAGAGCTGATGGGATTTTGACTATTCTCTAGTTGCATGAACTGTCAATTATAAATGGCTCATGATGTGCCTATAGCAAAATTATTCATGTGTGCTACTCATAGGTGATAGAAATGAAACAATCATTAGCTATATGGAACTGCAGTAGTCCTGTTGTACTATCTTCTGATTAAAAAAGAGAACAAACATGCAAAAACATAAACCTTGATAGGAATATGAATATTGTACTGATAATGTCCTAGCTATATGTAATATGTAAATTACATATATCCAGGACAAGATTAATGAGACATGAATATGTTTGGCAGTTAAGTGTTCAGATTCTGAAGTGATGATATTAGTAGGAGAACAATTGGTTGGATTTCTATTGGAGAAAGACACTTCACATCCCTTATAAATATCTTAGCCATTTCTTGGTTACTATTATACAAAGACATATTGTCAGGATTGTGTCATTATTCCAACCAAACCAGATAATTCCGTTTTAAAAAATACCAAACTAACCTAATAAACACAAAATGTCTGTTTGAGTGACTGATATGTTACTTTTCGGACATGTGTATGGTGCATGAAGATACTACCTTATCATTCAATACTAGATACTGTATTTTTGTAATAAAGCTTTCAATATTTAATGAATTGTCCTTATCTCTTTAAGGGCCTTCCAAATTGTCACTACTAAATGAAATCACATGTTATAAAGTATTGTTTTGTAACTCAGTTCACATTGTATGTTATTAGTCTTTTAAATATATTTAATCACCAAAAGATCTATGACAAAGCCATCAAAAACATTAAGTGGGGAAAGGGCACGCTATTCAACAAATGGTGGTGGGATAATTGGCAAGCCACATGTAGAAGAATGAAACTGGATTTTCATCTCTCACCTTATACAAAAATCAACTCAAGATGGATCAAAGACTTAAATGCAAGACATGAAACCTTAAAAATTCTAGAAGATAACATTGGAAAAATTCTAGACATTGGCTTAGGCAAAGACTTCATGATCAAAAACCCAAAAGCAAATGCAACAAAAACAAAGATAAATAGATGGGACTTAATTAAACTAAAAGGCTTTTGCACAGCAAAAATAATAATAATAATAATAATCAGCAGAGTTAACAGACAACCCACAGAAAAAGAGAAAATCTTCACAATCTATACATCCTACAAAGGACTAATATCCAGAATCTACAAAGAACTCAAACAAACCAGCAAGAAAAAAACAAACAAGCCCTTCAAAACGTGGGCTAAAGATATGAATAGGTAATTCTCAAGAGAGAAAATTAAGATATACAAATGGCCAAGAAGCATATGAAGAAATGTTCAACATCACTAATTATCAGGGAAATGGAAATCAAAACCACAATGTGATACCACCTCACTCCTGCAAGAATGGCCATAATCAAAAAATAAAAAAATAACGGATGTTGGCATGGATGTGGAAAGGGAACACTTACACTGTTGGTGGGAATGTAAACTAGCACAACCACTATGGAAACAGTGTGGAGATTCCTTAAAGAACTAAAAGTAGATCTACCATTTGATTCAGCAATCCCACTACTCAGTATCTACCCAGAGGAAAAGAAGTCATTATACAAAAAAAGATACTTGCACACATATGTTTATAGCAGCACAATTTGCAATTGCAAAAATATGAAGCCAGCCCCAATGCCCATCAATTAAGGAGTGGATAAAGAAAATATGATATATATATATATAGACTACTACTCAGCCATAAAAAGGAATGAATTAATGGCATTCACAGCAACCTGGATGGAATTGGAGACCATTAGTATAAGTGAAGTAACTCAGAAATGGAAAACCAAACATCGTATGTTCTCATTCATAATTGGGTGAGCTCTCTTGAAAGTAAGAGAAATAATTCAAATGAGCCTGAGAATAAATGGAAATTTATGGTTTCATATTAATAAAAATTCCAAAAGTGAATTTGTTTTAAGGTAATACTGGCTGGAGACTCAGTATTGCAGGGTGATGTGGCTTGAATGTTTGCCCCACCAAAACTCATGTTGAAACTTAATCCCCAGTGTAACAGTATTAAGAAGAGGGGTGTTTAAGTGGTGATTGGGGCCAGAGGCGGTGGCTCATGCCTGTAATCCCAGCACCTTGGGAGGCCAAGGTGGGCGGATCTCTTGAGGTCAGGAGTTCAAGACCAGCCTTGCCAACATGGCAAAACCCCATCTCTACTAAAATACAAAAATTAGCCATGCACAGTGGGTGTGCCTGTAGTCCCAATGACTCGGGAAGCTGAGGCAGGAGAATAGCTTGAATCTGGGAGGTGGAGGTTGTAGTGAGCTGAGATCACGTCACTGCACTCCAGCCTGGGTGACAGAGCAAGACTCTGTCTCAAAAAAAGAAAAAAAAGATGATTGGTTCATGAGAGTTCTGCTCTCATGAATGGGTAAAGTCTATTCATGGATTAAGTGACTCATGCAAGTGACTCATGGGGTATCATGGGAGTGAGTTTTTTTTTAAATCATGAGAATGAGTCTGTTATGAAAGCCGGTTTTGTTTTTGCTCTTGCCCTCTCACCATATGATGTCTTCCATCATGTTATGACACAGTAAAGGCTCTCACCAGGTATGGCCCCTTGGCTTAGGACTTACCAGCCTCTAGAACTTTAAGAAATAAATTTTTTTTCTTTATGAATTACCTAGTCTGTGGTATTCAGATATAGCAATAGAAAATGGACTAAGACATAGGGTCATCTGTCTCTGTCACTGTCTCTGTCATTCTCATATATATAAATATTAGAGAAATATATATAATATATATAGAAAGATACACATATACATATATAATTCATATATAGAAATGTATACATATACAAAGAGGTATAATTTATATATTGAAATATATACATATTTCTCTATCTCTGCCACCATTTTTCAACTCTAATTATCTCTCTTTGGCTTCATTCTTTCCCACTGTAGACAGGTTTTCTGCAAATGGCAGGGAATATGTCCTCAAGCAACTAAGCAACTCCATGTCTCAGAGAAGGAATTTGACTTAGCATGTTTGTAAATCTATCCCTGGACCAGTCACTGTAGTTTATAAGATGTGAGTTCCTAATGTTTTTCATTCTAGCCACCACTTGGTATTATCAGTCTCTTTGATTTTATCCCTTCTAATGGGTTTGCAATGGTATATATATATATATATATATATATATATATATATATATATATATGGAATGGATAGTAAACTTTTTTTGGGGTTTCTGTTTCAATTGTCAAAAAATGATATATTTGACATATTGGTATGATATGTTATATTGATAGATTGCCTAGTATTGTATCTTCCTTGCATTTTTAAGGTGAAACTTACTTGATCATGGTGGGTTGTTCTTTTAGTATTGAATTTTATTTTCCAGGATTTTATTCAGCATCTTGCATCTCTATTTAGAAGTGAAATTAACATTTTTGAACTATAATAATCACGATTTTTTGTGAGAGTTACTATAACTTTGTAGAATACATTGGATAGCTATCCTTAAAGGTTTTTAAAAGTTAAAAAACAAACAAAACTTGAGTCAAATTATCTGGCTGTGGGGAATCTTTGGAAATGCCAGATTTAGTCTTAAAGTATTCATATTTGGAATGATGGTGAAACCAAAAGCTGTATTGGTGTTATGAATCTTTCTTCCTGTAGGAGCTTAAATAACATTGTTCAGGTAGGTCTTGGGGAATATAGGCCTAGCCACATTGTAGAAAGTGAGTGGGAAAAGCACCACTGTATGTACACAGGAGAAAAGAAAAGGAGTAGGAAGGAATAAGTTAGGAACTCTGACTGCATTTAAAACATTTATAAGATGACAGGCAGCTTTAACATTTATGAAGTTTCTGTGAACATATGAGCTTTCCTGAAAGCCTACATTTAGGTGTTTAAGATAATATTTACCTATATATCACATTCAATATTATATAAATTTCCAGTACAATCAACATACCTTTGACAAACTTTTAGTGTTCTGATAATTAAAAGTAATGAAATCACAGAATTCTTATGATCTTATGTGCATTTCTTTCAGTACTAGCTATTAGGAAGGCAGAGTCACAGGTTTGGGAGAATCAAAGTTGATCATTTGCAAAATCTCTATGGGAAAACTCCTGAGAACTGCAGATTAAAATCCATGTCAGAGCGTTGACTTTTCCAGTTATGAAGAAATGAATATGTCAGCATGGTGTGTGCCCTAGTAAGACACATTTCCAGAAGTCACACATCTCATATTCTCTAGAGAACTCAGTAGGGCAAGATATTCAGGGATGACAAAAACCTAGTGCCCATGGTTTTGGACAGATAGCCCACAGCCTTACTCCTCACCTCTTTTATCTCTTGGAGTGACTTATTTCCTCTAGTTGCTTTGACCTGCTGTTCTTGCAGCTGCTTCATAGGGAAATGTGGAGGGAAGAGAATAATGGGAAATTTTAGAGTCTTCGGTGGAAAAATATGTCCCTAAGTTGGTATTTTAACTATAGTACTACACAAGTACTATTTCTTGTATTTAATATTCTAAGATTCTAGGATATAGTAATCTTTTTTTACTTTATATGTATAAGAAGGTTATAACTAAGGTGTGTAGTCAGTTACAAGAGATAATTTTTGAGTGAATATAAGAACGAATGAAATGAGTTCATAATCTATCAGAATCACCCAATTATATGATTTTAAAGAAATTCTCCTAAGAAAAATATAAAAATAGCTATTATATAGTCTAGAGATAACTTTATGGATGTCTTTCCTCTCCTCACTTATATCTTTTACATATTTCTTTTGCATCATGTCTTTACCCCTGCTGTCTCTTTTCTTCCCTTTCACACATATACACACATATACATACACATACACACATGTACATACACATATACATATATACATGTATATATGCATGTGTATGTGTGTATAATGAATATATGTGTGTGTCTGTATGTACATATAATTATATATATAACAGTAAATATGTATAAACATTCAATGCCACATGTGTGTTTCATTTAGAATCCGCTCCTTTTTCAGTCCCTGTTATGGTTTGAATGTGTCCCTCCAAAAAATCATGTGTTGGAAACTTAATCCTCAATACAAGAGTGTGGGAGGTAGGGTCTACTGAGACATGATTAGGCCATAATGGCTAAGGGAATATCAATGCTGCTATCATGAGAGTGGGTTCATTATAAAAGGGCACATTTGACCCCTTTTTGCTGTCTCATGCTCTTTGCCCTTCCACCATGGGATGACACAGCGAGGAGGCCCTCACTAGGCACCAACCCCTTGATCTTGGTCTTCCCAGCCTCCAGAACTGTAAGCCAATAGATTTCTGCTCATTATACATTACCCATTCTGTTGTACTCTGTTCTAGCAGTGCAAAATGGACTAAGATGGTCCTCCTCTCCATTTCTCTCTTTCTGTTTTCCATCCCCTTTTAACTTTCTTTTTCCATGTTCCCCCTCCCAAAGTCCAAATCTCTTTGATTTCTCTCATTCCTTTTCTAAACCAATCATTAGTTCTCTCTTCCTTCACATTTCTCTAATCTCCTCATTTTTTTCTTTCTCCACACTCTTCCATGTTTCTCCCATATTAGAAACACACACACTCTCTCTCTTCTTCTGAGGCTCTCTTCCCTCTCCTCCATGTTTTTCTCCCTCCCCTTTCAGCTCAAGCTAACATATTTTACTCTCCTGGTATCTCTGCTAGGTTTTTGTCAGTATCATAATTTTTTGGGATTTATTTTTCTTCATTTATCTGTGTCTTCTTCCTTGTTTTTCTACTTTTATGGATTTGTATCTTTTTTACTCAGTACCCTTCTGAGTTTCTATCACTTCTCTCCATGTTTTTCTAGGTTGCCACACCTTTGGCTGTGTTACTCCCTTTTCTTCTAATGCATTTCTCTCTCTCCCTGCTAAACTTCTCATTCTACAAGTCTGATATGGTTAGGCTTTGTGTCTCCACCCAAATCTCATCTCATCTTGAATTGTAACCCCTATAATCTCCATGTGTCAAGGGAGAGAATGATAGGGGCGGTTTCCCCCATGCTGTTCTCATGATAGTGAGTGAGTTCTCCTATAAGGGGCTCTTCCCCCTTCACTCAGCACTTCCTCTTCCTGCTGCCCTGTGAAGAAGGTGTCTTGCTTCCCTTTTGCCTTCTGCCATAATTGTAAGTTTCCTAAGGCTTCCCCAGGCATGCTGAACCATGAGTCAATTAAACCTCTTTCCTTTATAAATTACCCAGTCTTGGGCAGGTCTTTATACCAGCATGAGAAAGGACTAATAGATATACACATCATGAGCCTGCCATATCTCACAGGAAAAATAATTTGCACCTTCAGCACTAGTTTATATCCACACAAGCACATTTATCACAATATATCACTTATTTATTTCTGAATGCTAGGTAGAGTGGTTGCTGCTAAGACAGGATATGGTGAGGACTATGAGAAAGTGCAAACCTGGATTTGAATCCTACCTGCATCAGTTGGACAAGTTTCTTAGCTTCTCTAGGCATGTTTTACTAACTGGTAATTATAAGATGAACCATATAATTTATTGTCTAAACTGAGGCACTTTTATTGAGAGTGAAAGGGTGGTTCTAAAAACAATTAAAATTAAACGATAGTTGGAAATATTTATGTATTGACCCACAAATTGATTTTGTTTTTTTAATGGACTTATAAAATAGTTTTATGCAAAAACTTTTTAAAACTAAAATCTTCCTAAAGTAAAAATAACATGTTTGTGTATAGTAAAGCAAATTACAAAAAATTTATACTGATTATCTGAACACTAAAACAACATAAGTAGACTAATTATTGTTTGAGACTTAGTTACATACGTTTTTAGCTTATGCTCTTAAGCTACAGACTTTGATGTTTTTTGGTTACCCCAGAAGCATACTGGATCTTAATTTGCATAGTACCTTGAAGGTGAAGGCCTTAGTGTTGAAGGTGGGAAGAAAGTCAGGGGTTGTATTGTGTTTATATGCATATATCCAGTTAATTCTTGTTTTTTCCCAATATGTTACCCACCACCACTCTGGACTGTTCCTAGTGTCCTCCTGTCCATAAGATCCTCTGTCTTAACCTCTTCTAAAAATAAACCTCGAAGTGGGAGATGGTTGGTTAATTTTCTGTCCAGAATGAGGGTGGGCATTTGGGGATCTAGAAAGCTGAGTGCTTCTGAGATTTGCAGTTAATCTTCCTTATTTAAGAATCCCCTCCAACACAGTTCTACTTCCAGTGACTATTTAGTGAGCCTTTTGGGGGATTCTATGAGTCAAATTAGCTTGGTTATTGCCTTCTTCACTACTAGTTTATATTCACTTTTCTTAGGAACTACTGAGTCATTTTCCATTTTCCATATACTTTTCAGCTTCCAAAATTTTGTCAGTGTCATCTCCTCTCCCATCTTCTCCAATTTTGTGTTTCTGTACCTTTAAAACATCCCCTTGGCTTTAAACTTTTTTCTTTGTTAATAGACTTACATTTTTTAGAGCAGTTTTAGTTTTACAGAAAAATTGAGCAGAAAGTACAGCGTTCCCAAATATTCCTTCCATCCCCTACCCCACACAGTTTCCCCTGTTATTAACATGTTGCATTAGTGTGGCACATTTGTTACAATTGATGAACCAATATTGATATTGATACGTTATTAACTGAAGTCCATAGTTTACTTTAGGGTTCACTCTTTGTGTTGTACAGTTTTGACAACTGCATAATGTTATATGTCCACCATTACAGTATCACACAGAAGAGTTTCACTGCCCTAAAAATGCCCTGTGCTCCACCAATTCATCCCTCACTTCCTCTTCTTGAACTCCTGGCAACCACTCATCTTTTTACTGTCCCTATAAGGGACAGTAATGATATATTTGACATATCTGTATGATATATTATATTGCCTTTTCCAGTATGTCATATAGTTGGAATCATATACTATGTAGCCTTTTCATACTGGCTACTTTCACTTAGCAATATGCATTTAAGTTTCCTCCAGACCATTTCTTGGCTTGATAGCACATTTCTTTTCATAACTGAATAATATTCTGCTGTATGGGCATACCACAGTTCGCTTATCCATTTGCCTATTGAGAGACATCTTGGTTGCTTCTAAGCTTTGGCAATTATGAATAAAGCTGCGGTAAATATTTGCATGCAAGTTTCTGTGTGGACATAAATTTTCAGCTTACTTGGGTACATACCAAAGAGTGTAACTGCTGGGTCACATAGTAAGACTATATTTAGCTTTGTAAGAAACGGTCAGACTGTCTTCCTAAGTGGTTTTATACTTTTGCATTTCCCACTCCTGCCTCACCATGAATGAGAGTTCTTGTTACTATACATCCTCACCAGCATTTTGTGTTGTTATTGTTTTTGAATTTAGACATTCTATTAGTGTAGTGATATCTTGTTTTAATTTGCAGTTCCCTAATGACCTATCAGGTAATAGGTCATATTAGTTGTTGAACATATTTTCGTATGCTTATTTGCAATCTATAAATCTTTTTTCATCTGGTGTCTGTTTAGATCTTTTGTCCATTTGTAATTTGGTTGTTTGTTTTCTTATGGAGATTTAATAGTTATTTGTGTATTTTAGATACCAGTCCTTTATCAGATATGCTTTGCAAATATTTTTTCCTAGTCTGTGGCTTGTTGTTTCAATCTCTTTACAGTGTCTTTTGCAGAGCAGAGCTTTCAATTTTAATGAAATCCAAGTTATCAAATTTTTCTTTCATGGATTTTGCTTTTAGCATTATATTTAAAAGTCATTGCCAAACCCAAGGTCACCTAGATTTCTGCCTATGTTATCTTCTAGAACTTTCATACTTTTGTATCTTACATTCAGATCTAGACCTGTTTTATGTTAATTTTTGTGAAAGGTATAAGTCTCTGTCTAGAGTCATTTTGTTATTATAGGCTGTCCAATTGTCCAAGCATCATTTGTTGAAAAGACTCTTCATTGAATTGCTTTTGCTCCTTTGTCAGTGATCAGTTGACTATAGTTGTGTGGTTTTCTATATTTGTGTTTCTGGGCTTTATATTTTCTTCTGTTGATCTATTTGTCTCTTCTTTTGCCAGTACCATACTCTGTTTACTACTCTGCCTGTATAGCTACAGTGAAGACTGTAAAGTAAATCTTGTAAAGTAAAGTAAATCTTGTAAATTAAAGTAAATCTTGAAGTCAGGTAGTGTCAGTTCTTCAACTTTATTATCCCTCAATATTGTGTTGGCCATCCTGGGTATTTTGGCTTTTGATATAAACTTTAGAATAAGTTTGTCAATTTCTACAGATATTTGATTGGGATTGTGTGGAATCTCTAGATAAGTTTGGGAAGAACTGACATGATAAAAATATTGAGTCTTCCTTTTCATGTATATAGACTTTTTTTTTTTTTTTTTTTTTTGAGATGGAGTCTCGCTCTGTCACCCAGGCTGGAGTGCGGTGGCGCCATCTCTGCTCACTGCAAGCTCCGCCTCCCAGGTTCACGCCATTCTCCTGCCTCAGCCTCCCGAGTAGCTGGGACTACAGGCGCCCACCACCGTGCCCGGCTAATTTTTTGTATATTTAGTAGAGACGGGGTTTCACCATGCTAGCCAGGATAGTCTCCATCTCCTGACCTCGTGATCCGCCCACCTCGGCCTCCCAAAGCGCTGGGATTACAGGCATGAATACATAGACTATTTCTTTATTTCTTTAGGTGTGTGTGTGGTTTTAAGAAATTCTTTCATAAGTTTTGCAGTTTCCCTCAAAATGAATGTTGTACATATGTTGTTAGACTTATACCTAAGTATTTCATTTGTTTGGCACTAGTACAAATGATGTTGTGTTCTTAATTCCTAATTCCAATTGTTCATTGCTAGTATGTAGGAAAGCAATTGATTTTTTGCATATTAATCTTGTATCCTGCAACCTTGCTATAATCGTTTATTAGTTCTGGGAGATTTTTGTTGTTGTTGGTTCTTTTGAGATTTTTCTACATAAACAATCATATCATCTGGGAACAAAGACCTTTTTTCCTTTCTTCCAAATCTACATACCTTTTATTTATTTTATTTGTCTTATTGAATTAATTAGGACTTCCACTATGATGCTGATTAGGATTGGTAAATTAGAGTGGGGGCATCCTTGCCTTGTTCTTGATCTTAGAGGAAATGCTTCTAGTTTCTCACCATTAAATATGATATTAACTGTAGGATTTTTGTAGATGTTCTTTATCACATTGAAGATGATCCCTGAGAGTTTTTGTCATGAATGGGTATTGGATTTTGCCATATGTCTTTCTGCATCTGTTGATATCATTGTAGGACTTTTATTCCTTAGCATGTTAATGTGATCTATTGCAATAATTTACCTTCAAATGTTGAACAAACCTTGCATATTTGGAATGAATCCCAATTGGTTGCACTGTATAGTTTCTTTTATATATCATTGAATTCCATTTGCTAATATTTTGTTGAGGGATTTTGCATTTCTATTAGTGGGAGATATTGGCCTATAGTTTTTCTCGTCTTGTAATTTCTTTGGCTTTAGTATTAGTATAATACTGGCGTCATAGAATGAGTTAGAATGTATTTGCTCACTTCTATTTTCTGGAAGAGATTTTAAAGAATTGGTATCATTTCTTCCTTAAATTTTTGGTAGGATTCAACCTACCAAACACTATTTCAGCTTAGTGAGTTCTGTTTTAAGAGGATATTAATTATTGATTCAATTTCATCAATTGATATTGGCATACTCAGATTATCTGTTTCTCCTTGTATGAGTTTTGGTAGTTTGAGTCTTTCAAGAAATTGGTCCGTTTCATATAAGTTTCATTTCATCAAAATCATGGGCATAGAGCTGTTCATAACATTTCTTTATTATCCTTTTGATGTTCATAGGCTCAGTAGTGATAGCTCCTCTTTCATTTATGATATTAGTAATTTGTATCTTCCTTCTTTCTTTCTTAGATAGCCTGATTAGAGGTTTATCCATTTTATGGATCTTTTCAAAGAACCAGCTTTTGGTTTCATTGATTTTCTTTCTTGATTTTCTGTTTTCAATTTCATCGAGTTATGTTCTAATTTTTATTAATGCTTTCCTTTACATTAGCCTGGGAGAAAGTCTACTTGGCCCTCAATAACTAGTGACAAGTCTGTCCATTTGTGTCGACAGACTCAGTCTTTCTTCCTGTGATGAGTTAAGCTAATAAAACCTCAGGAAAGGCAGTTGTGATCTTATTTGGAAAGTATGACTTCTAGGTAGATAAGATAACTTCAGAGAACAACTTCACTTTGTGCTTTGGGAGACACAGAGGATTGAAATAGGGGTGGGGCAGGGAGAGGTCAGAGAGACCTTGAGTCTTCTTTTTCAGTTCAGCCTGTCAAAGCACCATATTTTGGAGTATTGGTTTCTGATCCCCAACACAATCAATGTTACATACTACTCTCAAAGTACTGCTTTTGCTGCAACTTGCAAATTTAAATAGGTTACATTTTCTTATTCATTTAGTTCAAAGTATTTTTAAATTTCTCTTGAGGCATCTTCTTTCTTTTGTTTTTGTTTTTGTTTTTGAGATGGAGTCTCACTCTATTGCCCAGGCTGGAGTGCAGTGGTGTAATCTCGGTTCACTGCAACCTGCCTCCCAGGTTCAAGTGATTCTCCTGTTGAGGCATCTTCTTTCACTTGTGTGTCACTTAGGAGTGTGTTGTTTAATCTCTAAGTATTTTAGGATTTCCCATTTATCTTTCTGTTATTGATTCCTAATTTAATTCTTTTATGGCCTGAATGCATACTTTGTATAATTTCTACTCTTTTAAATTTGATGTGCTTGTGAGACTCATGATAACCACAATACAAAAACCTATAATAAACTAATAAAAACCAACAAATTAAACATACTATCAGAGAACAATTAACTACAAAAGATGACAGTAAGAAAGGGAGAAAGGAAGCGAGGAGTTACAAAGCAATCAGAAAACAAGAAACAAAATGGCAGCAGTAAGTCTTCCCTTATCAATAATAATACTGAATGTAAATGGACTCAGTTCTCTGATTAAAAGACATAGAATGACTTAATGGATAAAGAAAAAAGACTTAACTATATCATGCCTACAAGAAACTTACTTCACCTCTAAAGACACACATAGACTGAAAGTGAAAGGGTAGAAAAAGATATTCCACGCAAGTGGAAATCAAAAAAGAGCAAGGGTAGCTATACTAACTTCAGACAAAATAGACTACAAGTCAAAGACTGTACAAAGAGAAAAAGAGTGTCACTATATAATAAAGGAGTCAATACAGCAAGAAGATATAATAATTATAAATATCTATGTGCATAACACCAGAGATTCCAAGTATATAAAGCAAACATTAATAGGTCTGAAGGCAGATATAGACTGCAATATAATAATCATAGGGGACTTCAGCACCACACTTTCAGTGATGGACAGATCATCTAGACAGAAAATCAACAAAGAAACATTGGAGTTAAACTATATACTAGACCAAATCGGCCTAACTGCCATCTGCAGAACATTTCACCCAACTGCTGCAGAATACACATTCTTTTTTATCGGTTAGTGGAACATTCTCCAGAATAGACCATATATTAGTTCACAAAACAAGTCTCAAAAAATTCAAAAAGGAAAAATCATATCAAGTATATTTTTCTGACAACAATGGAATAAAACTAGAAATCAATAACAAGAGGAATCTTAGAAAATTCATAGAAATTAAACAACATGCTCCTGAATGACCAATGGGTCAATGAAGAAATGAAGAAGGAAAATTAAAATGTCTTTAAACAAATTAAAGTGGAAGTGCAACATACCAAAACCTATGGGATACAGTAAAAGCAGTACTAAGAGGGAAGTTTATAACAATAAATGCCTATATCAAAAAAGTTGAAATGCTTCAAATAAGCAATCTAACAGTGCACCTCAAGGAACGAGAAAAGCAAGAACAAACCAAACTCTAAACAAGAAGGAAAGGAATAATAAAGATTAGAGCAGAAATAAACAAAATTGAGACTAAAGAACACAGAAGATCAATAAAATGAAAAGTTGATTTTTTGAAAAGATAACAAAATTGGCAACCTTTAGGTAGACTAAGAAAAAAAGAGAGAAGACCCAAATAAATAAAATCAGAAATGAAAAAGGAAACATAACAACTGACACTTAAGAAATCCAAAGAATCATTAGAGACTATTATGAACAACTATACACTGGCAAATTGGAAAACCTAGAAGACATACGTAAATTCCTGGATGCATACTACCTACCAAGATTGAACCATGATGAAACAGAAAACCTCAACAAACCAATAATAAATAATGATATCAAAGCCATAATAAAAAGTCTCATCTCAAAGAAAAGCCCAGAACCTGGTGGCTTCCCTGCTGAATTCTACCAAACATATAAAGAAGGACTAATCCTGCACGATTTTTAATTTGATTAGATCCATTTTTCCTGGCTTTTTTGAGATAATCATTCTTTCCTTCCCTCCTTTTTTCTATTAATATGGTGAATTACATTATAGGTTTGTTAAACTAACTTTCCATTCTTGATATAAACATATCTTTGTCATTCTGTATTAACCTTTTTATCCATTGCTGGATTCAGTTTGCTAATATTTTACTTATATTCTTTGCATTTCTTTCCTGATTTTGAGTTTGGCCAGTGACTTTATACTTTGTGTCCTCATAGTTTTTTTTATTTTTTTATTTAAAAAATATTTTTTGACTTCTATTCTTTTTTTATTTTGTATTTTATTATACTTTAAGTTTTAGGGTACATGTGCACAATGTGCAGGTTTGTTACATATGTATACATGCACCATGTTGGTGTGCTGCACCCATTAACTCGTCATTTACATTAGGTATATCTCCTAATGCTATCCCTCCCCCCTCCCCCAACCCCATGACAGGCCCCAGTGTGTGATGTTCCCCTCCCTGTGTCCAAGTGTTCTCATTGTTCAGTTCCCACCTATGAGTGAGAACATGCGGTGTTTGGTTTTTTGTCCTTGTGATAGTTTGCTGAGAATGATGGTTTCCAGCTTCATACATGTCCCTACAAAGGACATGAACTCATCCTTGTTTATGGCTGCATAGTATTCCATGGTGTGTATGTGCCACATTTTCTTAATCCAGTCTATCATTGATGGACATTTGGGTTGGTTCCAAGTCTTTGCTATTGTGAATAGTGTTGCAATAAACATACGTGTGCATGTCTTTATAGCAGCATGTTTTATAATCCTTTGGGTATGTACCCAGAAATGGGATGGCTGGGTCAAATGTTATTTGTAGTTTTAGATCCTTGAGGAATCGCCACACTGTCTTCCACAATGGTTGAACTAGTTTACAGTCCCACCAACAGTGTAAAAGTGTTCCTATTTCTCCACATCCTCTCCAGCACCTGTTGTTTCCTGACTTTTTAATGATTGCCATTCTAACTGGTGTGAGATGGTATCTCATTGTGGTTTTGATTTGCATTTCTCTGATGTCCAGTGATGATGAGCATTTTTTCATGTGTCTGTTGGCTGCATAAATGTTTTCTTTTGAGAAGTGTCTGTTCATATCCTTCGCCCACTTTGTGATGGGGTTGTTTGTTTTTTTTCTTGTAAATTTGTTTGAGTTCTTTGTAGGTTCTGGATATTAGCCCTTTGTCAGATGAGTAGATTGCAAAAATTTTCTCCCATTCTGTAGGTTGCCTGTTCACTCTGATGGTAGTTTCTTTTGCTGTGCAGAAGCTCTTTAGTTTAATTTGATCCCATTTGTCAATTTTGGCTTTTGTTGCCATTGCTTTTGGTGTTTTAGACATGAAGTCCTTGCCCATGCCTATGTCCTGAATGGTATTGCCTAGGTTTTCTTCTAGGGTTTTTATGGTTTTAGATCTAACATTTAAGTCTTTAATCCATCTTGAATTAATTTTTGTATAAGGTGTAAGGAAGGGATCCAGTTTCAGCTTTCTACATATGGCTAGTCAGTTTTCCTAGCACTATTTATTAAATAGGGAATCCTTTCCCCATTTCTTGTTTTTATCAGTTTTGTCAAAGATCAGATTGTTGTAGATGTGTGGTATTTTTTTTTTTTTGCCCAGCTTTTGTATCAAAGTCATACCAGCCTCATAAAATAAATTAGGGAGTGATTCTTCATTTTTTCCTTCTTGAAATATATTCTGTAAGACTGGATTTATTTATTCCTTATGTGTTAAGAGAAAGTTCTATATTCACTTTCTTTTGCTGTGGCAAATAATTACAAAAAATTTTAGCAACTTAAAAAAGCACCAATTTATTATCCCACAGTACTGTGGATAAGTAAGGGGGCAGGGCTGGTTTCATCTCTTTGAATCTCATAAGACCAAAATTAAGGTGTCAGTAGGGCCATATTTCTTTCTTTAGCATCAAGGGTAGAATCCATTTTGAAGCTCATCAGGTTGTAGTCAAAATTCAGTTCCATACAGCTATAGGAATGAGGTTTCCTTTTCTTTGAATAAGATAATTAGTAACCTTAATTCCATCTGCAAAGTCCCTTTGACATGCAACATAACATGTTAAAAAGCATAACACCATGGAAAAAGATCATGGGGGCCAAAAATTCTGCCTGCCAAAAGCTCAGTTGAAAAACCATTTGTGCTTGCTTTCTCTCTGTAGAAAATTCTAACTACTGATCTCATAAATAATTATAATAATTTTAAGATTTTATATTTCTCCTTAACTCAGTTTGAAAAGTGAAATTTTTACAGAAATTTAGTCATTTTATCTACATTTTCAAACTATTTATATATTTTTCATAATATTATCATTTCAAAAAAATTTCAACTTATATTTTAGATTCAGGGGGTACATGTACAGGTTTATTAAGTGGTTATATTGCATGATGATGAAGTTTGGGGTATGATTGTTTGCATCACTCAGGTAGTGAGAATAGTACCCAATAAGTAGTTTTTCAGCCCTTCCCCCTGAGTCGTTTCCAGTGTCTGTCATTCTCATCTTTATGTCCATGTGCACATAATATTAGCTCCCACTTCTAAGTGAGAACATGTGGTATCGGTTTTCTTTTCTTGCATTAGTTTGCTAGGATAATGGTCTCCAGCTCCATTTATGTTTCTTCAAGGATATGATTTTATATTTTTAGGGATGCATAGCATTCTATGGTGTATATATACCACATTTACTTTATCTAGTCTGCCATTGATGGCCATTTAGGTTGATTCCATGTCTTTGCTACTGTGAATAGTATGGCAGTGAAGATATGCATGCATGTGTCTTTATGGTAGAACAATTCATATTCCTTTGAGTATATACCCAGTAATGGGATAAACTGGGTTAAATGGCAGTGCTGTTTCTGGTTCTTTGAGAAATCACCACACTGCTTTCCACAATGGCTGAACTAATTTACACTTTCAACAACAGTGTATAAGCATTCCCTTTTCTTTGCAGCCTGGCCAGATTCTGTTATTTTTTGACTTTTTAATAAAAGCCATTCTGACAGATGTGAGATGATATATCATTGTGGTATTGATTTGCCTTTCTCTAATGATCAGTGATATTGAGCTTTTTTCCATATGATTGTTGGCTGCATGTATGTCTTCTTTTGAGAAGTGTCTGTTCATGTCCTTTGCCCACTTTTTAATGAGGTTGTTTTATTTTTCTTGTAAACTTGTTTAAGTTCCTTATGGATACTGGATATTAGATCTTTGTCAGATGCATAGTTTGCAAAATTTTTCTCCCATTCTGTAGGTTGTCTGTTCATTCTGTTGACAGTTTATTTTGTTGGGCAGAAGCTGTTAAGTTTAATTAGATCCCATCTGTTAATTTTTGCTTTAGTCATGATTGCTTTTGGCGTCTTTTTGATGAAATATTTGCCCATTCCTATGTCCAGGAAGGTATTGCCTACATTGTCTTCCAGGGTTTTTATAGTTTTGGGTTTTACATATATGTCTTTATTCAGTCTTGAGTTGATTTTTGTATATGGTGTAAGGAAGGGGGTCCAGCTTCAATTGTCTGCATATCATTATCCAGTTATCCCAGCACCATTTATTGAAGAGGGAATCCTTTCCGCATTGCTTGGTTTTGTTAGCTTTGTCGAAGATCAGATTGTCCTTGATGTGCAGCCTTATTTGTGGGCTCTCTCTTCTGTTCCATTGGTCTATGTGCCTGTTTTTGTACCAGTACCATACTGTTGTGGTCACTGTAGCCTTGTAGTATAGTTTGAAGTGAGGTAATGTGATTCCTCCAGCTTTGTTCTTTTTGCTTAGGATTGCCTTGGCTATTTAGGCTCTTTTTCAGTTCCATATGAATTTTAATATAGTTTTTTTTCTAGTTCTGTGAAGAATGTCATTGGTAGTTTTATAGGAATAGCATTGAATCTGTACATTGCTTTGGGCAGTATAGCCATTTTAATGATATTTGATTCTTCCTATCCTTGAGCATGGGATGTTTTTCCATTTGTTTGCATCTTCTCTGATTTATTTGAGCAATGTTTTGTAATTCTCATTGTAAATATCTTTCATCTCCCTGGTTAGCTGTATTTCTAGGTATTTTATTCTTTCTGTGGCAATTGTGAATGGGGTTGCATTCCTGATTTGGCTCTTAGCTTGACTGTTGGTCATGTATAGCAATGCTAGTGATTTTTGTATATTGATTTTGTATCCTGAAGCTTATCAGCTGGAGGAGATTTTTGGGCTGAGACTATGGGGTTTTCTAGATGTAGAATCATGTCATCTGCAGACAGAGATAATTTGACTTCCTATCTTCCTATATGGATACGCTTTATTTCTTTCTCTTTCCTGATTGCTCTGGCCAGGGCTTCCAATACTATGTTGAATAGAAGTGGGGAGAGAGAGCATCCTTGTGTTGGTTTTCAAGGGGAATGTTTCCAGCTTTTGCCAATTCAGTATTATGTTGGCTGTGGGTTTGTGATAGATGGGTCTTAACTATTTTGACGTATGTTCCTTCAATACCTAGTTTATTGAAAGCTGTTGTATTTTATCTAAAGCCTCTTCTGCATTTATTGAGATAATCGTGTTTTTTTGTCTTTAGTTCTGTTTATGTGATGAATCACATTTGTTGATTTGCATACATTGGACCAACCTTGCATCCCAGGGATAAAATCTGCTTAATCGTGGTGGATTAGCTTTTTGATTTGCTGCTGGATTTGGTTTGCAAGTATTTTGTTGAGAGTTTTTGCATCAATATTCATGCAGGATATAGGCATGAAGTCTTCTTTTTTTGTTGCATCTCTGTCAGGTTTTGGTATCAGGAAGATGCTGGCCTCATAGAATGAGTTGGGAAGAAGTCCTTCCTATTTTTTGGGAATAGTTTTAGTAGGAATGGTAGCATCTCTTCTTTGTACATTTGGTACAATTAGGCTGTGAATCTATCTAGTACTGGACTTTTTTGGTTGGTAAGCTATTTATTACTGATTCATTTTCAGAGCTCAATGTTGTTCTGTTCAGGGAATCAATTTTTTCCTGGTTCAGTCTTGGGAGGATGTATGTGTTTAGGAATTTATTAAGCCTGATGATTAATCTGTGGGGTCAGTGGTAACATCCCTTTTGTCATTTCTAACTAGGTTTTTTTGAATCTTCTTTCTTTTCTTCTTTGTCTAGCTAGTGGCCTATCTGATTAGTTTTTTTCTAAAATCCAACATTTGGATTTGTTGATCTTTTGAGTGTTTTGTGTGTGTGTGTGTGTGTGTGTGTGTGTGTGTGTCTCAGTATCCTTCAGTTCAGCTCTGACTTTGGTTATTTCTTGTGTTCTGCTAGCTTGGCATTGGTTTACTCTTGGTTCTCTAGTTCTTTTAGTTGTGATTTTAAGTTGTTAATTTGAGATCTTTCTAACATTCTGATGTGGGCATTTAGTGCTATAAATTTTCCTCTGAACACTGCATTAGCAGTGTCCCAGAGATTGTGGTATATTGTCTATTTATTCTCATTAGTTTCAAAGAACTTCTTGATTTCTGCCTTAATTTCATTATTTATTCAATAGTCATTCAGGAGCAGCTTGTTTAATTTCCATGTGATTGAATGGTTTTGAAAACATTTTTTAGTCTTGGTTTGTATTTTTATTGCACCGTGGTCTGCAGTAAAGAAGGCAATGAGAATAATGCATACTCTGTTGTTTTGGGGTGGAGAGGTATGTTGGATCCATTTTTTTCTAATGTTGAGTTCAGGTCCTGAATATCTTTGTTAATTTTCTGCCTCAATGATCTGTCTAATACTGTCAGGGTAGTGTTGAAATCTTCTACTATTATTGTAAAGGAATCTAAATCTCTTTGTAGGTCTCTAAGAACTTGCATTATGAATCTGAGTGCTCTTATGTTGGTTGCATATATGTTTAGAATAGTTAGGCCTTCTTGTTGAATTGAACCCGTTACCATTGTGTAATGCCCTTCTTTGTCTTTTTTGGTCTTTGTTGGTTTAAAGTATGTTTTGTCTGAAATTAGGATTGCAACCCCTGCTTTTGTCTGTTTTCCATTTGCTTGGTTGATTTTTCTCCATCCCTTTATTTTGAGCCTATGTGTGTTATTGCATGTGAGCTGGATGTTTTGAAGACAGCATACCAATGGGTCTTGGTTCTTTATCCACCTTGCCACTCTGTGTGTTTTAATTGGGGCATTTGGCCCACTTACATTTAAGGTTAGTATTGATATGTGTGAATTCGATCCTGTCGTCATGATGCTAGCTAGTTATTTTGCAGCCTTGTTTATGTGGTTGCTTTATAGTTTCACTGGTTTGTGTACTTAAGAGTGTTTTTGTATTGGCTGGTAATGATCTTTCCTTTCCATATTTAGTGCTTCCTTCAAAAACTCTTGTAAAACACGTCCGATGGAAACAAATTTCCTCAGCATTTGCTTCTCTGAAAAGGATCTTATTTCTCTTTTGCTTATGAAGCTTACTTTGGCTAGATATGAAATTCTTGGATATATTTTTTTTTCTTTAAGAATGTTGAATATTAGCCCCCAATCTCTTCTAGATTGTAGGGTTTCAGCTGAGAGGTCTGCTGTGCATCTCATAAGCTTCCCTTTGTATGTGACCTGACCTTTCTCTCTAGCTGCCTTTAACTTTTTTTTTTTATTTTAACCTTGGAGAATCTGATGATTATGTGTCTTAGGGATGATCTTCTTCTGAAGTATCTTACTGGGGTTTTCTGCATTTCCTGAATTTGAATGTTGGCTTCTCTAGCAAGTTTGGGGAACATTTAATAGACGATGTCCTAAAATATGTTTTTCAGGTTGTTTGCTTTCTCCTCATCCCTTTCAAGGATGCCAATATCCTATATTTTGCAGAAGTTATGTTCATTCCATTTCATTCTTTCTTCTTTATTTTTGTCTGACTGTCTTATTTCATAGAGCCAATCTTCAAATTTTGAGATTCTTTCTTCAACTTGGTCTATTCTTTTGTTAATACTTGTGATTGCATTTTGAAATTCTTATAGTGTATTTCTCAGCTTCATCAGATCAGTTTCTTTTTCTTACAAGCTATTTTGTCTGTTAGCTTCTACATTGCTTTATTGTGATTCTTAGTTTCCTTGAATTGGGTTTTGTCATTCTCCTGAATCTTGATGATCTTCATTCATACCCATATTCTGAATTCTATTTCTGTCATTTCAGCTAACTTAACCTGGATAATTATACTTTTTGGAGAACTAGTGCAGATGTTTGAAGGACATAATACACTCTGGCCATTTGAGTTTCTGGTGTCCTTCCATTGGTTCTTTCTCATCTCTGCATGTGGGTATACCTTTAACTGCTGGGCTGCCTCTGACTGAAGTGGTCAGGTGGGGACAGAGTGATTGTGCTGGAGTCCTAGGTTGGGTGACTCTGCCTAGGAAGAAGTGAGGACCAGGAGAACACTCTGGTCACTTTTCCATGAGGTGGGTGCTCTGTACTAGGGGTCGTGACCAGCTCCTGGTCTCTGGTCTCCATGGTCTCTCCAGAGCCTAGAGACAGCAAGCATGAGGGCTTTGAGACAGCAAAGTTGGCAACGCACCCCTCCCACTAGGAGCTCTCTCTCAAGGAGTCACAGAGCTGCTACTGGCTTGATAGCCCCAGCCAAGGGTGGCTGTAGACCCAAGCTGGGAAGACCTACTCAGTGAGGAGATATGGGATCAGGGTCCTGTGTAACAAGCAGTCTGGCCACTTTTCCATAGGGCTGCTGCAGTATGCTGGGGGTTTGCTCCAACCCCTGATCAACTTGACTTTTCCAGCACCTCAAGGTATCAACAGTGATGGCTGCGAAACAGCAAAGATGGCAGCCTGACCCTGCCTCTGGGAGCTCCATCCCAGGGAAGTACAGACCTGTTGACAGCCTGAACACACCAGCAAAGGTGGTTGTGGACCTAGGCCTGGAGATTCTGCCCAGTGGGGGACTACTTCTGTCCCTAGTCACCTTGGACTTGAACCAGCTTTTCGTTTCATTTATCTTTTGTATTTTTATTTTCTTTCAATTTTATTTAGTTCTGCTCTGATCTTTGTTATTTTCTTTCTTCTGCTGGGTTTGGGTTTGGTTTGTTCTTTTTCCTTCATTTCCTTGAGTTGTGACCTCAGATTGTCACTTTGTGCTCTTTCAGACTTTTTGATGTAGGCATTTAATGCTTTGAACTTTTTTTCTTAGCACCACTTTTGCCATATCCCACAAGTTTTGATAGGTTGTGTCACTATTATGGTTCAGTTCAAAGGATTTTTAAATTTTTATCTTGATTTCAATGTTGACCCAATGATCATTCAGGAGCACGTTATTTAATTATCATGTATTTGCATGGTTTTGATAGTTCCTTCTGGAGTTGATTTCTAATTTTATTCCACTGTGGTCTGAGAGAGTACTTGACATAATTTGATTCTCTTAAATTTACTGAGACTTGCTTTGTGGTCTATCATATGGTCTATCTTGGAGAATGTTCCATGTGGTGATGAATAGAATGCATATTCTGTAGTTGTTGGGTAGAAAGTTCTATAAATATCTCTTCAGTCCATTTTATGTAGGGTGTAGATTAAGACCACTGGTTCTTTGTTGACTTTCTGTCTTGATGACCTGTCTAGTGCTGTCAGTGGAGTATTAAAGTCCCCCACTATTATTGTGTTTCCATCTACGTCATTTCTTAAGTCTAGTAGTAATTGTTTTTAAATTTGGGAGCTCTAGTGTTAGGTGCATATATATTTAGTATTGTGATATTTTCCTGTTGGACTAGTGTTTTTTATCATCATATAATGTCCCTCTTTGTCTTTTTTAACTGCTGTTGCTTTAAAGTTTGCTTTGTCTGATATAAAAATAGGTATTCCTGGCTGAGCATGGTGGCTCACACCTGTAATCCCGACACTTTGGGAGGCTGAGGTGGGTGGATCACCTGAGGTCAGGAGTTCAAGACCAGCCTGAGCAATATGGTGAAACCCTGTCTCAAGTAAAAATACAAAAATTAGCCTGGCATGGTGGCAGGTGCCTGTAGTACCAGCTACTTGGGAGGTTGAGACAGGAGAAGTGCTTGAACCCAGGAGGCAGTGGTTGCAGTAAGCTGAGATGGTGCCGCTGCACTCAAGCCTGGGTGACAGAGTGAGACTCTATCTCAAAAATAAAATAAAATAAAATAAATAAAAATAAAAAGTGATTCTTGCTCCCTTTTGGTGTCCATTTGCATGGAATATCTTTTTCGAGGAGTTTTTTTCTGTGTGTGTGTGTGGGTTAAGTGAGTGTACTGAAGACAGCAGATACTTGGTTGGTGAATTCCTTTTTTTTTTATTATACTTTAAGTTCTAGGATACATGTACAGAACATACAGGTTTGTTACATAGGTATACGTGTGCCATGGTTGTTTGCTGCACCCATCAACTGATCATTTACATTAGGTATTTCTCCTAATGCTATCCCTCCCCTTGTTCCCCGCCCCCTGACAGGCCCTGGTGTGTGATGTTCCCTTCCTTGTCCCCATATGTTCTCAATGTTCAACTCTCACTTATGAGTGAGAACATGCAGTGTTTGGTTTTCTGTTCTTGTGTTAGTTTGCTGAGAATGATGCTTTCCAGCTTCATCCATGTCCCTGCAAAGGACATGAACTCATCCACTTTTATGGCTGCATAGTATTCCATGGTGTATATGTGCCACATTTTCTTTATCCATTGTAATATTGATGGGAATTTGGGTTGGTTCCAAGTCTTTGCTATTGTGAATAGTGCTGCAATAAACATACATGTGCATGTGTCTTTATAGTAGAATGATTTCTAATCCTTTGGGTATATACTCAGTAATGGGGTTCCTGGGTCAAAGGGTATTTCTAGTTCTAGATCCTTGAGGAATATTGCCACACTCTCTTCCACAATGGTTGAACTAATTTACACTCCTACCAACAGTGCAAAAGTGTTCCTATTTCTCCACATCCTCTCCAGCATCTGTTGTTTCCTGACTTTTTAATGATCACCATTCTAACTGGCGTGAGATGGTGTCTCATTGTGGTTTTGATTTGCATTTCTCTAATGACCAGTGATGATGAGCTTTTCTTCTTATGTTTCTTGGCCACATAAATGTCTTCTTTTGAAAAGTGTCTGTTCATATCCTTCACCCACTTTTTGATGGGGTTGTTTGTTTTTTTTCTTGTAAATTTGTTTAAGATCCTTGTACATTCTGGATATTAGCCTTTTGTCAGATGGATAGATCGCAAAAATTTTCTCCCATTCTGTAGGTGGCCTGTTCACACTGATGATATTTTCTTTTGCTGTGCAGAAGCTCTTTAGTTTAATTTGATCCTATTTGTCAATTTTGGCTTTTGTTGCCATTGCTTTTGGTGTTTTAGTCATGAAGTCTTTGCCCATGCCTATGTCCTGAATGGTATTGCTTAGGTTTTCTCCTAGGATTTTTGTCGTTTTAGGTCTTATGTTTAAATCTTTAATCCATCTTAAGTTAATTTTTGTATAATGTGTAAGGAAGGGGCCTAGTTTCAGCTGTCTGCATATGGCTGGCCAGTTTTCCCAACACCATTTATTAAATAGAGAATACTTTCCTCATTGCTTGTTTTTGTCAGGTTTGTCAAAGATCAGATGGTTGTAGATATGTGGTGTTATTTCTGAGGCCTCTGTTCTGTTCCATTGGTCTATATATCTGTTTTGGTACCAGTAACATGCTATTTAGGTTACTGCAGCCTTCTAGTGTAGTTTTAAGCCAGGTAGTGTGATGCCTCCAGCTTTGTTCTTTTTTCTTAGGATTGTCTTGGCTATACGGGCTGTTTTTTGGTTCCGTATGAAATTTAAAGTAGTTTTTTCTAGTTCTGTGAAGAAAGTCAATGGTAGCCTGATGGAAATAGCATTGACTCTGTAAGATACTTTGGGCAGTATGGCTATTTTTACAATATTGATTCCTCCTATCCATGAGCATGGAATATTTTTACATTTGTTTGTGTCCTCTCTTGTTTCCTTGAGTAACGGTTTGTAGTTCTCCTTGAAGATGTCCTGCATGTCCCTTATGAGTTGTATTCCTAGGTATTTTATTGTTTTTGTAGCAATTGTGAATGGGAGTTCACTTATGATTTGGCTCTCTGCTTGTCTATTATTGGGGTATTGAAATGCTTGTAATTTTTGCACATTGATTTAGTATTCTGAGATTTTGCTGAAGTTGTTTATCAGCTTAAGGAGTTTTTGGGCTGAGATGATAGGGCTTTCTAAATATACAATCATGTCATCTGCAAACAGAGACAATTTGACTTTCTGTTTCTATTTGAATACTCTTTGTTTCTTCCTCTTGCCTGATTACTCTGGCCAGAACTTCCAAAACTATGTTGAATAGGAGTGGTGAGAGAGGGGATCCTTGTCTTATGCCCATTGTCAAAGGGAATGCTTCCAGCTTTTGCCCATTTAGTATGATATTGGCTATGGGTTTGTCATAAATAGCTCTTATTTTTTTGAGATACCTTCCATCAGTACCTAGTTTATTGAGTGTTTTTAGCATGAAAGGGTGTTGAATTTTATTGAAGACCATTTCTGAATCTATTGAGATAATCATGTGGTTTTTGTCATTGGTTGTGTTTACGTGATGGATTATGTTTATTGATTTGCTTAGTTTATCCAGCCTTGCATCCCAGGGAATAAAGCCGACTTGATCGTGGTGGATAAGCTTTTTGATGTGCTGCTGTATTCGGTTTGCCAGTATTTTATTGACGGTTTTTGCATCGATGTTCATCAGTGATATTGGCCTGAAATTTCACTTTCTTGTGTGTGTGTCTCTGCCAAGTTTTGGAATCAGGATGATGCTGGCCTCATAAAATGAGTTAGGGAGGAGTCCCTCTTTTTCTATTGTTTGAGATAGTTTCAGAAGGAATGGTACCAGCTCCTCTTTGTACCCCTGTAGAATTAGGCTGTGAATCTGTCTGGTCTGGAGCTTTGTTTTGTTTGTAGGCTATTAATTACTGCCTCAATTTCAGAACTTGTTATTAGTCAATTCAAGGATTTGACTTCTTCCTGGTTTAGTCTTGGGAGGGTGTATGTGTCCAGGAATTTATCCATTTCTTCTAGATTTTTTAGGTTATTTGCATATAGGTGTTTATAGTATTTTCTGATGGTGGTTTGTATTTCTGTGGGATCAGTGGTGATATCCCCTTTATCATTTTTTATTGTGTCTATTTGATTCTTCTCTCTTTTCTTCTGGTTAGTGGTCTATGTATTTTGTTGATCTTTTCAAAATACCAGTTCCCGGATTCATTGATTTTTTTGAAGGGTTTTTCATGTCTCTATCTCTTTCCATTCTGTTCTGATCTTAGTTATTTCTTGTCTTCTGCTACATTTTGAATGTGTTTGCTCTTGCTTCTCTAGTTCTTTTAACTGTGATGTCTTGCTGGGTTCTAGGTGACACTGGGGTACAAAAAAAAAAAAAAAGAAAAAAAAAAGAAAACTGCAGCAAGCTTGCTCTCTCCCTAACAGCCACCCAGTTTTGTGCTTGAAACCCAGGGCCCTGGTTGTATAGGCACATGAGGTAATCTCCTGGCCTGTGGATTGCAAAAAGCATGGGAAAAGCATAGCATCTGGGCTGGATAGCACAGTGCCTCACAGCTTCCCTTGGCTGGGAAAGGGAGGCTCTCCGGCTCCTTGCACTTCGGGTAAGGCAATGCCCCACCCTGCTTCTGCTCACCCTCCTTGGGTTGCACCCACTGCCTAACTAGTCCCAATGAAATGAACAGGGTGCCTTAGTTGGAAATGCAGAAATCACCTGTCTTCTGCATTGGTCTCACTGGGAGCTGCAGACCAGAGCTGTTCCTATTCGGCCATCTTGCCAGCCACACCCTCAAGTGTTCTCCCTTGACATTTATTACAGGGAAATCTACCAGCAATGGATTCCCTTAGCTTTGTTTATCTGAGAGATTCTTAATTGCTTGCTCATTTTTGAAGAATAATCTTGCTGGACATAGGATTTTTGATTGAAAGTTTTCTCTGTCAGTATTTAAAAATATCATCCCACTGTTTTCTGATTTTCATGGTTTATGAGGAGAAATTGACTGTTATTCTTATTGAGGCTCTCTTTTATGTGATGAGTCACACGTCTCTTGCATCACTCCTCTCTTGCTGCTTTAAGGATTTTATCTTTCTTTCTGTCTTTTCATGGTTTGATTGTAATATGTCTCAGTGTGGATCTCTGGGTTTATCTTGCTTGAAGATTTTTCATCTTCTTGAATGAAGGCTCACGTCTTTTCAAATTTGATGAGTTTGTGAACATTATTTCCTCAAATTTTCCATTTCTTTCTCTCTTCCCTTTAGAACCTTTATAATTCATATGTTGCTATGTTTGATGGTGTCCTGCAGGTCTCTGAGGCTGTGTATGCATTTTTCTTTGTTCTTTTTGATTTCCACTCCTCTGATTGGGTGTTTCAATTGCTTTATCTTCAAGTATGCCGATTTTTTCTTTGCGTTTTCAAATCTGTTGATCCCTTCAGTGAGTTTAGTTCAGATATTGTGTTTTTCAACTTCAGGATTTGTATAAATTTCTATAATTTTTGTTTTTTTCTTGAGACAGGGTCTTTGCTGCACCCTGGTTGGTAATTGATGTTCATTGGTATTCAGTGCTCATGAATTCCCCTCACCCCTCAGAAGTTGCTGTTCTTTCCTATTGGCAGCTGCAGTTGTCCACTTGTCCAGAAGCTATCTTATCCCTTTGTTAGTACAAAGCCTGGTTCTCATAGTCCCTGCCAGTTTATTCTGTTCTTGAGTTTAACCCTTGTTTGGATATGCATAGTGTGCAGTGTCCCCCTTCCCCAGGCTGTGAGTATATGTGAATAATAAACTCATCTGTCTCAGTCTCACCTGTCTCCAGTGTTGGATATTGTGTGTTCAGCCATTTCATACTATTTAGAATAGGGAATTTTTTCTTCAGCAATGGAGTGAGTAGGAGGTGATGAGAACAGTATGGCTCTATTACAAAAATACTTTTTATATACTATATAAAATAAAATAAAATATTAAGCATTTTTCCAACATGATTGTGCCATTTTACATTCCCACCATTAATGGTACATGTTTATTTTAAGCATTCTAATAATCTCTGTTTTTTGAATGGTAAGTTTAGTACATCTACATTTCTTGAATTTCTGATATATTTGGATATATTTATATCATCAAATTTTTCCTTTCTATATGCCATGTTTTTTCTTTGACTTTTCCTCCAGTTTCTCTCCTTTTGTTTGAATCATTGAGTTTTCTTTTTCCTGTCAATCCATACTCTATTGGCTTTGAAGTTGAACATTATATTTCTATTGTTTTAGTGATTAAGCTTGAATTGTCAATATGCCTAGCATAAAAGACAAAACAATTTTTTTTAAAGGAAATAAAGTTTTATAACTTCTTTTAAATGTCTGCTTAGTCTCCATTGGGGGAATATGCCTTAATTGACTTAACCAATACCCTCGTTTTACACATTTAGGTTGTTTATAAATCATTGCTTTCGTGTACGTTGCTGCCATAAACACTTTTGTAGCTAAATCTCTGTGTATACTATTTTTTATAAAGAGTCCAACAGAATAGTTTTCAAACTAGATTTCACTGTAGTAAGAACACTTAACATGAGATTTTCACTCAACAGATTTTTGTGTATAATGTGCTAAGTGAAATAAGCCAATCACAGGAAGACAAATACTGCATGATTCTATGTATATCAGGTATCTAAAATAGTCAAAATCATAAAATCAAAAAATGGAATGATGGTTTTCAGGGCTGAATGGAGGGGGGAATGAGAAGTTATTAATTAATGGGCATAATGTTTGCATTAAGCAAGATAATTAGTTCTAGAGATCTGCTCTGCAACACTGTACATATAGTCAACAATGCTGTATTTTAAAAGCAAAGACTAAACTTTAATCAGTCTGAACAGAGGGAACCTTAACCTATTTTAACCCTACATTTTCTTAAAATTTAGTGTTATCTAGTCTTTTAGTTTTACCATGTTTTTATATCCTCAAATTCAGTTATTATTATTCTTATTTCATAGTTATTTTTTGTCTGTTGTTGCCCACTTTTATTGCAAGTATTTTTCTTTCCATTGCATCTAAGTTTAAAAAAAATTAGTTAAATTTCTGTCTCATAGAAATCTATGCATCTCTTGCATAGACAGCGAGGGTATGTTAATGATAAACATGTGTGTTTGTTAGAAAATATATTTATTTTTTGCTCCTGTTCAAGTAGATATTTATCTGAGTGGCAACTAAATGGGTCATGGTAGTGCCACAAACATTAGATGGTACAATTCTCACTTCAGTGGAGGATAACAAAGGATTAGCAGCTTGATGGTGTATGTGGTCCTCCAATCTATTGTGATACTTTAAAGAGGGGTTGGACAAGGCATGGGTGGATGTATCATGACTGTACTTCTGAAAATTTATTCTACCTTCCTGCCCCTTTTTACTGTCTGGTAGCTTCTAATTTCTACTGGAAAGGAGGAGGTAAGTCCTTCTGTGAAGAGTGGGGAACATATGGTGACGTTAGAGATTTAAGAATGCAGGTTTGAAATAGCTGCTGTGGAGACTGAAAGAAAGGCTTATCTAGGGGAAAAAAAAAAAGAAATATTCTCAGACAACGGTGAGATGTCCTTTGAGGTTGGAGACCATGCATTTAATTTATAGTGTCACTGATTTTCATAATTGCTTATTTGTATCCAGCATGGAAATATAGTCCTGAAGAAAAAGCCATATTCATCTATGTTTGATGTGTTGCCAATCAGGTGACATGTTAAAACTGTGGAAAAAGGGATATTGGGATTTAGGCAAGAGACTTCTTAAATGTAATGGCCCATGGGATCTAAGCTGGTTAAGGAAGAAAGTAACCAGCAATGTCTGGGTGGTTTAAGAACAGAGGAGTATGTTACAGAGCAAATTAGAAAAATATTACGCTGAAGAGAATGTGTTATTTTAGTTCAATATTTCAGGAGTTGGGGAATTTCAGGAGATAACAAGGTCTAGGGTGTGGCTGTTAAGTGGTGACTGAAGTAGAATGGAGGTGAAAATAATTCAAGATGGAAAGCTAAAACAACCGAGAGGCTTGGAAGCTGAAGAATTCCTTCATATAACAGGCTCCCTGTTTTTAAATGTGTATGAACACGATAGAACCAAGACATAACGTGTAACAAACTGAGTTGAATATTCAACAAATTGAGCCTTATTAATCTTCTTTACAGGAGGGATATAGCTCTGTCTTTTTCATATTCAAGTTTGTTATTGAAAACATATCAGAAAACAATATAATTAATTACTATAAGGTTTCTTAACATTGTGTGCTTTTTCACATTCTTTCACTTCAACATTCAGGGATGTGGACATTTATAGCTAGAAGTGAATGATTCCAAGAATCTTAACATTACTAAAAACCTAAAGTCATGTGAAAGGTAATTTTTAGTATTTAAATAAAATTTAATTTTATATGACAATTTTGGAAAAATTTTGGAAGATAAGGATAAAACACAATTTTGCCGCAACTTACAAGTAAAATATCCAAAAATATCGATAGCCTTTAGGCTTCACTTCACATTTCTTTCACATTATAATGAATTAAGAAATTCCATGTATTAATTAAAGAGCATGTATAAAATCACTTTAGGGACTGTGATGAAAGACATTAGATTGGAATGATGCAGTCTCAATTAATAGTTGTGAAACTTTAGGTGCTGTGATTCTGAAATATTTTGGACTAAAATAAAGTTTAGCTTTCATATGAGATAATCTTCTGTCCATAATGGTTAGAGGAACAATAACTGACAACTTTGAAACCCTTTTCAAATAATGAAAATTTTGTCATGAACAGGAGTGATTTTTAATTTTTTATTCAGCAATTTATTTCACCTCTCTTTAGAAATGTCAAGAGAATATTGTAAATTTTGACATAATTTTCCAACTGTATACTTCAGCCAGAAAAAATAAATTATTTCATAAGAAATGTTAAAATTTGTTAAACATATTAATTAATACCTCAGTCATGTACTGTATTAAATATTGTGTATAGATACATAATAGAAATTAAATTGACTATTGAAAACAATTTTAATTTTAGTTTATTCTTCCCTTCCTCCATCTCTTTCTTTCATATTTGTATTTGTTCATTGCTACAGAAAACTTGAGATATTGACTCAAGTACTGCACAGCAAATTAGTTAATTCACTGCATTTTGTATATCACTGTATTCATTTCGTAATGCTAATCAAGAGAGACATTGCACAAAAGAAACAAGCTTTCTTGGGATCTTGAATCTGAGACCTTCCGCTACCCCCTGATCTGAGATCCTCTATTACCTAGTAAGCATTATGAAAACATGGAAGAACTCTAATCTCATTTGTGTTGTAGTATAATAATAAACTTACAACTTCCATAGGGGGCTCAAGTTCTCACGTAATTACAAGGTTAGTACCAGCATGTGGTTATTTATGTCATGTAGATTAAGTAAATAAAAATATGTTGGATTATATTGAACTAAAAGGTTGAAAGCCAGGAATATGAGTTTGGCATGAGTAGTCTGTTTAATGTAGATCTCTCTACATTTCAAATGTACCCTGTAGGTCTCTGCATCAGAAATTATTAATATTCCTCTATACAATGGAGATTCATCATCCATTGTAGAAAGGTATTCTCTCATGGGTATTAATCCTTACTAAAACTATTGTTTTATTTATTTTAGAGTTCAAAGCTTAGTCAGACTTGGATTTATAATGTAATTAGGGAAGGGGCTTGGTGTTTCTGAAATGACCCATTTTGGCATAAAAGACTGAAAGATTTAGGGGATTTCTGTGACTTTATTGAAATAGCTAATGCAAAAAGATGTTGACAGTTAGAAATTAAGAACTGTTAGATAATGCAAGAATTTAGCACTCAGGAAATTTGATACTATATAAAACAGAATGAATTTTGGGAAATAAAGTGGATTGCTAAATTATATCTATGTGAATGACAGAGGACGTAGTGATAGCTCTATACATTTACAAATACAAGAGACCGTTTTAGGTACTTGTTGCTAACTAAAACTCAGAGCTAGAATTCCCTTTATGGTCACCCAAAATTTTAGTATGTTTGGATTTAAACTGGGGTGGTTTGAGTTTTGGGGATGGGAAGTGAAAAACTATTTGTGATGTATTGGCATCATATTCTCATGAATCAGTTCATATTATCCTGACTCATTGTCTAATCAGTCAATGGTCTTAAGCAAAGGAACACTTTTTGGAGATTAGCTACCAAAAGAGAATTGAAGTAGTCCACCCAACTGATCTATTAAGTTGACATACTTGATTTGTGTGCTATTTGTTTAGTTTTGTTTCGAATGCTCTGCTTAGTTTTCTGGTTTTATTGTACAGGAAGAAGAAGAAATGTTAAGAACACAGTATTTTACATAACCACATTATAGTGAAGATGATGGATTTCTACATAGTATTTCATTGAAGTATAGAAACGTGACTTTGGAAGAATCATGATATGTTGGATAAGCATAGAGATGTTGATAGCAAAATTATTTTATTGTGGTTATTTTATCTGAAATTGGAATTGACCTAATATTTTCCCCTCATATGAGATCCAGGTATCCTAAGGGAAATTGAAAAAGTGACTGCTAGGTATGAGAATGGAAAAAATATAGAATAAGTAGAATCCTTTATTCATTATAGCCACGTTTCTAATTCTATATGTTTTATTTGAACGTATTTTTCCCATATCCAATAGGTTTTCCTTTAATTTAATTTCATTATGTAAAGTTTATAACATGATTTTTTTGTTTTGAGATGGAGTTTTGCTCTTGTTGCCCAGGCTGGAGTGCAATGGTGCGATCTTAGCTCACTGCAACCTCCGCCTTCTGGGTTCAAGCGATTCTCCTGCCTCAGCCTCCTGAATAGCTAGGATTACAGGTGCCCACCACCACGCAGGGACAATTTTTTTGTATTTTTAGTAGAGACAGGGTTTCACCATATTGGCAAGGCTGGTCTCAAACTCATGACCTCAGGTGATCCACCCGCCTTGACCTCTCAAAGTGCTGGGATTACAGGTGTGAGCCACCGTGCCTGGCCTATAACATATTTTGATATACATACACATGGTGAAATGATTCCTACCATCAAGCAGATTAACATATCTATCATCTCGCAGAATTATCATCTTTTTCCCAGTGGTAAGAGCATCTAAAATCTATTCTCTTAGCAAAATTTCTTCATATAATACAATCTTATTGACTATAGCCCTCATGCTGTGCATTAGATCTCTAGACTTACTAATCTTACATAACTGCACATTTGTAATCTTTCATCTACATCACCCCATTTCCTCTCCCTTCCTGGTCTTGATCACCTCATTTCTACTCTCACATTCTATGTAATCTATTTTTTATAGATTCCACACATAAGTGAGATTATGCAGTATCTTTCTTTCTGTGTCTGGCTTATTTTACTTAACATAATGTCCTTCAGGTTCATCCATGTCCTGCAAATGGCAGCTATTTCCCTCTTTTTTAAAGATGAATAATATTTCATTGTATATGTATACCACAATTTCTTTATCCCTTCATCCACTGAGGGACATTTAAGTTGATCCTTATCTTGGTGATTGTGAATAATGCTACAGTGAACATGAGAGTGCAGATATCTCTTTAATATACTGATCTTATTTCCTTTGGCTATACTCCCAGAAGTGGGATTGATGGATCATATAGTGCTCTATCTTTAACTTTTTAAGAAACTTCCATACTGTTTCCACACTAAGTGTACCAATTTACATTCCCACCAACAGTGTTCAAGGGTTCCCTTTTCTCCACACCCTCACCAGCATTTGTTATCTCTTGTATTTTTGATAATACCCATCCTAACAGGTGTGAGGTGATATCTCATTGCAGGTTTGATTTGCATTTTCTTGATGATTAGTGGTATTGGGCACCTTATCATATAGCTATGGTCCATTTGTATGGCTTCTTTGGGAAAATGTCTATTCAGTTTCTTTGCCCATTTTTAAAACAAGTTTCTTTTTTTTTTTTTTGCTATTTAGTTGTGTGAGTTCCTTATATATTTTCAATATTACCTCTTATTGGATATATGTTGCACAAATATTTTATCCTATTCTGTAGGCTGCCTTTTCATTTTATTGATTGTTTCCTTTGCTGTGCAGAAGTTTTTTAATTTGATCGAGTCCCACTTGTTTATTTTTGCTTTTGTTGCCTTAACTTTTGATGTCACATCCAAAAAATCGTTGCTAAGGCCAACATCAAGAAGCTTTTCCTCTGTTTTTTCTTCTAGTTTTTTTAATGTTTCAGGTCTTATGATTAGGTCTTTAATCCATTTGGAGTTATTTTTTGTGTAAAATAAGTGTCCAGTTTCAGTCTTTTGCACGTGAATATCCAGTTTTTCTAACATCATTTGTTGAGGAGACTATCCCTTCTCTATTGTGTCTTCTTGGTGGCTTTGTTGAAAATCAGTTGACTGCATATGCTTAGGTTTATTTCTGAGCTCTCTATTCTGTTCTACTGGTCTGTGTCTGTTTTTATGGCAGTGCCATATTATTTTGATTATTATAGCTTTGTAATGTAGTTTAAAATCAGAGAATATGATGTATCTATCTTTGTTTTTCTTTCTCAAGATTACTTTGGCTATTCAGGATGTTTTGTTGTTCCATACAAATATTAGAATTGTTTTCTTTCTTTCTGTGAAAAATGCTATGGGAATTTTGATAGAGAGTCTGTCAAATCTATATATTGGTTTGAGTACTATGGACATTTTAATAATATTAAGTCTTCAAATCCACAAACATGGGTTACATTTCCTTTTATTTATGTCTTCAGTTTCATCAATGTTCTATGGTTTCAGTGTACAGATCTTTTACTTCCTTGGTTAAATTGATTCTTGAGTATTTTATACTTTTTGATGTTATTGTAAATGATATTTTTACATTTTTAGCCTGGATCGTTATTGGTGTAAAGAAATGTAGCTGATTTTTGTATGTTGATTTGGTATCCTGCTATTTTCCTGAATTCATTTTTTTTAGTTTATTTATACAGTTTTTTTGAAGTCTTTAGGCTTTTCTACATATAGGATCTTGTCATCTGCAAATAAAGATAATTTTACTTCTTTTTGTCTGATATGGATGCCTTATATTTATTTTTTCTTGTCTGATTGCCCTTGCTTCCAGTACTATCCTAAATGGAATTGGCAAGAGTGTGCATCCTTGACTTACGCCAAATATTTGAGGCAAAGCTTTCAGTTTTTCCCCATTGATTGTGGATGTTAGCCATGGGCCTTTTATAAATAGCCTTTATTGTGTACTGAGGAAATTTTCTTCTATACCTATTTTATTCAGGTTTTATCATAAAGTATGTAGAACTTTGTCAGTTTTTTTTACTGCGTCTATTGCAGTGATCATGTGATTTTTATCTTTTATTCTGTTAATGTGATGTACCACAATGATTGATTTGAACATGTCAAATGAGCTTGCATCACAGGGAGTCCTTTCCCCATTGCTTGTTTTTGTCAGCCTTGTTGAAGATCAGATGGTCCTAGGTGTGCAGCCTTATTTCTGGGCTTTCTCTTCTGTCCCATTGGTCTATGTGCCTGTTTTTGTACCAGTACCATGTTGTTCATGGTGTATAATCTTTTTAATGTGTTCTTGAATTCAGTTTGCTAGTATTGTTTTGATGATTTTTGCATCAATGCTCATCAGAGATATTGGCCTGTAGTTTACCCTTAAATTTAGATAGGAAAAAGAAATGCCAATAGCTTTAATAATAATATTAATAGATACAACACACACACATTTTAGTCCTTTTTCTCCCTACAAATACTAATATATGGGACAATTATCAACTCTTCCGTGCTCCATTTACTTTATCTTATAAAATATGCATAGTAATATGTATAGTGTCCAAAGGCAAGATGTTTTTAGGGTCCTTTCTATTTCTATGACTTTTGATTCATAACTGGAAAAATGGTAAGGGATCTCATTAAAATGTCACTTCCCTGGACCACAAATGTTATTGCACCAAAATTTTAGAACAGTCTATGATACAATTCTATTGAGCAGCATCATTTTGAAATATATGTTTAATGAGTATTTAACTAAAAGATGGAAGCATAAGTCGAGTTATGGCTTCTTTACATTTAAAAAGTAAGTTAGTGTTTTGAATACTGATAATACAAATAAATTATAACTACCAAAGGGTAAAATAATATTTTTATTGATTCTTGTTTGCATTATATTCACCCACCATGATTAAATTATGTCTCGCTTTTTAGAAAATGTTACATCTTCTTTAGTTACTAGACACAGAAAAAAACAAGCATTTGCCTAAAACAAGAATTCAGATTACACCCTCAGACCTACGTTATGTGTATGCATACAACTGGTCTACCTGTTTTAAGTGAACTTATATTCAACAGCAAGGAAGTTAGTGAATGGTTTTGCCCATATCTTTTAATATAAGGAATCATCAACAAACTGTCACCATGGTAATGCTTACAGAAAGACTGATACTTCCAGGTATCAGTCTTTTCTGCTGCCACGTAGATAGTGTAGCTGCTTGGATCCAGTTGATGCCATGCTGGAAACTATTCTATCATAATTCTATCAATTGGAGTGTTGGCATACCCATGATTCCCTTGTAAGTTCAATCAAATGCCTCATAACAAACATCTGATTCAGTGGTAAATAATCCAGTTGGTAGATAGTGTAATTTTATTTATGTATTTATTTTAATATATTTTTAATTTCAATAGCTTTTAGGGTACAAGCGGTTTTTGGTTACATGGCAGAACTATACACTGGTAAATTCTGAGATTTTAGTGTGCCCATCGCCTGAATAGTGTGCACTGTAACCAATATGCAGTTGTTTTATTCATCACCCCTCCCATCCTCTCAGTTCTGAGTCTCCAAAGTCTGTTATATCACTCTGTATGCCTTTGTGTACTCATACATTTGTATATATTTTGAGAAACATCTATTCATGTAATTTGCCCACTTTTTAATGGAATTATTTGTTTTTTTTCTTCCTGATTTGACTTCCTCGTAGGTTCTGGATATTAGTCCTTTGTTGGATGAATAGTTTGCAAATATTTTCTCCCATTCTGTGGATTTTCTGTTTTCTCTGCTGATTGTTTCTTTTGTTGTGCAGAAGCTTTTTAGTTTAATTAGTTCTCATTTATTTATTTTTGTTTTTGTTGCTTTTGCTTTTGGGATCTTAGTTATGAATTATTTACCTGGTCCAATGTCCAGAAGAGTTTTTCCTAGGTTTACTTCTAGAATGTTTATGGTTTTAGGTCTTAGGTTTCAGTCTTTTATTCACCTTGAGTTGATTTTTGTATAAGGTGAGGGATAAGGATCCAGTTTCATTCTTCTACATGTGGCTTGATAGTTTTCCCAGCACTGTTATTGAATAGGGTGTTGTTTCCCCAATTTATATTTTTGTATGCTTTGTCAAAGATCAGTTGCTTCTAAGTATTTGGCTTTATTTCTGGATTCTCTATTCCGTTCCATTGGTCTATGTGCCTACTTTTATACCAATACCTTACTATTTTGTTAAATATGGACTTGTGCTATGATTTGAAGTCTGGTAATGTGATGTCTACAGGTTTTTTTTTTAAATTTTTTATTTATTATTATTATTATTTTTTTGAGACGGAGTCTCGCTCTGTCACCCAGGCTAGAGTGAAGTGGCACGATCTCAGCTCACTGCAAGCTCTGCCTCCCGGGTTCATGCCATTCTCCTGCCTCAGCCTCCCAAGTAGCTGGGACTGCAGGTACCCGCCACCACACCCGGCTAATTTTTTGTATTTTTTTAGTAGAGACAGGGTTTCACCGTATTAGTTAGGATGGTCTCGATCTCCTGACCTCATGATCCGCCTGCCTTGGCCTCCCAAAGTGCTGGGATTACAGGCGTGAGCCACCGTGCCTGGCCTTTTTAATTTTTTAAATTATTTCCTTAGGTTTTTGGGGAAGAAGTGGTATTTGGTTACATGAGTAAGTTCTTTAGTGGTGATTTGTGAGATTTTTGTGCACCTATCACCCAAGCAGTATACACTGTACTCAATTTGTAGTCTTTTATCCCTCACTCCCCTCCTACCCTTTCCCTCAAATCCCCAAAGTCCATTGTATCATTCTTATGCCTTTGTGTCCTTATAGCTTAGCTCCCACTTATGAGTGAGAACATACAGTGCTTGGTTTTCCATTCCTGAGTTACTTTACTTAGAATAATGGTCTCCAGTTCCATCCAGGTTGCTCTGAATGCCATTATTTTGTTACTTTTTATGGATAAATAGTATTCCATGGTGTGTATGTATATATACATATATCTCACAATTTCTTTATCCACTCATTGATTGATGGGCACTTGGGCTGCTTCCATATTTTTGCACTTGCAAATTGTGCTGCTATAAACATGCATGTGCAAGTATCATTTTTGTTTAATGACTTCTTTTCCTCTGGGTAGATACCCAGTAGTGGGATTGCTGGATTAAATGGTAGTTCTACTTTTAGTTCTTTAAACAATCTCCACACTACTTTCCATAGTGGTTGTACTAGTTTATATTCCCATCAGCAGTGTAGAAGTGTCCCCTTTTTACTGCATCCCCACCAACATCATTATTATTTTTATTTTTTGATAATGGCCGTTCTTACAGGAGTGAAGTGATATCGCATTGTGGTTTTGATGTGCATTTCCATGATAATTAGTGATGTTGAGCATTTTATCATATATTTGTTGTCCACTTGTATATCTTGTTTTGAGAATTGTCGATTCATGTCCTTAGCCTATTTTTTTTGATGGAATTGTTTGTTTTGTTCTTGTTAATTTGTTTGAGTTACTTGTAGATTCTGGATATTTGTCCTTTGTCAAATGTATAGATTGTGAAGATTTTCTCCTACTCTGTCATCTGTTTGTTTACTCTGCTGATTGTTTCTTTTGCTGTGCAGAAACATTTTAGTTTAATTACTTCTCACCTATTTATCATTGTCTCATTTGCTTTTGGGTTCTTGATCATGAAGTCTTTGCTGAAGCCAGTGTTCAGAAGGGTTTTTCCAATGTTTTCTTCTAGAATTTTTATGGTTTCAGGTCTTAGATTTAAGTCCTTGATCTACCTTGAGTTGATTTCCATGTAAGGTGAGAGATAAGAATCCAGTTTCATTCTTCTACATGTGGCTTGCCAATTATCCCAGCACCATTTGTTGAACAGGGTGTGCTTTCCCCACTTTAGGTTTTTGTTTGCTTTATTGAAGATCAGTATTTGGCTTTATTTCTGGGTTCTCTATTCTGTTCCATTCGTCTATGAGCCTATTTTTACACCAGTGTCATGCTGTTTTGGTGACTGTGACCTTATAGTATAGTTTGAAGTCTGGTAATGTCATGCCTTCAGATTTGTTTTTTTGCTTAGTCTTGCTTTGTCTATGTGGGCTCTTTTTTGGTTCCATATAAATTTTAGGATTGTCTTTTCTAGTTCTATGAAGAATGATGGTGGTGTCTTCATGGGAATTGCATTGAAACAGTTGATTGCTTTTGGCAGTATGGACATTTTCACAATATTCATTCTACCCATCCATGATCATAGGATGTTTTTCCATTAGTTTGTGTCATCTATGATTTCTTTCAGAAGTGTTTTGTAGTTTTCCTTGTAGAGGCCTTTCACCTTCTTGGTTAGGTATATTCCTAAGTATTATTATTTATATTTTAAAAGAGATTGAGTTCTTGATTTGATTCTCAGCTTGGTCACTGCTGGTGTAGAACAGAGCTACTGATGAGTATACATTGATTTTGTATTCTGAAACTTTGCTAAATTCATTTATCAGTTCTAGGAGCTTTTTGAATGAGTCTTTAGGGTTTTCTAGGTATATAATCATATCATCAGCAAACGGTGACAGTTTGACTTCCTCTTTACTGATTTGGAAGCCCTTTATTTATTTCTCTTGTCTAGTTGCTCTGGCTTGAACTTCCAGTACTATATTAAATAGAAGTGGTGAGAGTGGGCATCCATGTCCTGTTCCAGTTCTCAGGGAGAATGCTTTCAACTATTCCCCATTCAGTACTATGATGGCTGTGGGTTTGTCATAGAAGGCTTTTATTACATTAAAGAGTGTCTGTTTTATGCCAATTTTGCTGAGAGTTTTAATCATAAAGGGATGCTGGATTTTGTCAAATGCTTTTTCTGCATTTATTGAGATGATCATGTGATTTTTGTTTTTAATTCTGTTTGTGTGGTATATCACATTTATTGACTTTACATATGTTAAACCATCCCTGCATCCCTCATATGAAACCTGCTTGATCATGGTAAATTATCTTTTTGATATGCTGTTGGATTCAGTTAGCTAGTTTTTGTTAAGGATTTTTGCATCTATATTCATCAGGGATATTGGTCTGCAGTTTTCTTTTTTTGTTATGTCCTTTCTTGGTTTTGCTGTTACAGTAATAGTGGCTTCATTTAACGATTTAGGGAGGATTCCCTCTTTCTTTATCTTATGGAATAGTGTCAATAGTATTGGTACCAATTCTTCTCTGAATGTCTGTTAGAATTCTGCTGTGAATCCTTCTGCTCGTGGACTTTGTTTTGGTGGCAACTTTTTTTAAAATTATCATTTCAATCTTGCTGCTTGTTATTGGTCTGTTCGGCTTCTCTAATTTTTCCCGATTTAAGCTAGGAGGGTTGTATATTTCCAGGAGTTTATATATCTCCTCTAGGTTTTCTAGTTTATGTGTGTAAAGGTGTTCATGGTCGCCTTGAATCATCTTTTGTATTTCTGTGTTGTCAGTTGTAATATCTGCCGTTTCATTTCTAATTGAGCTTATTTGGATCTTCTCTGTTCTTTTCTTGGTTAATCTCTCTAATGGTCTATTTTATTTATCTTTTCAAAGAACCAGCGTTTTGTTTTATTATCTTTTTTTTGTTTTAATTTCATTTATGTCTTTTCTGATGTTTGTTATTTCTTTTCTTCTTCTGGGTTTTGGGTTTGGTTTGTTCTTGTTTCTCCAGTTCCTTGAGGCATGACCTCAGATTGTCTATTTGTATTCTTACAGACTTTTTGATGTAGGCATTTAAGGCTATGAACTTTCCTTGTAGCCATGCCTTTGCTGTATCCCAGAGGTTTTGACAGGTTATGTCACTATTATCATTCAGTTCAAAGAATATTTTCATTTCCATCTTGATTTAATAGTTGGCCCAATGATCATGTAGGAGCAGGTTATTTAATTTCCATGTATTTGCATGGTTTTGAAGGTTCCTTTTGTAGTTGATTTCCAATTTTATTCCACTGTGGTTGCAGGGAATACTTGATATAATTTTAATTTTCTTAAATTTATTGAGACTTGTTTTGTGGCCTATCATATGTTTTATCTTGGAGAATGTCCCATGAACTGATGAATAGAATGTATGTTCTGTGGTTGTTTGGTACAATGTTCTGTAACTATCTATTAAGTCCATTTGTTCTAGGGTACAGTTTATTGTTTCTTTGTTGACTTGCTTACTTGATGACCTGTCTAGTGCTGTCAGTGGAGCAATGAAGTCCTCTACTATTATTCTGTTGCTGTCTATTTCATTTCTTAGGTCTAGTAGTAGTTGTTTTATAAATTTGGGAGCTCCAGTGTTAGGTGCATATATATTTAGGATTGTGATATTTTTCTGTTGGACAAGGTCTTTTATCATTATAGAATGTCCCTCTTTGTATTTTTTAGCTGCTGTTTCTTTAAAGTTTGTTTTGTCTGATATAAGAATTGCTACTCTTGCTAGCTTTTGGTGTCCATTTGCATGGAATGTCTTTTTCCACCCTTTTACCTTAAGTTTATGTGAGTCCTTGTGTGTTAGGTGAGTGTCTTGAAGGCAGCACATACTTGGTTGGTGAATTCTTATGCATTCTGCCATTCTGTATCTTTTAAGTGGAGCATTTTAGGCTATTTACATTCAATGTTAGTATTGAGAGTTGAGGTACTGTTCTATTCATCATCCTCTTTGTTGCCTGAATACCTTGTTTTTTTTTTTTAATTTGTAGTGTTGTTATTTTATAGGTCCTATGAGATTTATGCTTGAAGGAGGTTCTGTTTTGATGTCTTTCGAGAATTTGTTTCAAGATTTAGAGCTCTTTTTAGCTGTTCTTGTAGTGGGGGCTTGGTAGTGGCATATTCTCTCAGCATTTGTTTTTCTGAAAAAGACTGTATCTTTCCTTCATTTAGGAAGTTTAGTTTCACTGGTTGCAAAACTCTTGGCTGATAATTGTTTTGTTTAAGGAGGCTCATGATAGGGCCTCAATCCCTTCCAGCTTGTAGGGTTTCTTCTGAGAAATCTGCTGTTAATCTGATAGGCTTCCCTTTATAGGTTTCCTTTTGCTTTTGCCTCACAGCTCTTAAGATTCTTTCTTTTGTCTCAACTTTAGATAACCTGATGACTATGTGCCTAGGTGATTATCTTTTTGCAATACATTTGCCAGGAGTTCTTTGAGCTTAGGGTCCCCACCGCCCCGCATGCCCCTCCCCGACCCCATTAGTATCATTTGGCTGTGGAGGCTCATTTTTGGTTCCACACACATTTTAAGATTATTTTTTCTAATTCTGTGAAAAATTATGCTGGCATTTTGGTAGAAATTGAATTGAATTTGTAGATTGCTTTGGGCAGTATCATCATTTGCACAATATTGATTCTTTACATTTGTGAGCATGGGATGTGTTTTCTTTTCTTTTTCTTTTTATTTTATTTTATTTTATTATTATTATACTTTAAGTTTTAGGGTACATGTGCACAATGTGCAGGTTAGTTACATATGTATACATGTGCCATGCTGGTGTGCTGCACCCATTAACTCATCATTTAGCATTAGGTATATCTCCTAAAGCTATCCCTCCCCCCTCCCCCCACCCCACAACAGTCCCCAGAGTGTGATGTTCTCCTTCCTGTGTCCATGTGTTCTCATTGCTCAATTCCCACCTATGAGTGAGAACATGCGCTGTTTGGTTTTTTGTTCTTGCGATAGTTTACTGAGAATGATGCTTTCCAATTTCATCCATGTCCCTACAAAGGACATGAACTCATCATTTTTTATGGCTGCATAGTATTCCATGGTGTATATGTGCCACATTTTCTTAATCAAGTCTATCATTGTTGGACGTTTGGGTTGGTTGCAAGTCTTTGCTATTGTGAATAGTGCCGCAATAAACATACATGTGCATGTGTCTTTATAGCAGCATGATTTATAATCCTTTGGGTCTATACCCAGTAATGGGATGGCTGGGTCAAATGGTATTTCCAGTTCTAGATCCCTGAGGAATCGCCACACTGACTTCCACAAGGGTCGAACTAGTTTACCATCCCACCAACAGTGTAAAAGTGTTCCTATTTCTCCACATCCTCTCCAGCACCTGTTGTTTCCTGACTTTTTAATGATTGCCATTCTAACTGGTGTGAGATGGTATCTCATTGTGGTTTTGATTTGCATTTCTCTGATGGCCAGTGATGGTGAGCATTTTTTCATGTTTTTTGGCTGCATAAATGTCTTCTTTTGAGAAGTGTCTGTTCATGTCCTTCACCCACTTTTTGATGGGGTTGTTTTTTTCTTGTAAATTTATTTAAGTTCACTGTAGATTCTGGATATTAGCCCTTTGTCAGATGAGTAGGTTGTGAAAATTTTCTCCCATTTTGTAGGTTGCCTGTTCATGCTGATGGTAGTTTCTTTTGCTGTGCAGAAGCTCTTTAGTTTAATTAGATCCCATTTGTCAATTTTGGCTTTGTTGCCATTGCTTTGGGTGTTTTAGACATGAAGTCCTTGCCCATGCCTGTGTCCTGAATGGTAATGCCTAGGCTTTCTTCTAGGGTTTTTATGGTTTTAGGTCTAACATTTAAGTCTTTAATCCATCTTGAATTAATTTTTGTATAAGGTGTAAGGAAGGGATCCAGTTTGAGCTTTCTCCATATGGCTAGCCAGTTTTCCCAGCACCATTTATTAAATAAGGAATCCTTTCCCCATTGCTTGTTTTTGTCAGGTTTGTCAAAGATCAGATAGTTGTAGATATGTGGCATTATTTCTGAGGGCTCTGTTCTGTTCCATTGATCTATATCTCTGTTTTGGCACCAGTACCATGCTGTTTTGGTTACTGTAGCCTTGTAGTATAGTTTGAAGTCAGGTAGCGTGATGTCTCCAGCTTTGTTCTTTTGGCTTAGGATTGACTTGGCGGTGCAGGCTCTTTTTTGGTTCCATATGAACTTTAAAGTAGTTTTTTCCAATTCTGTGAAGAAAGTCATTGGTAGCTTGATGGGGATGGCATTGAATCTATAAATTACCTTGGGCAGTATGGCCATTTTCACGGAATTGATTCTTCCTACCCATGAGCATGGAATGTTCTTCCATTTGTTTGTATCCTCTTTTATTTCATTGAGCAGTGGTTTGTAGTTCTCCTTGAAGAGGTCCTTCACGTCCCTTGTAAGTTGGATTCCTAAGTATTTTATTCTCTTTGAAGCAATTGTGAATGGGAGTTCACTCATGATTTGGCTCTCTGTTTGTCTGTTATTGGTGTATAAGAATGCTTGTGAATTTTGCACATTGATTTTGTATCCTGAGACTTTGCTGAAGTTGTTTATCAGCTTAAGGAGATTTTGGGCTGAGACAATGGGGTTTTCTAGATATACAATCATGTCGTCTGCAAACAGGGCCAATTTGACTTCCTCTTTTCCTAATTGAATACCCTTTATTTCCTTCTCCTGCCTGATTACCCTGGCCAGAACTTCCAACACTATGTTGAATAGGAGTGGTGAGACAGGGCATCCCTGTCTTGTGCCAGTTTTCAAAGGGAATGCTTCCAGTTTTTTCCCATTCAGTATGATATTGGCCGTGGGTTTGTCATAGATAGCTCTTATGATTTTGAGGTACGTCCCATCAATACCTAATTTATTGAGAGTTTTTAGCATGAAGCGTTGTTGAATTTTGTCAAAGGCCTTTTCTGCGTCTATTGAGATAATCATGTGGTTTTTGTCTTTGGTTCTGTTTATATGCTGGATTACATTTACTGATTTGCATATATTGAACCAGCCTTGTATCCCAGGGATGAAGCCCACTTGATCATGGTTGATAAGCTTTTTGATGTGCTGCTGGATTCGTTTTGCCAGTATTTTATTGAGGATTTTTGCATCAATGTTCATCAAGGATATTGGTCTAAAATTCTCTTTTTTGGTTGTGTCTCTGCCTGGCTTTGTTTTCAGGATGATGCTGGCCTCATAAAATGAGTTAGGGAGGATTCCCTCTTTTTCTATTGTTGGAGTAGTTTCAGAAGGAACGGTACCAGTTCCTCCTTGTACCTCTGGTAGAATTCAGCTGTGAATCCATCTGGTCCTGGACTCTTTTTGGTTGGTAAGCTATTGGTTATTGCCACAATTTCAGAGCTGGTTATTGGTCTATTCAGAGATTCAACTTCTTCCTGGTTTAGTCTTGGGAGGGTGTTATGTGTCCAGGAATTTATCCATTTCTTCTAGATTTTCTAGTTTATTTGCGTAGAGGTGTTTATAGTATTCTCTGATGGTAGTTTGTATTTCTGTGGGATCAGTGGTGATATCCTCTTTATCATTTTTTATTGCATCTATTTGATTCTTCTCTCTTTTCTTCTTTATTAGTCTTGCTAGCGGTCTTTCAATTTTGTTGATCCTTTCAAAAAACCAGCTCCTGGATTCATTAACTTTTTGAAGGGTTTTTTATGTCTCTATTTCCTTCAGTTCTGCTCTGATTTTAGTTATTTCTTGCCTTCTCCTAGTTTTGAATGTGTTTGCTCTTGCTTTTCTAGTTCTTATAATTGTGATGTTAGGGTGTCAATTTTGGATCTCTCCTGCTTTCTCTTGTGGGCATTTAGTTCTATAAATTTCCCTCTACACACTGCTTTGCATGTGTCCCAGAGATTCTGTTATGTTGTGTCTTTGTTCTCATTGGTTTCAAAGAACATCTTTATTTCTGCCTTCATTTCGTTATGTACCCAGTAGTCATTCAGAAGCAGGTTGTTCAGTTTCCATGTAGTTGAGCAGTTTTGAGTGAGTTTCTTAATCCTAAGTTCTAGTTTGATTGCACTGTGGTCTGAGAGAGAGTTTGTTATAATTTCTCATCTTTTACATTTGCTGAGGAGAGCTTTACTTCCAACTATGTGGTCAATTTTGGAATAGATGTGGTGTGGTGCTGAAAAAAATGTATATTCTGTTGATTTGGGGTGGAGAGTTCTGTAGATGTCTATTAGGTCTGCTTGGTGCAGAGCTGAGTTCAATTCCTGGGTATCCTTGTTAACTTTCTGTCTCGTTGATATGTCTAATGTTGACAGTGGGGTGTTAAAGTCTCCCATTATTATTGTATGGGAGTCTAAGTCTCTTTGTAGGTCACTCAGGACTTGCTTTATGTAACTGGGTTCTCCTGTATTGGGTGCATATATATTTAGGATAGTTAGCTGTTCTTTTTGAATTGATCCCTTTACCATTATGTAATGGCCTCCTTTGTCTCTTTTGATCTTTGTTGGTTTAAAGTCTGTTTTATCAGAGACTAGGATTGCAACCCCTGCCTTTTTTTGTTTTCCATTTGCTTGGTAGATCTTCCTCCATCCTTTTATTTTTAGCCTATGTGTGTGTCTGCACATGAGATGGGTTTCCTGAATACAGCACACTGATGGGTCTTGACTCTGTATCCAATTTGCCAGTCTCTGTCTTTTAATTGGAGCATTTAGTCCATTTACATTTAAGGTTAATATTGTTAGGTGTGAATTTGATCCTGTCATTATGATGTTAGCTGGTTATTTTGCTCGTTAGTTGATGCAGTTTCTTCCTAGCCTCAATGGTCTTTACAATTTGGCATGATTTTGCAGTGGCTGGTACCAGTTGTTCCTTTCCATGTTTAGTGCTTCCTTCAGGAGCTCTTTTAGGGCAGGCCTGGTGGTGACAAAATCTCTCAGCATTTGCTTGACTGTAAAGTATTTTATTTCTCCTTCACTTATGAATCTTAGTTTGGCTGGATATGAAATTCTGGGTTGAAAATTCTTTTCTTTAAGAATGTTGAATATTGGCCCCCACTCTCTTCTGGCTTGTAGAGTTTCTGCCGAGAGATCAGCTGTTAGTCTGATGGGCTTCCCTTTGTGGGTAACCCGACCTTTCTCTCTGGCTGCCCTTAACATTTTTCCCTTCATTTCAACTTTGGTGAATCTGACAATTAAGTGTCCTGGAGTTGCTCTTTTCGAGGAGTATCTTTGTGGCATTCTCTGTATTTCCTGAATCTGAACGTTGGCCTGCCTTGCTAGTTTGGGGAAGTTCTCCTGGATAATATCCTGCAGAGTGTTTTCCAACTTGGTTCCATTCTCCCCGTCACTTTCAGGTACACCAATCAGATGTAGATTTGGTCTTTTCACATAGTCCCATATTTCTTGCAGGCTTTGTTCATTTCTTTTTATGCTTTTTTCTCTAAACTTCCCTTCTCACTTCATTTCATCTTCCATCATTGATACCCTTTCTTCCAGTTGATCGCATTGGCTCCTGAGGCTTCTGCATTCTTCACGTAGTTCTCGAGCCTTGGCTTTCAGCTCCATCAGCTCCTTTAAGCACTTCTCTGTATTGGTTATTCTAGTTATACATTCATCTAAATTTTTTTCAAAGTTTTCAACTTCTTTGTCTTTGGTTTGAATTTCCTCCTGTAGCTCAGAGTAGTTTGATCGTCTGAAGCCTTCTTCTCTCAACTCGTCAAAGTCATTCTCCATCCAGCTTTGTTCCGTTGTTGGTGAGGAGCTGCGTTCCTTTGGAGGAGGAGAGGTGCTCTGCCTTTTAGAGTTTCCAGTTTTTCTGCTCTGTTTTTTCCCCATCTTTGTGGTTTTATCTACTTTTGATCTTTGATGATGGTGATGTACATATGGGTTTTTGGTGTGGATGTCCTTTCTGTTTGTTAGTTTTCCTTCTAACAGACAGGACCCTCAGCTGCAGGTCTGTTGGAGTTTGCTGGAGGTCCATTCCAGACCCTGTTTGCCTGGGTATCAGCAGTGGTGGCTGCAGAACAGTGGATTTTCGTGAATCGCGAATGCTGCTGTCTGATCATTCCTCTGGAAGTTTTGTCTCAGAGGAGTACCCGGCCATGTGAGGTGTCAGTCTACCCCTACTGAGGGGTGCCTCCCAGTTAGGCTGCTCAGGGTCAGGGGTCAGGGACCCACTTGAGGAGGCATTCTGCCCATTCTCAGATCTCCAGCTGCATCCTGGGAGAACCACTGCTCTCTTCAAAGCTGTCAGACATTTAAGTCTGCAGAGGTTACTGCTGTCTTTTTGTTTGTCTGTGCCCTGCCCCCAGAGGTGGAGCCTACAGAGGAAGGCAGGCCTCCTTGAGCTGTGGTGGGCTCCACCCAGTTCCGGCTTCCTGGCTGCTTTGTTTACCTAATCAAGCCTGGGCAATGGCGTGTGCCCCTCCCCCAGCCTCGCTGCCACCTTGCAGTTTGATCTCAGACTGCTGTGCTAGCAATCAGTGAGACTCCATGGGCGTAGGACCCTCTGAGCCAGGTGTGGGATATAATCTCCTGGTGTGCCGTTTTTTAAGCCCATTGGAAAAGCACAGTATTAGGGTGGGAGTGACCCAATTTTCCAGGTGCTGTCTCTCACCCCTTTGTTTGACTAGGAAAGGGAACTCCCTGACCCCTTGCACTTCCTGAGTGAGGCAATGCCTCACCCGGCTTCGGCTCCCGCATGGTGTGCTGCACCCACTGTCCTGCGCCCACTGTCTGGCACTCCCTAGTGAGATGAACCCGGTACCTCAGATGGAAATGCAGAAATCACCTGTCTTCTGTGTCGCTCACACTGGGAGCTGTAGACCGGAGCTGTTCCTATTCGGCCATCTTGGCTCCAGCCTTGGGATGTGTTTTCATTTGCTTGTTTCATCTATGATTTCTTTCAGCAGTGTTTTGTAGTTCTTGTAGAACTTTCACCTCCTTGGTTAAATCTATTCCTAGGGATTTTACTTTTTTGCAGCTACTGTAAAAGGGTTTGAGTTTTTGATTGATTCTCAGTTTGGTTGTTGTCGATGTATAGCAGTGCTACTGATTTGTGTAGATTCATTTCGTAGCATGAGACATTACTGAATTCATTTATCAGATCTTTAGAGTCTTTAGGGTTTTCCATGTATACGATCATATTGTTGGTGAACAGTGATAGTCCGCTTTCCTCTTTTCCAATTTGGATGCCCTTTATTTCTTTCTTTCGCCAGATTGCTCTGGCTAGGACTTCCAGTACTATGTTGAATAGAAGTGGTAAACATGGGCATCCTCGTCTTGTTCCAGTTCTTTGGGGAAGTGCTTTCAAATTTTCCCCATTCAGTATGATGTTGACTATGGGTTTAGACATTTTAATTTAATTTTATTTATTTTTGAGACAGAACCTCACTCTTTCACCCCGGCTGGAGTGCAGTGGCATAAACTTGGCTCACTACAACCTCTGTTTCTCACGCTCAAGCAATCCTCCCACACCAGCCTCCCGAATAGTTGGGACCACAGGTGCATGCCATCATGCCTGGCTAATTTTTGTATTTTTTGCAGAGATAGTGTTTTGCCATATTGCGCAGGCTGGTCTCAAACTCCTGAGCTGAAGCAATGCACCCACATTGGCCTCCTGAATATACATTGTAATTTTAAAGCATATATCCCCACATATGTATAAGCCAAGTATAATTAAAATTTTATCCACCAGTGTTTTGGGTCTATTAAGTAATTTATTTAGCAAATACATGTTGAACATTTCTCTACAAACCAGACATTGTGTTAAACTCTAGGGATTAAAAATAAATTAAAAGTCAAGTTAGACCCTAAGGTTAAATTCAAGTGTTAAACCCTGGATGTTCAAAAATAAATAATGGGCCAAATTGCATGTTTTCTAATTGGTGGAGTTAAGTTAACATACTAGACAATTAGAGTTAAAGCAAATGTGCTGATTTCCAGTTTTTATACACTCAGATTTTCTCTCTTTTTTTTGTCTTAGCCAGTTTTACTACAATATATTACATTTGATTAATACAAATCAGCAGAAGTTGGAAAAATGGCAACTAATCACATCCTCATTTCTGCTAAAATTCTACTTTAAAAGACACATAAATAAATGTTATATTTAAACAAAAACAAAACAGGGCCTTGTTTTTGTAACTTTCTAAAATACTTGTGAAGTGGGTGAACATTTGTTTAAATGCTGTTACTAGTTCAACAGTTTTTATTTTGGGGTAAAATTACATTATGGAATTATAGTTCTACAAAGCCATAGCAGAATACACATTTGGTATTTCATCTAGGTTGCAAAAGTGAGGTATTATTCAGTTGGAAATTTAAATATTGTTTCTTACTTGGCATAACTCTGACTCCCAGATATATCAGTTGCATATAACAGAGCCAAACCATCCGGTTGGAAAAGTGAACAATATGATCCAAATGAACTAATTCAATTTTAGGCTTATTTTATACCTATTGAGATTAAATCCAATAGTAGAAGAAGAACTTTTAATTAAATGAGGTTTCCTCTGCCTAGGCTCCATGTTATTACTAATTACCTCTGTGCTTCATAGTGCCTCTTTGGATTACATTGGCTCTTCTCTTAAAGATGCCTCTTTGGATTATATTTGTCTTTAAGTTTTTTTTTCTCCAGCCAAAAATTTATTATTGCATACATAATGTATTAGTGTTAACATTTACGTAAAAGAACATAGCATTCACCAGGGAAAATAAATTTAAAATGCCAAAGACTTAAATAATGAAAGGAGAAACCTAGGACAAACCAGCTGTCACGTAGTCAGTTTGCTCAAGTGAAATCTCTCTTGCCAGAAGTGTTGGCTAGAGCTTTGTTCCATCTTTACAAATTAAATAATCTTAAGAGGATAGCTCTTTTTACTATAAATCATCTTTAGAAATATTTTCTTTCCACACACCCACTAATCAATTTCATTTATTTTTGGAGATAGATATTTAATAAACCAAGACAAATAATTTCTTCAAACATATCATAATCAACTTTCACATCAGTAGTTTTACTAGATTAATTTTCTTGAATAATAATAAATATAACACCATTCAGTGTACAATATGATGGAAATAATTAAAGAATCAAAGTTTCTTTGAACTAAGAATTTTAACCTCAGGGTTAACAAGGCACCTAGATGTTTAATCTTAAAATAATTTTTAAATACAAAATGAAACTATTACACTGTGATATTTAGAATGATGAAGTATTGATCTTATTAAATTCATATTTATTACTATGTTCTTAGAAGGTGTTTTTGGCAGCACCCAAGTTGGAAGTAAGAGAGATTCCTATGATGAAAAAGTGTGCATACATTAAAATCTTTGTAGATCACAGAATCCTTCAACTTTCTGATGATCATTGTACTGGAACAATTAGTAAATGAGTTAAGTCACTGAATTAAGATAAAAGTGAAATGGCTGGCTCATTAAAACTGCAATATGAAGAAATTACACTGCCTCAATAAACTTCTCAGTATAGCCCAGGTGAGATGAGATGAATTACTAAACCTGCTCAGAGAAACATTAATGGCCCCATTGCCAATAACTGCTCTAGTTCTGTTATAGAACCTCTTTTTTTGCTGTTACCTACTTCAAAGAGGGCCATTTCCTTAGGTAACAAGACATATAATCTCTTAGGACTTTAATATTCAAATGTTTCATTTGATTAACAATCGTCTCTTGACTCCATCTTTAAATTAAGCTGACATAAAGAATTATACACACACATAAAATTTTTCCATTAAATAGAAATCTTCGGAGAATAATGAAGCATAATTAATGACACATTTTTTCTGCTATGTACTGAACTGTGCCCTTGCTCCCAAATTCATATGTTCAAGCCCTAGCCCCCAGTGTGATAGTATTTAGAGACGGGACATTTGGGAGATAATGAGATTCAGATGAGGTCATGACAGTGGGGTGCTCATTATGAGATTTATATCTTTATAAGAGGAGACACGAGAGAGAGCTTACTCTATTTTTCTTTACATGAGTACTCACTTAGGAAAGGCCATATGAGCCTACATTGAGAAGGTGGTCATTTGCAAGCCAGGAAGAGAGAGCTCACCATACCTTGCCATGCTGGTCCTTTAATCTTAGACTTCCATCCTCTGTAACTATGAGTTAATATGCTTATGTTGCTTAAGCCACCCAGTCTATGGCTTTTATGTCTATTTTTGTATGGTAGCCCAAACCAAAAGAGACAAATTTTGATAGTGATAAGTGAGGTGCTGCAGTAACAAATACCTTAAAAATGTGGAAATGCCTTTGGAACTGGGTAATGGGTATAGACTGGAAGAATGTTCACTTGCATGCTAGAAATATGGATGGTAAGGGTTATTCTGGTGAGAATTCAGAAAGAAATGAGCTTTGGGAGGCTGAGGCGGGTGGATCACCTGAGGTCCGGAGTTTGAGACCAGCCTAGCCAACATGGTGAAATCCTGTCTCTACTGAAAATACAAAAATTAGCCAGGCGTGGTGGTGGGTGCCTGTAATCTCAGCTACTTGGAAGGCTGAGGCAGGAGAATTGCTAGAAACTGGGAGGCGGAGGTTGCAGTGAGCTGAGATTGTGCCATTGCACTCCAGCCCAGGTGACAACAGCGAGACTCCATCTCAAAAAAAAAAAAAAAAAAAAAAAATAAATAAATAAAAGAAGAAATAAGGAACATGTCCATGTTATTGGAAACTGGAAGACTGGTGATCCTTATTATAAAGTGGCAGAGAACTTGGCTCAACTGTGTTCTAGTGTTCTGTGGAAAGTAGAACTTGTGACAAAATTGTATGTTTAGTTGAAGAGATTTCTAAGCAAAGCATTGAAGGAGCAGGTTGGTTCCTTCTGACTGTTTATAGTAAAATGTAAAAGGAGAAAGATGAACTAAAGAAGGAATTGTACAGCAAAAAGTAACCATAACTCGAAGATTTGAAAAGAATTCTCAGCCTATCCATATTGCAAAAAATGATAAAGCTTGTTCTCAAGAGAACACCAAGGATGTGGCTGAATAAACATTTGATAATGCTTATGGGATTATATGGGTAGAAATGCTTCCAGTTGGAACTGAACGGGGTGGAGATGGGATGAAATGAAGGAAAGCTTTCGAACTTCTTGAATTTTACAGGACAGGACAATGGAGCTGTTTGACTAAAAACATGCTTTATTCTTCAAAAACAGGGAAAAATGACTTAAAAGGTGATTATTCAGAGTTCATCAGGGTTATTGCCCTTGTTTCAATGGGCCATATGGCTTCAGCTTGAAACCTTGGGGGATGGACTGCCCTGCAGAGCCATGGGGATAGGAACATTTGGAACCTTGGGATTGATGCTGCTACCCCAGTGGGCCTAGAAGGTGGGACATCAAACCAAAGAGAATCATTGTTGAAGCTTAATGGAATTTGCTTCTTCCATTGTTGATCTAATGGAATTTGCCTTTCTAGGTTTTGGACTTGCTTTGGACCCATCACTTCTTTGTTCTTTCTGATTTCTTCATATTGGAATAGGAATGTTTGTGCTATACCTATCCCACTATTGTATTTGGGAAGCACATAACTTGTCTGGTTTCACAGGTTCACAGCTGAAGAGGAATTTTGCCTTAGAATGAATTGTACTTTGAATTTAACCCATAGATGATTTAGATGATATTCAAATAGAATGTTGGAAATAGTGGCCTTATAGAAAGAGATACCAGAGAGCTTTCTCTCTCTTTCTCTCCCCCTGCCTTGTGAAGACATGGTGAGAAGATGGATTCTACCAGCCAGGAAGAGTCCTCACCAGAAATTGACCATGCTAATGCCCTGATCTCAGACTTCCAGCCTCTAGAACTGTGAGAAAATACTCTGCTGTTGTTTCAGCCACCTAATGTGTGGTATTTTGTTGTAGTAGCCTGAGATAATTAATATACTTGCTTAATAAGTAACTCAAAATACAGAGAAAAAGACAACCATCCCAAGAAATATGTAGGAAAATGTATGGCTGTTATGTGCTGAATTGTGTCTCTTTAAATTCATATTTTGAAGTCCTAACTCCACGTATCTCAGAATGTGACTATATTTGGAGAGACAATCTTTCAAGAGGTAATTAAGGTAAAATGAGGTCATATGGGTAGGCCCTAATTCAATATAACTAGTACCCTTATAAGAGAAAGAAATTAGGATACAGAAATGCACAGAAGAAAAAAAAAACAGTAGAGACACAAGGAGGAGAAAGTCAACCTTGTGAACACCTGGATTTCAGACTTCTAGCCTCCAGAACCGTGAAAAAGTAAATTTCTGTTGTTTAAGCCACCCAGTCTATGGTATTTTGTTATGGCAGTCTGAGCTAATACATTTTTATTATGAGCACAAAACTTCATTTCTCTCAGAATGGAGACATAGAGATAAATAGTTTTATCAGTAAAATACAAAAACAAAAGAGGGAAACATATACGATTTTTACAAGTAAATATTGTGAGCAAATTTGGCATTTAGGGTGCTGTTTTGAATTTTTAAACTTTCACGATTGTGACCATTGAGGACTTAAATCAGAGATCTGTCTTTTGCCCAATGCTTTGCAGATTTTACTTCTCTAGTAGTCTTCTTTTCCATCTTCATTTTCTTCCAAAAAATGTATTCAGTGTGTGTTCTCCCAAGTTGTAGACTCTATCTGAAACATTTCACTCTTTTCCGCTGACAGTCTTCTGACATCATAAGCTCTCTACTTCCCATCACCAAGAGAAGTCCAGGAAGTCTTTTTAAAATGGTAGAAAAAAATCAACAAAGTTTTTTGATCTTAGCATCTTACTAATTATACATTATTTTACTATTGCAATTCACATAGGTGCCTATTTAAGGTAATAAATGTTTCATAATTTTGTTAAGGTATGTGTTTGATTATTGTCTCTTATGTCTGCTTATCTCACAAAAAGGGAAGTGATCATTTTTTAGTTTGTAACCACCCAGCGGGTTCACCTTGCCCACTGCCTAGACAGAGCCAATTTATCAAGACAGGGGAATTGCAATAGAGAAAGAGTGATTCATGCAGAGCTACCTGTGTAGGAGTGTTTTATTATTACTCACATTAGTCTCCCCGAGAATTAGGGGATTGGAGTTTTAAGGATAATTTGGCGGGAAGGTGGCCAGTGAGTCAGGAGTGCTGATTGGTTGGGTCAGAGATGAAATAATAGGGAGTCAAAGCTGTCCTCTTGGGCTGAGTCTATTCCTGGGTAGGGGGCCACAAGACGAGATGAGCCAGTTTATTGATCTGGGTGGTGCCAGCTAAACCATAATTTCTAATCTTGTGGCTAATTTTTTAGTTCTGCAAAGGCAGTCTAGTCCCCAGGAAAAAGGGGATTTGTTTTGGGAAAGGGCTGCTATTGTCTTGGTTTCGAAGCTAAATTATAAACTGAGGTCCTCCTAAAGTTAGTTTGGTCTATGCTCAGGAATGAACAAGGACAGCTTGGAGGTTAGAAGCAAGATGGAGTTGGTTAGGTCAGATCTCTTTCACTGTCTCAGTTATAATTTTGCAATGGCAGGTTCAAGTTGGATCATTATGTATCACTGTGTCTTCCTTTCCCACCTCCTCTACATCTAGCTAACAGCTATTTTATCCAGTGTTTAGAAAACTGGTTGTCTCACAAGCATTATTAATATTTTGAAATAAATTAATTTTTCACAATAATATTTTTCATTATAGACATGGTCTTATGCTGTTAAGTCTTAGATATAGTAAGTCTGTTTTACTTATTTTAAATGGGGTTACACAGGATCTGCTGAAATTGTTTGGAGAATGATCATGGTAGTGATCAGGAAACTTCTGGAGTAATACTGTGAAGACATATAGGTTTCATGTTTTACTCTAAAAGACTTACTTGACATATAGACTATTATTAATAATAGCATAATGTTGTACAAACAAGAGCAGCTTCATATTTTATGTCCTTATTCAACAGACTTACTTTTCTCTCACAAAATCCACACACTTAATATCTTATACAATTAAACTTGTAAAAATTTTTTTGACCTGGCTGTTATTTGTAAATTAAAAATATAAAAAGTAACTGCTGCATTAATATAAAAAATACGGAATGATATCAGCAAAAATGGCAGAGTAAGGAGCACCAAATTCATTCTGCTCCTCTGAAAAAGCAATGAAAAATGGTTAAAAATGGTCAGAATCAACTTTTGCGGAACTGTAGAAATAAACCAAAGGCTTGCAGCAACCCAGAGAGCACCTATTCATGAAAATGGTGGATTTTCAATAAGAAGAGTAAACTTTGTAAAATTTTAACTTAGTCTAGTCTTGTCCTCTGCTACCAAACTTGGCAGTGGCTATGAAAATAACAGCCCTTGGTGCCAGATGGAACAGAGTACCTCTCATTTGGAAGGACTGTAATTTTTTTTTCTTTATTATACTTTAAGTTTCAGGGTACATGTGCACAACGTGCAGGTTTGTTACATATGTATACATGTGCCATGTTGGTGTGCTGCACCCATTAACTCATCATTTATATTAGGTATATCTCCTAATGCTATCCCTCCCCCCTCCCCCCACAACAGGCCCTGGTGTGTGATGTTCCCCTTCCTGTGTCCATGTGTTCTCATTGTTCAATTCCCACCTATGAGTGAGAACATGCAGTGTTTGGTTTTTTGTCCTTGCGATATCTTGCTGAGAAAGATTGTTTCCAGCTTCATCCACGTCCCTACAAAGAACATGAACTCATCCTTTTTTATGGCTGCATAGTATTCCATGGTGTATATGTGCCACATTTTCTTAATCCAGTCTATCATTGTTGGACATTTGGGTTGGTTCCAAGTCTTTGCTATTGTGAATAGTGCCGCAGTAAACATACATGTGCATGTGTCTTTATAGCAGCATGTTTTATAATCCTTTGGGTATATACCCAGGAAGAACTGTAATTAAGTATTTGTTCTGACCTGTCTCATGGCTTCCTAGAGGACTGGCTGAAAAGGCTTGTCTTGATTTGTCCTTAACTCAGAATTGGCTTTGTGCTAAAACTACTTCCCAGGGGACATTTGTTGAAAACACTTACAGGCTAATGTGTTAGTTACTTCTGCCAGAGGTGATAGATAAGAGTTGGAGCAAGTAATAAACTAATCAAAAAGCTTGGGAGGAAAGGCTGGGAAATGAGAAATCCTTAATGCATTTGAAAATCTCCATCGTATTCCTGGGAATTTAGAAGGCTGTGCACATGGTAAGGGCTATGCACATGCTAAGGGAATACCTGAGAACGTGCTAAGCTCTCTTCTCTTGCTGATCTTGAGGCTTTGTGGAAGCAGGAAGAAGTAAAGGCTAAGGCAGAGCTATGAACTGCTGGGCTGAGTGTTGAAAGTGTGGCCAGCACAGAGCCCCTGAACAAAGATTGGAAGAATTTTGGTTACAGATGTTTAAATAAATCTCTGTTCAGTCATTCAGTGACCACTATACAGTTCTAGTTAGAAGCTCTAGTACAATGTATAATGTTGAATACAAACGGCAAGAGTGGACATCGTGGTCTTGTTCCAAGTGTTAGGATGAAAGATCTCAATATTTCAACATTCAATATAATGTAATATATGGGGATTTTCATAGGTGCCCTTTACCATGTAGAGAAAATTCCCTTCTATAATATTTCTAGCCTGTTGAATATTTTTACCATGAAAGGGATTTTGTTCAATGATTTGTGCAGAAATCAGAGCCCTCATACATTGCTGGTGGGAATTCAAAATGGTGCAGCTACTAGTCGTTCCTCAAAAAGTTAAACAGAATTATTATATAACCCTATAATTCTACTCCTAGGTATACACATGAGAGAATTAAAAACATATGTTCACACAAAACTTATACATATTCATCAGTTTTATTCATAATAGCCAAAGACTGGAAACAAATGAAATGACTATTAGCTGATAAATGGACAAAGAAAATTTGGTATATTCATACAATGAAATTATTCAGCACTAAAAATGAATTAATTATTATTACATGCTACAATATGAATTAACCTTGAAAATATTATGCTAAATGAAGGAAACTAAACACAAAAGGCCACATATTATATTATTCCCCGTATATGAAATATCTATATAAACACATATAAATGTGCATATAAATTCATGAGATTGAAAATTAATTAGTACTTGCCATGAACAGAGGGGAATCTGGATTAATTGCTAATAGTTACGAGGATTCTTTTAGTGTTGACGAAAATATTCTGGAATTAGCATTGATGGCTGCATAGCATAGTGAATATACTAAAAACCCCTGAAATGTATACTTTAAAATGAGGAATTTTGTGCTATGTGAATTTTACCTCAATAAAAAACATGGAAAGTCACAAATAATAAAATGTAAACAAATAATTAACTTTGTAATCTTCTATAAATATTGCTAACATTTTGGTGTATTAGTATGTGGTATGTGTGTATATGTTTATATATATATAAATACATATATCTTTGGTCTTTGTACATAATAGTAGAAAAGGAAATATAGGTGTAAATACATTACATGGCTTTTAAATCTTACCTGTTAATGATGATACATAGTTTTCATGCTATCAAACATGTGCTATAAACATTTTAAATCATCTTATGCAATTGTATCAAGTTAGTCATTATTAAAAATTGATCTATTCTGAGACTTTTAGGTTATATATGAATTTTCATATTCTACATAATACCATAAGAAACCATTTTCTTAAGATTGCATGCCGGAAGTAAATTTGGCCATTATAACTCTTTTAAAGCTTTTGTTTCATACTGGTGAATTATTTCCTCAAAAGTTTTATAAGTTTACACTACTGTCAGAAATGAACCTCCAGTGGCCTAATGGGTAAGGCAGTGGCCTCCAAAGCCAGGGATTTGGGGCTACTGTCAGAAAAGTGCCTGTTTAATAGACATTTACCAGCATTTTGTGCTATTAGCATTAGAAATGAAAATCTTTACCAATTTACAAATAAAGCAAAGTTAACTTTTATTTCATGCAATTTTTGGTTAGAGAAATTGTACGTCTTTTACCTAGTTGATTGTTACATTTTCTATTAGTGGGTCTGTTTGTATGTTTTGTAAAATATAATAGCATTTCTTAATTTTGGAAATTTCTGTCATAACTCTCTTTCTGGTTATTCTTACAACAATTTTATACTATTTTCCATTATGCTTTTTGCAGAATATAAAAGCATAGTGTTGAGGCTCAGAAAACAATACTCCCAAATGAAGGCCTCAGCAGCATCCTCAGAAGCAAAAGTTTTTCTCTGAACTTTTCCTGCCTTCCTGTTTTTCAGTCCCTGTCTCTCCCTAAGGCTAGCCATAGAAACTAGAATCCCTTTTCCCCAAGGTGGGTCATAGAAACCAAAACCAGTTTTTTCCCAAAGCCAGCCATAAAACCTATAACTACTACTCTAACTTTCTCTCCATCTTATATGTGTAAAAACTGGCCATAAAGAAATTATCTAATGTACCTCATTTCACTAAGACTCCCATTCCAGGAAGATTCCTGTCCCATACCCAAAAGGAAGGAATGAGTGCTCAAGGCAAGTAGAATCTAGACAGGCAGGCCTTGCTAGGTTTCCCCACTCAGCCAATTAGCATTAGATCATACACTTTTTGTCCAATCATATTTCTATGTGGCTGTCCATACTTTCTTGAACCTAAGCATAAAAATGGATAATTTCCCCTGTATCTTTGAGTCTTCATTCTAAAGGCTCCTGTGTATGCATGTTATATACATTTGTAAGACTTTCTCCAGTTAATCTGCCTGTCATGAGTTGATTTTTTAGTGAACCTTTAGAGGGCCAAGCCCTTGGTCCCTACAATAGTCTAAAGACTAGAAGGTGCCTGCAGGTGTTTGTGTTCAGGTTAGAATTTAGAAAGAAGAAGGAAAATCATGTTATTGCCACTAAACATGGAAAGGAACAACTGGTACCAGCCACTGCAAAAACATGTCAAATTGTAAAGACCATCGATGCTAGGAAGAAACTGCATCAACTAATGAGCAAAATAACCAGCTAACATCATAATGACAGGATCAAATTCACACCTAACAATATTAACCTTAAATGTAAATGGGCTAAATGCTCCAATTAAAAGACACAGACTGGCAAATTGGTTACAGAGTCAAGACCCATCAGTGTGCTGTATTCAGGAGACCCATCTCATGTGCAGAGACACACATAGGCTCAAAATAAAGGGATGGAGGAAGATCTACCAAGCAAATGGAAAATAAAAAAAGGCAGGGGTTGCAATCCTAGTCTCTGATAAAACAGACTTTAAACCAACAAAGATCAAAAGAGACAAAGGAGGCTATTACATAATGGTAAAGGGATCAATTCAACAAGAAGAGCTAACTATCGTAAACATATATGCACCCAATACAGGAGCACCCAGATTCATAAAGCAAGCCTTTAGAGACCTACAAAGAGATTTAGACTCCCACACAATAATAATGGGAAACTTTAACACCCCACTGTCAATATTAGACAGATCAACGAGACAGAAAGTTAACAAGGATATCCAGGAATTAAACTCAGCTCTGCACTGAGCGGACCTAATAGACATCTACAGAACTCTACACCCCAAATCAACAGAATATATATACATTCTTCTCAGCACCACATCACAGTTATTACAAAATTCACCACATAGTTGGAAGTAAAGCTCTCCTCAGCAAATGTAAAAGAACAGAAATTATAACAAACTGTCTCTCAGACCACAGTGCAATCAAACTAGAACTCAGGATTAAGAAACTCACTCAAAACCGCTCAACTACATGGGTCCTGAACAACCTGCTCCTGAATGACTACTGGGTACATAAAGAAATGAAGGCAGAAATAAAGATGTTCTTTGAAACCAATGAGAACAAAGACACAACATAACAGAATCTCTGGGACACATTCAAAGCAGTGGGTAGAGGGAAATTTATAGCACCAAATGTCCACAAGAGAAAGCAGGAAAGATCTAAAATTGACACCCTAACATCACAATTAAAAGAACTAGAAAAGCAAGAGCAAACACATTCAAAAGCTAGCAGAAGGCAAGAAATAACTAAAATCAGAGCGGAACTGAAGAAGATAGAGACACAAAAAACCCTTCAAAAAATCAATGAATCCAGGAGCTGGTTTTTTGAAATGATCAACAAAATTGATAGACCACTAAGCAAGACGAATAAAGAAGAAAAGAGAGAAGAATCAAATAGATGCAATAAAAAATGACAAAGGGGATATCAGCACCAATCCCACAGAAATACAGACTACCATCAGAGAATACTATAAATACCTCTACGCAAATAAACGAGAAAATCTAGAAAAAATGGATAAATTCCTGGACACATACACCCTCCCAAGACTAAACCAGGAAGAAGTTGAATCCCTGAATAGACCAATAACAGGGTCTGAAATTGTGGCAATAATTAATAGCCTACCAACCAAAAAAAGTCCGGGACCAGATGGATTCACAGCAGAATGCTACCAGAGGTACAAGGAGGAACTGGTACCATTCCTTCTGAAACTATTCCAATCAATAGAAAAAGAGGGAAACCTCCCTAACTCATTTTATGAAGCCATCATCATCCTGATATGAAAACCTGGCAGAGACAAACACACAAAAAAGAGAATTTTAGACCAATATCCCTGATGAACACAGATGCAAAAATCCTCTATAAAATACTGGCAAACCGAATCCAGCAGCACATCAAAAAGCTTATCCACCATGATCAAGTGGGCTTCATCCCTGGGATACAAGGCTGGTTCAACATATGCACATCAATAAACATAATCCAGCATATAAACAGAACCAATGACAAAAACCACATGATTATCTCAATAGATGCAGAAAAGGCCTTTGACAAAATTCAACAACTCTTCATGCTTAAAACTCTCAATAAATTAGGTATTGATGGGACGTATCTCAAAATAGTAAGAGCTATTTATGACAAACCCACAACCAATATCATACTGAATGGCTAAAAACTGGAAGCATTCCCTTTGAAAACTGGCACAAGACAGGGATGCCCTCTCTCACCACTCCTATTCAACATAGTGTTGGAAGTTCTGGCCAGGGCAATCAGGCAGGAGAAAGAAATAAAGGGTGTTCAATTAGGAAAAGAGGAAGTCAAATTGTCCCTGTTTGCAGATGACATGATTGTATATTTAGAAAGCCCCATCATCTCAGCCCAAAATCTCCTTAAGCTGATAAGCAACTTCAGCAAAGTCTCAGGATACAAAATCAGTGTGCAAAATTCACAAGCATTCTTATACTCCAATAACAGACAAACAGAGAGCCAAATCATGAGTGAACTCCCATTGACAATTGCTTCAAAGAGAATAAAATACCTAGGAATCCAACTTAAAAGGGATGTGAAGGACCTCTTCAAGGAGAACTACAAACCACTGCTCAACGAAATAAAAGAAGACAGAAACAAATGGAAGAACTGCATTATAAATCATGCTGCTATAAAGACACATGCACACGTATGTTTATTGCAGCAGTGTTCACAATAGCAAAGGCTTGGAACCAACCCAAATGTCCATCAATGATAGACTGGATTAAGAAAATGTGGCATGTATACACCATGGAATACTATGCAGCCATAAAAAATGATGAGTTCATGTCCAAAGCTGGAGGCGTCACACTACCTGACTTCAAACTACACTACAAGGCTATAGTAACCAAAACAGCATGGTACTGGTACCAAAACAGAGATATAGACCAATGGAACAGAACAGAGCCCTCAGAAATAATACCACACATCTACAACCATCTGATCTTTGACAAAACTGATAAAAACAAGAAATGGGGAAAGGATTCCCTATTTAATAAATGGTGCTGGGAAAACTGGCTAGCCATATGTAGAAAGCTCAAACTGGATCCCTTCCTTACACCTTATACAAAAATTAATTCATGATGGATTAAAGATTTAAAAGTTAGACCTAAAACCATAAAAACCCTAGAAGAAAACCTAGGCAATACCATTCAGGACATAGGCATGGGCAAGGACTTCATGACTAAAACACCAAAAGCAATGGCAACGAAAGCCAAAATTGACAAATGGGATCTAATTAAACTAAAGAGCTTCTGCACAGCAAAAGAAACTACCATCAGAGTGAAGAGGCAACCTACAGAATGGGAGAAAATTTTTGCAGTCTACTCATCTGACAAAGGGCTAATATCCAGAATCTACAAAGAACCTAAACAAATTTACAAGAAAAAAACAAACAATCCCATCAACAAGTGGGCAAAGGGTATGAACAGACACTTTTCAAAAGAAGACATTTATGCAGCCAACAGACACATGAATAAATGCTCATCATCACTGGCCATCAGAGAAATGCAAATCAAAACCATAATGAGATACCATCTCACACCAGTTAGAATGGCGATCATTAAAAAGTCAGGAAACAACAGGTGCTGGAGAGGATGTGGAGAAATAGGAACACTTTTACACTGTTGGTGGGAGTGTAAACTAGTTCAACCATTGTGGAAGACAGTGTGGTGATTCCTCAAGGATCTAGAACTAGAAATACCATTTGACCCAGCCATCCCATTACTGGGTGTATACCCAAAGATTACAAATCATGCTGCTGTAAAGACACATGCACACGTATGTTTATTGCAGCACTATTCACAATAGCAAAGACTTGGAACCAACCCAAATGTCCATCAATGATAGACTGGATTAAGAAAATGTGGCACATATACACCATGGAATACTATGCAGCCATAAACAAGGATGAGTTCATGTCCTTTGTAGGGACGTGGATGAAGCTGGAAACCATCATTCTCAGCAAACTATCACAAGGACAAAAAACCAAACACCTCATGTTCTCGCTTATAGGTGGGAATTTTACAATGAGAACACATGGACACAGGAAGGGGAACATCACACACCGGGGCCTGTCATGGGGTGGGGGGAGGGAGGAGGGATAGCATTAGGAGATATACCTAATGCAAATGACGAGTTAATGGGTCCAGCACACCAACATGGCACATGTATACATATGTAACAAACCTCCACGTTGTGCACATGTACCCTAGAACTTAACGTGTAATAAAAAAAAAAAGAAAATCATGTTATTGCTAAAAGTAATATATTTTGTGTTTTTTTTAGGTTAACCAATGGCTCGATAATTGCCAATTGAAGAAGAAAATTTATGAATACATAGAAAATTGAATACATATAATTAATAAAATAAATTCAAGGGCTAATAATTAAGGTGGAAGAAGGAAACCTCCCTGGAAAATCTAATTAAGAAAAAAGAGTGTAAGAAAAAAGCAAAAGAAAGAGAAATAAAATATGTGATATTAACAATACAAAATCATGTAAAACGAGACAGAACCACTCTTGAAAATAACAGACTTCTTTATACAACTATCTGCTTATAGATTTGAAAAACTCAGGGTATTGATTTTCTGGGCCAGAAAGCGCAAATGGCAAAAATTGTCTCAACATGTAGAAAAACGAAGAATTCAGTGACGATAGAAGAAACCACAAGAACTGTCAAAGATTTCATTGTAAAAAAAAAAGTCACTTTACCCCAATAGTTTTAAATTGGAATATCTTCCATATTTCAGGTACAAATCATTTATTTTCTATAGAAACTATTTCAGAGCCTTGAATAAAAGGGAAAGATTCCCTATTCATATCATTAATATAGTATAATTTGGATAAAACCTGACAAAAATATCAGAAAATATTGAACAGATTGATTATACTTCTGAATGTTGAGGCAAATAATCCTATATAACAGACTATTGAAAAAAGTCTAGAAATAGATTGGAAGGATGTCATATCACTAATAATTACAATTTATCTTAAGAATGCAAGGATGGTTGAGTATTAAGTAATAAAATGATTAGTCATATTAATAGATCAAGAGACAACATTTTTAATCATTACAAGATAGTTAATGTAATTCAATATTGATTCCTGATAAAATGTCTGAGTAAGAGAGATATAAAGATTTTTTTTCTTAACACAATGAAGAAAAACTATTAGCTATTTTAAATCCAAAGTCAGCATTATACTCAATAATAAAATCCTAAAAGCATTTTTGTTAATATCAGAAAAAGCTTTTGGTAGTTCATTAATAACAACCAAACAAAGATTGACTTAGTCTGTTCAGGTTCCTGTAACAAAATATCATAGGCTGAGTGACGATGTATAAACAACAGAAATTTATTTCTTACCGTTCTTGAGGTTGGGAAGATCAAGGTATCAGCAGATTCAGTGTCTTGTGAGGGCCCTTTTCCTGGTTCATGGATGATGGATGCCTTCTTGCTATGTCCTCACGTGGTAGAAGGGGCAAATAAAATCTTTTGGGTCTATTTTTATAAGGGAACTAATTCCATTCATGAGGACTTTGCCCTGATGATTTAATCAACTCCTCAAGGCCTCACTTTCCAATGCTATCACATTGTGACTAGCTTTCAACATATGAATTTTAGGAGGGCATAAACATTCAGACCGTAGCATCAACCAATCAGTCAACCAAACTAACCCCAAAATAAGAGGAATGCAGTTTGGAAAAGGGGAGATAAAAGTATGTTTATCTAAAGATTGTTGATCTAGATAACAATAATCTCAGAGACTTAACTGAAAAAGTATTGAAACTAATAAGAATTCATTTACATAGATCAGAGGCCAGTAAACTTTTTCTATAAAGAATAAGATAGTAAATATTTTAGGCTTTGAAGACCATAGGGTGTCTGTTGCAGCTACTTAACTCTGCTACTGTGGGCAAAAGCAGCCACAGACAGTTAAGTAAATGAATAAGTCTGGATGTGTACCAGTAAAGTTTTATTTACAAGAAGAGACTGTAGGTCAGATTTGGCTTGAGGGATATGTTTGCTGGCCCCTGAAACAGACAATTAAATTCTCCTGGCTGGGTGCGGGGCTCACACCTGAAATCCCAGCACTTTAGAAGGCTAAGGTGGGAGGATCTCTTGAGCCCAAGAGTTTGAGACCAGCTTGCCAACATAGTGAGACCCTGTCTCTACAAAGATAAATAAAAATCAAAATAAAAAACCAAAACATTATCCTAATTTTAGTAATTATCAATAAGAAATAATATTAGGGAAATAATGCCATTAATCAGTAGCAATGAAACAAAAATATCCAAGAATACTCTTAACAGGAAATGTGCAAGTCCAGTGTGGCAAAAATTATAAAATTCTATTCAGGAGCAGAAAGGGCCATATGAAAATTGAATGAAAAATCGTGGTCTTTGACGGAAAACCTACATGTTGTAATGATGCCAATTCTCTCCAAGTACTTTATAAAATTGAAGAAATTCCAGCTGGATTTTTTTTTTTTGACATGACAGAGTGTAAAGTTTGATGGGAAAAATTAACTATACAGGATAGCAAATAATTTCTGACAAAAAAGAACTCAGCATAGGGATAGAGTATAATTTTTTAAATGCTTTTGTCTGCAAATAACTAAAAAATTAGTCCAAAAATTGTTTAAACAGTAAGGAAACCTATTGGTTCATATAACTGGAAATTTAGGGGTGGGTTGGATTCAGCTTTCACTTAATGTGGTCTTTCCAGCTCCATTTCTCTGAGATTTTTTAAGCCCAGTGTTTTTCAACTGGGAGTGATTTTGCCACCTAGATAACATTTGTCAATGTCTGGAGATATTTTAAGTTATCACAACTGGGTAGAGATGGGGTGGGAAGGGGAAGGCTACTGGTATCTAATGGGTAGAGGCCAGGGATACTGTTAAACATACTACAATGCACAGGCCAACCCTCAACAACAAAGAGTTACCCCACCAAAAGTGTTACTAATCCTGAAGCTGAGAGACCCTACCCTAAGCTACATACATTCTCCTTTGTGAGTGGTCTTTATTCACACATAATAACATACAGAGAAAAAAGACACTGTCTTTTTCTGGAGTTCCTAACTAATAGGAAGGAAATTTGCCAGTTTCATAAAATGAGTTTGGAAGCTTTCTACCTTTTTCATAAACTAAAATTTTATATGAAAAAGCTCACTGTTTTTTGAAGGAACCATAGGTTATGACTGTTTTATCTTAGTGAATTAGTCCTTTAATGAATATGCCTCTTAATGTGCTTTGCTTTGAATTCTATTTTGTCTGCTATTATTATTGTTATTCTGCCAGCTTTATTTTCATTAATGTTTGCCTGGAATACCTTTTGCCATTCCTTTATTTTCAACATTTCTATATCAACATTTTGTTCTTAGATGTGGGCCTTATATATAGTATATTGTTTTATATTTTAAAATACAAGCTCAGAGTCTGTCTTTTAAGGGGTAACTTTGGTTATTTAGCATTTATTATGATTAATGAAAAATGTGAATGTATTTTAGCCATCATATCTTTTTTGGTGTATGTTCTCTATTTGCAATGATTTTCTTTGTGGATTTTCTTTCTTTCTCTTTTTAAAAATTCTTTACAGTCTTTGGGCAAACTAGGTTTACTTTGCTGATTTTTTTCCTACTATTTTGGAAGATACATATTCTGCTTCTATTCTGTTTTGCTAAACATACATTTAAAAATTATACTTAAATTTAGCCAGGCGCGGTGGCTCATGCCTGTAATCCCAGCACTTCGGGAGGCCAAGGTGGGTGGATTACCTGAGGTTGGGAGTTCGAGACCAGCCTGACCAACATGGAGAAACCCCGTCTCTACTAAAAATACAAAATTAGCCAGGCGTGATGACGCATGCCTGTAATCCCAGCTACTTGGGAGGCTGAGGCAGGAGAATCACTTGAACCCGGGAGGTGGAGGTTACGGAGAGCTGAGATTGCACCATTGCACTCCATCCTGGGCAACAAGAGCAAAACTCCATCTCAAAAAAAAAATTATACCTAAATTTATATTTCTTTTGTAAAAGTAAAGAAAGTCAGCATTTCCAAATATCTCAAAAATATTTCATGAGCTTCAGCATTTTCAATTCTGGTTTTCAGAGAGTTTCCTTATTTGTGAGAACAGTGACATACTTGTTTTTTTTTTCTCGTTTTTTTAAATTATACTTTAAGTTTTAGGGTACATGTGCACAACGTGCAGGTTAGTTACATATGTATACATATGCCATGTTGGTGTGCTGCACCCATTAACTCATCATTTAACATTAGGTATATCTCCTAATGCTATCCCTCCCCCCTCCCCCCACCCCACAACAGGCCCTGGTGTGTGATGTTCCCCTTCCTGTGTCCATGTGTTCTCATTGTTCGATTCCCACTTATGAGTGAGAACATGCAGTGTTTGGTTTTTTTGTCCTTGTGATAGTTTGCTGAGAATGATGGTTTCCAGCTTCATCCATGTCCCTGCAAAGGACATGAACTCATCATTTTTTATGGCTGCATAGTATTCCATGGTGTGTATGTGCCACATTTTCTTAATCCAGTCTATCATTGATGGACATTTGGGTTGGTTCCAAGTCTTTACTGTTGTGAATAGTGCTGCAATAAACATACGTGTCCACGTGTCTTTATAGCAGCATGATTTATAATCCTTTGGGTATATACTCAGTAATGGGATGGCTGGGTCAAATGGTATTTCTAGTTCTAGATCCCTGAAGAATCACCACACTGACGTCCACATGGTTGAACTAGTTTACAGTCCCACCAACAGTGTAAAAGTGTTCCTATTTCTCCACATCCTCTCCAGCACCTGTTGTTTCCTGACTTTTTAATGATTGCCATTCTAACTGGTGTGAGATGGTATCTCATTGTGGTTTTGATTTGCATTTCTCTGATGGCCAGTGATGATGAGCATTTATTCATGTGTCTTTTGGCTGCATAAATGTCTTCTTTTGAGAAGTGTCTGTTCATATCCTTTGCCCACTTGTTGATGGGGTTGTTTGTTTTTTTCTTGTAAATTTGTTTGAGTTCGTTGTAGATTCTGGACATTAGCTCTTTGTCAGATGAGTAGATTGCAAAAATTTTCTCCCATTCTTTAAGTTGCGTGTTCACTCTGATGGTAGTTTCTTTTGCTGTGCAGAAGCTCTTTAGTTTAATTAGATCCCATTTGTCAATTTTGGCTTTTGTTGCCATTGCTTTTGGTGTTTTAGTCATGAAGTCCTTGCCCATGCCTATGTCCTGAATGGTAATGCCTAGGTTTTCTTCTAGGGTTTTTATGGTTTTAGGTCTAATATTTAAGTCTTTAATCCATCTTGAATTAATTTTTGTATAAGGTGTAAAGAAGGGATCCAGTTTGAGCTTTCTACATATGGCTAGCCAGTTTTCCCAGCATCATTTATTAAATAGGGAATCTTTCCCCATTTCTTGTTTTTGTCAGGTTGTGACATACTTGTTAATACTATTTCTAATATCTTCCTATGTTTGGGAGAGGGAGGTTTCAGTGTTTATTCTTGAACCAGATGTACCCTTTGCCTTTTTACTTCTATAAACTTAACTAAAGTTGATGACCCCAATGGCCACAAAATTTCTATGTAAGAATATTAATTACTACATTATTTATGTTTAGAAAAACAAAAGAGTCAATCTAAATGTTTACCAGTAAGGAAATAAATAATCTGCATTCATCCGTTGAAATATTGGTTATTCAAGGAATATTTTATGGAATATTTAATGTCATAGGAAGATGTTGATGACATCATGTTAAATGCAAAATATTTTATATGGTATGTGTTTTCTGGAAAAATGGACTGGAATAAAATAAACCAAAATATTGGTATGAGGTATATCAGAATAAGGGAATTACGGCTCATTTTAATTGTATTTTTCCTGAATTTTTGTATCTTTAAAATACAGGGCTTTTTTTTTTTGAGGCAAGATCTTGCCTTGTCACCTAGGCTGGAGTGCAGTGGTGCAATCATAGCTCACTGCAATCTGGAACACCTGGGCTCAAGCAATCCTCCCCACTCAGCCTCCTAAGTAGCTGGGACTACAGGCACACCACACCATGCCTGCCTAATTTAAAAAGAAAAATTGTAGAGAAGAGGTCTTGTTATGTTGCCCAAGATAGTCTTGAACTCCTGGCCTCAAGCAATTCTCCTGTCTCAGCCTCCCAAAACTCTGAGATTATAGGTGTCAGCCACCATTCCTGGCTAAAATGCAGATCTTCTATAAGTTACCAAAAATAAAATTTTGAGTGTTTTTAATATCCCTGACCCTGGCTTGGATATCAGAGACAAAGATACAGTGGGTGTAAGTTCTGAGTTTTTAAACTTTGGTGAGCAGCTAATGTCTCTGAACTGAAATTCTGATCTCTGGTTTCAATAAGCTGGGTTGTAGAAATAACCTCAACAATTCAAGTTTTCCTCAGTTATCTCAGATTGCCTATCTCTCTCCTTAATTTGTTTTTATTTTATGGGTGATATGTTTCTGTCTTCATCATCTATGTTGGTAAGTCTCCACTCCTGTCTAAACCCTGGCCTTGGTCCATCAAGATCCCTGTTGCATCCTACTCATCCCTGTCACAGACTGATTGGTCAAGTTAGTTCCCTGTTCTTCTTGAGAATATAGATAACACGTACCATTCCCATATCTTACGGAACAATGGGGCACTCTGAGATCTATTTTTCCAGACTCTGAATGCAGCCATCTCTATTTTCTGCTCCTATTTCCTGCTGGGTTTGGAGGACATAGAAAAACATCCCAGAAAGGGAGACACAGATCATTTCTATCCTCCTGTTCTCTACATCCTTATGGGATTTAATTACCCCTACAGCATATAGTCCCCTAGAGTGGAAGATATTTCCCAGGGCCATTTTTTTTCAGGGACCCATTAATATCTCGCTCTTCCTTCACTTCTTTCTTCCCCAGCCTGTGGACTCTTTAGTTCGGGATAGGAAAACTGGCTTTGACTCCCGAATTTGGCATAAACTCGAAGTTCCAAGATTTTCAGGGTTGAGGCTTTGGAAACTCGACATCCCATATTCCTGCAACTCAAATAAGTTTTTAACAGTCAGACACCATCTTACCTTTTCCCAAGGCAATGAAAGGCACTGCATGAATTTGGGAGAAGGGAAAATCAAAAGAAACAAGAGAATACAGGATAATTAGCTTAATATATTGAGATTTATCTAATCACACAGAGATAAAAAGCACATTATTATTTTCATCAATTCCTTTCAATGATATCAGAAATCTTTCCCTAAAATATAAATCTGCCTATTGCTTTTCTTAAAAATGTCAACAAATTCTTATTGTGTATAGATTAAAGTCCCCCATAATTGGTGTCTGGTTATCTTTGTGACCTTTTCTTCCACTAGTCTTTATGGCTGCAGTAAAAGATTTACTTATTTTCCAAATATACCATTTCATTTTATGCCTCTCTGCCCTTGCTTATACTTTTTCCTCAAGAATGAATTGCTCGTCCTACCTTCACAAGCTAGGGAAATAATACTCATACTTCAAAGCTCAGCCCCAATGTCTGATCACAGTCTGCATAAAGTCTTCCCTGATCCTCTTTCTACAGCATTGCTGTTTTTAAAAAAACAGATAATTTTACAGCAGTGCACACAGTAATAAAGTGTGGCATTCCTTAAACATCATTTCTAGGCCCTCTTCTCTTTATTCTGTATTTTCTCTGGAGGCAACCTTATTCATACCTTTGGCTTCAATTATGTTGAAGACTCCCAAAATAATATTTCCAACAAAGACATTTTAGATGACCTACAGAGCCACATATCCAGCTGGCTTCTCTTCAAGTCTATTTGGATGTCTCTCAAGCACCTCAGTCTCAAATATTCAAACTGAACTTACTTGATACTCTATTTTTTTGTTGAATATAAAAGGAAAATAGTATCCAAATTATCCCTTTTGGGTTTCTAGCTGCTTTCTTATTGCAACTTGGGTTACTGTCATCATCTGACTATGTAAGTAGGTTGCCTTTCTTACACTACCATCCTGAAAAATGCAGATATGCTTACACTCTTTCAGACTGGATACTTAGCTGTGCTTCCTTCAGGGTGTAGCAGCCATTGAGAGTTCTGCGCCTGATAAGGAACAGCGCAAAAGTGCAAGCTTTGGAATAAAGCACAGTTGTGTTTACATTGCAGCTCTGCACTTCTTAGCTGTATTACCTTGAAGAAGTTACCTATCCTTTTTGAGCCACAGATTTCTCATCTGTAAAATGTGGGAAATAATACCTAGATCACTGGATTGTTGTGTGGGACAAATAAAAGAGTATGTGTATTAGTACTTAGCACAGGGCCTAGTCCAGTTTCAGTACTCATAATGGATTTTATTTTTTGTTTTCTTTTTCTCTGTACTTAGAACATACTGTACCTGCACTTCTATTTTAGCATTTACCTTCTGTTTTTTTAAATCACAGTTGTTTACATTTTGTCATTTGACTAGATTGTGTATTTTTTGAATGAGTGCAAGAAGTCTTTTTCATCTCAGAAAACCCACATAATGGTTCAATAAGTGTTTTTGAATGAATGAATTAATGCATAAAAAATAGGGACAGGAGATTTTATTCTGTTTTATTTTTTGATATAGTTGAGCTTTTTCCAAGCTTCTGTTCAACCAGGTAAATTATTTGACACAAAAAGCATCTATTTACTTGGCAGTGTTTTAAGCAATTATAATAATAATATTTCATGTGCAAAATCTGGGAATCACACATTTTAAAATCTTGTTACTGGAACTCAAAGAACTCCTGTTGTTTAGAGGAAATCTGAACAGTTTACATTGCTCTCTAGGGGATTTTCATAGATTCTCAAGTTTTATGACCTGTTCTAACTTGCTTTTGGTTTAAAAATGTATCCTACTGCTCTCTTTGGTAAGACAGCCCACTGCATTATTGATTTAAAAGTCAGGAAACAATAGTTGTAAATGGTATGTCATTTCTTGTGCCTGAACTATTGCTTATGCATTCTTAAATATGACAGTAACTAAAACTGAAAGTTGTCTCAATCTTTAATAAGGTAAAATTCCACTTATATTTCATTAACAGAATCTCAGAAACGAAGTAACTAATTGTTTGGCTCTTTTTTGGCATCTGTTGTCCCCATTAACTGTAATGTAGGAAATGAACGTCAGAGTATACGTAACTCCAGGCTCTTGACTACATGATTTACTCCAGTGTTTTCCCAGAAATGCTGATGGACTGTAAAAAGCAGAGGACACCCACTGAAATTTATTAACAAGCCAGAAAGCAGCTGTTCTCTGAGTTGCAAACAAACGCAAATTTTAAGCTGTTCAATAGTCCTTTTGTTTTTTGTGGTCCCAGACAAAAGGGCTTTATTACAACCTTTGCTTTGGAAGTTTGCCTTCTTGTAGGTCCAAAGAGCTACCCAAAGGACAGATGGAAAATTTGTATTTAGTAGTGATTACCACTGTGGAGCCTCAGGGTGACCATTTTGTTTCCTTCCTTAACAAAATGTTCCCAAAGGCTTTCTATATTTGCGAAGTTACTCATTCCCCATCTCCCAATATTGGCTGTGGGGCATAAAAGAGGCAACAGTTTTTGGAGTACAAAATGAAGAAGGGATTGTGTAGAATTCAATCTGGTTAGTCAAAGCATGTTTTGGAAGGAAACATTTGTGTTCACATTGCCTGTAAAGAATTTAGAGAAATGCTCTTTTAAATCTTTTTCTTCCTATCAGAATCTTCAAGATACGATTTTGTTAACCTCTGCTAATTATTCCCACTCAAAATCGCCTCCCTTCTCTAAACACTTGTAACATTTTATTCATATCACTCATTTTATCCTTATATACAGCCTCCTATTATTATTCAAATATTTGAGTATTCACATGTCATCTCTCTGATATGATTATAAAGTCCCTGCTTCTCAGGATTACATCTTAAACATCCTTATTATATTGTTTCTTATCACAGGTGCATTGCTGTTTCTTGAACATTGTAGGCTACATGAAATGTATGCTATTGACTGAGCCACAGGTGTAGTTTTATTATTTTGAGCAACAGAGTACATTATTCAAGCAAATCCACAATATTTATTCTAGATAGGAAATTTTCTAATTGGCCATTTCCTCTTATTAAACTTTAGAAACATTTATGTTACATAAATAATGTAGCTAGTCAGACATGAGTAGAGCAGGAGAGGGCCTCCCTCACCCCTACACACACCAGGAATGTCAGGTGCGCATCAGATGATGGTCAGGTGATTGTTAACTGTCTCTCTAAAACAATAATTGGTCGCAGCCAGCACCAGGGAAAGGCAGTCTCCCAGTAAACAGAAATACCTGAAGCCAGTGATCAGCAGTTTCCCGATAAAATCTCAGGAGTTTGGCGAGTGGGCTCACACATGCACACTAAGAGGCAAAATGGTGGAATTTAACTGGTATATGACCTCCTAGGGACATTTGGCTGGTAAGAGAAGAATGCCTCCAGTGAGCATGTGTACAGCTCCAAGTGCGCATGCTCCCCTCCCAAGCGACAGCAGGCTACTGCACATGTGGACCACCCACCCCAAGAGAAGATTCAAGGGAGATGGAATGCAAGACCCCAGAAGTATGCCAATGTATGAAACCCCAAGTCAAAAGGTCAAATTGTGCACTTATCTCATAAGTTGCCCCCTTGGCCCTCTTCCAAGTGTGCTTTTATACTTTTCTTCCTTTTATTACTGCTCTAAAGCTTTTTAATAAACTTTCACTCCTGCTCTAAAACTTGCCTCGGTCTCTCCTTCTGCCTTATGCCCCTCAGTCAAATTCTTTCTTCTGAGGAGGCGATAATTGAGGATGCTGCAGATCCGTATTCGCTGCCAGTAACATGTTTTGGTGCCGCATGACCCGGATAACTTCCACTGCTAACATTTACCCCCCGAAGAATAGTGTAAGGACTGTTCAAATCAATTAGAGTCTTCTGCTTGCATAATAGGCTTTCTTGCTTTTGTATTTACTGTTATTTCAAGAACTCTCCTTTGGCTTTGCCACTCAAACCTGCCTACTAGATAATGACTGCCACTGATTGCAGACACCTCATTTTGGATAATTTCTTGCTTTTGTCCTACTCCTTTCCTTTTTCCACTTTGGCCCAGCCTTTCCTTCCTGAGCTGGTTTTATTCCAGGAATTATACTGCACAGCTGCGTGCTGGCCTGGTCAACTTCAGAACTCTATCTGTAGAAGGGGCCCTGAGCACTGTTTACTCACAAATAAAGGTAGAATAGTAAAGGATAAAGCCAAAAATTGTTACGTGAGAAATGCCAAGAAGCTAAGGTCAATAAAATACTTAAAAATCAATATTTGAAGGAAGACATAAAAGGATTGGGACAGATGGCAAGACATGAAAAGAAACTCATGAATTCTCATTTTACATCTGTAACTGCCCAACTGGCTCACCTTGCCCTCTGCCTAGAGAGAGTCAATTTATTAAGACAGGGAATTGCAATAGAGAAAGAGTAATTCATGCAGATCTGGCTGTGTGGGAGAATGGAATTTTATTATTACTCAAAACAGTCTTCTCCAAAGCTTGTAGGTTAGCTGTTTTTCAAAGGCAGTTTGGGGGAAGGTGTGCGGGTAGCCAGGAACAGGTGCTTGCTGCTGATTGGTTGGGGCAGAGATGAAATCATAGGGTGTTGAAGCTGTCCTCCTGTGGGCTGAATCACTTCTGACTGGGGCCAAAGGAGCAAGGTTGGGGGGTCCAGGTGGAGTCATTGGGTCCAAGTTGGAGCGATGAGTGTCAGACATACAAAAAACCTGAAAACATATCTCAAAAGGTCAATCTTAGGTTCTACAATAGTGATGTTATTTGCAGGAGCAATTTGGGAAGGTGCATATCCTATAACCTCTGGAATAATGGCTGACAATCATTTATGTCTGCACCTTAGCAAAGTTAGGGCTCCTCTGCTCCTTCTAGCCCAGTAGTCTCTCATTAGATCTGCAAAGGTAGTTGAGTTTTGGGGAAGGGCTATTATCACTTAAACTATGAACTAATGTCTCCCAAAGGTAGGCCAGGAATAGTCAAAAGTAGCTCATGAGCAAGAGCCATGAGACAGTTGGGCTAACTTAGATCTCCCCCACTGCTATAACCTTCTCGTTGATTATAATTTGGCAAAGGCGGTTTCACATCTTCTGTATATTTTTCAACACTTTCCTCAGCCTCACCCTCATAAAGTCCTTCCTCTGCACTCCAGTCCATATTGACTCCTTTCTGCCATTTCTAAAGCTCCATAGAACTGTGTACCTTTATCATAAATTGCATTTTTAGTAACTACAACTTGCGAATAAATATCATGTGTAGTTTTAAATCAATCCGGCTGTCAACTCTCAGTGGGGACAAGTTTCCAGGCCCAGAAAAGTTACATCTTAGGGTACTAAAATAATCTGAAAATGTGATTTTAGAACCATTTCAGTTATCTTTGAGACTTCATGAGCCAGGAGTAGGTGTATGTGATGATTTAAAATGCAGAAAAAAATGGATTCCAGACCATACTGATATAATCTAGATATGTTTTCCTGGCAAGATTCTAGACTAGCTTGTTAAATAAATGTCTTACGCACATTAGGATGAGAAATTGGTAATCACCAGGAGAAACCAGATGCTTTCTTCTAGTAATAAGTCATGCTAAAAGGACCTCATTTGATTTTTTATCACATTACTAGTTTGGTAGATAGGAAGCTGTCTTTTGTTTTTGGCAAACATTCGGCACTATTTAGAGCATGTTATTTATTTAGAATAGATAAGGATGTGTGGGCTGAGTGAAAGTAAAGTTAAATTTTATAAGTGGTCAACTAATCCTAAACAAAGTACACTGATTACTAAATCAGTACCAGGTGACTTGATCTATACATACCCCACGCTCTGTTCTTAGCTATGACCAGACAAATAAATTTTATCACAGATTTGGAAAAAGGCATCCTTATAAAGCATGCAGATGGCATTAAGAAGAATACCTAATATTGTAGACAGCACTCCAGAGCAGAGAGGATAAAAGCGTGGGTTTGGGAGTTGCAAGGATTAAAGTCTTGAGTCAACTCTGCCACTTGCTAGCTTGTATGACCTGGAGAAAATTATTTTTCTCTAACTCATGAAGACCAAGTGATCACACAAAACAATGAATAGCTTCTGTTCTTCATTGGCACTCATACAATCATTATGATTTCCACAGGCCAGAAAGATGGTCTGAAATTAAAGATGAAATTTAGCAATTAAGGTTAAAATCAATTGTACAAATGGAGGACTTGAATATATTACATCTCATGTGAATAAGACTTGATGGTTTTAGTTGACTATAACTTCAATATGACATGGATGACAAGCCGGCTAATGCAATCTAAGTTTTTGCAAAACTATGGTATTTTGATTAAGGGAGATAACACTTACTTTGCAGTACAGATCACATTTGGGAGATTACATTGAAGGGGCACATTGATTATCCCAGAAGAGAATAACTAGAATGGTGAAGAGTCTGGAATTTCGTTCATAGTAGAAATGGCTTAAAAATTGAAAATCATTATGCTGGAGGAGAAAAAGACTTATGGGATATGGACTGGGTAGTATACAATGAAGGGAAGTATCTTTTGTTTTATTTTTCTAAGTTGTTTATTATGGAGAACTTGAAACATACATAAAAACAGCAAGATTATTATAATAATCTCCTATATTCTCATCACCCAGCTGAAATAATGATTAGCTTATGGGCAATTTTGTTTCATCTGTTATCCACCTGACTGAATTATTTTTATTATTATTATTTTGAGTTGGAGTTTCGCTCTCGTTGCTCAGGCTGGAGTGCAATGGCGTGATCTTGGCTCACCACAACCTCTGCCTCCCGGGTTCAAGCGATTCTCCTGCCTCAGCCTCCTGAGTAACTGGGATTACAGGCATGTGCCACCACTCCTGGCTAATTTTTTTGTATTTTTAGTAGAGACAGGGTTTCTCCATGTTGGTCAGGCTGGTCTTGAACTCCTGATCTCAGGTGATCAGCCTGCCTCAGTGGGCTGGGATTACAGGCGTGAGCCACGATGCCTGGCAGCAAAATTATTTTTAAGGAAATCCAGGAATTTCATATATATGTGTCATTTCATCTGTAAATATTTTGCTGTGTACCTTTGAAAGACAAGAAGATTAAAAAGATAATTACAATACAATTTTCACACATAAAAATTAACAATAGGCTGGGTGCAGTGGCTGATGCCTGTAATCCCAGCACTTTGGGAGGCCGAGGCGGGTGGATCACGAGGTCAAGAATTCAAGACCAGCCTGGCCAACATGATGAAACCCCGTCTCTACTAAGAATACAAACATTAGCCGGGCATGGTGGTGTGTGCCTGTAATCCCAGCTACTCGGGAGGATGAGGCTGGAGAATTGCTTGAATCCGGAAGGTGGCGGTTGCAGCGAGCCGAGATTGCGCCATTGCACTCCAGCCTGGGCGACAGAGCAAGACTACATCTCGAAAAAAAAAATTAACAATAATTTCTTAATATCATTAAGCATCCAGTTAGATTTCAAATTTTACCAATTGTCTCAAAAATATTGTTTTACAATTTCTTTAAGGCAGAATCAAAATTAATCCATACATTGTAATTGGTTAATATACCTTTTAATTCCATTTAAATCTATAGGTTTGTCTTTTCTCTCTTTTTCTTTGAACCATGTTATTTATTGATCATTTGTCCTTTAGACTTTTCTGGACTCTGAATTTTATGGGTTGACTTATTGTGATGCATTTCCCCACCTCTGTATTTCCTATGAATTAGTTGTTGGATCTTAAGGGTTGGTCAGATTTAGTTTTTTTTTTTTTGTTTTGAAAGAATGTTTCGTAGGCAGTGTTGATTTCTCCTACTAAGAGACACTTAATTTCTGGATCTCTTTCTTTGCTTTTTAATGTAAAGAAAGATAAGCTAATGATAAACATTATCTAGATTTTTAAAATTACTTTGCAATAAATGGTTATATTTTAATTCCATCATTCCTTCTTCATTCATTAGCTTGAATATTTCTAAAACAGAAAGTTTCCCTCATTAACTTTTTGATTGTAGGATTTTTTTTTTCAAGTAAGTACATGTTTGCTATCTTCCAAAAGTTTTGATGCATCCTGTAATCTGAAGATAATAGAAAGTTTGAATTTACTCCTCAAGTTAGTTTTTCTTCACATTAAGAACCAATGGGACATGATCAGTGTTTTCAAATAAATACCTCAAAATAATAAGAGCTATTTATGACAAACCCACAGCCAATATTGTACTGAATGGGCAAAAGCTGGAAGCATTCCCTTTGAAAACTGGCACAAGGATGCCCTCTCTCACCACTCCTATTCAACATAGTATTAAAAGTTCTGGCGAGGGAAATCAGGCAAGAGAAAGAAATAAAGGGTATTCAAATAGGAATGGAGGAAGTCAGATTGTCTCTATTTGCAGATGACATGATTGTACATTTAGAAAACCCCATCATCTCACCCAAAATCTCCTTAATCCGATAAGCAACTTCAGCAGTCTTAGGATACAAAAGCAATGTGCAAAAATCACAAGCATTCCTATACACCAATAATACACAAACAGAGAGCCAAATCATAAGTGAACTCCCATTCACAATTGCTACAAAGACAATAAAATACCTAGGAATACAAGTTACAAGGGATGTGAAGAACCTCTTCAAGAACTACCAACCACTGCTCAAGGAAATAAGAGAGGACACAAACAAATGGAAAAACATTCTATGCTCATGGATAGGAAGAATCAATATCGTGAAAATGGCCATACTCCCCAAAGTAATTTATAGATTCAATGCTATCCCCAATCAAGCTACCATTGACTTTCTTTGCAGAATTAGAAAAAACAACTTTAAATTTTATACGGTAGCAAAAAAGGGCCCGTATAGACAAAACAATCCTAAGCAAAAAGAACAAAGCTGGAGGGATTATGCTACCTGACTTTAAACTATACAGGGCTACAGTAACCAAAACAACATGGTACTGGTTCCAAAACAGATACATAGACCAATGTAACAGAATAGAGGCCTCAGAAATACCACCACACATCTACAACCATCTGATCTTTGACAAACCTGACAAAAACAAGCAATGGGAAAGATTCCCTATTGAATAAACAGTGTTGGGAAAACTGGCTAGCCATATGCAGGAATCTGAAACTGGACCCCTTCCTTACACGTTATACAAAAATTAACTCGACATGGATTAAAGACTTAAATGTAAGACCTAAAACCATAAAAACCCAAGAAGAAAACCTAGACAATACCATTCCGGACATAGGCATGGACAATGACTTCATGACTAAAACACCAAAAGCAATGGCAACAAAAGCCAAAATTGACAAATGGGATCAAATTAAACTAAAGAGCTTCTGCACAGCAAAAGAAACTATCATCAGAGTGAACAGGCCACTTACAGAATGGGAGAAAATGTTTGCAATCTATCCATCTGACAAAAGGCTAATATCCAGAATGTACAAGGAACCTAAACAAATTTACAAGAAAAAAACAACCCCATCAAAAAGTGGGTGAAGGATATGAACAGACACTTCTCAAAAGAAGACATTTATGCAGCCAACAAACATGAAAAAAAAGCTCATCATCACTGGTCATTAGAGAAATGCAAATCAAAACCACAATGATATACCATCTCACGCCAGTTAGAATGGCGATCATTAAAAAGTCAGGAAACAACAGATGCTGGAGAGGATGTGGAGAAATAGGAATGCTTTTACACTGTTGGTGGGAGTGTAAATTAGTTCAACCATTATGGAAGACAGTGTGGCGATTCCTGAAGGATCTAGAACCAGATATACCCTTTGACCCAGCAATCCCATTACTGGGTGTATACCCAAAGGATTAGAAATCATTCTACTGTAAAGACACATGCACATGTATGTTTATTGTGGCACTGTTCACAATAGCAAAGACTTGAAACCAACCCAAATGCCCACCAATGATAGACTGGATTAAGAAAATGTGGCTCATATACATCATGGAGTACTATGCAGCCAAAAAAAGGATGAGTTCATGTCCTTTGCAGGGACATGGATGAAGCTGGAAACCATCATTGTCAGCAAACTAACACAGGGACAGAAAACCAAACACCACATGTTCTCACTCATAAGTGGGAGTTGAACAATGAGAACACATGGACACAGGAAGGGGAACATCACACACCGGGGCCTGTCAGGGGGTAGGGGGCAAGGGGAGGGACAGCATTAGAGAAATACCTAATGTAGATGACAGGTTGATGGGTGCAGCAAACCACCACGGCATTTGTATACCTGTGTAACAAACCTGCACCTTCTGCACATGTATCCCAGAACTTAAAGTATAATAATAATTTCAAAAAATTGAGAAATAAAAATTTTATATATCTATCGTGTACAACATGATGTCTTGAAATATGTGTACATTATGCAATGGCTCAAGAGCACTACTTAACCTATACATTATCTTACATACTTAATTTTTTTGTGATGAGAACACCTAAAATCTACTCTCTTAGCAGTTTTCAAAATACAATACATTGTTATTATCTATAGTCACCGTGTTGTACAACCTATCTCTTAAACTTATTCCTCCTATCTTATTGAAAATTTAGTTAAAGTCCTTTAAGATAAAAACTCATTCTGTTTAGCTCCAAAGTATCATGCTAAGAGTAATTGTGGGAATTAGGAAGGGGAGTCAGTCTACATTTAATATTAAGAAAATCTTACTAACAATTAGAATGTCCCCAAAATAGAATGGATTATTTCATAGATCAGATATCTGCCTATTACTAGTTTTGAGAAGTGGTTAGATGGCAATCTTTCAGGGACTTGGTAAAAGAGAATCTTATGCTCGGTAGAAATTTTAAAGTCTTTTTCATCTCTGAGTTTCCATGATACTAAAATGCCTCTGAGGAACCAGAATGAAGAAAGACATACAGGAACTCCTCCAGGGTGACAGCTGTGTAAAGAAATCCACTTTTAGTATTTGTGCTAGAAATTTCTGATCCAAAAAAATGCATGCTTTAAATAGCTAAAGAAGAGTATTCTTGGTATGCTGCTCATACTCTGTTTGCTTATTAACACCTTGTAACTTCTAACCTTTGACTATAGAGAAGGTGTAATAATTCTTTTGTTAACAACTCATAGTTTGGTCCCAATTGAGGACTTTTTCACAGAAATCACAATGACAGTACAGTATTAACAAATGCCACTATTCCTGTTGAAACCTTAGACTGTATATTTTGCCGCTGGAGAGGCATTCTTCCACTCAGAGTGGTATCTGGAAAAATTTCATCTAAAGATCATTAATAATTTTTTTGTAGTGCTGTATTTTCCCATGTGCTTTTTGTCAGGACAGTGGTTCCAAGAAATGTTAATAAGTGCCTCCCCAACCCCTGTATGCCAGAAAAAATGGGTTGTGTGGTCAAAATAATTGAGAAAACTGTTTATTAGTTAGGGTTCTCCAGAGAAACAGAATCAATAGAATTTTTACATATATATATGTATATATATATATATAGACACATACACATACATAAATATAGACACACACACACATGCACACATACATACACATATAAGAGAAGATTTAATATGGGAATTGGCTTGTGTGATTACGGGGACTGAGATGATATGCCATCTGCCAGCCAGAGAACCAGGAATGTCAGTGATGTAATTGAGAAACATGGGCGCTGATGGTATAAGTCCTAGTCTGAGGCTAAAGGCCTGAGATCCTGGGGGGCCACTGGTGTAAGTCCCAGAGTCCAAAGGCTGGAGAATCCAGAAGGCTCTGATGTCTGAGGGCAGTAGAAGATACATGCTTCAGCTGAAGGAAAGTGATTGAGAATCTGCCCTTCCTCCATCTTTTTGTTCTAATTGGGCCTTCAACAGATTGAATGATACCTGCTCACATTGGTGAGGGTGAATCTTCTTTACTGAGTCTGCTGACTCACATGCTAATCTCTTCCTGAAACACTGTCAGTAATGCACCCAGAAATAATGTTTGACCAGCTGTCTGGGCATTCCTTAACACATCCAAGTTGACATGTAAATTATCCATCACAAGTCTACCCCTTGTTAACCTGGCACCCATCTGTATCTTGTTAAACCATAATTAATCTCCACATGAAGACAGTAACAATTTATATTTCCACCTAACAGGATACAACTATCCTGCATATAACTGAAAATATATGAGTTCCCTCCCTAGAAGACACAGTGAAGTCTCTAAGTGATGTTCGCTCTTCTGATATCCCGTAACTCAAATACTATGATGGAAAATTAGCAACACTTAAATACTGATATGAAGTCAATGCATCTTATGTTACATGATAAGGGAATACAAGAGGAAATAAAACAAAGATATTTGCTTAATACATGTATATATACACACAAACATATTAATAATACAATAAAGTGGAAACACTCATGGCATTCTCATTTCTCTAACTGGTCAAGTGATTGTAGCTGGTATTTATAACTACCTTCTTCTACTACTCAGTCTATGTTTTCTTTGCCTTCAGCAAGAAGCTTGGTTGGTCCTAATTCTTTACCCATGGTAAAAACCCTTCAGTCCTGAAAAGTCTGAGCTGTTTGCTGCCTGGAATTGAGTTGTCATAGTTTTGAGGTGACCTTAATCAGAAGACATGATAATAGAGACACCCTAGGGGATCTCCTGTATTCCAGACATATTCTCCCTTACCTCCATTGTCGAGTTGTAAGCCATTACCCCTTTGTAAGCCAGATTGATCACCCCAGACAACAACATAACTCCCTTCTTGGCCTGTTGACTCATGCATGAGGAGTACAAAGTGGCCAGGTGGCAGTCTTAACTTCCAGTTCAATGGAATTATTGTTGTATCTCTTAGTGGAAGCATTCTTCCCAGTGGAACTAAGACCTGTAGGCCAGCAGAGCATAAGTCATGGGAACAAGAAGCAGAAAATTTGCTAGTGGGGATAGGAGTGAGTGGTGACACTCTTGTTTCCACCTTTTGATTACTGAACCTGTGAATCCTGGCTATGAGAGAAACAGTACCATATATAGGACAATTGATTCAGAGCATATAAAGCTGTCTGCAAAACTTGCCCCAGTCTTGCAAGGTATTGCCATCTAGCTAGTGTTTTCCAAAGGCCATTCCACCATTTTACTAAGCCAGCTGCTCCAGGACAGTGGGGAACATGGTAAGACCAGTGAATTCAATGAGCATGGGTCCGTTGCTGCACTTCTTTGGCTGTGAAGTGAGTTTCTTCATCAGAAGCAATATTGTGTGAAATGCTGTGACAGTGGATAAGGCATTTTATAATTGCATGGATGGTAGTTTTGGCAGAAGCATTGTGTGTAGGGAAAGCAAACCTGTATCCGGTTAAGTGTCTGTTCCAGTAAGGACAAATGCTGCCCCTTCCATGATGGAAAAAAATTCAGTATAATCAACCTGCCATGAGCTAGCTGGCTGCTCACCTTGGGGAATGGTGCAATATTGGGGGTCAATACTGGTTACCACTGCTAGCAGATTGAGCACTCAGCTGTGGCTATAGCCAGGTTGGCCTTGGTGAGTGCAAGGCCATGCTTCTGAGCCTATACACAACTTCCATCCTTGCCACCATGGCTACTTTGTTCATGAGCTTATTGAGCAATGACAGGAGTGGCTGGGGAAACAAGATGACTAGTATGCACAGAACAGGTCAGACTATCCACTTGATCATTAAAATTCTCCTTTTCTGAGATCAGCCTTTCAATATGCCTTCACTTGCGACACAAATCTCTTCACATTTTTTTTTGCTCATTCAGAGGGGTCTATCAATTTTCTTCTTCCCAAATTTCTTTGTCACCGGTTTTCCAATCATGTTCCTTTCAAGTTCCTTACCATCCACCAAACCTTAGCTACAGATAGGTCTGTCCACTTTCATGTGGTGCCTTCATACTGTGCAGAACCATCTGTAAACCAGACCCCAGTCTTCTCTTCCTCTGTTAATTGATCCATGGGCCATAGGTGCAGTCTGAGAGAAGGCAGTGTAGCAGGAGTGAGGACCATGGGCATTTGGGCCACTTCTTTATTTAACTTACTTTTGCCTTCAGGGCCTTTTTGGGACCAATCAGGTACATACCACTTCCATTTGATAATGAATTGTTGCTGTGCATGCCCAACTTTATGACTTGGTAAGTCAGATAACACCCAGTTCACGATGGGCAGCACAGGTTGCCTGAAAACCTGGCTGCCCATGGTCAAATGTTCAGGTTCTACTAAGGCCCAGTAGCAGGCCAAGAACTGTCTTGCAAAAGGAGAGTGATTTATCTGCAGAAGATGGCAGAGCTTTGCTCCAAAATCCTGAAGACCTGCACTGCAACTCACCTATGGGGGCCTGCCAAAGGCTCCAAAAAGCATCCCTGTCTGCCATTGCCTCTTCAAGAACCATTGGATCTATTGGATCATATGAATGAAGTGACAGAATGGCTTGCATAGCATCCTGGATCTGTTGCAGAGCTTTCTTTTGTTCTGGGATCCGCTCAACATCCACTAGCAGCTTTTCAGGTCACCCTGTAAATGGACCAGAGTAACACACCAAAACGATAAATATGTTGCCTCCCAAATCCAAACAGGCCCACTAGGCATTGAGCCTCTTTCCTGGTTGTAGGAGAGACAGATGCATCAACTTATCTTTCACCTTAAATGGGATATCTTGACATACCCCACACCACTGGACCCTAGAAATTTTACTGAGTAGAAGGCCTCTGAATTTTTGTCAGATTTATTTCCCACTGTCTGACATATGAATCTCTTACCAGTGAATCTGGAGTATGTGCTACTTTTTTCCTTTTAGGCCCAATCATTGTAATGTCATCAGGGTAATGGACCAGTATATCTTGTGAAAAGGAAAAGCAATCAATATCTCTACAAACTAAATAATGACATAGGGCTGGGAAGTTGATATACCCCTGAGGTAGAACAGTGAAGGTGTGTTTGTTTGCCTTGCTGGAAGAAAACTGCTTCTTGGGCTGCCTTTTGTAGTTGAATGACACAGCTTGACCTCTAGCATCCTGGGATCCAATTCCTTCCATTGCATTTAGGTTTTTCATTTGAGTGGCTGCAGTTTCCATTCCCACTATAAAGTCTGGCCTATGGACAAGAGCAATTGCTGAGCTCTTCAAGGATGCTGAGGCTCCCCTCACAAATTTATTTCTCAAAGTATTGGTGAAAGATTTGTCCTATGGACCCACCCAGGGTGGGTAGGTATGTCTTAAATGACAAATTTGCTCTTACATTCCAATCTCCTTAAGCTTTTGATTTCCTTCCTCTATGTTAATGGGAGATTATTCATTTACAATTTGCTCATGGTGAGCTATCTTTTGATCCATGTTTCAGCCAATCAACCAAATTGTTAGAGCCCTTTCCAAATCCCCAAGCCACTGTAACGTTAAATGCAACATCTCTGCTTAGTGGGCCCATATCAAGAAATTTAGCTGGATCCAACTTTGTGTTGTTTCCACCATTATCTCTTGCCATTAATATTTATTTCCACACATGTTCTCAGATTTTTGTTTCTATTAATTGGGAAAGTCAAGTAATTGTTTTGGGGTGTAGTACACCATCTCATGAGTCACACTTTGTACCTCAACGTTAGGGGCCTGCTGTGACTTTAGTTATAAGTCTAAAAGCAAAGAGTAGTGGTGGCAGTGGGTCCTGAGAAGAATTGGCATTGTCTTCCATGGCAACTGCTTCAGGGTAGGTAAAGGCCATTACCATCTCCTCAGCCAATGCATGGTTAATCCTCTCAGAAGGAGGTGAAAAGACTGATAACCATTGTGAGTGGGGAGGCTGCTTCCATTTCCAGGCCCTTGATGGACTGGATGATGTTCATCCACATTTGTTAGGGTGGATCTTCTTTACTCAGTATATTGGTTCAAATGCTAATCTTCTCTAGAAATACCCTCAGAGACACACCAAGAAATAATATTTTGTCAGCTGCCTAGGCATCTCTTAATGGAATCAAGTTGACACATAAAATTAACCATCATCATTTATTCATTCATTCATCTGTTCACTTATTTTTAAATCAAGTCTTCCAGGAACCTATAATATGCTCATGTGTGTAGTTAATATGCAAAAGCATGATGTACCATATAGAATGTGCAATTTACAAAACTTATTTGACCACAGAATATTTTTTCATAGAATGTATTATGGTACTATTGTTCTGTGATAAATCTACTATTTTGAAGAACAAACAAAATGTAGAATCATGTAATTCCTCTCTTTCTCTCATCTCATATCCAATGCACAAGCAAATCTTGTGGTATCTACTGTCTTTTAAAATATTGGCCAGGCACAGTGGCTCATGCCTGTAATCCCAGCACTTTGAGAAGCCAAAGCAGATGGATCACCTGAGGTCAGGAGTTTGAGACAAGCCTGTCCAACAAGGTGAAACCCTGTCTCTACAAAAATACAAAAATTAGCTGGGAATTATGACAGGTGCTTGTAATCCCAGCTCTCTCTCCTCTCTCTCTCTCTATATATATATCTCCTGAATATGATCCTTTATGATCAATATTCTATATTTCTCACATCCTTCAGAGATTTACTCAGTGTCAACTTCTCAGTCAATATAATATTGAAACATCCCCCCAACACACATCTTCCCTTTCTCCCTCCTTTTATTTTTCATCATACTACTTATCTCTATCTAACAATAGTACTTTTTATTTCACTTTATTTTATTTTGGGGGTACATAGTAGGGGTATATATTTATGCATACATGAGATATTTTGATATAGGCATGCAATGCAGAATAATCACATCAAGGTAAATGGAGTATCTGTCACCTCTTTCTTTCTCATTATCTCAAGCATTTATCCTCTGTGTTAACAACAGTCCAGCTGGTCATTCAGGAGCATATTGTTTAATATCCATGTATTTGTATAGTTTCCAAAATTCTTCTTGTTATTAATTCTAGTTTTATTCAATTATGGTCAGAGATAATGCTTGATATTATTTCAGTTTTTTGTAATGTTTTAAGACTTTCTGTCCCAGGGCAGGTGCCAAAATGCCATCCAAGAGCCAAGGCCTGGAATCAGGGACCCCAGAAGCCTCCTTGGTGCTCTATCCCACTGTGGCTTAGCTGTTATATAAGATTCAAGACAAAGTCCTCTCAAGTTTTCTCTCTACTTTTCTCAAGCAGAAGGAGTCTGCCCTTGTAGCTAGCCCAGCTGGTAATGTGCTGAGTCTCACCTGAAGCCAGCAAATCTCACAGTCTCACATAAGGCCTATGGCATACTACCTAGATATTACTGCTGGTTACTGAGGGCCCAAGGGCTCTTAAGTCACCAAGTGTTGGGTCTTGCCAGGATTGGGTCCTTTCCTTCAAGGCAACAGGTTCCCTTCTGGCCCAGAGTGTGCCCAGAAATGTCATCTGGGAGCAAGGTCCTGGAAAGGGGGCCTCACGGCTCTCTATCCTATTGTAGCTATGCTGGTATCCAAAATGCAAGACAAAGTCCTTTTTACTTTTCTCTGTCCTCTCTTCAGGCAGAAGGGAGGGTTGTCTTTTGGAGCCATGAGCTGTGCAGCCTGGGGTTGGGTGAAGGATGGTACAAGCACTCCCTTAGTTGCCCTCACTGTTGTTTCAGTAGGTGTCATGCCCCCGAAGACCATGGGCTCTGAGCCTCATTCAGTACGAGGAATCACTTAGGAGTGCTTGTGGCCTAGAGTGCCTTTCAAGTTTAGAGCTCCAGAGCACTTTAGCCCGTAGTGGTGAAGCTTGCTAGAACTCAAGTTCTAACCACTAAGATGAACAATTTTCCTGTGGCTAGGGCTGGTTTTAATACTCCCTCATGGGCAGGAATCAGCTTAGTTCAGCCAGGTTTTACTTTCTGCTGTGACAGGGCAGCACTGAGTTCAATGCAATATCTAACAATTGCTGTGTTCTTCCTCTCCCAAGCACACAGATTCTCTCTCTGCACCACATAGCCACTGCCAGGAGATGAGAGCAGGGTGGCTTCGGCAACTCTAGACTGTCTGTCCTGCCCTCTTCAGTGCCTCTTTCAATGATATCAATTTAAAACCAGGTATTTGGAGTGCTTACCTGATTTTTGATTCTTATGAAGATGTTTTTTTGTAGGTCATTGCTAAATTGGTGTCCTTAATGGAGAGATAATCAGTAGTGCCTTCTTTTCAGCCATGTTGCTCCACCCCTCCTAACATACTATTTTATTTGCCTGTTTATCTCATTATTGTCTCCCTCTTCCCACTAGAATGTAAGCTTCATGAGGGATAGAGCTTTGTCCTCTTTCTTGCTTATTTTTAGCATCTAGAAGTGTGCCAGAATATAATAGGTGCTAAATAGATATTTATTGAATAAATAAATAAGGTAGCTAACTTTATAAATGCTTATAGTAAGAGGACATGTGCCCCATAGTATCCTGCAAGGAACATTGCCTTGAGCTTAGCCAGACCTGGATTTCTTTACAAGTTTTCCCATTTACTTTCTATGAGACCTTGAACAAGTTGCTTAATAACTCTGTGTCTATTAAAAATGGGACTAACGATACATATCCTTAGGTTTATTTTAATTCTTCAGCAGCATATTAAATTACTTATGCTATGTAACAAGGATAATATTAAATGATAAAAAGGTATTTGAAGTGCCTAGTGCATATCTAGCACAGTTCCTAGCATAATGCCCAGTATAATTCCTAGAAAATTACTACACTGAATGACTTTATCACTTTTCTTTCTCTTCTTCCTCCCAAATCTCACTTTCATCCTGAAGGTGAGTTTTCACTGAGTTATACTCATTCTGTCTTGTGATATACAGCACACATTTATGAAGTCCTGTTAGGGTGAAGTCTGTGCATGTGCAAGTGATGTTTTTCCCTTTGTATGAATCAACCAGGCCTTAATCAGCTAGATCATGCTAAGTATTGGTCATTAATTTACACAACCAATAGTCTCAGATGGTTAGTTGCTACGAGGGAGAATTAGAAACAACAGTCCAGTGAGAATGGGAGCCCAATAGGTAAGATGTTTTCTGTAAACACCTTTTGATATGGTTTGGCTGTGTCCCCACCCAAATCTCAACTTGAATTGTATTTCCCAGAATTACCACGTGTTGTGGGAGGGACCCAGGGGTAGGTAATGAAAACATGAGGGCCAGTCTTTTCCATGCTATTCTCATGATAGTGAATTAAATCTCATGAGATCTTATGGGTTTATCAGGGTTTTCCACTTTTGCTTCTTCCTAATTTTTTTCTCATGCCACCATCATGTAAGAAGTGCCTTTCCCCTCCTGCCATGATTCTGAGGCCTCCCCAGCCCATGCGGAACTGTAAGTCCAATTAAACCTCTTTTTCTTCCCAGTCTTTGGTGTGTGTTTATCAGCAGTGTGAAAACAAACTAATACAGTAAACTGGTACCGGGAGTGGGGCATTGCTGAGAAGATGTTTTAGCAAAGAGATTGGTGACATTTTGCCCCTGTCCTAGAGATTTGTGGAACTTTGAACTTGAGAGAGATGATTTAGGGTATCTGGCAGAAGGAATTTCTAAGCAGCAAAGCATTCAAAATGTGACTCGTGTGCTGTTAAAAGCATTCCATTTCAAAAGGGAAACAGAGCATAAAAGTTCAGAAAATGTGCAGTCTGACAATGCAGTAGAAAAGAAAAACCCAGTTTTTGAGGAGAAATTCAAGCTGGCTGCATAAATTTGCATAAGTAGCAAGGAGCCTAATTTTAATCCGCAAGGCCATGGGGAAAATGTCCACAGGCCATGTCAGAGACCTTCATGGCAGCCCCTCCCATCACAGGCCCAGAGGCCCAGGGAAAAAAAGTGGTTTTGTGGGCCAGGCCCAGAGTCCCCATGCTGTGTGCAACCTGGGGACTTGGTGCCCTGTGTCCCAGCTGCTCCAGCCATGGATGAAAGGGGCCAATGTAGAACTTGAGCTGTGGCTTCAGAGGTTGGAAGCCCCAAGCCTTGGCAGCTTCCACGTGGTGTTGAGCCTGCGCGTGCACAGAAGTCAAGAACTGAGGTTTGGGAACCTCCGCCTTGATTTCAGAAGATGTATGGAAACACCTGGATGCCCAGGCAAAAGTTTTCTGCAGGGCAGGGCCCTCATGGAGAACCTCTGCTAGGGCAGTGTGGAAGGGAAATGTGGGGTTGGCGCCCCCACACAGAGTCCCTACTGAGGCACCACCTAGTGGAGCTGTGAGAAGAGGGCCACCGTCTTCTAGAACCCAGAATGGTAGATGCACTGGCAGCTTGCGCTGTGCACCTGGAAAAGTTGCAGACACTCAACGCCAGCCCATGAAAGCTGCTGGGAGAGAGGCTGTATCCTGCAAAGCCACAGGGGCAGAGCTGCCCAAGACCATGAGAACCCACCTCTTACATCAGCATGACCTGGATGTAAGACCTGGAGTCAAAGGAGATCATTTTGAAGCTTTAAAATTTGACTGCCCTGCTGGATTTTGGAATTGCATGGGCCCTGTAACCCCTTTGTTTTGGCCAATTTCTCCCATTTGAAATGGTTGTATTTACCCAATATCTGTACCCCCATTGTATCTAGGAAGTATCTAGCTTGCTTTTTATTTTACAGGCTCATAGGAAGAAGGGACTTGCCTTGTCTCAGATGAGACTTTGGACTGTGAACTTTTGGGTTAATGCTGAAATGAGTTAAGACTTTGGGGGACTGTTGGGAAGGCATGATTGGTTTTGAAATGTGAGGACATGAGATTTGGAGGGGTCGGGGTGGAATGATATGGTTTGGCTGTGTCCCCACCAAATCTCAACTTGAGTTATATCTCCCAGAATTCCCACGTGTTGTGGGAGGGACCCGGGGGAGGTAATTGAATCATGGGGGCTGGTCTTCTCCGTGCTATTCTCGTGATAGTGAATTAAGTCTCATGAGATCTGATGGGTTTATCAGGGGTTTCCACTTTGCTTCTTCTTAATTTTTTCTCTTGCTACCACCATGTAAGAAGTGCCTTTCCCCTCCTGCCATGATTCTGAGGCCTCCCCAGCTGTGTGGAACTGAAGTCCAATTAAACCTCTCTTTCTTCCCAGTCTCAGGCATGTCTTTATCAGCAGCATGAAAACAAACTAATACACCTTTTGTGGAATTGCATTTGAAACCACATCCTGAACTGCATCAGATGATCAGTTTCATTACTTACAGTTACATTTCGTTTTTGATCCAAATGTGTTAGCAATTTGATGCTCACTGTGTTCATAAGATCTGACTCTGAATGACTTTTAGCTGTTTTAAAAAGTCAAATCCTCCCTCAGAGGATCAAGATTTGCCATAAGTGAGGAAACTCAGGCAGTGTTTCTTAGGCTCTGCAGCTAATCTCACTGAGTAATTTTAGAAACGTTTGTGCAGTAGCATTATCATTAAAATAAGTGTGTGACCACTTTTTGCAACAATGCTCATTTGGCTGTCTCAGTTCTGTTATGTTTGTGGAAAAATTGGTCTCGAGGCCATAGTCAAACCTTGGATACACTGTTTTATCACAATACTCTCAAATATATCTTTTTTTTTTGTCTGGAGGCCCCTCTGAACGTCGTCCACATAGTAGCTTCATTTATGTGACTAAAGCACTAGAATGAAAACCAACAGAAATGGTGTTTGCAGTTATTTTTATGGACTTAGGTCAGCTACTCAATTACTGTGACAGCAACCCTTCAATCTAGAGATGACTTTTAAATAGATTGATCTGTAGAATGTAGAACGTAGAATGGTTAATGCCACTGCAAATAAACATAACATTGACATCTTCATGTAAATACTGCTCTTCCCCCAAGTGTACTAATAGTTGCCCTAATCTATTGTCTCTATTCACCCTACCCTATTTTTTATTCTTATACACACCATTTTATTTTTCCTGTTGTCATCTTGTATTAAGTTCTAAGTCCATATTTTCACAGTCCTCTTATATAATGGGTAGTGATCAGGTGGTGGGATTCATGTGAAAATATCTCTACTTCCAAAAAATAGTGACTAGAACAAAAGGAAAGAGATATTCTGGCCATTTGTGCCCACCCCTTTTACTTGGCAGGGCTTAATTTCTTGCTAATAACTCTTTAGTTTTTTTTGTGTGTGTGCTAATAAAAGGTGAAAAATTAGAAGCAGAGCTATCATTTTTCTTTTACCCCAGAAACATGTAACCTCATATTTCTTAACGCCATCCACATCTTCATAATTCCCTTTGCTCCAAAATTTATCTTTATTTAATACTATAAGCAGAGACAAATTTATTTTGAAGTGAGAGAAGCTTAATCATCGGGTTTCTTACTTGAAAAGACATTGTACTTAATTTTATATTTGTAATTTTGTTTTATTTTCCTAAAAGCGCTGTCCCCTCCAGTTTATATTAGTAAGTTTTAGGCCCTAAAACAACCCAAATCCATCCTCAAATGTAATAATCTCTTCTTTCTCTTCTACTTACTCCCTTTTGAAGGTTTGCTATAACCATTGCAATGCTTCCGTTGCCATTTCTTTTGTCCTTTACTCTGCTCAAGGCAAGTTAGAGGCCAAACCCTATGTGACATGTGGGTTCTCCGAATGGTTTCTTTTACCCTATTTATTATGGATTAGTCCTAGAGAATTGAGAAGTCTCTTAACACACAATGATGGCTGTAATCCTAAGAAAACTTGGGCGGCATCAGACAGACTTGAATTCTACCAATGCATTTACCAGTTTGACATTAGTTAACATTTGTGAGCCCTAATATCCTCATCTGTAAACTAGAAGTAGTAATATTTACTTTTCAGATTTGCTCTGAGGATTAATCCAAAATATCGAGGTGACTGTACCTTACTCAAGTGCCTGGCACTTACTCTGGATCAACACTTTCAGATTCTACTTCCTTTTCCTTCAGCTGCCATAGCAGGACGCAGCAGAAAAAGCTTTGTTCCGGCAGAGAGAATACTTACCATCTGCATTTTTTTTGAATTTCCTCTGACTTATAAGAGCTACAAAAATGCATGTCATTAGCCTGAAAGGGCAAGTGATTCCCTAGGCAGGCACTGAGGGATGGAACTGCAGCTGTGTTTGAAAGAGTGGCAGCAGACAGAAAGGGCAGCAGCAGCAGCAGCTCTGTAAGCCACCCATCTTCAAGCTCTAGAGTCTGTTAAGCTCAGATAAGACAGTGTGCCTCCTCTCCCATATCCAGTGTATGAAAAGTTTATTTTCCTCCTTTTTGTTTTCCATGCTATGTTTGAAAAATGAGCATTTGTTCTTAAAATGTGAGAATAAATCTTTGATGGGGATGGAGGTGTAGCACAGAATTTTATTCAGTAAGTAGACACTTTTCAGATGTGTTCCTTAAATAATGACTTAAAAAGCAGAAGAGACCCAAGCATGATACAGTAAGCTATTAAGTCAGGATACTTGGGTTCTTTCTGTCTTTTCTGAACACTTTTCTTTCAGAGTATTTGTTCATTTTGAGAAACTTAGCAGAATTACTTATAAGCATATTTTGCATATTAAGATCTTGAAAGATTGTGTCATTTCCTGGCTTAAAAATTAAGGAAATTAAACATCTCATTTTTCCTAGTAACCTTTTATTAGTAGGGTTTAATGCCATTTAACCTTAGGCAATAGTGAAAATTTATTGCTAATAGTTCTTGGTAGATATATTGTGCCTGTGATCTTATTGGGAATGTTTTATTCCCAAGTTATGTGGAGATTTGTCTGTTTTACATTTTATCTGTGTAGAAATATAATGAAATAAATATCTGGTTGAAAGTTAAGAGACCCTGTATTCTAATCTTAGCTGTATATCAATCAACTATGTGGCTTCTAGGTGTGTCACTTCATTTTACACTGCAAATAATGCATCTGTGAAGCAAGAAGGTAACTCCTTATCTGTAGATTGCATTTTAGAGATAAATGAGATAATATATGTACTAATTGTGTGGGTTCAGTGGAAGATAAGTAAACTGGTAACAGTACTGTACCTTCTCATGTTAACAGTGATTTAAAACATAATGTAGGTGGAGAGACTTGATATTTGAGAGAAAAAGTAAAGGTAGAGAAATGGCTGGTTAGCATGGACTTAAAATTCTGAATCAAGTTAGTTCACCACTTATTTGGTCTTTATTAATATATGTCTTGGTAGACAAGCCTTCACAAAAGTATAAATTAATAATATGCCAGTTTTCATTGAGGATATATTTAAAAGTAGCCAGTGGAGAAATTTTTCCCCAAGAACATTATCCCTTTGGTTCAATGTTTCTTATATAAAGAGCTTCATGACAAATCCTTCAAGAAGTTTAGTTTCAGACAAAAGCAAAAATACTCTATATCCAGATGAATTGGTATTTTTAATCAAATAACAAACACTAACATAATCGTATTTCCAATTTTGCTTTGACTATCAGGAAGCTTGCAGCTTAATGTAGTGATAAATTATAGTAATTGTCCTCAGCCTAGTTCTCTCATATAGTTATCTTCTTTCCTCAATTTTTAAGTCTTTTTTAATAGGTTCTGTGCATAGGAAATTACTTCATATATATATATATATTCATATTTTTAAACAGGTAGATAGATAAATAATATTTCTGTATAAATCTAGTGGTTCATTTACTAGCTAGGCCACAGTGTTTGGTTTGATTCCTATGTAGACAATTGAATATTGCTTCATTCAAAGATAACCTTCATTGGCCCTAGCCCTGGATGACTGTATGCAAACTGGTTACAAAGAAGAACTGTGGAAAAATCTGGAGTAATTAGAACTAAGTAACACTTTACTAATACTATAAAACAGCTAAATCCGTATGTTGCCAATGATACTGTAGGCTAATCAACTTTAGAAATGAATAACAATATTTTGTTATTCATACACATAAGGCAGGACATATTTTGCCCTTGTTTACTGACTAATGCTCAGTAATCATTGAGCATGTTTACTGAGCATGGAACATTAAGTTCTTTATGTGTTTATGTATTTATGTATTTATTTGAGACAGAGTCTCGCTCTATTGACCAGGCTGGAGTGCAGTGGCATGATCTTGGTTCACTGCAATCTCTGCCTCCTGGGTTTAAATGATTCTTGTGCCTCAGCCTCCCAAGTAGGTGGGATTATAGGCGCGTGCCACTATGCTTGGCTAATTTTTATAATTTTAGTAGAGACTGGATTTCACCATGTTGGCCAAGCTGGTCTCAAACTCCTGGCCTCAAGTGATCCACTTGCCTCGGCCTCCCAAAATGCTGGGATCATGGGCATGAGCTACTGGGCCTGGATGAGATCTGAAATTCCATGTTCCCATCCCATCCTATCATGGCATTGGAGTGGGAAAATAAAAGTAAATGTGTGCTATGTTTAGGCAAATGGGTCGGAGACAACCTTAGACTATTTTATGGTCCTTCATGATCCAGGAGCATAGGAATATATTCATGATCCAGGAGCATAGGAATATATTACCTCGTACCCATGAAAGTAGTGATAGAGAGATTGGTAGACTCCAAGAAGAAGATATTGATGGTTTCAAAAGTAGTGCTGGTCGGCTATGAGGGCAATGGGATTTAAAATTTATTATAGAATACATGAAACTTCTTATATTGGTGCAGGACAATCAGCCAAAGGGTGGAAGAGAGGGTCTAATGAAGACTTGTTGGAGCTTGCTGTTGAGGTCAGATTTGGATTTAATATTTAAGAGAACTGAACTTCTTCCTGAATAGGGAAGGAAGGATTATCCCAGTGGGACAAGCTCCAGCTTCCAAAACAGTGGGACTCCTTTAGACCTAAAAAATTACATGTCTATGAACAATCACCTGAGGCATCTGCAGAAAGGCCTAATGAGCCACATAGCAAGGCAAGGATAGAAGAGAAATATTTCTAATACAGTTCCTAAAAGATTAAGGAGATGCAAGCACACTGCTTTTTGCATTCTCGCATTCCTGGGATGATCTTACCATTGAAGAAAACCCAGAGCTGGTAATGCAGAAACTAAGGAATAACCACTTATCTTCCAAGAGTCAAGCCTCATTCAGCAACAATTTTCCTTTTTGCAACAAACTGCCAGGGCTGGAAGACTAGATAAAACTACTGAGGAAGAATAAAATATGACAGAGGATTCAGGTTGGGGAACCAGTCTACACAAGCTACAGTGTCCAAGTTAAGTTGCTCACTCTTGCCCTTTTTAGGTGAGTTCTATCAAAGGTTGACTCTAGTTCAGAGATTGCTCTGATTGGACAATGAGCCAAAATCTCCAGAGTGAGGGTAGAAGGAGAACCAGTATTGAGATGAAAGGGGAAATATTCAGGAAAAATTGACATTCTGTAGGAAGAAATTCAGGACAGAGATCCAGTTTCTACCTGCTTTGGGTACAGATTATATGTGTGTGTTTGTGCATAGGCAGGATCAGCCAGATGAGAAGTAAATTTCCTTCATGGAGGTACAAATATTTACTAGGTAGATTAGGGAATAAAGATAATATTTTGAAACATTAATGAGGAGAGTTTATTCCCTAATATGGTTTGGCTCTGTGTCCCCACCCAAATCTCATCTCAAATTATAATCCCCACTTGTTGAGGGAGGGAAGTGATTGGATCATGGGGGCGGTTTCCCCCATGCTGTTCTTGTGATAGTGAGTGAGTTCTCATGAGATCTGATGGATTTATAGGGACTCTTCCCTCTTTGCTCACTTCTCTCTCCTGCCACCTTGTAAAGAAGGTCCCTGTATTCCCTTCTGCCATGATTGCAAGTTTCCTGAGGGCTCTCCAGCCATGCAGAACTGTGAGTCAATTAAGCCTCTTACCTTTATAAATTATCCAGTCTCAGGTATTTCCTTTTTTATTATTATTATACTTTAAGTTCTAGGATAGTAACCTAACGTGCAGTTTTGCTACATAGGTATACACGTGCCATGGTGGTTTTCTGGAGCCATCCACCCATCATCTACATTAGGTATTTCTCCTAATGCTATCCCTCCCCTAGTACCCCACCCCCAGACAGGCCCTGGTGTGTGATGTTCCCTGGCCTGTGTCCATGTGTTCTCATTGTTCAACTCCCACTTATGAGCAAGACCATGTGGTGTTTGGTTTTCTGTTCCTGTGTTAGTTTGCTGAGAATGATGGTTTCCAGCTTCATCCATGTCCCTGCAAAGGACATGAACTCATCCTTTTTATGGCTGCATAGTATCCCATGGTGTATATGTGCCACATTTTCTTAATCCAGTCTATTATTGATGGGCATTTGGGTTGGTTCCAAGTCTTTGCTATTGTGAACAGTGCTGCAATAAACATACGTGTGCATGTGTCTTTACAGTAGAATGATTTCTAATCCTTTGGGTCTATATCCAGTAATGGGATTGCTGGGTGAAAGGGTATTTCAGTTTCTAGATCCTTGTGAATTGCCACACTGTCTTCCACAATGGTTGAACTAACTTACACTCCCACCAACAGTGTAAAAGCATTCCTATTTCTCCAAATCCTCTCCAGCATCTGTTGTTTCCTGACTTTTTAATGATCTCCATTCTAACTGGTGTGAGATGGTATCTCATTGTGGTTTTGATTTGAATTTCTGTAATGACCAGTGATGATGAGCTTTTTTTCCCCATGTTTGTTGGCCGCATAAATGTCTTCTTTTGACTAGTGTCTGTTCATATTCTTTGCCCACTTTTTGATGGGGTTGTTTTTTCTTGTAAATTTGTTTAAGTTCTTTGCCAATTCTGGATATCAGCCCTTTGTCAGATGGATAGATTGCAAAAAATTTTTCCCATTCTGTAGGTTGCCTGGTTACTCTGATGATAGTTTCTTTTGCTTTGCAGAAGCTCTTTAGTTTAACTAGATCCCATTTGTCAGTTTTGGCTTTTGTTGCCATTGCTTTTGTTGTTTTACTTATGAAGTCCTTGCCCATGCCTATGTACTGAATGGTATTGCCTAGGTTTTCTTCTTGGGTTTTTATGGTTTTAGGTCTTACATTTAAGTCTTTAATCCATCCTGAGTTAATTTTTGTATAAGGTGTAAGGAAGGGGTCCAGTTTCAGTTTTCTGCATATGGCTAGCCAGTTTTCCCAGCACCATTTATTAAATAAGGAATCCTTTCCCCATTGCTTGTTTTTGTCAGGTTTCTCAAAGATAAGATGGTTGTAGATGTGTGGCGTTATTTCTGAGGCCTCTGTTCTGTTCCATTGGTCTATATATCTGCTTTGGTGCTGGTAGCATGCTGTTTTTGTTACTGTAGCCCTATAGTATAATTTGAAGTCAGGTAGCGTGATGCCTCCAGCTTTGTTCTTTTTGCTTAGGATTGTCTTGGCTATAAGGGCTGTTTTTTGGTTTCACATGATATTTAAAGTAGATTTTTCTAATTTTGTGAAAAAGTCAATGGTAGCCTGATGAGGATAGCATTGAACCTGCAAATTACTTATGGCAGAATGGCCATTTTCACGATATTGATTCTTCCTATTCATGAGCATGGAATGTTTTTCCATTTGTTTGTGTCCTCTCTTATTTCCTTGAGCAGTGGTTTGTAGTTCTCCTTGAAGAGGTCCTTCACATCCTTTGTAAGTTTTATTCCTAGGTATTTTATTCTCTTTGTAGCAATTGTGAATGGGAGTTCACTCATGATTTGGCTCTCTGTCTATTATTGGTGTATAGGAATGCTTGTGATTTTTGCACATTGATTTTGTGTCCTGAGACTTTGCTGAAGTGGCTTATCAGCTTAAGGAGATTTTGGGCTGAGACAATGGGGTTTTCTAAATATACAATCATGTCATCTGCAAACAGGCAATTTGACTTCCTATCTTCCTATTTAAATACCTTTTATATCTTTCTCTTGCCTGATTGCCCTGGTCAGAACTTCCGATACTATGTTGAATAGGAATGGTTAGAGAGGGCATCCTTGTCTTGTGCTGGTTTTCAAAGGGAATGCTTCCAGCATTTGCCCATTCAGTATGATATTGGCTGTGGGTTTGTCCTAAATAGCTCTTATTATTTTGAGATACCTTCCATCAATGCCTAGTTTATTGAGAATTTTTAGCATGAAGGAGTGTTGAATTTTATCGAAGTCCTTTTCTGCATCTATTGATATAATCATGTGGTTTCTTTTTATTGGTTCTCTTAATGTGATGGATTACATTTATTGATTTGCGTATGTTTAACCAGACTTGCCTCCCAGGGATGAAGCTGACTTGATCATGGGAATAAGTTTTGATGTGCTGCTGGGTTTGGTTTGCCAGTATTTTATTGAGGATTTTCGCATTGATGTTCATCAGGGATATTGGCCTGAAATTTTCTTTTCTTGTGTCTCTGCCAGGTTTTGGTATCAGGATGATGCCGGCCTCATAAAATGAGTTAGGGAGGAGTCCCTCTTTTTCTATTGTTTGGAATAGTTTCAGAAGGGATAGTATCAGCTCCTCTTTGTACCTCTGGTAGAATTCGGCTGTGAATCCATCTGGTCCTGGGCTTTTTTTTTTTTTTGGTTGTTTGGCTATTAATTACTGCCTCAATTTCAGAACTTGTTATTGCTCTATTCAGGGATTTGACTTCTTCCTGGTTTAGTCTTGGGAGGGTATATGTTTCCAGGATTTTATCCATTTCTTCTAGATTTTCTAGTTTATTTGCATAGAGGTGTTTCTAGTATTCTCTGATGGTGGTTTGCATTTCTGTGGGATCAGCGATGATCTCCCCTTTATCATTTTTTATTGTGTCTATTTGTTTCTTCTCTGTTTTCTTCTTTATTAGTCTGGCTAGTGGTCTATCTATTTTGCTAATCTTTTCAAAGAACAACCTCCTGGATTCGTTGATTTTTTGAAGGTTTTTTTGTGTCTCTATCTCCTTTAGTTCTGCTTTAATCTTAGTTATTTCTTGTCTTCTGCTAGCTTTTGAATTTGTTTGCTCTTGCTTCTCTAGTTCTTTTAACTGTGATGTTAGGGTGTCGATTTTAGATCTTTCCCACTTTCTTTTGTGGGAATTTAGCGCTATAAATTTCCCTTTAAACACTGCTTTAGCTGTTTCCCAGAGATTCTGGTACATTGTGTCTTTGTTCTCATTGGTTTCAAAGAACTTTTATTTCTGCCTTAATTTCATTATTTACCCAGTAGTCATTCAGGAGTAGGTTGTTCAGTTTCCATGTAGTTGTGCAGTTTCGAGTGAGTTTCTTAGTCCTGAGTTCTAATTTGATTGCCTTGTGGTCTGAGAGACTGTTTATTATGATTTCCAGTCTTTTGCATTTGCTGAGGAGTGTTTTACCTCCAATTATGTGGTCGTTTCAGAATAGGCACGATGTGGTGCTGAGAAGAATTTATATTCTGTTGATTTGGGGTGGAGAGTTCTGTAGATGTCTATTAGGTCCACTTGGTCTAGAGCTGACTTCAAGTCCTGAATATCCTTGTTTATTTTCTGTCTTGTTGATATGTCTAATATTGACACTGGGGTGTTAAAATCTCCCACTATTATTGTGTGGGAGTCTAAGTCTCTTTGTAAGTCTCTAAAAACTTGCTTTATGAATCTGGGTGCTCCTGTATTGGGTACATATATATTTAGGATAGTTAGCTCTTCTTGTTGCATTGATCCCTTTACCAGTATGTAATGCCCTTGTCTTTTTTTGATCTTTGTTGGTTTAAAGTCTATTTTATCAGAGACTAGGATTGCAACCCCTGCTTTTTTTTTTGTTTTTTTGCTTTCCATTTGCTTTATAAATATACCTCCAACCCTTTATTTTGAGCCCATGTGTTTCTTTGCACATGAGATGTGTCTCCTGACTACACCACACTGATGGGTCTTGGCTCTTTATCCAAGTTGCCAGTCTGTGTCTTTTAATTGTTGTATTTAGCCCATTTACATTTAAGGTTAATGTAGTTTTGTGTGAATTTGATCGTGTCATTATGATATTAGCTGGTTATTTTGCCTGCTAGTTGATACAGTTTCTTCAGAGTGTGGATGGTCATTACAATTTGGTATACTCCTGCAGTGGCATGTACCAGTTTTTCCCTTCCACGTTTAGTTCTTCATTCAGAAGCTCTTGTAAGGCAGTCCTTTGTGGTAACAGAATCTTTCAGCATTTACTTGTCTGTAAAGGATTTCATTTCTCCTTTGCTTATGAAGCTTAGTTTGGCTGGATATGAAATTCTGGGTTGAAAATTCTTTTAAGAATGTTGAATATTGGCTCCCACTCCCTTCTGGCTTGTAGAATTTCTGCAGAGAGATCCGCTGCCAGTCTGATGGGCTTCCTTTTGTGGGTAACAGGACTTTTCTCTCTGGCTGCCCTTAACATTTTTTTCTTCACTTCACCCTTGGTGAATTTGATGATTACGTGTCTTTGAGTTGCTCATTTCGAGCAGTATCTTTGTGATGTTCTCTGTATTTCCTGAATTTGAATGTTGGTATGTTTTGCTAGGCTGGGGATGTTCTCTTGGAAAATATTGGAATTGGTTCCATTCTCCTCGTCAATTTCAGGTACACCAACCAAACATAGGTTTGGTCTTTTCACATAGTCTCATATTTCTTGGAGGCTTTGTTCATTACTTTTCATTCTTCTTTCTCTAATCTTGTCTTCATGCTTTATTTCATTAAGTTGATCTTCAATCTCTGACATCCTTTCTTCCGCTTGATCAATTTGGCTATTGATACTTGTGTATGCTTCACAAAGTTCTCGTGCTGTGTTTTTCAGTTCCATCAGTTCATTTATGTTCTTCTCTAAACTGGTTATTCTAGTTAGCAATTTGTCTAACCTTTTTTCAAGGTTCTTAGCTTCATTGCATTGGGCTAGAACATGCTCCTTTAGTTCAGAGGAGTTTGTTATTACCCACCTTCTGAAGCCTACTTCTGTCAATTTATCAAACTCAATCTCTGTCCAGTTTCGTTCCCTTGCTGGCGAGGAATTGTGATCCTTAGTAAGAGAAGAGGCCTTCTGGTTTTTGGAATTTTCAGTCTTTTTGCGCTGGTTTTTCTTCATCTTCATGGATTTATCTACCTTTGGTCTTTGATGTTGGTGACCTTTGGATGGGGTTTTTGTGTGGACGTCCTTTTTGTTGATGTTGATGCTATTCCTTTCTCTTTGTTAGTTTTCCTTCTAACAATCAGGCCCCTCTGCCACAGGTCTGCTGGAGTTTGGAAGTCCACTCCAGATCCTGTTTGCCTGGGTATCACCAGCGGAGGCTGCAGAACAGCAAAGATTGCTGCCTGTTCCTTCCTCTGGAAGCTTTGTCCCAGAGGGGCACTGCTAGATGCCAGCTGGAGCTCTCCTGTGTGAGGTATCTGTCAACCCCTGCTGGGAGGTGTCTCCCAGTCAGTAGCCACTGGGGTCAGGGACCCACTTACGGAGGCAGTTGGTCCCTTTGCAGAGCTTGAGCACTGTGCTGGGAGATCCGCTGCTCTCTTCAGAGCCAGTAGGAAGGAAGACTTAAGTCTGCTGAGGCTGTGCCCACAGCTGCCCCCTCCCCCAGGTGCTCTGTCCCAGGGAGATGGGAGTTTTATGTATAAGCCCCTGACTGGGTCTACTGCCTTTCTTTCTGAGATGCCCTGCCCAGAGGGGAGGAAGCTAGAGAGGCAGTCTGGCTACATTGGCTTTGCTGAGCTGCGGTGAGCTCTGCCCAGTTCAAACTTCCTGACAGCTTTGTTTACACTGTGATTGGAAAACTGCCTACTCAAGCCTCAGTAATGGCAGATGCCCCTCCCCCCACCAAGCTTGAGCATCCCAGGTTGACTTTAGACTGCTGTGCTGGCAGCAACAATTTCAAGCCACTGGATCTTAGCTTGCTGGGCTCCATGGCGGTGGGATCCGTTCAGCTAGGCCACTTGTCTCCCTGGCTTCAGCCCCCTTTCCAGGGGAGTGAACGGTTCTGTCTCACTGGCGTTCCAGATGCCACTGGGGTACAAAATAAATAAATAAATAAATACAAATAAACTCCTGCAGCTAGCTCAGTGTCTTCCCAAACAGCTGCCCAGTTTTGTGCTCGCAACCCAAGATGCCAGTGGCATAGGCACCCTAGGGAATCTCCTGGTCTGCAGGTTGTGGAGACCATGGGAAACGTGTAGTATTTGGGTCAGAGTGCACTGTTCCTCATGGCACAGTCCCTCACAGCTTCCCTTGGCTAGGGGAGGGAGTTCTCTGACCCCTTGTTCTTCCCAGGTGAGGCGACACCCCATCCTGCTTCATCTTGCCCTCTGTGGGCTGCACTCACTGTCTAACCAGTCCCAGTGAGATGAGCCAGGTACCTCAGTTGGAAATGCAGAAATCACTCACTTTCTGCGTTGACCTTGCTGGGAGCTGCAGACGAGAGCTTTTCCTATTCGGCCATCTTGCCAGCCACCAGGTATTTCTTTATAGCAGTGTGACAATGGACTAATACTGTAAATTGGTACAGAGGAAGTGGGGCACTGCTGTAAGGATTTCACATTGAAAATGTGAAAGTGACATTAGACCTGGGTAACAGGCAGAGGTTGGAACAGTTTGGAGGGCTCAGAAAAAGATGAGAAGACGTGGGAAAGTAGAGATTTGTTGAATTATTTTGGCTAAAATGCTGATAGTGATATGGCCAATGAAGTCCAGGCTGAGGTGGTCTCAGATGGAGATGAGGAACTTCTTGGGAAATGGAGAAAATGTGACTCTTGATATGCTTTAGCAAAGAGACTGGTAGCATTTTGCCCCTGCCCTAGATATCTGTGGAACTTTGAACTTGACAGAGATGATCTAGGGTATCTAACAGAACAAATTTTTAGTGGCAAAGCATTCAAGAGAAAGCAGAGCATAATAGTTTGGAAAATTTGCAGCCTGAGGATGTGATAGAAAAGAAAAACCCATTTTCTGGAGAGAAATTCAAGCCCACTTCAAACATTGCATAAGTAACGAGGAGCTGAATGTTAATCACCTAGTCAATGGGGCAAATGTCTCCAGGGTATGTCAGAGACCTTTACAGCAGCCCCTCCTGTCACAGGCTTGGAGGCCTAGGAGGGAAAAATGGTTTTGTGGGCTGGGCCCAGCCCCGCCACCCCCGATCTGTGCAGCCTTGGGACATGGTGTCCTGCGTGCCAGCTTCTTCAGCTATAGCCATGGCTAAAAGGGGCCAAGCTACAGCTTGGGCCATTGCTTCAGAGGGTGCAAGCTCCAAGCTTTGTTGGCTTACACATAGTGTTCAGCCTGTGGGTGCACTTCTGTCATGAATTGAGGCTTGGGAACATCCTCCTAGATTTCAGGGGATGTATGGAAATGCCTGAATGTCCAGACAGAAATTTGCTGCAGGGGCAGAGCCCTCATGGAGAACCTCTGCTAGGGCAGTGCAGAAGGGAAATGTGGGGTCAGAGCCCCCATGCAGAGTCCCTACTGGGGCACTGCCCAGTGGAGCTGCAAGAAGAGGGCCACCATCTTCCAGACCTCAGAATGATAGATCCACTTACAGCTTGCACCATGTGCCTGGAAAAGCCACAGCCACTCAACACCTGCTTGTGAAAGCAGCCAGTAGCAGACCTGTACCCTGAAAATCCACAGGGGTGGAGCTGCCCAAGGCCATGGGAGCCCATCTCTTGTATCAGCATGACCTGGATATGAGACATGGAGTCAAAGGAGATCATTTTGGAATTTTAAGGTTTAATGACTGCCCTATTGGATTTCAGACTTGTATGGGGCCTGTAGCCCCCTTGTTTTGGCCAATTTCTCCCATTTGAGATAGGTGTATTTACCCAATGACTGTACCTCCATTGTATCCAGGAAGTAACTAATTTGCTTTTGGCTTTACAGGTTCATAGGTACAAGGGACTTGCCTTGTCTCAGATGAAACTTTGGATTTGAACTCCTGGGTTAATGCTGGAATTGGTTAAGACTTTGGGTGACTGTTGGAAGGGCATGATTGTGTTTTTATATAGGAGGACATGAGATTTTGGAGGAACCAGGGGGCAGAATGATATAATTTGGCATTGCGTCCCCACTCAAATCTCACCTTGAATTGTAATAATTCCCATGTGTCAAGGGTGAGACCAG